>NC_000008.11:64052265-64677265 GCF_000001405.40 Homo sapiens
CTATCACATGTACCCCCATAAGTATGTACAATTATTATGTACTAATAAAAAGAAACTCTCTTTCAACTGTGGATGTCATTGGAAGAAAAACTATGTTATCAAAATTACTATTATTAAAACTAATTCTGTATCTTTTAATAGATTTCAACGTCTAATCAATAATTTTTATGCTATTGGTATCTCACACTTTCAATTTTATATACTTGAAGTCTAGAAAACAGGTAACCTCAAAGCTTCAGTTAGCCAGGATAGAGATATTAAATTTACTTATAAGCATTTTCTAATCTTTTCATTCAGAGTTAATTCCAGATACCTCTACATTTCTAGTTACCTTCATGTCAGTATCCCTTAACTTCCTCAATTAGGTTATGGTCTACTTGGGGAAAACCTCTTACCTGTATCCTTTTATATTTTATATTATACTTCCCATAACATCTTGCACACAATAGATTTTTAAACAAATATGTATAGGCCATCAAAAATAGGCATATGGCAAGAAAACAGCCTAATATGAAAGAACAAGTTAAAAATTGAGAGCAATAGTTCTTAAAATTAAAAATCAAATGGTTACTTTTAAAAATTCTATTGCTCATGATATACCCTAGAAAATTTTAATCAGAAACTGTGAGTGTAGGACTCTGGCATCACTAGCTCTAAAACCTTCCCAGTTTTTATAGGTAGCAGAGTTTGTGATCCACTATCTTAGAACAATAACAGTAAAACTTTAGTGATCATTGGTACTATCTAGGCAGTTTTTAAAAAATTATATATAGATCCCAATGCACCACCCCCAGGATTATGTTTTAGATAGGGAAGGAATCTGTACTTAAACAACGAAACTTCTGCAGGTGAGTTTAGTGTGCCTCTAAGACTGAGAACCATTTCCTTGGGTCTAGATCAGCAACATTGCTTGAAAACTTGCTAGAGATGAAAATCTGTGCTTCCCACTTCAGACCTATGGAATCAGAAACTGTGGGAGTCAGGATGATGATTCTGTTTTAAAAAACCCTCCAGCTGATGCTGATGCGCACATGAACGTAAGAATGACTGGCTGGGCAAGGTGGCTTACGCCTGCAATCCCAGCACTTTGGGAGGCCAAGGTGGGTGGATCACAAAGTCAGGAGTTCAAGACCAGCCTGGCCAAGATGATGAAACCCCATCTCTACTAAAAATACAAAAATTAGCCAGGCAGGGTGGCAGGAGCCTGTAATCCCAGCTACTAGGGAGGCTAAGGCAGGAAAATCGCTTGAACCAGGGCAGCAGAGGTTGCAGTGAGTGTAGCCCGGGCAACAGAATGAGGCCTTGTCTCAATAAAAAATAATTTAAAAAAAGTTAAAAAACCAAAAAGAAAATGACTGAGCCATGCTGCTGCAATGCCCTTTTGTGCTTCATGCTGGACTACTGAAAAATAAATAACATCTATTCTAAAGTGACAATTAAATTACGTGATTAATAGGGTTTTCTATAGTTTAAGTTCTCTTGACCTTAACGCTTATCTTAAAACTTTTGGTACCTCTTCCTGCTTATATGTTAGTGCTATTAACAGGCAACAAAGTAAATAAAATATTTTTTGAAAAAAGAATATTAATCCCAAACTTCAGCTTCCGCTGAATTCAGAAGGTTGCTTTCTTTATGGAAACATTGGTTTCAATTTTATATTATGCTTCAGTTTGCAAAGTTAGTCATATTAAACATTTCAAAGAAATAAAGTATTTAAGTAACTTAGATAATTAAACAGATAATTTGTGTTGTCGAAATTTGAATGATAGAACTTGACGTATCAGAATTTAATGTTCACCTTAAAAATGTTATAAACGTGGAGACCAATTAAAGAACTTCTATTAGGCACTAGAAATTTTATGCTTTAACTCTATTTTCTAACAATTTTCTTAATAGCTCTATGGAGAAGGCCTTATTATACCCCCATTTATAGATGTGGGACATGGGCTCAGAGAATTAAGGAGCATGACTAGTCAAAGAAAGAATAGAGACACCATCATGGATTGTCCTCATTCTAAGCTTTTGAGCTTGCCCTGTCCCTAAATACGTTTGAGAACCATGGCTCTACTATGCTGACTATCCTGGTCTCAGCTGGTGATAATGAATGAATGATTGTGGGCCAGGGTAAAAGTGGAAGCACTGACCCTCCCATCCCCCACACCAGGACAGCAGAGATGAGTAAGCTTTAATGGAAAGAAGAATGACAAGAATTGGATATTAGAGTTATGGAGTCCATAACTCTATGGACCACTGGTCCAACTTGCGTGAAAATTCCCCATTTATTTGGACACTTAGGATAACTCAATTTAGTTTTATTGAGAGAAACTGCTGGGCTTCTTAAATAAATATGTTTAGTCTCTTCTATAGTTAAAGCATTAAGCATTAAGCAGCAACAAACTTTCTAATCTATTATCTCGCCAAGCGGCTGCCACTTTATCCAGATACTCTCATCAAACAAGCCCCTCCAAAGAGAACTCCTCACTAACCATCATTTCCTCTACTGCCTTGCCATTCTGCAACCTAAAGCAGTCTGATTTTTGCTTCTATCTCTAAAATCATTCTCTTTGTTGGTCCATGAAGCCCATTCATTCTAGTACTTATTGACAGCCAACTACAACACACCAGGTACTATTATAAATATAGCAGTGAACAAAACAAAGTTCCTTCCCTCATGAGCTTATAGTGGGAGTGGCAGAAAATGTAAAAATAATCAAGTAAATGCAGAGAGTGTGAGATGGTATAAAATATTGCAAAACAAAATCAAGCCAGAGTAAGGGGACAGGCAGCTCCTGGAGCATGCAAGTGTGAGTGCTACCTTTTTATATACTGTAATTGGGAAAGGTCTTACAGAAAGTGAGCATCCTGTGTGAATAGAGGAAGGGGTACATTTCAAGGAAGAAATAAGAGCAAGTCCCTGGGGTGGAAGAGTCCTTGGCATGCTTAAATAAGAGAAAGGAGGCCAGCGTGTCTGGTGCAGAGTAAATGAGGAGCAAGGAGGTCAGTAGGACAGCAGGAGCCAGATTGCATAGGGCAAAATGTCTTAGTTCATTAAAGTACCTTAGAGTTTTAGTAAATGAAGAAAACAATTCAAATTTTTTTAGAAAAACAGTGACAAATTCTGATCAGTTTTAGAACTCCAATGGAAATGGACAATAGAAATATATTTTTAAAATTAAAATACTTCTTATAATCACATTAAGAGCATAAAATACTTAATCACAAATTTGATCCAAAAAATGCACTGAAAACTGCAAAACAGTGTTGAGTAAAATTAAAGAAAGTATTAAGTATTGAAAGTATAAATAAATGAAGAGGAATTTCTTTTTAGTGAAAGCCTATAAAATAGAGACATATACCTTGTGTATGGATTGGAAGACTCAATATTAATAATATGTCAATTCACCTTCAAAATAATTTATAAACATCAGTAATTTCAGTAAAAAATCCAGCAGGTTCTCTGTAAAAGCTGAAATGTTGACTCTAATGTTTTAATATGGAAATACAAAAGTCCTAGAATCATTAAAACAATTTTGAAAAAGAAAAAATAAATAATTTGGGGGATATTTAATACTTAACATGAAGCTAAAATTATCAAGACAATGTAAAGTTCACATAAGTACAGACATATAGATAAATGGATTAGAATAGAAAATCCAGAAATAGACCTACATATATGATAGCTACTGATTTTCAACAGAAGTTTCAAGGCAATACAGTGGAGAAAGAATTAATCTTTTCAACAAATAGTACTGGAACAACTGTCTTGAAAAGTCTGATAAAATCAAACCTTATCTCACATCATACACACAGTTAAACTCAAAATGAATAATAGAACTAAATATAGAACTGAAGTATTAAATCTTCTAGTAAAAAAAGAGGAGAAAATCTTTGCAACCTTAGGACAAAGATTTCTTCAACAGAAAATACACACAGAGAGAAACACAAATATCTAGACACAAGCACACAGACACACAAAACACTAACCATAAAGGAGTAAAAAATAGTAAAATGAAAACTTCTGCTCTTCAAAGGACACTTTTAAGAAGACATAAAGGCAAAACGCGGACTGGGATAAAATATTAACAGTATATATTACATATGTAATTTACTTGTAACATATACCCAACAAAAGCCTTTTTAAGCAACAATTTATTATATCTCATGATGTTATGAGTTCGGTGGACTCAAAGGGCCAGTTATTCTACTTTATTTTAAAATAGCTGTGGTCATTTGTATGGCTGCATTTGTTTGGGAACCCAACTGGGGCTGGAATCTAACCAATACCTTGCAGCCAGAATGTATACAGAACACAACTGAATAATACAAAGATAAAATCCAATTAAAATGTGTAACAGTATTAAACAGACACTTCACCAGAGACACAAATGGTTAATAAGTCCATGAAAAGGAGTTCAACATCATTAATCATCAGGGGAAAAAGTTACAATTATTGGGGAAAAAGTACAGTGGGATTACCACTACATTACCATAAGAATGCCTAAAACTTTTAAAAGTTAACAATACCAAGAAGTGGTGATGGTGTGAAACAGCTGGAACTCTCTGATGAAAAAATTTGCTCATGGTAGTTTACAATGTTATCGCATCTTTAGAAAACAGTTTGATGGTTTCTAATGTTAAACATGCATGTATGGTATGATTCAACAAAATTACACCTGTATGCATTTCCCCAAGAGAAAGAAAACCATAACAACAAAATGACTAAGACAAGAATGTTCACAGTAGCTTTATTAGTAATAGCCACAAAGTGGAAGCCCAAATGTCTAAATTGTGGCATAGTTATAAAAAAGGATGCTAGTCAGCAATATGAAATAACAAGCTGCGATACACAAATAACATGAATGAATCTCAAAAGTAACCCAAGTGAAAGAAGTTGCGGGCACAAAAGTACAGTACCTGTCCTCACTCTCCATCTAATCCCTAGTGAATGCCCGAAACCATGGATACTACTGACCCTGCAGTACAGTCCTACACCATGTAACGACATTTCAATAAAGAACAAACTGTATATTCAAGCTTGTCCAATCCATGGCACTTAGCCAGCATGTGGCCCATGAGGGCTTTGAACGCAGCTCAATACAAATTCATAAACTTTCTTAAAACACTATGAGTTTTTTTTTGCAATTTTTTTTAGCTCATCAGCTATCGTTAGTGTTAGTGTATTTTATGTGTGGCCCAAGACAATCCTTCTTCTTCCAATATGGCTCAGGGAAGCCAAAAGATTGGGTATCCCTGGGATGGTGGTCCCATAAGCTTATAACAGAGTGAAAAAATTTCTGTTGCCTAATGATGCAACCAACATAAAATTGTAGTGCAATGCATTACTCACTGACTTGTTGTGATGTTGGTGTAAACAAACCTACTGCCAGTCTTATAAAAGTTCGGCACATGCAATTATGTACAATACATAATTCTTGATAATGATAATAAATAGGTGACTGGTTTATGTGTTTACTATGCTTTACTTTTTAATGTTATTTTAGAGTGTACTCCTTCTACTTACTAAAAAAAGTAAACTGTAAAAAAGCCTCAGGCACATCTTTCAGGAGGTATCCTGAAGAAGGCTTTGTTATCATAAGAGATGACAGCAACACGTGTGTTACTGTCCCTGAAGACCTTCCAGTGGGATAAGATATGGAAGTGAAAGACAGTGATAATGATGATCCTGTGCAAGTGTAGGCCTAGCTGATTGTGTGTTTGTGTATTAGTTTTTAACAAAAATGTTTAAAAATTAAAAAACTTTAAATTGAGAAAAGCTTATAGAACAAGGATATAAAAAATATTTTTGTACAGCTGTACAGTGTGTTTTTTAGCTGTGTTACATCAAGAGTCAAACTGTTAAAAAATTTTAAAGTGCATAATGGAAAAAGGTTACAATAAGCTAAGATCAATTTATTATTAAAGAATGAAAATTTTCATCAATTTGTTGTATCCCAACTATACAGTGTTTATAAAGCCTACAATAGTGTGAAGTAATGTCCTAGGCTTTCGCGTTCACTCACCATTCACTCCTTGACTTCCCAGAGAATCTTCCAGCCCTGTAAGCTCCATTCATGGTATGTGCTGTATACTAGGGTATCCTTTTTTGTCTGTTACACACTATTTTTACAGTACCTTTTCTATGTTCGGATATGTTTAGATACACAGATACCATTGTGTAACAACTGCCTACAATATTCGGTAGAGTAACATGTTGTACAGGGTTCTAGCCTAGGAGCAATAGACTATACCTTGTACCCCAGGTGTGTGGTAGGCCATCCCATCTAGGTTTGTGTACGTACATTCTATGAGGTTCACACACGGACAACATTTCTCAGAATGTATCCCCATTGTTAAGCTACACATGACTACATATACTGTTTATCCTATCCATACATATCTATAATAAAGTTTAATTTATAAATTTGGCACAGTAAGATATTAACAATAATAAATGATAATATAGAAGAATTATAATAATATATTTTAATAAATATTATGTGAATGTGGAACCTCTCCCTCAGAAATGTTTCAGACCACAGTTTGCTGCAGGTAAGTAAAACCACAGAAAGCAAAGCCACAGATAAAGGGGATATAGTTGACCTTCTGTATTCACAAGTTTTGCATTTGAGGGTTCAAGTAACCATGAATAGAATATTCAGGGAAAACAAAACAAAAAAAAAACACAACAATAGATTAATACAAATAAAAATACAGGATAACAATTTATATAGCATTTACACTGTATTAGGTATCATAAGTAATCTAGAGGTCACTTAAATATATGGGAAGATGTATATAGGTTACATGTAACTGTTATGCCATTTTATATAAGGGATTTCCACAGGGGTCTTGGAACCAATAACCTTCAGATTTTGATGTAGAACTGTGTATACCCCATATGAGTTCATTTATATGAAATTCCACAACAGGCAATACTAATCTATAAGGATAGAAATCAGATCTCTTGTACCTGGGGTAGGATGGAGTAACTGCCCAAAAAGGAACACGAGGGACATAAACCAATATTTCATATCTTAACTGGTATGGTGGTTATATGGGCATAAACATTCGTTAAGGCTCACCAAACTATTCACTTTCAGTGGGAGCATTCGGTTTATTGTATATGAATTATAGCACAATAAAATTTATTTAAATAATCCCATAATTTATTAATATTTTAATCATGTAAAACATTTGATAATGACACGATAAGTGTATATCCTGATTAATTCAAAGTTGCAAAAAAAGTTTATAAAGAAGAAAATGTAATTTTAATTTATAGCCTTTGTAATAATACATAAGGTAGTTTATTTAGAAAATAACATTGTTTTTTTAACAGCCTTATATTTAGTTTAAAACCTTTTACTAAATTTTGAAAAAAATAATAATTATGAGTGATTCCTCCAGAAAACATTTGTATTTCAGTTTTACACTTCTTCATGTTAAATGAAGTGAAGCTACTGAGACCCCAGGCAGTTAACTGCATCACCAGAAAAGGATTGAATTAGTAATTTATTTCTTCATCAGGACAGTAAAAAAATCACTCTGTCTCCATAGCTTGTGATGAGGCAAGACTTTCTGACTGATGTATTTTAAAATGAGTAAGCCAATTAAAAAATTATTCCATAGCATGATGTCTGAATAAAAATAAGTAAAATTGAATTGAAGTTTTCATACCATTGGGTTAATATGTAGCTTATATATTAGCCTGATGTACCCCAAATATCTAATTTGATTTAGAATATAGGTTCTGATTTCAAAATGGAGGCATAGAAGCAAGCAGACTTCACTCCCCCTAACAGAAACAAACAAAAAAGAAACAAACACACAACACTGAGATTGTCAGCAGCAATATTCCAAATTTTAAATATTTAGATGAAATAGTTCCCAGCACCACAGAGAAATTAAAAATTCTCTTAGCAGCTGGTAAGAAAATCAAACCTCGACATCCACAACTTCCCCTGAGCCCATTCTGCCCAACCCCAAGTGCATAGAAAATTTTCCCACAATTTAGAGTTCCTAGTCTGGAAAAAGTGAAACGGAAGTGAACAACCAGCTTCCCCACCATCTTGGGTTCCCTAGCAGGAGACCTGTTCCTGCCTTAACCCAGAGGAAGCAACACAAGTTCCTCAAGGTAAAAATATCTTAAAGGACAGGCAGAGACAAAGGGAGGAGTCAGGATACCCATCCCAAGCTCTGGAAACACTGCTTTATAAGTTGGTCAAAAGAGATGTCGAATCAGAGTGGCTGTTCAGGAGCACCGTTCTGTAGGAGGTATGTTGTACCGGTTGCCTGGGGACAAAATCCCAGCCAGGCTTTCCACACTGCCAGAAAACACCGTTTAGGACCTCCTCCATTAGGAAAGGATGGCACAGTGATTGTTCACTACATCCATGGCAAACCTGAGCTTAAGACACCACCTAGCATGAAAAAAAAGGCACTGACCTAGCGATAAAGAACCTCTAAGCAAATATATTCAGTAAAAATTAAATTAAAAAAAAACTGACAAAGAAGACTGGAATAAATAATCTTTCAGTGCAAAGACATAGACATGCATCCACAAGAAGCAAGAGCAAGCAGAGGCCGGGCGCAGTGGCTCACGCCTGTAATCTCAGCACTTTGGGAGGCCGAGGCGGGTGGATCACGAGGTCAGGAGATCAAGACAATGGTGACACCCTGTCTCTACTAAAAATACAAAAAATTAGCCGGGCGCGGTGGCGGGCGCCTGTAGTCCCAGCTACTCGGGAGGCTGAGGCAGGAGAATGGCGTGAACCCTAGATACGGAGCTTGCAGTGAGCCGAGATCGCGCCACTGCATGCCAGCCTGGGCGACAGAGTGAGACTCCATCTCAAAAAAAAAAAAAAAAAAAAAGCAAAAAAGAAACAAGAGCAAGCAGAAAACCATGATCTCCACAAACAGCAAAGAACCAGTGCCTGACCCTAATGAGATGGTGATATGTGAGCTATTCTGGTCAAAAATTCAAAACTACAGTTTTAAGAAAACTCAGAGATCTTCAAGATAACAGAGAAAGCAATTCAGAAATTAATCAAAGAAAGTTAACAAAGAGATTAAGATAATAATTTTAAAAATCAAACAGAAACCTTGGAATTGAGAAATATATTTCGTGAACTAAAAAATTATTAGAAGCTCTCAACAGCAGAATGGATCAAACAGAGGGAAAAATCAGTGATCTCAAAGACAAGCTATTTGAAAATATGTAGTCATAAGAGAAAAAAGTAAAAAGAATAAAAAGAAACAAAGATTGCCTATGAGATATAGAAATGACCTCAAGAGACCAAATCTAAGAGTTATTGGTGTTCAAAAGAGAGTTGAGCAAGAGCAAGAATTAGAAAGCTTATTCAAAGAAATAATAACAAAAACAAATTTTTTCCAAAGCTTGAGAATCATATAAATATCTAGGTACAGGATGATCAGAGAACACCAAACAGATTTGACTCAAATAAAGCTACTCCAAGGCATATAATAATCAAAATCTCAAAGGTGAAGGACAGGAAACGATCCTAAAAGCAGCAAAAGAAAAGAAGCATATGACATATAAGAGCTCCAATTTGTCTTCTCAACAGAAACTGTACAGGCCAGCAAGGAGTAAAATAATATGTTCAAATTGCCAAAAGAAAAAAACAGCTGCCATTCAAGAATACTGTATTCAATAAAGTTATCCTTCCAAATATAAAGGAGAGATAGTCTTTCCCAGACAAACAAAAGCTGAAAGAATTCATCACCACTAGATCTGTCTTACAAGAAATGCTAAAGGGAGTTATTTAACCTGAAAAAAAAAAATGAAGTACAAAAAATGGTATAAAACCCACTGACAAAATTAAAGACATGGGAAAATCCAGAATACTGTAATACTGTAATTGTGGGGTGCTATCAATTAATTTTTTGCATAGACGGCCCAAAGACAAATCTGTCAAAAACAATAATAGATACAGCAACCTGTAAATAGATAGGTAAAATAAAATTAAGTAAACTGAAATAACTAAAAGTCAAAATGTAGGAGAGATAGAGGTAAAGTATGGATTTTTTTAATTTTTTTCTTTGTTCCTACTCTTTGCTTTGTGATCTAAGATGAGTTGTCATCTCTTTAAAATAACTTGCTATATCTATAAAGTGTTTTTGTAAGCCTCATGGTAACCACAATGCAAAAATCTATAATAGACTCACACAAAAAAAGCAATGACTTAAAACATACTACCAGAGAAACTCACCTAACCACAAAGGAAGACGGTAAAAAAGGAAGACAGGAGTTCCAAAACAATCAGAAAACAAAGAACAAAATGGCAGTCGTAAGTCCTTACTTATCAATAAAAACACCAAATATAAACTCAATTATCCAAATAAAAAGCATAGAGTGACTGAATGGAAAAAGGAACAAGACCCAACTGTACGGTACATACAAGAAACCCACTTCACCTATAAAGACATACACGGACTGAATGTGAAGAAATAGAGAAAGATATTTCATGCAACTGGAAACAAAAAGAAAATGAACAAGAGAAGCTATACTTAGACAAAAGACTACAAATAAAAAACTATAAAAAGAGACAAAGAAAGTTACCATATAATGATACAGTGGTTAATTCAGCAAGAGAATATAATATCTATGCACCCAACATAGGAGATCCAAAGTATATGTGGCAAACATAAATAGATATAAAGAAAGAAATAGACTGCAATTCAATAATAGTAGCAGACTTTATCACTCCATTCTCAGTAATGGACAGATCATCTAGACAGAAAATCAACAAAGAAACATTGGTGTTAAACAACACACTAGACCTCATAGGCGTAATTAACAGTTACAGAACATTTCACCCAACTGCTGCAGAATACACAAGTTTTTTATCAACACATAAAATGTTCTCCAGAATAGACCATCTTATATCACAAAACAAGTCTGAACAGATTCATAATTGTAAAAATCATATCAACTGTCTTTTCTGACTACAGTGGAATAAAACTAGAAATCAATGACAAGATGAACCTCAGAAACTTCACAAACACATAGAAATTAAATAACATGCTCCTGAGAAATAAGAGGACCAATGAAGAAACTAAGGAAAAATTTGAAAATTTATTTAAACAAATGGAAATGGAAATATAGCATATCAAAATTTATAGGATACAGCAAAAGAAGTAATAAGAAGGAAGTTTATAGCAATAAATGTCTACATCAGCAAAGTAGAAAGACTTCAAATAAACAACCTAATGATGCACCTAAAGGAACTAGAAAAGCAAGAACAAACCAAACCCAAAGTTAATAGAAAGAAAGAAATAATAAATACAAGAGCTAAAATAAATGAAACTGAGATAAAAGCAATACAGAAGATCAATGAAACTAAAGGCTGGATTTTGAAAAGATAAACAAAGTCGACTAGCCTTTAGTTAGACTAAGATAAAAAAGAGAGAGCCCCAAACAAATAAAAATCAGAAATGAAAAAAGAGATACAACAGGTGAGATAACAGACATGCAAAGAATCATTAAAGACTATTATGAAAAACTATATGTCAATAATTTGGAAAACATAGAAGAAATAGACAAATTTCTGGACACACATAATCAACCAAGATTGAACCATGAATAAATAGAAAAACACAATAAATCGATAACAGGTAAGAAGGTTGAAGCTGTAATACAAATTCTCCCTCAAAGAAAAGCCTAGAACCTAATGACTTTACTGATGAATTTTACCAAAGTTATAAAGACGTACTAATTCTACTCAAACTCTTCAAAAAAGTTGGAGAGAATATTTCCAAACTCAATTCCTGAGGTCAACATTGCCCTGATACCAAAACCAGACAAGGAAGCAACAAAAAAGTAAACTACAGGCCAATATCGTCGATTAATAGGGATGCCAAAATCCTCAACAAAATACTAGCAAACCAAATCCAACAACACATTTAAAAGAACATTCACCATGATCAAGTGGGCTTCATCCCAGGGATGCAAGGATGGTTCAACATAAGCATGTCAGTAAATGTGCTACATCACATTAATGGAACAAAGAACAAAAACCATATGATCAGCTCAATAGATACAGAAAAGGTATTCAATATAATTAAATATATCTTTGTGATTAGAAAACCCTCATCAAACTATATATAGGAAGAGTATATCTCAAAAGAGACCATTTATGACAAACTCACAGCTAACATCACACTGAACTGGGAAAAATTTACAGCTTTTCCTCTAAGATGTGAATAAGACAACAATGCCTACTTTCAGTACTTTTATTCAACATAGTACTGGAAGTCTTGTCCAGAGCAATTAGGCAAGACAAACAAAGGGAATCAAAATTATCAAAGAAGAAATCAAATTAGCCTTGTTCACAGATAATATGATCTTATACATAAATAAACCTAAAGACTCCACCAAAAAACTGTTAGATAAACAAATTCAGTAAAATTCCAGAATACAAAATCAACATTAAAAATAAGTAACATTTATATAGGTCAACAGCAAACAATCTGAACAAGAAATCAAAAAGGCAATCCCATTTACAATAGCTACAAAAGTAGAAAATACCAAGGAATCAATTTAACCAAAGAAGTGAAAGATCTATACAAGGAAAACTATAAGACACTGAGGAAAGAAATTGAAGAGGAAACAAAAAAATGAGGAAATATTTCACGTTCATGAATTTGAAGAATATTGTTAAAATGACAATACTACCCAAAGTAATTTACAGATCCAGTGCAATTTCTATCACAATCCTGAATAAATTCTTCACAAAAATAGAAAAAATAATAACATTTATGTGGAGCCACAAAAGACCTTAAATAGCTAAAGCAATCCTGAGCAAAAAGAACAAAACTGGAGTCATTACACTAGCTGACTTCAAAATTTACTACAAAGCTACAATAACCAAATCAACATGGTACCGGTAGAAAAACGGATACATAAAGTAGTGGAACATAATAAAGAACCTGGATATAAATCCACACATTTATAGCCACTTAATCTTTGACAAAGAATATACATTGGGGGAAAAGACAGTTTCTTCAATAAATGGTCCTAGGGAACTGGATATCTACATGCAGAATGACACTAGACTCCTATCTCTCACCATATACAAAAATAAAATAAAAATGGATTAAAGACTTAAAATGTAATACTTGAAACTCTGAAACCACTACAAGGGAACATTGGGGAAACACTCCAGGACATTGATCTGAGCAAATACTTTCTGCATAAAACTTCAATAACACAGGCAGCCAAAATAAAAATAGACAAGTGTGTTTACATTAAACTAAAAAGCTTCTACAAAGCAAAGCAAATAATCAATAAAATGAAAATACAACCTACAGAATGGAGAAAATATTTGCAAACTACCCATCTGACAAGAGATTAGTAACCAAGACATATAAGAAACTCAGACAACCCAATAATACCAAAAACAGCAAAGCCAAATAATACAAATTAAAAATGGGCAAAATATCTCAATAGACATTTCTGAAAAGAAGAAATAGAAATGGCTAACAGGTATATGAATAAATGTTCAACATTACTAATCATCAGAGATGTGCAAATCAAAATCACAATGAGATATCATCTCACCCCAGTTATAATGGCTTTTAACAAAAAGACAAACAATAGCAACAGCTGGTGAGCATGTGGAGAAAGGGGAACACTTGTACACTGTTCATGGGAATATAAATTAGTACAGCCACTATAGAGAACAGTATGGAGGTTCCTCAAAATGCTAAAAATAGAAATGCCATATGATTCAGCAATTACACAACTGGGTATGTCTCCAAAAGAAAGGAACTCAATAGATTGAAAAGACATATTCACTCCCATGCTTATTGCAGCACTATTCACAATAGCCAAAATATGGAATCAACCTAACTGCCCATCAATGGATGAATGGATAAAGAAAATATGGTTTCTATACACAATAGAATCTTATTGTCATAGAAAAGAATGAAATCTTGGCATTTCTGGCAATCTGGATGGAACTTGAAGCCATTATGTTAAGCAAAATAAGCCAAGCACAGATAGATAAATATTACATGTTCTCACTCATAGTGGAAGCAAAAAAGTTTATCTTATGAGAGAGAGAGAAAGACAGTAGATTGGTGGCTATCAGAGGCAGGGAAGAAGAGGAAAGTGGGAAGGATGAAGAGAAGTTGATTAGTGGGTACAGATATAAGGTTTGATAGAAGAAATAAGACCTAGAATTAGATAGATGAGTAGGTGACTATAGTTTACAATAATGTATTGTGCATTTCAAAATAGCTGAAGAGGATAATTTGAATGTTTCTATCACAGAGAAAAGACAAATATTTAAGGTGTTGGATATCCCAAGTATGCTGATTCGATCTTTAAAAATTATGTGAATGTATTAAATGATCACATGTATCCTGAAACTATGTATAAATAGTAAAACATATCTTATGTATAAATAAAAAATCAATCAATCAATGAAAGAGTATATATTATGTTTACTAATTCTTGTGCCAATCTAGGCTCAGTGGCTAACATGAAAGAAGTATATTGCATGATCTCTTTTGAGGAAAATAAAACTGGGTTGATAATAAAATCAACTTGCATTATGTTTACTAATTCTTGTGCCAATCTAGGCTCAGTGGCTAACATGAAAGAAGTATATTGCATGATTTCTTTTGAGGAAAATAAAACTGGGTTGATAATAAAATCAATTTGCATTCCCACAGGTGCTTCTTAAAAGTACTTTCAAGTTCAATCTGATACATATCAATCTCAGATTGTGGCTATCAACAATCTTTACTGTAGATTAAATTAAATTCAAGTATTTTGAAGTTCAAAGTTTCCATAAACACAACAGTTTACCTACAACAATAAAGTGTAATATTTCAGTTTCATGAGTTAAATATTTTCATCATATGAAATAAATTATTAAAAAACACAACTATTGATTCATCCTAATCTATTTCAACATTCTCTTTCTCCTTTCTACGTAGGCCTGATAAAAACTGCTATTAGCACTGTGTCTCTTTACTTTCCTTGAGATATTTCTCCCATTCTTTGGGTTTTGACAACTCACTAGATGCCAATCTCTCTTAAAACTGTTTTGCAAATGTCCTTCACTCTCCAATTTAAGTGGTCACCAAGGCCTATAAATTGGCCTTCAAATATTTCTCAATTACAATTCTTTTGTCTTCATTCACACTTCTACCCACTTAACATCTCCCACATCAAATATTACATATGCTTTCTAACTGATGATTTTGCCAACTCTCTTTCTACTCCAGTCCATCTCATGCAATCATCAAAATATTACTACAAATATGTTAACCTCATCATGTTTGACTCTATTTGGAACCTGGGATACTTCCTCCTCATGCCTTTAAGATTGAACCATATTTCTTTTCTTTTTTTTTTTTTTTTTCTTTGAGATGGAGTCTCTCTCTCTGGAGTCCAGTGGCGCATCTATGCTCACTGCAAGCTCTGCCTCCCGGGAGACTGAACCATATTTCTGAACGTTATACCAATATCTTTCATAATTAAATGTCAAGCCATCTTTCAATACTTAACACATTTGTTCTCTCATTCCCTCCATGGCTATAGACTTTCCACTTGCTCTTTTTTATTTTTACTTTTGGAATCAGTAATATTTAAACTCTTAGGTTGGTGATGAGTTCATGAGTTCATAAAAATAATTTGTTTTATTATTATGCTTGGAAAATAAGATATACATACAAATATATATGTAAAACAAATCTATAGAAACTTTTAAATGCACATATGTACTCTTTCAAATTTGTCAAACATTATATAATAAAATTATTACAAAGGAATATTTTCCAATTCAACTCATATCATCTCCTTTATGTTATTTACAAAGAGATGAACCTACAATATTTTGTTATAAGAGAGTTGGAAGTAAAGATGAAAACAATATCCGTGGCAATTACACACCAAAAAATAGCTCAAAGATATACACATACACATATCAAGCAAAATAGACTTAAATGCAAAAGAAATTATCAGGAAGAAAGAGGATCACTACTAAGAAATAATCCAACTGAAAGACATAAAAGTGATGAATATGTAGAAATCTAAAAGAAAGTATACACTTTGAAAGATTTATTCAATAGAGCAAAATCTCACTTAGATGGGCGAAATATTTTTTGTTTTTGAGATCTATTGTAATGTGTGGTGCATAGAGTATTGTACATTTCAAAATCACTTAGCGAGTAAAGTTCAACTGTTCTCACAAAAAAAGTTAAGTATTTGAAGCGAAGAATAAGTTAACTAGTTTGATTTGATTATTCCACTAGGTTGATTTAATTATTCCACATTGTATTCATGGATCATAACATTACTTTGTATCCCATAAATATGTATAATTAAAAATTGTCAATATACAATATAAAAACTAGAATTAAAAATAGAACATTATACAACCATTAAAATGATGTTTACCATAAGCACGTAAAAATTTTTTAAATGTTTACAATATTATGCTGAGAAAAACAACTTTATAAACTGAGTATATACTGTGATTGCATTTATGTAAAAGTAAAGTTTATGCAAGGAAAAGGGCATTCAACTATGGATGACTTTTTTATTATCTTCAAACATTTTTGTATTTTTCAAATTTTATTTGTACTTATATAATGAAAATAGTAATTTTTTGGATACCCTTTAGTACACTTAGACAATCAATGTTTATTGAATGTCTAAAAGGCCTTGGAGGGGAAAAGGACAACCAACTGTCTTCTTGGATTACAGTCTGCTGTTTAATTTTTTCTAATTATTTCCTCACCTGGAAAATTCTTCTTTCCTCAAGACCCAGGACAAATGTTACAATTTTGATACTTTCTCTTTCAGTTAGAATGATTAAATAGAATCTTTTTTTGTGATTTTTAAACTATTTTATATTAATTTGAGTATAATTCACATCTATAATTCACAAATCATATAGGTACAGTTTGATGCATACACCTGAGTAATCCACAACTTCTATCAAAATATAAAATATTTTCATTGTGCTACTTCCAATTAATTACCATCACAAAGAGGCAACCACTGTTCTGATTATTGTTCACCATAGACTAGTTTTTCTTTTTATAGGCTTTTATTTAAATAGGATCATACCATACGTACCTGTCTTTACTCTTTGAATATAATGGTTTTGAGATTCATCTATATTGTTGCGTAACAATAGTTTCTTCTTTAATTGCTAATAGTATTTAACTGGATGAAAATAACACAATTTGCTCATCCATTCATCTGTTGCTGGACATTTGGGTTGTTTCATATTGTTTTTTGCTATTATGAAAAAAGCGACTATGAATATTCCTGTTTAAGTATTTTTGTGCACATATGTTACTATTTCTTTTGTGTAATACCTAAGAGTGAAATTATTTTCACACTGTTTTCCAAATTTGTTGATCTATTTTACGCTCCAGTCAGCACTGTATAAGTTCTAGTTGCCTCACATCCCTGCTAACATTTGGTGTTGTCAGTGGTTTTAATTTATTTATGCTAATGGGTTTACAAGGGATATCTCATTGTTATTATAATTTACACTTCCCTGATGACTAAACCTTCTTAATTTTTTTCTGTGTTCACTGGTCATTAGTACATCTTCCTTTGTTGTGTCTGCTCAATCTTTTGCCCATTTAGAAACTTCTGTTGTCATTCTATTATTAGGTTTTTGTTTTTGTTGTTGTTTTTAGACAGGGCCTCACTCTGTCACTCAGGTTGGAATGCAGTGGCATGACTACAGCTCAGTGCAGCCTCGACCTCCTGGCCTGAAAGGGTCCTCCCACCTCAGCCTCCCAGATAGCTGAGACTACACACACACATCACCACTTCCAGCTAATATTTGTAATTTTCGTAGAGACGGGGTTTCATCATGTTGCCCAAGCTGGTTTTGAACTCCTGGGTGCAAGCCATCCTCCTGCCTCTGCCTCTCAAAGTGCTGGGATTACAGGCATGAGCAACCATGCCGGGCCCTATTATTAAGTTTTAGTTCTCTATATATTCTGGATACAACATGTATATGGAACGTTTTTCCTGGTTTTCTGCTTACTATTCATTTTCCTGACAATTTTAAATTTTAATTAATTCTAATTTATCATTTTTATATTAACGCTTTTTGTATCCTATCTGTGAAAACTTTGCCTAGTCTAAGGTTGCAAAGATATTCTCCTATGCTTTTTCAAGAGTAGTTCTAAGTATTATATTTAGATCTACAATTTATCTCAATTTAATTTTATATGTGTTGTGAGATAGAGGTTGAAGTCTATTTTTTTATACTGACTTCCAGTTTTTAAAGTGACATTTGTTAGAAAAACTCCTTTCCCTTATTGAATTAGTCTTGAACTTTTGTCAAAAATCAATGGCCTGTTCAATATTTCATGTTTTTCTGGACTCTACAGTCTTCTACTGACCTATAATTGTCTTTATGATAATGCTACATTTTTTTCAATTTTGATATGTAACAGTTTTCTATTGTGCTATAACAAATTATCACAAACTACTACCACAAATTTACTTTTTTACAGTTCTGGAGACCAGAGTCTGAAATAGGTCCTACTAGGCTAAACTCAAGGTGTTGGCAAGGCTGTGTTCCTTCTGAAGGCTCTAAAGAATAATTAATTTCCTTGCTTTTTTCAGCTTGTAAAGGTGCTACCTGCATGCCTTGACTTGTGCCCTCCTTCCAGCAATAGAATCACTTTGGCCTATGCTTCTGTCATCACAACATCTCTCACTTTGTCCATCCTGTGTCCCTCCTGTATGAACCTCTGACATTACATTGTACCCACCTTCATAATCCAGAATAATCTCTCATCTCAAAATACTTAACTTAATTACATTTGCAAAGTTTCTTTGCCATGTAAAATAGCATATTTGCTGTCTCTGGGGATTAGGACATGTATATTTCACTGGGGAAGGAGGGGCGAGGCATGGGAGAGGAATTATTTTACTTGTCACAGTCTGCCCAATGACTCTTAAAAATTCATGTCTGTCCCAGTCTAAATTACATTCACCAGTAGGTGTCTACTGTAAATCCAACACTGTATTAAGTGCAGAATTCACAGGAGCAGGGTACATATACATAATACATTGTTAAACATGTGGGTCACTATTTGGGTTCTGCTGCCATCAGCCAGCTTTGTTACAATGGGCAAGTTAATGTAGCTCTTTGAGTATGAGTTTCTGTTCACAGAAAATCAGGGTTGGATAAGACTATTTCTAAGCTTTTTTTTCTCTTTTATAATCCCTCCTAGATTATAACATTCATGAAGCCCAGGCTCAAGTTTGTCAATGCAACATCCTAAGTGTCTAAAATAATGTTCACACTTCAGTAAATATTACAGGAGAAATCAAGGAGTATATATTTATATGCAGTGTTTTGTTAATGGATTAATTTCTATAATCATGTATATAGATTGCATACATGCATCTTATCTCTGTACTATTTAAATATATCACTTTGTGTAGGCACAAAATTTCATCTTTTCTGTGTATGTATGCTGGTCTTCTCTTGTCTGCACTTAAGTCAGTTTGTGTCATCATCCTTTTTAACTACATTTTTTGGTTCTTAAATTAATATCTATAGTTTTCAATTAACCATAAATTTAAAAATTTCTTTATAGACTACTAATCAAACTCTTTTGGAAGCTTAATTATGGAAATATTCTTCCAAGAATGCGAACATTTTATAAGAAATATTTTCGTATAGTAAAATTTAGCATACATATATGTTACACAAAGAGTTTATTGTCAATATATCTACATATCTTGCACAAGCAGCACTTTTCAAATATGGCTGATTATTAGCTTCGAAAGGACTGCCAATCACTTAAATTTCAACCAGCTGCTATGAAAAAAATAAGTATTAATGGACCTACCACACCTTCAGCCTCTTGTCTCCAGTCACTGTGCTTAGCTGCAGGATTCCCATTAACATTAATGGGAGTTCCATGCACATATCACCTGGAGAACAGCCCCCTGGATGTTTGATCATTATCTTCCTAGACAGGTAGGAATGGCATCAATCAGGTCTCCAGCTTAGTTTCACAGTGTGTACTATTAAAGGCAGCAAGGCAATAAAAACACAGCTTCTAATACTTTCTTTATAAAACAGTAAAAAATGTGCAGAACAATCAAGGAAGAAGATTTTAAAGCATACAAGAAGTACGTGGTTTTCCTGCCTATCTTTTTGTAATTACAAATGTCCTAAAACTGAAGCATACACACTATTTCTTTTCTAAGACAGCCATAATGGGATAATAAAGACAAGCTTCATTATATAAAATGGATTTGATTTACTATAAAGTAGCATATAGTGAAGAGACAGTAGAGTTTACATAGAAACTGTTGACCTGTTTTTTTTTCTGTCATTTTCCTACCATATCATTAATCAAACACTTTTATGTGGTTAGAAAGAAAACAACATGAGTGATTAGTATTAGTATGTAACCTCCATAATGTTGCAAGGGACTTCATGAAACAAAGGCATGTTTTCAACTCAGATTTACTATATATTTGGTAAACTAGGTGCATTGATGTAGTGAAAATGAAATAATGAAAAGAGAAATGCTGGTAAGACCTGGGGTGAAAGAGATCAAAGTTTGGCTTTGGGACTGTAATTTTACTAACTGTATAATATTGAATAAATTACCTAAGCCTTTGAAATCACTTTTTCTTTGGTAAAGTGAACCTAAAACACCTACATTATAGACTAATTAGAAGGCTCATAGGAGATGTTCAGCATAGTCCAAGGCAACTAGTAAATGCTTATAAAACAGAGTAATTATTTCTCTATGTGTATGTACAGTTATAACCTCCAAAATATAGTTAAGATATCATAGAACAAGCATTAGAAGTAGACAGACAGGATCCCACATCTGTCATAAACCAGGATCATAACTACTATGATCCTGGGCAAGTATTTTTTAAAATATATATATTTAATATACTTTTTCTAAATATATATGTGTATGCATATATATACATACATGCATATGCATAATGCATATACACCTATTCAAATATATAAATATATTTAGCTATACACAATTTTATCACTAGTTTAGGTCTAATGAATTACAATTCTAACTTTATATCTGAATTCAACAAAATGGTTCAGCTGCTAAATTTGGAGCCACAATTTCAATATATGGTCTTGTATAAGGCTTATTTTAAGGATTCTAAGCCAGAGGCAAGAGGCTTTAAGGCTTCATTTTTATCCACTGATGCCTGGCTCTTGCTGAACCTTCCATGTGTGCTGTCTACCAGTAGTTCATGGCTACCTATCATGCACAGAGCTTGGAGGTTGTATTCTCAGGAAATTCTCACCTTTTTGGGGCCTTCCTTAGCACTCCAGTTTTACATAAATGATCAACTGCAACTCAGGACTTACATACAGCATGGAGTTCTTTATATTTTAAAATATCTGACTTAACTGAATCTTGCCTATTATCCTATTGTTCTATAAAATTTAGTGAGATTTTATATACAATTTAATATTCTATAACATGTAGTGATATTTTATAAAAATAGGATTGTAACCAGGCTTGGGCTGTTTCTACCCTAGAGACTGGGCAAATTCCCATGACATCATAAGGAGGACTGGCTGAAAAGTAGAGGATGAAAATATACGGAGAGCAAACTCATTTATGTGTAGAGCAATTTATCTCTGCTAATGCAGTCCTATGCCTTTTTATGTTCAGTCTTCAGCAAAGCCCATGTGGGAGTTATTATTATCTCAGTTTTATAGATAAGGAAACTGAGACTCAGTAAAGTAACCTGTCCAAGAAAACACTGCTATTGAGTTGGAAAATCATTACTCAATGATTTCGACCTTCTAGAATTTTTTATTCTTATTGAATGCAGCTGTTGGATAGCCTGTCTTTAAATGAACAAAGTAGAATAAAGTGAAAATAGATTTCAACGGCACCATGTCTAACCCCAGAATCTATATGACCAATTCATAGACTTGAGCATTAGAACATCTAGAATTTAACTCCTTTTGTTGCCAGTGATCTTTTTCGAGACCAGCACTAAGCCCTATGATAGATAGCTAAGGCAGGGGGAAACTTAATCCTGTGTTAGCATGGATCTCTAGGTTCAATTCCCAACTTGATCACTTACCAGTTGTATAAGTGTACAACTGTATAAACTTGTGTAGTTTTTAACTACTAGGAGATTCAGATTTTTCAATTGTAAGTTGGGAATAAAGAAAATCTTTACTCAATAGTATTTTTATAAAGATTAAACAAGAAAATGTATTTAGAAGTGTTTTTTCAAATCACAAATACAAATCCATTTTTATTATCATTTTTATTCCTAAGTAACTTTAAAATAAGTGATATGAGTAGCATTAAAATTCCTACCTGTCTCCCACATCTGGAGTGTTTTCATGTCTAAGATTTATATAATTAAAGTTGCTATTTTGGAACAGGCATTATAAATAATAAAGCTCTTATAAAAGGAATATTTTTTCACAAAGTTCAATTTAATTGAACCACTAATATAGCTATAGGTTAAGTTTATTAGATGAAGCCTTGTCGCTTATTAGGAAATAGATCCCTGAGTGACAGGAACAAATTTCTTCAAGTAGTGCTCTTTAGTTTTTTGTGTGAAGTCATTTAGACAAGATTATTTCTAGTGATAGCAAGCAGATGGCTGAGTGATGAGATGTGGGTATGCAAGTTCTGGCTAAAATGCCAGGCCATTCAAGTCTGGGCTCTGGGAAAACATATTCTTAGAGAAAGCTTTAGTTTTCAACACAGGGAACTTAGCTCTTACAACATTGGCTCCAGGCATTTTTTAAGTATTAATTGACAACACACACTGAATCCTTTATCATATGTCTAAAAGCCTTGACTTGCATCTACTCCGCCCAAAGCATTCTCTGTAGCAGGAGTCCATAAATTCTAAATCATCACGTTCCACATGGGCAATTCAGTTAGCCTTTTGGATGGACTCTTAACAAATGCCCACAAACATTCAAAAATGTTAAATTAAATAAGAAAGGATGTTCACAAATGACGTGATAGATAAAAATGATGAAATATGGAGGATGACAACGAAGATATTTCTATTACTAAATTAAAGTGACTAATGAAAACAGAACTCCTCAAAAGTTGAAAAACACTATTAAACTATTTTAACAGAGGTTGGCAGCCTACTATTTTATCCCAAGATTTACAGTAGATGGGAAACATTGAAATGGAATGTATTCTTCATATGTTAAAATAATATGTAATCCAAAATGCCATAACAGAAGGAATGTAGACCATAATGGTAAAAATCTTGGGCTTTGGAGCCAACCCTCCTTATAGAAATCCTAGCTCAACTACTAACTACCAAGGCAAACTTAACATCTCCATCCCTCTGTTCTTTTTTTGTTGTTGTTTTTTAAGCTTTAGATGGGGATAACAGTGGTATCTACTTCATAGTGTCATTGTTAGGCTTAAATAAATATTACATACAAAGGCTCAAAACAGTGTCTGATACACACTACATATTCAATAGTTATTTATTAATAATCACATTATAAAACAAAAATGTTTATTCATCCAAATTTGTGCGTATGTTTATTTGATTATTTTTTTCTTTTTTTTTTTTTTGAGATAGAGTCTTGTTCTGTCGCCCAGGCTGGAGTGCAGTGGCACAATCTCGGCTCACTGCAACCTCTGCCTCCCGGGTTCAAGCAATTCTCTGCCTCAGCCTCCTGAGTACCTGAGATTACAGGCACCCGCCACCACACCTGTCTAATTTTTGTATTTTTTAGTAGAGATGGGGTTTCACCATGTTGGCCAGGGTGGTCTTGAACTCCTGAACTCGTGATCCACCCACGTCACTCTCCCAAAGTGCTGAGATTACAGGCATGAGCCACTGCACCCGGCCTATTTGACAATTTTTATAACACTTGCCAAGCTTCATATGGGAACAGAAAGGTGTCTTAGTGGGGAAACCAACAATAAACATGTAATCAAACAAGTGAACATGTAATCAGTAAGTAAAGCCCAAAGGAGGACAGGAGGCGGGAGCTGATTAGGGAAAGTGGCCAAAGAAAGCCCCTTTGAAGCAGTGACATTTAAGCCAGAACTCAATAATGAGAAGGGGAAAGCCTCAGGGGAAGATCTCTTTTAGGTAGAGGGGAAGAGGGAATGGGCCCTGAAGTGGAAAAATCTGATGAGTTGTCCCTTTTTAGTTGTACTGGAAAATGTTTAATCAAATTTTGTGGATGTATATGTTTTTAACTTAAAATATAAAACACTGCCTTAGAGAAAAATCGACTGAAAATCTGCACTTCTATGGGATGTTTAACAAATCGAATATTCTCTCTCCTTTGTGCAATTTCTGTGGCTTGGGGCCAGGTTCTTGTCTATGGAAGTGGAGAGGAAGATGTGAATCTGGTACAGTAAAAGAGGCTTCTCCCCATTTGCAACAAATATTGTAATGAAGGGTGCCATTCTGTTCTTTCCCACAGGCTTATGGAAAAGAAATACTATCAACTTAAATACAAAAGCATAAAATATATAATATTGCATTATGGCATCTAAGTGATTAATTTGAATAACATTTCTTCTTCTTTAGTCTTTTGGAAAAGTTATGTAAGAAATGCAGGCAACTTTTAAAAAATGAAATACAGTTTCTCTCCAAACAATAGCACAAGACTAAAATCATTCCAGATAGGAGTATTTGGCTATTTTTAGAGCATTTCCCAATGTGGATTAATAGAGTCAAGGTTATTTTGAAGACCAACAGTTATAGTATTTCTTTATTTCTTTAATTCTAATATCTTAGTTCCTCATCCCAGGACTATTATTTGAGATTTCTTTGGCAAATGCAGTAGGACTAAAGTTGGAAGCCTTCTGAGAAAGGCCCTTATCATCTTCTTAATGTGTCCCAGGAATTGTCAGTACAAGAGAAACCCTAATATGATAATTTTGCATATCATATCTGCTTAATTTGAGCATTAAAACATGTAATTCTATCTGGTTTTCTCAACAACTTATGAAGTAGTCATTATTATCCCCATTCTATAGATGATGAAATTGAGGCTCAAGGAGGTCACAAAATTTACCCAACTTTACACATCTTGATAATTGCAAGTGAGTCATAAGCCTGTGGAGTTAGATGCTGTGCTTTGTTCACTATATGACTACCTCAAGCAATAATAATCTCTTATATGAGAACTACGCTTTGCCATTTTCAAGGTGCTTTTACAAACATAATTTGATCATTATAACCTTATAAAGTAAGCCTGACAGCTTTAGCTACTTATATACCTGAGAATATTTAGGCCCAAAGAGATTAACCACCTGCATGACTATTTTGGAGCTTTGTCATACCTAACAAACGTGTCCCTTTTGTGCGCAAAATGTTCTTTTAGACAGTGCAATCATACTACGTTTTTAGACCTGGCCTGAGATGAAGCTTGTCTCCACCATCTTCTAGGTCCCTTTCTCCACTAAACTCAGTTGTGTGACTTCAGCACACTCTGACACATGTCTGATTTCCCCTCTACAGTATCCTCTCAACCAGGAGTGCTGTAAGCTGTTTCCAGAATGGGGGAGAAAAGCTCAATGGTCAGTTAACGTTTGAAAAATTCTTCACACTATAGCTCCAGTTTTGATACTACAATTTACTTCCACATATTAAAGGTTCTGAGAAGCACTGTGTACAAGAAACCTGTGTATATTCACCTAAATAGCACACTTAAATCTAAACAACTTTCAGAACAGCTTTTTAACATGTTGAACCTGATTAGTAACATATGCAACAATGCACTACATTACAGATATAGAAGGCTGAAGAGTGATAGGAATGAAAACAAGACCATTGCAAATGAAATAAGTAATGAGCTACAGACAGAAAAGGTTCACTGTAGCAGAGATTTGAGTTCCCAGTGCTTTTTTGTCACCTTAGCACAGTTCTGCACATAGGAATAAAAAGGTGAGGTAACCATTTCTGAAAATAATGTTTGGACTTTATGAGAGCAGTTATGGAATAGTATACTATTTTGTTTTGTGTTAAACAATATTACAAGTGGCCACACACACTTAAAAAATCATATGATAGAACAGCTAATTTAGAATGTTAATATACTGAAGTACAATTGGCCATATCTGTAAGGAAGCCTCTTATTTTTCTTCCTTTCCTTCACTCTTAACTCTTCCCCTCTCCCTCCCTTCTTCCTTCTTTCATTCCTTTCTTTCTTGCTCTTCCTTACATTTTTGTAATATAATTGTCAATATAAAAGGCAAATCCTCCAAATTTAGTTTATTGATCCAACCATTTGTACATTCCCTAAAAATCACGGTAACCTGCAAATTACAACTGAACTCCATCCATATCTCAAAAAATGTAATTATAATAGTGAACCACAGGAGACTTTAGTTATTACAGGGATTTATGATGAAAGTAACTAATGAACAAAGGCAGAGCATAATTTATAAAATTGGCCAACCTGGAATAAGGGAGGAAGCCACTCATCCCCATCACCAATACACCTCTCTTAGTAACTGCTACTGTCTCATATTTTATAAAGAAAAAAATAATATTCTTCCTACACAAAGCTTAAAGCAAAATCCCATTTAGGAACAAATTTTAACAATTTACTGGATTAATCCCAATTTTTTTTAAATTTTTCAATCCTCTAATTTTAATTAAGTTACTAAAGGGACATACAAATAATTGAATCAAAAAATAATGAACTATTGATTCTTTTGTTGTGAATTCATTCTACTCCTTGACATATACTTTGAGGCCACAGTGCACTATATGAGCAAATTATAGTACATGAAGCTGAATTTGAAGAAGAAATGACAGCTATGATTTTCTCATTAAAATCAGCCTAAAACAATGTTTGCATTCAGAATTAACCAAGCATTTTCAATATGTCTTAATTTTCTAATACTGACTGCCACTGGAAATCTATAGAGTATATAAGCTAGAAACCCCTCACTGTCACTCAGAATTTTTGCAAGATTTTAAACAAACAGACATAATTAAAAATTAAAAATATACAGAGGAAAATACAAAATTGTTGCCAAAGTTATAGAATTTTCTCTCATCTTTGTGTTCTTTTGTGGATTCAGTGAGAACAAATGAATAAAGGGGAAATGTATATTTTTTAATCTTTTACTCATACATTGACAATTTTTGAAGCAAGCTGCTCAATTCAATTTATTGCTTAATTTTATATTATGCATTTGGCCTGGCACATACCTGGGAAATCTCTTTGGCCATTTCTGCTGGTATTTGCAGGAAACCAAACAATATATGCACTTAAAAGGCAGAAACCAAAAGTATATCGATTATCCTTGTGTGTGTGTGGGTGCCATTTATTGCTTTGTGTGTAGGGGAACACTACCCTTTGAACTGAGACATTTTTCTTCTTTCCCCTTTCTTACTACAAGCATCTAAGTTTTCCTAAATATCAAAAGAGCCCAGAAGTATACCTGAAATAAAAACCGTTTTCCTTTATGTAATTATCAAGGGGCTTTTAGAGTATCTTTCCCCAGTGATTACAGGGTATTTCCACATAGGCTGTCATTTTAAGGTGAAAAATTCGCAAGGACAGTCACACCATCTGTCATCAACTGGGTTCCCTGACACCCAGAGCTGCTCTGAAATGGCCAGCGGCTTCACGCATAACAAAGACCTTGCCCCTTGGCATTGTTTATTCCTTGACCTGTGCAGAGAGTCCTTCAAAAGAGGCTTTACTGAAACTATTTCAGGGTTGCTTTCCAGGGGCAGAATTTTCTAAAGAGAAAAATTATTTATGCATATAGAAAGTTTGAAATGCTCTCGCCTTAAAACTAAACAAATAGAATAAACCCCAGAAGAATTTTGTTCTTACATTTGTTTCTTTGATTCCTGAATGAACACTTACTTAGCATTATTTTTATCCTTTTTGCTTTTGAAAGTTTATTTAAGATATAATTTAGGTGTTAAGCAAGCCATACATAAAGATCAGAGTGTTAAATGTAACTGGACCATTGAAATACAGAAGCTGTGCCATAATAACTGAAAAATACACCTTCTGACCAACAAAACCCCAGTGCCTCTCCCTGTGGAAGTCACAGACAAGCTATTCTTACTGCCATGTCAAGCACCACTTACGACTTACAAATACAATACAGTACAATCACACTGTAGGTCACTTCTGCCCAAAGAAGGATTACAGCTGTAGCTCACAATATTTATGAAAGAAACACAACCACTCACAAAGATAAAATGTCAACTATTGTAAAACATTTTTACTAAGAAATGTCTACTCTCATACACCTGACATATAAAGACATAAGCTGAAGCTACCTCTCTTTCAATTTGCATGGCTGCAAAATATGTGTTCTTCAACTTATGGAAATCTAAGTTAGGGTTCTTATAACAGAATGAGACTTGAAAATTAGGCAGATCATTGTTAAAAGAAGCTGCAGCCATTTCTAGGAATGAATGAATAAACACAAAAGGATATTCTCTCTGTCAACATAATTAATGGCAAGATTTTATGAGCTTCATTTAGTCCCCAAGACATAGTTATATACAATACATGGAGTGTGTGTTTATGTGCACATAGTATAAATATGTAAAAGTCACATCATTAAATCTTTTATTTGTCTGTATTCATAATACACAAAGCTGTTTTTAAATTATTTAAAGATCTATTCTCTCTTCCATATACATTAATACTAATAAGAGTTGCCGTCAACATCAAAGGGAAGCTAGACCCCTAATTAGAGTTCCAATCTGCCCTGAGAGTTGCTTTGCAGAGAGAACAAATATGAAATAAGCTGAGCATTAGGGAAACTAATAATCAGTCCTCATTCTCAACTTCTGATTATTGCAAGAATCCGGTGATTTCTTAGCAGTAATATATACTCATGTTCCATCACAATTTATAAATGGAAAAATTCCTAATGAACAATTTCCAAGGAAAAAGATAATAGTTAAAACATATAAATCTGTCATGTCTTCATATGTTAGGATATGAGACAGTTACAATAGCTCCAGAAATTTCAAGTAAATTTAGAATTTAGAATTTTTGATATTGCCTGACTTGCTTTAACCCCGTTGGGTTAAAGCCTTTAGGGTTTTGATCTTGTGGTCTTTCAAAGGGCAAATTCCCTATTGGAAATTTTCTGATTACCTATGAGAATAGTATTGAAATGTCAGCCATTTATTAAACAAACATTTGGTGAGAAGCCTCTATGTACCATAAATTGTGTTAGTTGCTGTAAACATAAAAACCAAAAAACAGTTGTTATCCTGTTGTTGCTAAATGGTTAAAGCAGGAAACAACTAAATAGATATAAAGTCGAGCATATGACAAAAGCTATTTCTAAATATCAGAGTAATATATGCAAATGTTTAAGGATCTCAAATGAAAAGAAAAATGTATCTTATAACTTTAATTTGACTGCTACTTTAATTTTCCTGTTCCCGATAGTCTTTCAAAATCATCACTATGACAAATTTCATACATACACAAAAAAGACAGAAAAGCATAATGGATTCACACATATGTATCACCAGTTTCATCAATTATCAACTAATGGCAATCTTGTTTATCTCTATCTTCTTTCATGTTGTTTTAAAGAAAATCCCAGACACCCTATAATTCCATCTATAAATATCTCAGTATATATCTGTGAAAAAGAACCACAATGTTATCACCTTAAAATTAATAACAATTCATGAATATTATAAAATATCTGATAAGGACACAAATTAAATTGATTTTCAAATATCATACTAAGTGTTTAAAAATAAGGATAAAGTAAGACTGACCTACTTTTAATCCATAGGTTCTCTCTTCTTCTCTACCTTCTTTTTTACTGCTCTCAATTTATTACTTGAAGAAACTGGATAATTTTATTCTATAGATTTTCCAAAAGACTCAATTTTGCTAATTGCATCTTTGTGGTCATTTTTGGAAATTACTAGGGTAACAATAATTATTATGAAAAAGTATTAAATAAATGAAACAATTTTATCTATCTATCTATCTATCTATCTATCTATCTATCTATCTATCTATCTTGCCTTTCTAGCCTGGAATATTTGATTACAGAAAATTTGTCTCTATAAAAGAATTATACCTGATAAATGTCGAATAAATGGAAGAATTAGAAAAAAATCACCATTTTGAAACCTCTATTCAAATGATGTATCCAAGTTGCAATCATCAATGGCTGTTAAACTCATTATGTGATAAGTTAATGGTTGGATGAGGCTGACAACATCTGAACTCACTGATTAATAGTAACATGACCGAACTGGGATGGTAAGAAACTCCATGCCTTGTGATCTGATGCAAGGAATCACAGAGCATTATCCATGAGCTACTGTGGTCAATAAACAATTTACCATATTGAATCCAGTCTCTACATCGACTACCATTTTATAGGAAACATGAGGGATAGTACAGCATGTTAAATGTCATCATAAAGATGCCATAAGCATGTCCAGAATATGGAGAATGTTATAAAAAATAAAATAATCCAGTTTTCAAAGAAATGAATGCTTTGAAACATAGCAGGGGAGGAATAACTGCTACATATTAAAACATACTTAAGAGGTGAGTCAACAAAAAACAATGTAAGAATATTCAGAGATATTGATTCAAGTGAATTAACATTTATTGAATCAAGATGAAAAAGTAAAAATACACTTTTGAGACAAGTAGCAATTCTGACCTTGCAATCTTGGCACTGTGTTTATTTTTTAAATTTGTTTTTGTTAGAAATATACATTTAGGTATTTATGAGAAAAATAATAGATAGGTGGGTACCCTTAAAAAGGCTATAGTAAGGTAGGCCAAGATGGGTGGATCACAAGGTCAGGAGATCAAGACCATCCTGGCCAATGTGGTGAAACCCCATCTCTACTAAAAATACAAAAATTACCTGGGCGTGGTGGTGCGTGCCTGTAATCCCACCTACTTGGAAGGCTGAGGCAGGAGAATTGCTTGAACCAGGGAGTCAGGTTGCAGTGAGCCAAGATCGTGCCACTGCACTCCAGCCTGGTGACAGAGTGAGATTCCATCTCAAGAAAAAAAAAATACTATAGCAGTCGGGTGAAATGAGGCAAGCTACAGTGAAAGATGAAACAAGAATGCAAAATGTTGATAATTATCAAAATTGGTTGATGGATATATTGGGTTTCATCTGCATGTTTGAGCATTTTTATATTAAAGTTTATATCAAAAGGGTAATCATTCATTTTCCAGCTGGAGTTATCTTTGATTACTTACCTACCATGAGATTAAGAATGAAGGTGAAATTAAAAGTGGGTATAAATATGACTGCAGAACTGTTCCTGAGCTGTTGCTCCAGGCACACTGCCTATAGGCTAGCCCTGCTCCATAAAGAACAGTACCTCTGCTGCTGCTATACACTGTCGCTTCAATAAAAGTTGCTGTCTAGGTCCGGTTCCAAGATGGCCAAATAGGAACAGCTACAGTCAACAGCTCCCAGCGTGAGTGATGCATAAGACAGGTGATTTCTGCATTTCCAATTGAGGTACTGGGTTCATCTCACTGGGGCTTGTTGGACAGTGGGTGCAGTCCACGGAGTGTGAGCTGAAGCAGGGCGGGGCGTTGTCTCACCGGGGAAGTGCAAGGGGTCAGGGAATTCCCTTTTCTAGCCATGGGAAACCGTGACAGACGGTACCTGGGAAATCGGGAAACTCCCACCCTAATACTGCGCTTTTCCAATGGTCTTAGCAAATGGCACACCAGGAGATTATATCCCGCATTTGGCTCAGAGGGTCCCACGCCCACAGAGCCTGGCTCACTGCTAGCACAGCAGTCTGAGATCGAACTGCAAGGCAGCAGTGAGGTTGGGGGAGGGGCACCCGCAATTGCTGAGGCTTGAGAAGGTAAACAAAGCAGCCTGAAAGTTCGAACTGGGTGGAGCCCACCGCAGCTCAAGGAGGCCTGCCTGCCTCTGCAGACTCCACCTCTGGGGGCAGGGCATAGCTGAATAAAGGCAGCAGAAACTAACTTCTGCAGACTTAAACGTCCTTGTCTGACAGCTTTGAAGAGAGTAGTGGTTCTCCCAGCATGGAGTTTGAGATCTGAGAATGGACAGACTGCCTCCTCAAGTGGGTCTCTGACCCCCAGGTAGCCTAACTGGGAGACACCTCCCAGTAGGGGCACATTGACACTTCATAAAGCTGGGTGCCCCTCTGAGACGAAGCTTCCAGAGGAAGGATCAGGCAGCAACATTTGCCGTTCTACAATATTTGCTATTCTGCAGCCTCCGCTGGTGATACCCAGGCAAACAGGGTCTGGAGTGGACCTCCAGCAAACTCCAACAGATCTGCAGCTGAGGGACCTGACTGTTAAAAGGAAAACTAACAAACAGAAAGGACACCCACACCAAAACACCATCTGTACGTCACCATCATCAAAGATCAAAGGTAGATAAAACCACAAAGGTGGGGAGAAACCAGAGAAGAAAAGCTGAAAATTCTAAAAATCAGTGCACCTCTTCTCCTCCACAGGAACGCAGCTCCTTGCCAGCAATGGAACAAGCTTGATGGAGAATGACTTTGACGAGTTGAGAGAAGAAGGCTTCAGACGATCGGTAATAACAAACTTCTCCGAGCTAAAGGAGGATGTTCGAACCCATCACAAAGAAGCTAAAAACCTCGAAAAAAGATTAGACGAATGGCTAACTAGAATAAACAGCATAGAGAAGACCTTAAATGACCTCAAGGAGCTGAAAACCATGGCACGAGAACTACATGACACATGCACAAGCTTCATTAGCTGATTCGATCAAGTGGAAGAAAGGATATCAGTGATTGAAGATCAAATGAATGAAATGAAGTGAGAAGAGAAGTTTAGAGAAAAAAGAGTAAAAAGAAATGAACAAAGCCTCCAAGAAATATGGGACTATGTAAAAATACCAAATCTACGTCTGATTGGTGTACCTGAAAGTGACAGGGAGAATGGAACCAAGTTGGAAAACACTCTTCAGGATATTATAGAGGAGAACTTCCCCAATCTAGCAAGGCAGGCCAACATTCACATTGAGGAAATACAGAAAACTCCACAAAGATACTCCGCGAGAAGAGTAACACCAAGACACATAATTGTTAGATTCACCAAAGTTGAAACAAAGGAAAAATGTTAAGGGCAGCCAGAGAGAAAGGTCGGGTTAGCCACAAAGGGAATCCCATCAGACTAACAGCAGATCTCTCAGCAGAAACTCTAAAAGCCAGAAGAGATAGGGGCCAATATTCAACATTCTTAAAGAAAAGAATTTTCAACCCAGAATTTCATATCCAGCCAAACTAAGCTTCACAAGTGAAGGAGAAATAAAATCCTTTACAGACAAGCAAATGCTGAGAGATTTTGTCACCACCAGGCCTGCCTTACAAGAGCTCCTGAAGGAAGCACTAAACATGGAAAGGAACAACCAGTACCAGCCACTGCAAAAACATGCCAAATTGTAAAAAACCATTGATGCTAGGAAGAAACTGCATCAAATAACGAGCAAAATAACCAGTTAACATCATAATGACAGGATCAAATTCACATATAAGAATATTAACTTTAAATGTAAATGGGCTAAATGCTCCAGTTAAAAGACACAGACTGACAAATTGGATAAAGAGTCAAGACCCATCAGTGGGCTATATTCAGGAGACCCATCTCACATGCAGAGACACACATAGGCTCAAAATAAAGGGATGGAGGAAGATCTACCAAGCAAATGGGAAACAAAAAAAAGCAGGGGTTGCAATCCTAGTCTCTGATAAAACAGACTTTAAACCAACAAAGATCAAAATAGACAAAGAAGTCCATTATATAATGGTAAAGGCATCACTTCAGCAAGAAGAGCTAACTATCCTAAATATATATGCACCCAATACAGGAGCACCCAGATTCATAAAGCAAGTCCTTAGAGACCTACAAAGAGACTTAGACTCCCACACAATATTAATGGGAGACTTTAACACCCCACTGTCAACATTAGAAAGATCCACGAGAGAGAAGATTAACAAGGATATCCAGGACTTGAACTCAGCTCTGCACCAAGCGGACCTAATAGACATCTACAGAACTCTCCACCACAAATCAACAGAATATACATTCTTTTCAGCACCACACCACACCTATTCCAAAATTGACCACATACTTGGAAGTAAAGCTCTCCTCAGCAAATGTAAAAGAACAGAAATTATAACAAACTGTCTCTCAGACAACAGTGCAATTAAACCAGAACTCAGGATTAAGAAACTCACTCAAAACCACTCAACTACATGGAAACTGAACAACCTGCTCCTGAATGACTACTGGGTACATAACAAAATGAAGGCAGAAATAAAGATGTTCTTTGAAACCAATGAGAACAAAGACACAACATACCAGAATCTCTGGGACACATTTAAGGCAGTGTGTAGAGGGAAATTTATAGCACTAAATGCCCACAAGAGAAAGCAGGAAAGATCTAAAATTGACACCTTAACATCACAATTAAAAGAACTAGAGAAGCAAGAGCACACATTCAAAAGCTAGCAGAAGGCAAGAAATAACTAAGATCAGAGCAGAACTGAAGGAGATAGAGACACAAAAAAACCCTTCAAAAAATCAATGAATCCAGAAGATGGTTTTTTGAAAAGATCAACAAACTTGATAGTCTGCTAGCAAGACTAATAAAGAAGAAAAGTGAGAAGAAACAAATAGATGCAATAAAAAATGATAAAGGGGATATCACCACCGATCCCATAGAGATACAAACTACCATCAGAGAATACTATAAACACCTCTATGCAAATAAACTAGAAAATCTAGAAGAAATGGATAAATTCCTGGACACATACACCCTCCCAACACTAAACCAGGAAGAAGTTGAATCCCTGAATAGAACAATAATAGGCCCTGAAATTGAGGCAATAATTAATAGCCTACCAACCAAAAAAAGTCCAGGACCAGACGGATTCACAGCCGAATTCTAACAGAGGAACAAAGAGGAGCTGGTACCATTCCTTCTGAAATTATTCCAATCAATAGAAAAAGAGGGAATCCTCCCTAACTCATTTTATGAGGCCAGCATCATCCTGAGACCAAAGCCTGGCAGAGTCATAACAAAAAAAGAGAATTTTAGACCAGTGTCTCTGATGAACATCGATGCAAAAATCCTCAATAAAATACTGGCAAACTGAATCCAGCAGCACATCAAAAAGCTTATCCACCACGATCAAGTGGGCTTCATCCCTGGGATGCAAAGCTGGTTCAACATACACAAATCGATAAAAGTAATGCATCATATAAACAGAACCAAAGACAAAAACCACATGATTATTTCAATAGATGCAGAAAAGGCCTTCAACAAAATTCAACAGCCCTTCATGCTAAAAACTCTCAATAAACTAGGTATTGATGGGACATATCTCAAAATGATATACCTATTTATGACAAGCCCACAGCCAATATCATACTGAATGGGCAAAAACTGGAAGCATTCCCTTTGAAAACTGGCACAAGACAGAGGTGCCCTCTCTCACCACTCCTATTCAACATAGTGTTGGAAGTTCTGGCCAGGGCAATCAGGAGGGAGAAAGAAATAAAGGACATTCAATTAGGAAAAGAGGAAGTCGAATTGTCCCTGTTTGCAGATGACAGGATTGTATATTCAGGAAACCCCATCATCTCCGCCCAAAATCTCCTTAAGCTGATAAGCAACTTCAGCAAAGTCTCAGGATACAAAATCAATGTGCAAAAATCACAAGCATTCCTAAACACCAATAACAGACAGAGAGCCAAATCATGAGTGAACTCCCATTCACAATTGCTTCAAAGGAATAAAATACCTAGGAATCCAACTTACAAGGGATGTGAAGGACCTCTTCAAGGAGAACTACAAACCACTGCTCAATGGAATAAAAGAGGACACAAACAAATGGAAGAACATTCCATGCTCATGGATAGGAAGAATCAATATTGTGAAGGTGGCCATACTGCCCAAGGTAATTTATAGATTCAATGCCATCCCCATCAAGCTACCAATGACTTTCTTCACAGAATTGGAAAAAACTACTTTAAAGTTCATATGGAACCAAAAAAGAGCCCGCAATTCCAAGACAATCCTAAGCCAAAAGAACAAAGCTGGAGGCATCATGCTACCTGACCTCAAACTATACTACAAGCCCACAGTAACCAACACAGCATGGTACTGGTACCAAAACAGAGATAAAGACCAATGGAACAGAATAGAGCCCTCAGAAATAATACCACACATCTACAACCATCTCATCTGTGACAAACCTGACAAAAACAAGAAATGGGGAAAAGATTCCCTATTTAATGAATGGTGCTGGGAAAACTGGCTAGCCATATGTAGAAAGCTGAAACTGGATCCCTTCCTTACACCTTATACAAAAATTAATTCAAGATGGATTAAAGACTTAAATGTTAGACCTAAAACCATAAAAACCCTAGAAGAAAACCTAGGCAGTTCCATTCAGGACATAGGCATGGGCAAGGACTTCATGACTAAAATACCAAAAGCAATGGCAACAGAAGCCAAAATTGACAAATGGGATCTAATTAAACTAAAAAGCTTCTGCACAGCAAAAGAAACTACCATCAGAGTGAACAGGAAACTTACAGAACAGGAGAAAATTTTTACAATCTACCCATCTGACAAAGGGCTAATACCCAGAATCTACACACAACTTAAACAAATTTACAAGAAAAAAATCAAACAACCCCATCAAAAAGTGGACAAAGGATATGAACAAGCATTTCTCAAAAGAACACATTTATGCAGCCAACAGACACATGAAAAAATGCTCATCATCACTGGTCATCAGAGAAATGCAAATCAAAACCACAATGAGATACCATCTCACACCAGTTAGAATGGCCATCATTAAAAAGTCAGGAAACAACAGGTGCTGGAGAGGATGTGGAGAAATAGGAACACTTTTACACTGTTGGTGGGACTGTAAACTAGTTCAACCATTGTGGAAGACAGTGTGGTGATTCCTCAAGGATCTAGAACTAGAAATACCATTTGACCCAGCCATCCCATTACTGGGTATATAACCAAAGGATTATAAATCGTGCTGCTATAAAGGCACATGCACACGTATGTTTATTGCGGCATTATTCACAATAGCAAAGACTTGGAACCAACCCAAATGTCCATCAATGATAGACTGGATTAAGAAAATGTGGCACATATACCCCATGGAATACCATGCAGCCTGCAAAGCCATGTCCTTTGTAGGAACATGGATGAAGCTGGAAGCCATGATTCTGAGCAAACTATCTCAAGGACAGAAAACCAAACACTGTATGTTCTCACTCATAGGTGGGAATTGAACAATGAGAACAGTTGGACACAGGGTGGGGAACATAACACACTGAGGCCTGTCATGGGGTGGGGAGGGAGGGGGACGGATAGCATTAGGAGAAATACCTAATGTAAATGACGAGTTAATGGGTGCAGCACACCAACATGGCCCATGTATACATATGTAACAAACCTGCACATTGTGCACATGTACCCTAGAACTTAAAGTATAATAATAATAATAAAAAAAAAGAATGACGCCGAGCAGATTTTAAGCAAGATTCTTCTTGGGCAATTTCTTTATGTTTTAGATAAAAAGGTATACACACTTTATTGAAAAGTCTCCCAACTGTGCCCAGATCTTCATGACTTAAGGTATAGCCTGTGGACCAGCAGACTTGCCAATACCATAGCACCTGCTAGAAGTGCAGAATCTCAGATCCGACCCTTCAATTGATGAATTTTATAAAAGGTTCCCAGGTGATTCCTATGCACATAAAAGTTTGAGAAACACTCGTCTAGATGCCATTCTCTTCATAATCTATTGTCACTATTTTCTAAAACAAATATATTCAATATTTTTCACTAGCTCCTTCTAAACTGTATATAAACAAGCTTAAATTTCTCTCATCTTAAACATAAAATAAATTAACAAACAAACAATAAACAAAACTGATTTCAATGTAATCTTGACCTAGAACCCTTGGCTTCCATGAGAAACTCATGTATCCTTAAACCAAATCCTCTCTTTCTGCTTAAGCTTATTCTAATAGGTTTCTGTTGCCAGAAACCTTAGAATCCAAACTCATGAAAGGCCTATTTTTTTAATTAATTAATTAATTTATTTATTTATTTTGAGATGGTGTCTCGCTCTGTTGCCCAGGGTGGAGTGCAGTGGCACAATCTCAGCTCACTGCAAACTCTGCCCCGCAGGTTCAAGCAATTCTCCTGCCTCAGCCTCCCGAGTAACTGGGATTACAGGCGCCCGTCACCAGGCCTGGCTAATTTTTGTATTTTTAGTAGAGACGGGGTTTCACCATGTTGGCCAGGTGGGTCTTGAACTCCTGACCTCAAGTGATCTGCTCACCTCAGCCTCCCAAAGTGCTGGGATTATAGGCATGAGCCACCGCACCCGGCCATCTTTTGTTTTTATGTAACTTTCTATTTTCAGTGAAATTTTGTCCATGCCCAAATAGCTTCTACTGCTTTCCACAGTTAATATTCCCCAAATTTCTGTCAAAGTTTTTTCTCCCTAGGGTAAATCTACTATTTTGTGTTCCATAGTCACTTCCTAATCAATCTGTTCAAAACTGAATTTTTTATCATCTCACAAAACTTATTTCTCTTCAAACATTTCAATTTCAGTTTTAATGGCACCATTTACCCAGTCACAATTGTTTGAAAATGAAGAGTCATCCTTGACTTCATATTAACATAACTGTTGTAGTTCAAACTCTAACCTTCTCTCACATACATTCATCAATACATTTCTGTGATAGTTAAGTTTGTGCCAACTTGGAGGGTATTTTCAAAGAAATTAACATTTTAATCAGTAAACTTTGGGTAAAGAAGATTGCCATCCATAATGTGGGTGAGCCTCTTCCAACCAGATGAAGGTCTGAATAGCACAAAAAAGACTGGCCTCCCTGAGCTACAAGGAATTCTTAAGTAGTCTGCCTTCAGACTTTATCTGTACCACCAACTATCCTGGATCACAAACCCACCAGCCTATGCTGCACATTTAGACTTGCCAGTTTACACAATCATGTGAAACAAATACACATTCTGTTCATTTTGTTTCTCTGGACATCTCTGACCATTACAGATTTTGGTAGCAAGAAGCAGGGTCCTGCTATAACATATGCCTAAAAATGTGGAAATGAATTTGGAATTAGGTAATTGGTAGAGGCTAGTGGAGTTTTAAGGCACATGTGAGAAAAAGGCTAGATTGCCTTGATGGGACAGTTGGTAAGCATGTGGTCATTAAAAATAATTCTGGTGAGGTCTCAGATGGAAATGAGGAACATGTTGTTGGAAACTGGAGGAAAAGTGATCCTGTTCAAAAGTGGCAAAGAACCTTGCTGAGTTCTTGGTATTTTATCTTAGTAAATTTTATCATAGTATTTTATCGTAGTAAATATCAGTATTTTCTGAAAAGTTGAAGTTAATTGTGGAGGAACTTAAATATTTAGCTGAAGAGGTTTCTAAGCAAAGTGTTAAAGGTGCAGCCTGGTTTCTCTTAACTGCTTACAGTAAAATGCAAGAAAACAGACAGATAAATTAAAGGAATTGTTACACAAAAAGGAACCAAAATGTGAATATTTGAAAACGTTAGCCTATCCATATTGCAAGAAAAGATAAAGTGTGCTCTGGAGAGACCATCAAGGGTGTGGCTGAACAATCACTCCATGAAGAGATTACTCATGGATTGAATCAAACATCTTGGCAGAACGCAAGAATAGAGATGGGATTATACCAGTTGAAACACTGCCAGTTTGAACTAAAGGGGGCAGAGATGGGATTAAATAAAGGAGGATTTTATAGGATGGAACAATAGAGCCATCAGGCTGTGAAAATGCCTTGTCATTCAAGAACAATAAAGAAGACAATACAGAAATCAGCACGGCTGCCCCTGCTACCACAGGTCCAGAATGCACAAATCTGTGGAACAAGGCTGTCTCCTCCTCCTTTCAGTGCACAAGGCTGCAGCCCATCAGTGCCCCAGGGGTCATGCAACCAGTCACAGCCATTGGAGGGGGTGGGGCAATGCCCATGGCTATAGGAGCAACACTGCTTGCTGCACAAGTAAGTCTGAAGGACAGAGCATGTTGTCAGAGGATTATTCTCAAGCCTTAAAATCGAATGGAATTTTTCTTGTTAGGTTTTCCATTTGCTTAGGACCCATCACACCTCACTTATTTCCAGTCTGCCCCTTCTGGAATGGGAATGTCGATCCTATGCTTGTTCTATCATTGTATTTTAAAAGGACATAACTTGTCTGGTTTCACGGATTCACAGTTGGAGAGGAATTTTGCCTCAGGATAAACCATAGCTTTGAGTCTTACACCTGATTTAGGTTAATACTTAGATGAGACTTTGGACTTAGAGCTGATGCTGAACCGAGTAAGACTGTGGCGCTGTTTCAAGGTGAAGTGAGTGCATCTTGCATGTGAAGAGGACGTGAATTTTGGAGGTCTAGCAGGACAAATATTATTAAATTAATTGTGTTTTTCCCAAATTCATAAGTGGAATCCTAACATCAAATGGAATATATTTTGAAGTAGGGTCACTAAGGAGGTAATGAAGTTTAAGTGAGGTCACAAGAGTGGAGTTTTAATCCAATAGGATTGGTGTCCTTGTAAGAAGATAATAAGACACAGGGGTATGCATACACAGAGAAAAAGATCATGTAAGGACAAGTGAGAAGACAAGGAGAGAGGCCTCAGGAGAAGCTCAAACCTGCCAACACCTTGATCTTAGATTCAGCCTCCAAAATGCTGAAAAAATAAACTTTTGTTAAGGCACCCAGTCTGTAGTATTCTGTTAAATCAGCTCTAACAGAGTAATACAACTACCAAAAATCTCCCTTTTATTTCACCACTCTTGGATTACTTATCCACAGTGCTTTTAGGCTGATCTTCCCAAAAGGTAATTTGGGTAAATTCTCTCCTGAGCTCAAAACATTTCATGCCTATCTCTGTCTACTGGATAACTTTCAAAGTACCTGGCATGGCACAGAGAGCTCTATGGTTCCTGCTTGTCTTTCCAGTGTCATTTCTTGCCAAACATAGGCACACAGTCAGTAATCTAGACAGACACTCACTTGCAGTTCTTCTAATCTGCCATGCTGTTTCATAAAACATATGGTTGCCTCTTCATAGACTAACCCCTTCCCCAGACCACCTAACAAACTGCTACTCATATTCAGATAACGCACACAAAGGTCTTCTCAATGAAACATTTGACCTTCTAGGACCACGCTAACCATATGATTTTTAATACTATTGCTGTATAGACCTTATTTATACTTCCAGTACATTTGATTTTAACAATGTGTTTACAACTACTCCCTTTTGAAATTGTAGTCTCTTTGAAGATGGATACTTTTGTATATTCTCAGTGCTTGCACATAGATTGCTCAATGATTCATAGAAATAAATAGATATGTGAAATATCCATTTGTCCATAACCGGCTCCAGATTATCCCTAATCCATTAGAGACCACATTGGGAAAAAATACTTTTTTAAAAATGAAAGACTGCTGAGATTAGCATGTTTGGGAAGCCAAGTAAGCAAGGAGCAAATTATAGGTTATTATAATTCCATATGGATCTCCCTAGACTCTCAATTTCTGTATTAATTACTATAATCACAACACATTCATACTAAAGCTCACTTTATTATATCTTTCATTTATTTATTCATTATCATATCAACCATATTGCTGATTCCTAAAAAGAGGACATGTTGTGTAATGAAGAAGCAGTGAATTAGAAAGCAGAATGCATGGGTCCTTGTCTCTGTGACTTGCAAGTCACAGTCTCTTGCATGTCAGTTTTCTCACCTACAAAATGGAATTTCTGTATCTAACCAGCTCATCACACAGAGTGGTTTTGAAGATCAAATGGAATGATGTATAAATGGTTTGTAGGTTGTCATTTAATAACGGTGTCTTCCTAGTGAAAGGGCAATGTTTCTGCATTTCACCAACAGTGCTTGGCATTGGCCCTAGCTCGCTCTGGCCTTTCCAGCTGACTGACATTGAGCAGGTCATTTAAATTTTCCAAACCTCAATTTTCATAAATCTAAAAGTGGGATAATAATATCACAAGATTTTTTCAAGGCAAAAATAAAAATCAAAGTGTTTTGTATTCTATATCATGTTATGTAATTTAAAATAATTATATAATCTAATTGTGTGATCTTGGGTAAATGATGTAACTATTTGTGACACTTTCTTCATGTATAAAATAAAAATATAATAAGTTTGTTGAGGGGTTGAATAAGACAATGTGTGTAAAGTATTTAACATAACACATGTGTGCTTAGCATTTTAAATAATAATAATTAAATTAATGTTTCTAGTACATACCATTATTATATTACTGCTAATACAGGTGTCCCTTGAGAACTGAGTCTGCAAAGTTTTACATGACTTATGACTCTTTGGATATGGCATAAATGTTTTTATTGACTTACTAATACCTCAATTGGTTTCATTTCAAGGGATGATAGCTGTGTAAACAAAGTAGAATTAGTCATTAAAAAGATAGATACAAATCTTATAATAAAATTTTGTTTAATATTACATCTGTAATATCTAGTGATTGTGTGTGATGTCCTCTGGAGTACAATGGTCTTTTATCTTTGTTTTCTAGCCAAATTATCAAGCTTTATTGACTCCCTACTCTGTGTGTTAGTTGTTCTGCATATCATATTTTGGTGCCATTTACAAAACGGTTAAGCATTGCCCTTATACTTAAATACACACACACACATACACACACACACACACACACACACACACACACACAAAACTATTTCTGCTAAAGCTTTATTTGCAATATCAATTTCTAAATATGAACCATATTTGTGAAGACTATCTCTAAATATATATACTATATATGGCCTATAGTTCAGATATATATATATTTCTGTGTGCTTATATTTCTGAAACAAGGAGGGAGGAAGAATTCAGGGTGAAAAACAAAGAAAATTATGTCCAAATTTATTTTCAAGCTTTGTGACTTTAGAAAATCTACAGCTACACAAGCCTAATGCTAAACATGATGAGAATAAAACATCTACTTCATTCTATGGTTTTAAAATGCTATTTATATAGCATAATGGAGGTGACTAATACATGTTTTCTGAAATAACTTATTTTCAGAGAATGGTTTGCTCACTAGATATATCAGCCTTAATTTTCCATCTCTATTTCCTACCAATTTGTAAACCTGAATATTTAGAACTCACAACTGGCCTCCATCTGAGGAAATACAAAAACAAATCTTCTTAGAGTCAAGATGTTCTTGAGACCCCCAAAAGAAAAGGAGCTTGTCTCCAAGCAGAAGGAATTTGTATGAAAACTCTGCCTTCAACATTGTTACTCCTGCTAGACACTGGTAAGACTATTTCAGGATTTCCATTTATTTAATAGCAGATAGAAAGTGTTAACAATAGTCAATATTAATACAAACATGTTCTAATATTGTAATTATAAAAATCCAGTGGAAATCAATTTTTTCAATTCAGCAATATCAATTAGTATAATATTAGTAGAGATGGTGAAAGGGGTAGGTGATTGCTTTTCTCTGTAAGGATGCCTGACTCTGCTTAAATAAATAATTCACTGTGGGCCGGGAGCGGTGGCTCACACCTGTAATCCCAACAAGTTGGGAGGCCAACGCCGGCAGATCCCTTGAGTCCAGGAGTTTGAGACCGGCCTGGGCAACATGGGGAAACTCCGTCTCTACTAAATATACAAAAATTAGCCAGGCGTGTTTGCGCACGCCTGTAATTCCAGCTACTAGGTAGGTTGAAGCTGGAGAATCACTTGAACCTGGGAGGCAGAGGTTGCAGTGAGCCGAGATGGTGCCACTGCACTCCAGCCTGGGTGACAGAGTGAGATCCTGCCAAAAAAAAAAAAAAGCAAAAGCAAACAAACAAAAACTCACTGTATATCATAGATAAATAAGAAACTTATGTTATTTAAATGTTTTGATAGATTATTTATTACATATGGAGAGTATGGGAACAGAAGCACTTTAAAACATGCCATGGCTCACTTCCAACTGAACTAACACTTCTCGGTAGATGGCTTTAACTACTCTTCGAATGCCACGTGTGGAGTTGGGGTGCTTATCTAATGCCTACTTTTGAAATTAGATGAGAGGTTTGAAAACTTTTTTTGAGTTTCCTGATGACCAAGAATATTTTTTATTCTTTAAAATAAGGCATCCTTGAGCTATCACTTGTGTTCTTGGATGTTATTTAAAATGATTTACTCAGAGACACAAGCAGTTTGCTGAGATAGAAGACAATGGAAGAGTAAATTGAAGTAAAAAAGAAAACATTCAGCTCTGTGTCTGGCACAACACAAGTGCTAAAATAAAAGATATCCAGTATTATTGTTGATGTTATTATTGGCTAATTACAATATTCTAAGTAGAAAAAAATTCTTAGATAATCAATTATAGCTCACTATATTTCTTTCAGTTATAAAATTAAAATAATTTGAAATGTTTATCTTATCTTCCAAGACATTTGAGAGAAAAAAAAAAGAATCTGCTCAAACATCCTGTCTTAATCCAGATAAATTTGGATTAACAAAATTGCTTTCTAAAATATCTTCTAAATTTTAAAAGAACAAGCAAAATGACTATTATATTTATACAGGTTTTAAAAAAATATGTATACTGTCTTATCCAGATTATTAGTTATGGGTCAAATTATCAAGTATTAGAGGTTTTAAATTTTTATATGTATACTTTACTGGACATAAGGGTCCATTTTATAAGTAATGTCCACTGGATATTTATGCTTTTTTTAGAAGTAGCATCATATTTTTATATTGCTTTATTATAGATGTTTATAGTTGTTTTAGAGTTGCTTTTATGACATATTATGTGTAAAATCTATTATTTGTTTTGTTCTGAGTACTTGATTGGGAATAAAACTATACTTACAACTCCTGATGAGGAAATGCTGTTGAGTTTATCAAAATGCATTTATAGTACTGCTTATTGATACGCATTACTGGGAAGAAAGGGATCAGTGTATTTATCCAGTGAGATCCAAATCATGCCAAAAATTACATTTCAATGCACTTTCTGGTAACAAAAGTTTTTCATGCAAATACTTGGCAACTCAGAACTGACAGTGTTTTTTTTTTCAAAAATCTAAATTGACAAGATTATTTGAATAGTGTTTTTTTAATGTATGGTTTTCATAATGGAATAATTTTTTTCTTCTCAACCCCCACCCCTCACTACTATACCCCACTATCTTCCTGCACCTTCTACCTCAGGACTTTCAGCTCCTTTTCCCTTTTAGTCCAGAATTACAACTAGCTGGAGCCTAGAATGGGTCACAATCAGGAAGAGGTTAAAAGTGCCATGGGAATATGGAGAAGAGAGGGTCACAATCAGGAAGAGGTTAAAAGTGCCATGGGAATATGGAGAAGAGAGGGTCTAAGGAAGATTGCAAATTCTTCAGAAATTCCTCTGGGTGTTTGTCTAAACAGACATCAGACAAATGCCTTCCATTTGTTTTCCTCCCATCTTCTCCTGCGATCACCAGTGAACATCTAGTTTTCCATAATGTGAAAGGCAACAAGAAAACAAAAATCACAGGTTAGATCAATCAGCCTAAAAACTTGTTATTGACTCTGCCCTTCTCTGATAGGGTTACACTTAAATATATTAACCATCCTAAAATTGAACCTTAACAGACCTTAAAACGCCATCTTTGCTCTTCAAGATTTAGTGTTTATTATTTTTTTGAAAATTTAAACTTCCTATATGCTTAGTAACTTTTAAGCCTTACTAAATTATAGATTTTGCATTCTTCATGGCATTCTCTTAAATCAGACAATAAATTTTTCAAGTAGCATTTTAAACATGTGAATGTGATGGAGGAAAACATATAAACAAATACAAAATATTACTAATAGTGACTCACATTAATGAATTTGTTTAAGAACCTTTGAACATGTTATGATATATTGGAGATATATCTGCAACAGGCTAAGTCTGACATAAGCATAAGCAAAATTATAAAACAGATTTTTGAAAAGAAATAACTCTTTAACCATAGTTAGGGCTACCTGATGCTACCTTTCAAGGTCTCTTCTCCAGTCCCAGCCCTTGTCTTGATTACAAAATCAGGTCAATGGTGATGCTCATTTGTAACTTTGCTATCAGGTATGGCCAGATGTTTCATTTAACCTCTAATATAAATAAAACATCTGATGAAGTTTTGTGATGCCTTTGTAAACAGCTGTTTCATCTGGAAGCTTACTGCTGAAGCAGCTATACCGATTTGGTCATTTTCTTTACATAATGTCAAAGTAATTGTCTTGATCTTTAGGAAAACTGCTGCTATAGGTGTTATAAAGTATTTTATTACAGCATGTTAGATCTCTTTAAAATGGCTAATGTCTAGTCAACACATGTTTAGTTTGCCCAACAAGAATTTATTAAGTTTATTTAAAATGTAGGAAGAAACTATTTCTATTTCTTTGAGAATTAAAATGTAAGCTGAGTGCATCACTAAGGCAATTTTGTTATATTTTCAACATTATTTAATAACGCTTGACCAACCCTTGTTCTAAGAGCATTAACAGCACACCTTGTGTTCTTTTCCAGGTTCATTAAATAAGTCTAAGAATAATACTCCTCATGCCTGTTTTTTATTCTTGCTTAATATAAGCATATTTCTAACATTAGTAATTACTTTATATGATTAAAATAATTAATACGATGGTAAAGAGTGGATGCTGAAATCGCTTCAAACTAAATTTTAAAAATATTTTAGACATGTATAAAATGCCTACCATTTTTAGAAGGGCAAAAATTTAATCTAAAATAAATGAGCTGCCATATTTTAAAATGTTAGCAGATGAGCATTTGCGGCCCATTCTAATGAACATTGTCCAGGCAATTTTATTTTAGATTTCTCACTTAAGGACTCAAAGGCTGAGTATAACACAAAATAAGCTGCATGCTCATAAGAAGAAATTATATTAAATAATTTAGAAATTTGTGTTCAATATTTGGAAAATCAAGATTTTTTTAGAAATTTGTTTTTACATTTTAATAGACTTTAGCATTTTAGAAACTTAAATACTTGCTAGTTTAATGAATTATTCATATTTTGATCATATACATTACATTATACATTTTCCATATATACATCCCTACAAATTTTTAATATTTTTGACTTTGTAATTTATTGTTTTTAATCCAAATTTCTTAGGGTTTATGATCACATTTGGTATTATCTGCATGTAAAAAAGGAAACAGGAAGAACTTGCTTAATATCCTTTAAAGGTACAATATTATATAAGTTTATTTTCACTTTTGAAAGCTAATGAGCCATTTTTCCTGAGGAAGATACCTCCATGGCAGAATCTTCCATCTAAGAAACCGTAATCTTCCAGCTAGTGGCATAACCAGACCTCAGCCTCCTTACAAACTTTCCTAGTTAATGCTGGATTTACAAGGGTTTCTGTACTACAGCTTTAGTTAAGGGGCTTCCAGATTGTAATACCCAGAGAAATGTCGCTGCCTAAGTCACTAGCTTACAAAAAAGCTAAGCCAAGCAATTTAAGATGGATTTAAAGGTTACAGGAAACTGAAGCAATGTCCACCAGCAATGAATTAGAGAGAAGACACCCTCTAAAAGGCACCCTCTGGATGACGCTGGACCTTAAATGGATAAAGAACAACATTTCTGAGCACTGGAAACCAGGAGGGATGCTTATTTGTATTACACAAGAAATTTGGTGGCATTAAAGCTCTCATACGTGTGTGTATGCATGCATGTGCGTGTAAGTGTGTGCTTAGGTGTCCCCTTGCATGTCATTAGTAACTTACTCTTCCTGCTGAAGTAAATGAATTAAAAACACTTCCTTTACAACCATCATAGATGCTGACCACAGCACATAGGAATGAAGACAGATGCAGAGATTAAAGCTGTAGGACACACACACACACACACACACACACACACACAAAACCCCACAAACAAACAAAAGCAAAAACAGAAGCCATCTCCCAATAAAAAGCATACAGGAGCAAGCAATTTGAAGAGTACAATAGAAGTACAGTATATGATAATATTGTGCACTTGAAATGAGTTTTGAAGAAATCCATAATTAGAAAATAAGGACAAGCTCAATGATGGTGAAAGGAAGGAACCAGACCAAAACAGAATGGCTAGGAACAGTCACCCAGAACACGTTTAAGAGGATGTGAACAATTGAAGAAGTCCGAACCAAAACAGGAAACTTTCTCTTAACTCGCTTGGCTAAGGAGTATTTTTCACCAGTTTCTAATGAGGGAAAATTGAAATTGACCTCATAACTCTCCTATATCATTTATGGCTTATTCTATATTATATTTAAATCAACTATATCTAGTCATTTCAAACTGTGTTTTACTCAGTCAAACCTAATTAGTCCATAATGTTCAGAGACAAAAATTCCTCCAGGTAAGACCGTAAATAAACCACTACAGTCAAAATTTTTATACCCATCATGAATAGATCAAGTAAGAGCATTCCTGACAGAGAAACCAACTGGGATAACATGCTATCCATTATACCAGCTACTATGTGAAATGACTTCAGAATGGTCATCTTGAGAGGAGATACAGTTTTGGGGAAGTATGGCTTTGCCCAAACCATTGCAGAAAAATAACTTCTGGAATTATGTTCAGAGCCTCTGGTGTGTGTGTTTCAGCTTTGTAAGTAGATGGCATTTGTTTTGAGAGTAAATTGAATTTGAAAAAGTACAGCTAACTGGCATTGTGAACCAATCCTAATAAATAAACTGTGAGGCTACAATGGGAAGGCAACTCATTTTAACAGGTTGGCTACATATGTTTGCTATAAGTCAGTCATATAACCTTGTAGAAACATTTTGCACCACGTCTGATTACAAGAAGTATGACCTAGAAAGTTCAAAATTGTTAAAATCACAATACTTGTTTTCATTTTCTTAGTGGTCTTTTAGAATATTAGAAGTCAACATATACCAAAAGATTAAAGTGAGGAATGATCCCACAACAAAGCTTAATAACAGAGAAAAATCATTTAAAATTCAAAATGAGCATCTCAGAACGAAAGCAGGGGAAGTTGTTTTGAGTTCTCTGCCACTTTAGCTCCCCAACTATAAATTAAGAATAAATACACTGAATCCTCCCGAAGGACATGGGCTCTAAAAATGATTTTGGAACTTCCTAGAGAGTGCATACAGACTCTGGAGGCACAGAGCCTGGGCTCAAATGCCACCTCTGCCTTTTGCTAGCTGTAATTTGGGACAAGTATTTAAACTCTGAGCCTCAGTGTGTTCACATTTAAGTGGAAATAATGATAGGATATAACTTATTGCGTTGTTTTGAGGACTACATGAATTAATACATGTACAAACACTTACAATATGTCCTGACACTTAGTAAGTACTCAATAACAATAATACTTATTATACAATAAAATTAGCCTAATTTCTTTGGCAGTAGTTTTCCTTTGTTAAAATTCAAAGTATATTTTAGAAGCAACCTTTTGTTGATTGGTTTTGAACTCCAAATATCATAGGTGTATACAAAAATACATTTGACATTTGGAAGATGAAGACCTGTTAAGAATATATTCTGCATTTGACCAAGAGTTACCAAGTAAACATCATAGGAATAGTTTGACCCTCATGGCCACATTGTTATAACTGTTACATGAATCAGTATGATTTGTTTAAAAATAATAATATGGACCTATGACTTTCAGATCTGGAAGATAATTTTCTATTGTATTAAGCCACTAAATTTGAGACAATTTATTGCAACCAGCAATAGGAAACTAATTTATAATGTTCCACAAAATTTTATATCAGCATTTCTTATATGTATATTTGCAAGGAAGTTTTTAGAAAAATCCCTTCTATTGGGCATTTGGGGGTGGAGCCAAGATGGCCGAATAGGAACAGCTCTGGTCTACAGCTCCCAGCGTGAGCGAGGCAAAAGACACGTGATTTCTGCATTTCCATCTGAGGTACCGGGTTCATCTCACTAGGGAGTGCCAGACAGTGGGTGCAGGACAGTGGGTGCAGCGCACCGTGCGCGAGCTGAAGCAGGGCGAGGCATTGCCTCACTCGGGAAGTGCAAGGGGTCAGGGAGTTCCCTTTCCTAGTCAAAGAAAGGGGTGACAGATGGCACCTGGAAAATTGGGTCACTCCCACCCTAATACTGCACTTTTCCAAAGGGCTTAAAAAACGGCACACCAGGAGATTATATCCTGCACCTGGCTTGGAGGGTCCTATGCCCACGCAGTCTCACTGATTGCTAGCAAAGCAGTCTGAGATCAAACTGCAAGGCGGCAGCGAGGCTGGGGGAGGGGTGCCTGCCATTGCCCAGGCTTGATTAGGTAAACAAAGCAGCTGGGAAGCTCGAACTGGGTGGAGCCCACCACAGCTCAAGGAGGCCTGCCTGCCTTTGTAAGCTCCACCTCTGGGGGCAGGGCACAGACAAACAAAAAGACAGCAGTAACCTCTGCAGACTTAAATGTCCCTCTCTGACAGCTTTGAAGAGAGTAGTGGTTCTCCCAACATGCAGCTGGAGATCTGAGAAAGGGGAGACTGCCTCCTCAAGTGGGTCCCTGACCCCTGAGTAGCCTAACTGGGAGGCACCACCCAGTAGGGGCGGACTGACACCTCACACGGCCGGGTACTCCTCTGAGACAAAACTTCCAGAGGAATGATCAGGCAGCAGCATTTGCAGTTCACCAAGATCTGCTGTCCTACAGCCACCGCTTTTCTGCAGCCACTACTACTGATATCCAGGGAAACAGGGTCTGGAGTGGACCTCTAGCAAACTCCAACAGACCTACAGCTGAGGGTCCTGTCTGTTAGAAGGAAAACTAACAAACAGAAAGGACATCCACACCAAAAACCCTTCTGTACACCACCATCATGAAAGACCGAAAGTAGATAAAACCACAATGATGGGAAAAAACAGAGCAGAAAAACTGGAAACTCTAAAAAGCAGAGCACCTCTCCTCCTCCAAAGGAATGCAGCTCCTCACCAGCAACAGAACAAAGCTGGACGGAGAATAATTTTGATGAGTTGAGAGAAGGCTTCAGACGATCAAACTATGAGCTACAGGAGGAAATGCAAACCAATGGCAAAGAAGTTAAAAACTGTGAAAAAAGATTAGATGAATGGATAACTAGAATAACCAATGCAGAAAAGTCCTTAAAGGAGCTGATGGAGCTGAAAGCCAAGGCTCGAGAATTATGTGAAGAATGCAAAAGTCTCAGGAGCCAATGTGATCAACTGGAAGAAGGTATCAGTGATGGAAGACGAAATGAATGAAATGAAGAGAGAAGGGAAGTTTAGAGAAAAAAGAATAAAAAGAAACGAACAAAGCCTCCAAGAAATATGGGACTATGTGAAAAGACCAAATCTACGTCTGATTGGTGTACCTGAAAGCGACGGGGAGAATGGAACCAAGTTGGAAAACACTCTGCAGGATATTATCCAGGAGAACTTCCCCAATCTAGCAAGGCAGGCCAACATTCAGATTCAGGAAATACAGAGAACGCCACAAAGACACTCCTCGAAAAGAGCAACTCCAAGACACATAATTGTCAGATTCACCAAAGTTGAAATGAGGAAAAAATGTTAAGGGCAGCCAGAGAGAAAGGTCGGGTTACCTACAAAGGGAAGCCCATCAGACTAACTGTGGATCTCTCGGCAGAAACTCTACAAGCCAGAAGAGAGAGGGGGCCAATATTCAATATTCTTAAAGAAAAGAATTTTCAACCCAGAATTTCATATCCAGCCAAACTAAGCTTCATAAGTGAAGGAGAAATAATATACTTTACAGACAAGCAAATGCTGAGAGATTTTGTCACCACCAGGCCTGCCCTAAAAGAGCTCCTGAAGGAAAGGAACAACCGGTACCAGCCACTGCAAAAACACGCCAACATGTAAAGACCATCAAGGCTAGGAAGAAATTGCATCAACTAATGAGCAAAATAACCAGCTAACATCATAATGACAGGATCAAATTCACACATAACAATATTAACTTTAAATGTAAATGGGCTAAATGCTCCAGTTAAAAGACACAGACTGACAAATTGGATAAAGAGTCAAGACCCATCAGTGTGCCGTATTCAGGAAACGCATCTCATGTGCAGAGACACACATAGGCTCAAAATAAAGGGATAACGGAAGATCTACCAAGCAAATGGAAAACAAAAAAAAAGCAGGGGTTGCAATACTAATCTCTGATAAAACAGACTTTAAACCAACAAAGATCAAAAGAGACAAAGAAGGCCATTACATAATGGCAAAGGGATCAGTTCAACAAGAACAGCTAACTATCCTAAATATATATGCACCCAATACAGGAGCACCCAGATTCATAAAGCAAGTCCGTAGTGACCTACAAAGAGACTTAGACTCCCACACAATAATAAGGGGAGACTTTAACACCCCACAGTCAACATTAGACAGATCAATGAGACAGAAAGTTAACAAGGATACCCAGGAATTGAACTTAGCTCTGCATCAAGGGGACCTAATAGACATTTACAGAACTCTCCACCCCAAATCAACAGAATATACATTTTTTTCAGCACCACACCACACCTATTCCAAAATTGACCACATAGTTGGAAGTAAAGCAATCCTCAGCAAATGTAAAAGAGCAGAAATTATAACAAACTGTCTCTCAGACCACAGTGCAATCAAACTAGAACTCAGGATTAAGAAACTCACTCAAAACCGCTCAACTACATGGAAACTAAACAACCTGCTCCTGAATGACTACTGGTACATAACAAAATGAAGTCAGAAATAAAGATGTTCTTTGAAACCAATGAGAACAAAGACACAACATACCAGAATCTCTGGGACACATTCAAAGCAGTGTGTAGAGGGAAATTTATAGCACTAAATGCCCACAAGAGAAAGCAGGAAAGATCCAAAATTGACACCCTACCATCACAATTAAAAGAACTAGAAAAGCAAGAGCTAACACATTCAAAAGCTAGCAGAAGGCAAGAAATAACTAAAATCGGAACAGAACTGAAGGAAATAGAGACATAAAAAACCCTTCAAAAAATTAATGAATCCAGGAGCTGGTTTTTTGAAAAGATCAACAAAATTGATAGACTGCTAGCAAGACTAATAAAGAAGAAAAGAGAGAAGAATCAAATAGATGCAATAAAAAATGATAAAGGGGATATCACCACCCATCCCACAGAAATACAAACTACCATCAGAGAATACTACAAACACCTCTAAACAAATAAACTAGAAAATCTAGAAGAAATGGATAAATTCCTCGACACATACATCCTCCCAAGACTAAACCAGGAAGAAGCTGAATCTCTGAATAGACCAAAAACAGGCTCTGAAATTGTGGCAATAATCAATAGCTTACCAACCAAAAAAAGTCCAGGACCGGATGGATTCACAGCTGAATTCTACCAGAGGTACAAGGAAGAGCTGGTACCATTCCTTCTGAAACTATTCCAATCAATAGAAAAGGAGGGAATCCTCCCTAACTCATTTTATGAGGCCAGCATCGTCCTGATACCAAAGCCTGGCAGAGACACAATCAAAAAAGAGAATTTTAGACCAATATCCTTGATGAACATTGATGCACAAATCCTCAATAAAATACTGGCAAAACGAATCCAGCAGCACATCAAAAAGCTTATCCACCATGATCAAGTGGGCTTCATCCCTGGGATGCAAGGTTCAACATACACAAATCAATAAATGTAATCCAGCATGTAAACAGAACCAAAGACAAAAACCACATGATTACCTCAATAGATGCAGAAAACGCCTTTGACAAAATTCAACAACCCTTCATTCTAAAAACTCTCAATAAATTAGGTATTGATGGGACATATCTCAAAATAATAAGAGCTATCTATGACAAACCCACAGCCAATATCGTACTGAATGGGCAAAAACTGGAAGCATTCCCTTTGAAAACTGGCACAAGACAGGGATGCCCTCTCTCACCACTCCTATTCAACATAGTGTTGGAAGTTCTGGCCAGGGCAATTAGGCAGGAGAAGGAAATAAAGGGTATTCAATTAGGAAAAGAGGAAGTCAAATTGTCCCTGTTTGCAGATGACATCATTGTATATCTAGAAAACCCCATTGTCTCAGCCCAAAATCTCCTTAAGCTGATAAGCAACTTCAGCAAAGTCTCAGGATACAAAATCAATGTACAAAAATCACAAGCATTCTTATACACCAATAACAGACAAACAGAGAGCCAAATCATGAGTGAATTCCCATTCACAATTGCTTCAAAGAGAATAAAATACCTAGGAATCCAACTTACAAGGGATGTGAAGGACCTCTTCAAGGAGAACTACAAACCACTGCTCAAGGAAATAAAAGAGGATACAAACAAATGGAAGAACATTCCATGCTCATGGGTAGGAAGAATCAATATCATGAAAATGGCCATACTGCCAAAGGTAATTTATAGATTCAATGCCATCCCCATCAAGCTACCAATGACTTTCTTCACAGAATTGGAAAAAACTACTTTAAAGTTCATATGGAACCAAAAAAGAGCCCACATTGCCAAGTCAATCCTAAGCCAAAAGAACAAAGCTGGATGCATCACGCTACCTGACTTCAAACTACACTACAAGGCTACAGTAAGCAAAACAGCATAGTACTGGTACCAAAACAGAGATATAGATCAATGGAACAGAACAAAGCCCTCAGAAATAATGCCACATATCTACAACCATCTGATCTTTGACAAACCTGACAAAAACAAGCAATGGGGAAAGGATTCCCTATTTAATAAATGGTGCTTGGAAAACTGGCTAGCCATATGTAGAAAGCTGAAACTGGATCCCTTCCTTACACCTTATACAAAAATTAATTCAAGATGGATTAAAGACTTAAATGTTAGACCTAAAACCATAAAAACCCTAGAAGAAAACTAGGCAATACCTTTCAGGACATAGGCATGGGCAAAGACTTCATTTCTAAAACACCAAAAGCAATGGCAACAAAAGCCAAAATTGACAAATAGGATCTAATTAAACTAAAGAGCTTCTGCACAGCAAAAGAAACTACCATCAGAGTGAACAGGCAACCTACAAAATGGGAGAAAATTTTCGCAACCTACTCATCTGACAAAGGGCTAATATCAAGAATCTACAATGAACTCAAACAAATTTACAAGAAAAAAACAAACAACCCCATCAAAAAGTGGGTGAAGGATATGAACAGACACTTCTCAAAACAAGACATTTATGTAGCCAAAAAACACATGAAAAAATGCTCATCATCACTGTCCATCAGAGAAATGCAAATCAAAAGCACAATGAGATACCATCTCACACCAGTTAGAATGGCAATCATTAAAAAGTCAGGAAACAACAAGTGCTGGAGAGGATGTGGAGAAATAGGAACACTTACACTGTTGGTGGGACTGTAAACTAGTTCAACCATTGTGGAAGTCAGTGTGGCAATTCCTCAGGGATCTAGAACTAGAAATACCATTTGACCCAGCCATCCCATTACTGGGTATATACCCAAAGGATTATAAATCATGCTGCTATAAAGACACATGCACACATATGTTTATTGCGGCACTATTCACAATAGCAAAGACTTGGAACCAACCAAAATGTCTGAAAACGATAGACTGGACTAAGAAAATGTGGCACATATACATCATGGAATACTATGCAGCCATAAAAAATGATGAGTTCATGTCCTTTGTAGGGACATAGATGAAACTGGAAACCATCATTCTCAGCAAACTATCGCAAGGACAAAAAAAACAAACACCGCATGTTCTCACTCATAGGTGGGAACTGAACAATGAGAACACATGGACATAGGAAGGGGAACGTCACACTCCGGGGCCTGTTGTGGGGTGGGGATAGTGGGGAGGGATAGCATTAGGAGATATACCTAATGCTAAATGATGAGTTAATGGGTGCAGCACACCAACATGGCACATGTATACATATGTAACTAACCTGCACATTGTGCGCATGTACCCTAAAACTTAAAGTATAATAATGATAAAACTTAAAAAAAAAGAAAAAAAGAAAAATCCCTTCTACAATGTCAAGAAAATCCTTTCTACAATATTAATTATCAATAAAACCAAGATGTCAAATGTTTAGCTCAGCTAAATATAGCCCACTGATAATGAAGTTAAGACCATAAGTTTAAACATTATTTTTGCCCTTTTGTTTTTGCTAGGTTCTATGGACATAGGCTGCTCTCCAAATTCTCATCAATCATGAAGCAACTTGAGTATTTACTGTCTATTATTCTTCCTATATGTATTCTTCTAGCACAGTTCTTTGCACATAATATCCAGTAAATATATATTAGTTGAATGAATCAACATTTTTCATGCATGTAAAGCATTTGCCATCAGAAAGTGGTTAAAAGGCTCAAATTAGCAATTACTAGCATATTAGATGTAAATGTAATATATGAACGTGTTGTCAATATATATAGAGATGCCACTACAACATAGAAGACTAAATTTATAAAATTATTCAGCATAAAATTATGTGTTAGAAGGATTAAAAATTATCTAGTCCCACCCCTTCCTTTCACAAACTCTGTAACTGAGGCCTATGCACATGAACATAAATCATTTCAGAGTGGTTTGCATATTGGAGAGTGCCATAAATTTCAAACTCTAGCTTTTCCATGCATCTTTTGTAAAAAGTCCTCACAGATCTTGTGTCTTACTGACCAAGTAATACGGCAAGAATTAGAAGATAAAAGGAAAACTTTGAAATAATCATTTGACTCTCAGAAATACATTGAATATCTTGGACCCACTAAGCAGAATTCAGAGTAGAAATCAGTATTTCATGTTAATATATCCTGTCTCTCAAGAACTAATAAAGTTGGAATAGGTGGACCACACCTCCAATGTATTTGAAGATAATAGAATCAGTGAGACAGCCCAGTATCATCTCCAACTAAAATGGGAGCCTTTTACAATAAGAATTATTTAAACCACTGTAAACAACTAGGAATCAAAGTAAGGATAGAAATCACATTTTGCTCTCCTTTCACAAAGCAGCTGAAGAATATTATGGTGCTATTTCAATAAGAATAACACCACACTGATAACAGACTCTATTCAAAATTTAATAAAGCATTACTCTCTTAATCAAAACATGACTATGAAGCTTCAGAGACATGGACTGTCTCTGAAAAGCAGAATAATGTGAACAAAAGAGAAATGGAACTGTGTCTGAATATCAACTCTACAAAACAAATAACATCTCGTTACACATGCAGCAATTAAAGGCAGGAACTTAAACCCATTCTCGATTTACCTTTGTCAAGCTCCTGAACAGGGAAAAGTTTGAATTATAAAACCAAAGCAGGTACAGGGCAAAAATCAATTGAGCAATAAAGTTTTATACACATATGTTACTATAATATGTGTTTTTTGCCTATGCTGCAGATATTATGTACATAATATTTTGTCCAACGCATATAGATTATACATGCATATATGTAAGACAGCATTCAAAATTTATAATTATAAATGTAAAGAAAATAAACTTTGATTTAGAATTGTATAAGTAATTCGTGGACACCAAAAGTTTTCCTTCTATAAATGTACTGAGTAAAGAAACCTTATCTGAAATCATACTTCTAGGGTCTAATTTTTGACTCTACAACTTATGGATTGAATTTAGGATAAAATTTAAATATTTTTCTCATGGGCAAAATTAAGATAATAATAGTGCCTATTGCCGGGCATGGTGGTTTACACCTGTAATCCCAGCACTTTGGGAGGCTGAGGCGGGCAGATCACCTGAGGTCAGGAGTTTGAGACCAGTCTGACCACATGGTGAAAACCCATCTCTGCTAAGTATGCAAAAATTAGCTGGGGTGGTGGTACACACCTGTAATCCCAGCTACTTGGGAGGCTGAGGCAGAAGAATCACTTGAACCCAGGAGGTGGAGGTTGTAGTGAGCAGAGATCCCACCATTGCAGTGAGAAGAGATTGCCCTCGGCCTGGGCCACAGACTAAGAGTTTCTGTCAATAATAATAATAATAGTGCCCAGCTCACAGAGTTACAAAAATTTAATAAAGTAATGCTTAAAACTGATAAATTCACTATCACTATTCAGAAAATAGAATTTATTGAAGATTTTTAGAAATAAAAGTTGGCTAAGAAAGCTTTAATTCCATTAATGAATATATCATGATAGTCACTGAAACTGAATGTGGTTCTTCTGATTTATTCTAATCTCTAAATAATATATATATATTTAAAATTTACAACGTTGGTCTTCAAAGCTATGAGTATATTTATACAGGTCCAATCAGGTTTTAATAATGCCATTATAACATCTGTTTTCATCTTTAGCTCATATTAACACTCTTTTTGCTCATTTTGCTCATGTGGACAATGAATTACACTGGATTAGAAATTTTACCTAACATAAATTCATACGCTTAAATAGAGTTTATGTGTTTAATAGCTGTGCAATATCAAATATGTGTTTTTCAAACTGCTTTTACTGCTCTGATTAAAATTGTTTTTCAATTTCTGGGGCAATTCTTCTTTAGATATTTTGCTAGTCAGTAGCTCCATAATTTTATAATTATCTAGCCTATCCCTAAGACTTGGGAAAAGATCAAGCTCTCTATAAATTTAATAAAATGTCAGTTCTTGCTATTAGATCTGTGAAAAGCAGCATGTGAGTCATCTTGGGCAAGAATTAGACAGCAAGCCGTCAAAGTAGGGGAAGGTAAACACAGTTATAGCAAACACTGCCAGGTATATGGGATATATGGAGAAAGTTTGTGTGGCAAATGGAGCTGAGAGTTGTCAGATTTAAACAAGGTTTGGGGTCATCTTGCTTCATGCACAAAAAAGAAGGCCCTGAGCATCCGGAATGTGACAGATAGATGGGCTGCATTCAAAAGGGAGATGTGGTCTCCTTACAGCCAGAATGAATGAGTAAAATTTTAGAAAGTTTTGTGAGAGTCTTGCTTCTCTTTCCCATCAAGTCTCTTAACTAATAACCTCTTATTTGCTGCAATCTCATGGAAGGACAACAACACTGTATTTACAACTCTACAGTTGTGTTGTTCAACTATGTAGTCATAGTCATTGTAGTTGTTCTGTTACCACTTTTCTTCTCATGCACATTCTACTGGAATCTTGAAGCCCTACTAACCCTTTGAAATAAAACCTTAACATCTCTATGATCTCATTATTCTTTCTTACACAGATCTTTATAAGGTTCCTTTCTTCAAAATGTACCTAGCCCGTGTGCCGTTTCTTCTGAATTTGTTGTCTGTAAGATGATTTCTCCACCCAGGTATTCAATCAGTCAGCCCATCCCTCACTTGATTATTCAACAGAGCATAATACTATGAGCACTGGAGGCAGAGAGCAGCATAACAAGAACCCTGCTGTCATGGAGTGACATTCCAACAATGGGACAATAGAGAGAGAAAAGGGTCTCTGCTTGGTTTGGGTGGTCAGAGAAGTCTTCACTGTGATGCTACATTAATTTGTTAGGGCTGCCATACTATAGTACCACAGCCAGAGTGGCTTAAACAACAGAAATGTGTTTTCTCACAATTCTGAAGGCTAGAAATCCAAGATCGAAGTGTCAGCAGGGTTGGTTTATTCTTAGGTTTCTCTCCTTCACTTGTAGATGGCTATCTTCTCCCTGGGTTTTCACATCATCATCTTTTTATGAGTGTCTATGTCCTAATCCCCTCTTCTTATAAGGACACCAGTTATACTCAGTTAAAGTTCACCCTAATTAATTCCTTTTAGCTTAATTACTTCTGTAAACACCTTATCTCCAAATACAGTCACTATTACAAACTGAATTGTGCTCCCCTCACCAAGAAAAGTCATATGTTGAAGCCCTAATCCCCAATGTAATTGTATTTGGAGAAAAAGCCCTCAGAGAAGCAATTCAGGTTAAATGAGAACCTAAGGATGGGGCCCTAAACCAATATGACCTGTGTCCTTGTAAGAAGAGAAAGAGACACCAGAGGTATATCCACACAGAAGAAAGTCTATGTTAGAATGCAGCAATAAGGTGGCCACCTGTAAGTCAAGGAGAAAAGTCTTAGGAAAAACTAACACTTCTCACACCTTGATCTTGGACTTCAATCCTCCAGAATCATAAGAGAATAAATTTCTGTTGTTAAAGCTATCCAGTCTGTAATATTTTATTACAGTAGCTCTAGCAGACTAACACAGTCACATTCTGACTTACTAGAGTTTAGGACTTCAACATATGAATTTGCGGGGAACACAATTTAGCCTGTAACAGATGGCTACCTATGAGCCAAGGCTAATGAAGAGGCAAAGCCAGTCCTGTAACTAATTACAAGTGTACCAAATAGTATGGAAACACCCTCAAGACAGGAAAGAACTCCCTCAAATGCAAGGTGGTTCATTCAGAAGTCCAGTGTACCTAGAACAAAATAAGTGAGCGGAAGAGTGGTAAGTGACAAGGTCAAAAATGGGAGGCAAGGTCAGGTCACGTAGGACTGTGCAGGACAAGGCAGGGAGTTTGAATCTCACTGAAGTGGTGACACCCTTGGATAATCTTCCATAGAAGAGTTAAATAATATGGTTTCATTCATTTTAAAATATCATCTTTTTCTTGATATATAGGCTAAGTTGCAAATGGACTAAAATAAAAGAGCCAAGCACAGTTAGGAAGGGATTGATGAATCTAGAAGGAGATCTAGAAAGAACTAGATCTAGAAAGGACTAGAAGGAGATGATAGAGACAAAAATAAGTAGATAGATTTAAGATATTTTTTGATAGAAGAGCCCTGAATAGTTGCTGATGGATTAGATATTAGGGATGAAGGAAAGTGTGTTAACAGATGATTTACAGGTTTTTGGCTTGAGCAATTGAGTAGATAGTAGGGGTATTTTATTGAAGAAGACAGAGGAGGAACAAACTTGATGGAAAGGGTGGAAGACAAACCAGTTCAACTTGTTAAGAATAATATTGTAAATCTTCCTTAGTGAGTCAGCTGACCAAATCACATGGTTTTGTTGTTGTTGTTTTGTCTTTAGTAAACATCTAGATTTGAACTATGGGACTTATTACTAATGACTATCTTTGATAAATGTTGCTCAGGTCCAAATTCCTTTTAATGTTTCTTCTCTTATTTTATTTCATGATGTGCACAGTCTTCTGGTTGTTCTCCAGAAGTATAATTCCCATATGTAACTTTGTTCTTGTGGAAAGTCAGTTTTGGATCGCGCTGTTCAAAATAAACTTCCAGAAATGGAAACTAGGTTTGTTTAGATAAATGTACCACATATATGAGTTATAATTGTATATGGAAAAATTAAATATACAGTGATCCCTTTCTATAGAATGTAGTAGGCTTAATAATACTTGATGCAAATTCACCATTTGAGGAACCATCAAGCTTTTAAAATTAATTCTGTTAAAGCATAATATAAAGATGTTCCATTTTTAAAAACTAGATGATGGTGCTCACACACTTCTTTTACTAGCAGCATCTCTCTTCAATTTTCTTTTGAATTTTTGAATAATTTTTAATTCGAAGGAAAGTGGTTATAAGCACAATGAAGGAATAGTAATCCTTTAAATTACAGGGCACATGAGGATCCTATCAGGGTAGTGACAGGGTCAGATTCATATTTTAGATGAACTTTTCTGAGGCCTGTGGAGGAATGTATGGAAATTGAAAATATTGGCAGCATGGAAACCAATGAAAGTGTCCCAGCAGTGTTGTGCAGGAGACATAAACAAGGAGGAACTAAATAAGAGCATGGAATATAGGTGGTAGAGACAGGAAGAAAACAATGAAAAAATATTTCTCATAAAACATAAAATTAGAAGCACTAAGTGACTAATTGCTAGGTTTTTACTTTGAGTGATGGTATGTTGGATAATGCCACCAAGTGAAATAGAGAAAGAAAGAAAGAAAGAAAGAAAGAAAGAAAGAAAGAAAGAAAGAAAGAAAGAGAGAGAAAGAAGGAAGGAAGGAAGGTAAGAGAAAGAGAGAGAGAAAGAAAGAAAGAAAGAAAGAAAGAAAGAAAGAAAGAAAGAAAGAAAGAAAAGAAAGAAAGATTTCCAGTTTCATCCATGTCCCTACAAAGGACATGAACTCACTCATAGGTGGGAATTGAACAATGAGAACACATGCACACAGGAAGGGGAACATCACACTCTGGGGACTGTTGTGGGGTGGGGGGAGGGGGGGATAGCTTTAGGAGATATACCTAATGCTAGATGATGAGTTAATGGGTGCAGCACACCAGCATGGCACATGTATACATATGTAACTAACCTGCACATTGTGCACATGTACCCTAAAACTTAAAGTATAATAATAATAAAATAAAAAGAAAGAAAGAAAGAAAACAAAAAAAGAACATAAATGCTGGAGGTAGAGATGAGAGTGAAAGTAATTAATTGTTTTTTAAATAGGTTGAAATGTTAAAGCACGAGTAGCTATACTTACGTCAGATGAAATAGATTTTGGTCAAACACAGTAAAAAAAAAAGACAACGAAAGTTAATTCCTAATAAAAAAGGAATTAATTCAGCAAGAGGATATAACAATTCTAGACATGTATGAACCCAACAGTGAAACACCAAATTTATAAAGCAAATATTAGTAGATCTAAACAGAGTGATAGACTCTAATACAATAATAGCTAGGAACTTCAACACCTGACCCTCAGCATTAGACAGATCACCTAAACAGAAAATTAACAGAGAAACATTGGATTTATACTGTATATTAAACCAAGTAGACCTAACATATTTACAGAACATTTCATCCAACAGCTACAGAATACACATTCTTTCCACCAGCCCACAGAACATTCTTCAAGATATACCATATGTTAGGACACAAAATATATCCTGACAAATTAAAAACTATGAAAATCATGTCAAGTATTTTCTCAGACCACAATGAAATAAAAGCAGAAATCAACACCAAGAAGAACTTTGGAAACTATACAAATACATGAAAATTAAACAACATGTTCCTGAATGAGTTTTAGGTTGAGGTGGCAGTTAAAAAAAATTAAAAATAAAAAAATGAAAAAATTCTTTAAAAAAAAGGAAAAACACAATGTACCAAAACCTATGTAATATAAGAAAAGCAGTGTTAATAAGAAAGTCTATAGCAATGAATGCCTATATCAATAAATAGAAAGATTTTAAATAAAGAATCTAATAATGTACCTTAAGGAACTAGAAAAGCAAGAACAAACCAAACCCCAAATTAGTAGAAGAAAATAAATAATAAAGATTAGAGCAGAACTAAATGAAATAGAGACTAAAAAATACAAAGGATCAACAAAATGAAAAGCTGGCTTTTGGTAGAGATCTACAAAGCTGGCAAACCATTTGGTAGATCAAGAAAAAAAAGAGAGGAGACCCAAATAAGCAAAATAAAAATGGAGACACTGCACCTGATAGCACAGAAAGATCATTAGGCACTATTATGAACAATTACACATGAACAAACTAAAAAACCTAAAGGAAATGGATAAATTTCTGGTCACATACAACCTACTATAATTAAGTCAGGGAGAAATAGAAAATGTGAACAGACCAATAATGAGTAATAATATTGAATCAATAACAAAAATCTACCAACAAAGGAAAGCCCAGGAACAGATGATTTCACTGCCAAATTCTACCAAATTTCAAGAAAAAAAATCCTAACATCAATTTTCTCAACCTATTTCAACAAATAGAAAAGGAGGGAATTCTCCCTAATTGATTCAACAAATCAAGAATTACCCTGATCCCAAAACCAGACAAGGAAGCAACAACAACAACAAGAAAGAAAACTACAGGTCAGTAAATCTGTTGAACATAGATACAAAAATTTTCAACAAACTTAGCAAACTGAATCAAATAGCACATAAAGAAAATAATATGCCATATCAAGTGAGATCTATCCTAGGAATCCAAGGATGGTTTAATGCATGCAAATCAATAAATGTAATACATTAATGAAATGAAGGACAAAAACTATATCATCATCTCAATAGGTGCAGAAAAAGCATTTGATAGAATTCAAAATCATGTCATGATGAAAACTCTCAACAATCTAGGCATAGAGGAAACATACCTCAATATTATGAAGACCATATATGACAAACCTACAGCTAACATAATACTTAATGGAGAAAACATGAAAGCCTTTCCTCTAAGAACTGGAACAAGACAAAGATGACCACTTTTACCACTCTTATTCAATGTAGTACTGGAAGTCCTACACAGAGCAATCAGTCAAGAGAGCAATGCAAATTAGAAAAGAACAAGTCAAACACTGTCTATCCATCTTTGCTGATGATATTATCTTAGATCTAGAAAAACCTAAAGACTCCACCAAAAAAAAAAATCTTAGATCTGATAAATAAATTCAGAAAAGTTACAGGATACAAAATCAGCATAGGGAAATTAGTAATGTTTCTATATACAAATAATAAACTAACTGAGGAAGAAATCAAGAAAGTGATCCCATTTACAATAGCTATAAAGATACCTAGGAATAAATGCAACCAAAGAAGTGAAAGGTAACTACAACAAAAAATACAAAACGCTGGTGAAAGTAATTAAAGAACACACAAACAAATGGAAAGACATTCCATATTCACAGATCAGAAAAAGTAATAATATTAAAAGGCCCATAGCGATTTACAAATTCAATGCAGTCAGTATCAAAATACAAACATTGTTTTTCACAGAAATAGATAAAAACAATATCAACATTTGTATGGAACCAAAAAAGAGCCTGAGTAGCCAAAGCAATTCTGAGCAAAACTGGAAGCGTCACACTATCTGAACTCAAAATACATTACAAGGCTACGGTAGCAAAAACAGCACTCTATTGGTATAAACACAGACACATAGACCAATAAAACAGAATAAAGAATACAGAAATAAATATACATATTTACAGCCAACTGATTTTTGACAAAAATGCCAAGAGCATATATTGGGGAAAGCACTCTCTCTTCAATAAATGAAACTAAGAATGTTAGATGTCCATAGCAGAAGAATGAATTTGGACTGCTATCTCTCACCACACAAAAATCATGTCAAGATGGATTAAAAACTTAAACATAAGACTTGGAACTATGAAATTACTAGAAGAAAACATAGGGGAAAGACTTCCGAATGTTGGTCTAGGCAAATATTTCATGGCTGAGACTTTAAAACATAGACAACAAAAACAGGCAAATGGGACAATATAAAATGCTTCTGCACAGTGAAGGAAATAATCAACTAAGTGAAAAGAAAAAATAGCAATGGGATAAAATATTTGCAAACCATTCATCCAACAAAAGACTAATATCCAGAAGGAACACCACTCAACAGTAAAAAAATAACAATAATCCAATAAAAAGGGGACAAAGGACTTGAATAGATATTTCTCATAGGAAGATATACAAATAGCCAACAGGTATATGAAAAAATCGTCAATATTAATTATCATCAGGGAAATGCAAATCAAAACCACAATGAATTGTCATCCCAGTTACAATTACTATTACTAAAAAGGCAAATAAAATAACTGATGTGGTGAGAACACAGATAAAAGGGAGCTCTGTTGGTGGGAATGCAAATTAGGACAGCCACTATGGAAAACAGTATGGAGATTCTTAAAAATCTAAATAGAACTACCATAAAATCTAGCAAGTCCCCTACTGGGTATTCATCTAAAGGAAAGGAAATCAACTTATTAAAGGGATACCTGCACTCATATGTTTATTTCAACACTATTCACAATAGCAAAGATATGGAATCAACCTAAGTATCTATCTCCAGATGAATAGATAAAGAAAATGTGGTATATATGGGATACTATTCAGCCATAAAAAAGAATAAAATTACATTATAGATATAATGGGGGATTATTATGTTAAGTGAAATAAGCCAGGCACAGAGCAACAACTTTTGCATGTCCTCACTCATATGTGGGAGCTAAAAAATTTGGTTTCATGGAGGTAGAGAATAGAATGATAGATACTAAGGATGGGCGCGATGGCTCATGCCTGTAATCCCAGAACTTTAGGAGGCCAAGGCTGGCAGATCACTTGAGGTCAGGAGTTTGAGACCAGCCTGATAAACATGGTGAAACTCCATCTCTACTAAAGATACAAAAAATTAGATGGGCGTGGTGGCACATGCCTGTAATCCCAGCTACTCGGGAGGCTGAGACAGGAGACGCTTGAACCCAGGAAATGGAGGTTGCAGTGAGCCAAGATCGTGCCACTGCACTGCACTTAAGCCTGGGTGACAGAGTGAGACTCCATCTCAAAAAAAAAAAAAAAAAAAAAAAAAAAGATTGATACTAGAGGCTGGGAAGGGAAGGATGACAAGGTTGGTCAATGAGTACAAACATATAGTTAGATAGAAGGTATAAATTCTAATGTTTGATTGCAGGGTGTGGTGGCTACAGTTAGCAACAAGCTATTGTGTATATATATATATATATATTTTTTTTGTTGTTGTTGTTGTTGTTTGTTTGTTTTTGAGACAGAGTCTCGCTCTGTTGCCCAGGCTAGAGCGCAGTGCAGTGGCGTGATCTCGGCTCACTGCAACCTCTGCTTCCCGGGTTCATGCCATTCTCCTGCCTCAGCCTCTTGAGTAGCTGGGACTATAGGCGCCCACCACCACGCCCGGCTAATTTTTTTTGTTTGTTTGTTTGTATTTTTAGTAGAGACGGGGTTTCACCATGTTAGCCAGTATGGTCTCGATCTCCCGACCTCGTGATCCACCCGCCTCGGCCTCCCAAAGTGCTGGGATTACAGGCGTGAGCCACCGTGCCCAGCCAAGGTATTGTATATTTCAAAGTAGCTAGAAGAGATGACTTGAAATGTTCCCAACACAGAGAAATGATAAATAATCAAGGCAATGGATACCCCAAATATCCTGACTTGATAATTTTACCTTCAATGCATGCAAAAATAAATCACATGCACCTCATAAATATGTAAAATATTATGTATCAACTTTTTAAAAAGAAGATATAAGGGACCCCAAAGAGCCAAAGCAATCTTGGCAAAGAAGAACATAGTTGGAGAACTCACATTCTCAATTTCAAAGCGCTACAAAACTACAGTAATCATAAGTGCTTGTAGTGCTCTCCAAGTACAACAATGTGGTACTGGCGTGAGGACAGAAATATGAACCAATGTAATAGAATTATGAGTCTAGAAATAAGTTCATATACCTACTGTTAATCGATTATCAAAGTGTGTCAAGATCATTCCATGAGGAAGTAAGAGTCATTTCAACAAATATTGCTGAGACAACTGAATAAATACATGCAAAAGATTGAAGTTAGATCCTTACCACACACCATGCAAATTAGCACTAATGAATAAAAAGCCTAAATGTAAGAGCTATAACTATAAAACTCTTAGAAGAAGACACATAAATAAGTCTTCACGATCTTGGATTTTGGCATTGTATTCTTAGGTATTACACCAAAAGCATAAGCAACAAAAGAGAAAAAAATTGATACTATGATTTTATTAAAATTAAAAAAATTTTGCATCAAATAACACAATGAAGAAAGGGAAAAGATAGCCCACAGAATGAAGAAACGTATTTGTGACTCATATATCTGATAAGAGTCTAGTATCCAGAAGATAGAACAATTGCAACTTAGAAACGAAAAGGCAAAGAACTTGATTAAAAATGAGCAAAAGTGGAACCCTGGCAAGCCACGTGTAGAAGAATAAAACTGTATGCCCATCTCTTACTTTAACAAAAACGAACTCAAGATGGATTAAAGACTTAAATCTAAAGACTGAAACCATAAAAATTCTAGCAGATAACATTGGAAAAACTCTTCTGTACATTGGCCTAGGTAAATAATTCATGACTAAGACCCCAAAAGACAATGCAACAAAAACAAAAATAAATAAATGGGACCTAATTAAACTAAAAAGCTTCTGCACAGCAGAAATAATCAGCAGAAAAAACAGACAACCCACAGAATGGAAGAAAATATTTGAAAGCTATGCATCTGACAAAGAAATAGTATCCAGAATCTACAAGGAACTCAAACAAATCAGCAAGAAAAAAACAAATAATCTTATCAAAAAAGTGGGCAAAGACATGAATAGACATTTTTTAATTGAATATATGCAAACAACCAACAAACATATGATAAAATGCTCAACATCACTAATCATCAGGGAAATGAAAATCAAAACCACACTGAGATATCACCTTACTCCTACAAGAATGGCCATTATTAAAAAGTCAAAAAACAATAGATGTTGGCATGGATGTCATGGAAAGTGAACACTTTTACATTGCTGGTGGGAATGTAAATTAGTACCACTTTTATGGGAAACAGTATGGAAATGTCTTAAAGAATTAAAGGCATAGCTACCTATCTAGCAATCCCACTACTGGGTATTTGCCTAAAGAAAAATAAGTCATTATATGAAAAAGACACACACACACACACACACACACACACACACACACACACACACACACACACACACATGTTTATAGCAGCAAAATTCCCAATTGCAAAGATATAGAACCAATCTAAGGGTCTATCAACCCATGAGTGGATAAAAAATGTAGTATATATACACTGTGGAATACTACTCAGCCATAAAAATGAATGAAATAATGTATTTTGCAGCAACTTGGATAGTGAAATAACTCAGCAATGGAAAACCAAATACCATATGTTCTCACTTACAAGTGAGAGCTAAGATATGAGGACACAAAGACATACAGAGTGATATGATGAACTTTGGAAACTCAGAAGAAGGAAAGTGGGAGAAGGGTAAGGGATAAAAAAAACTCCATATTTGGTACAATGTTGTATTGGTATGTTCTCATGTTGCTAATAAAGATATACCCATGTATTAGTCAGGGTTCTCTAGAGGAACAGAACTAACGGAATAGATATTTATATAAAAGGGAGTTGTTTAAGTATTAACTCACATAATCACAAGGTCCCACAATAGGCCATCTGCAGGCTGAGGAACAAGGAGAGCCAGTCCATGTTCCAAAACTGAAGAACTTGGAATCCAGCGTTCAAGGACAGGAAGTATCCACCACGGGAGAAAGAAGTAGGCTGGGAGGCTAGGACAGTCTCACCTCTTCATGTTTTTCTGCCTGCTTTATATTTGCTGGCAGATGATTAGATGGTGCCCACCAAGATTAAGGGTGGGTCTGCCCTCCTTAACCCACTGACTCAAATGTTAATCTCCTTTGGCAACACCCTCACAGACACACTCAGGATCAATAGTTTTGCATCCTTCAATCCAATCAAGTAGATACTCAGTATTAACCATCACAAGTCCACCCTTTGTCAACTCGAACCCATACATATCTCCTGAGATCACACATGATCTTCAAATAAAGACAATGATAAAGTCATAATTATGCCTAACATAACACAACTATCCTTCGTACAACCAGAAATGCACCAATCCCCAAAGCAAATACTATTACATAAAGTTAACAATACTTAAGTGTTGATGTGAAGTCAATAAATCTTATGTCACATGATAAAAGAAAAAGAAAATAAAATGAAGATATTTACTTAGTACAAGGGTATACACGCACAAACATGTTTGTAACAAAAAAAAAGGAGGAAATACGAACAATTACAGTCCTCATTTCTGCAGTTGGTCACTTGGTCATAACTGGTAATAATAACTACCTTCTTCTACCACCCATTTTGTGTTCCGTTTGCCTTCAGTGAGCAACTAAGCAGGTCATGGTTTTTTTCCTGGTGGAGTGACCCAAACCTTCATACCTGAAGGGTCTTGGTCATTTATAGTCTTGTCTGGATTGGGCTGTTGTAGTTTCCCATTGACCTTAATAACAGGGCATGGTAATACTAAGAGAAGCCCTAATGGATCTCCCGTATTGAATGCATACTCTTCCTTCCCTCCATTGTGGAGTAGTAGACTGATTTCATCTTAACAGTTCAGGCCAATCACCCCCACCAACACTAACTCTCTTCTTAGCCTGTTGACTTAAAATTAGAAGGTGCCCAAAGTGTCCAGGTGGCAATCTTAACTTCCAGTTTAATGAAATTGTTGTGTCTCCTGGTGGTAGCATTCCTCCCTCTGGAACTAAGACCCCTAGACCAGCAGAACGTAATGTTGCGGGAACAGGAAACAAAAATTTTGCTAGTGGATAACTAGGAGTGATGAAGAGTGGTGCCTCTTCCACTGCCACCCCTTGATTCCTGGATCCATGAATCCTGGCTATGGGAGAAACAGTACCATATGTTGAACACTGATTCACAGAACACATGGCCTTCTGGAGGACTTTGCCCCAGGCATGCAAAGTATTGTCACCTAGTTGGTGCAGTAATTGTGACTTCAAAAGGCCATTCCACTGTTCTATCAATCCAGCTGCTTCAGGATAACAGGGAACATGGTAAGATCAGCAGTTTCCATGAGCATGATCCTACTGCTGCACTAGTTTAACCATAAAGTGAGAGCCTTGGTCAAAGGCAATGCTGTGTGGAACACCATGATGGTGGAAAGGCATTCCATGAGTCCACGGATGGTAGTCTTGACAGAAGCATTGCATGCAGGACAGGCAAACTCATATCTGGAGTAAGCATCTATTCCAGTGAGGACAAACCTCTGCCCTTTCCATGATGGAAAAGGTCCAATATAATCAACCTGCCACCACATAGCTGGCTGATCACCCCGAGGAATGGTGCCATATTGAGGGCTCAGTGTTGGTCTCTGCTGCTGCCAAATTGGGCACTCAGCACTGGCCATAGCCAGGTCAGCCTTAGTGAGTGGAAGTCCAAGTTGCTGAGTCCACGCATAACCTCCATCCCTGTCACCATGGCCACTTTCTTCATGGGCCCATTGGGCAGTGACAGGGGAGGCTGGGGAAAGAGGCTGAGTGGTGTCCACAGAACGGGTCATCCTACCCACTTGATTATTAAAATCCTCCTCTGCTGAGGTCACCTGTTGGTGAGCACTCACATGGGATACCAATATCTTCACAGTTTTTGATCATTCAGAGAGGTCCATCCACATACCTCTTCCCCGAATTTCTTTGTCACTAATTTTCCAATCATGCTTCTTGCAAGTCCCTGACCATCCAGCCAAACCACTGGCTACAGCCCATGAATCAGTGTATAATTGCACATCTAGTCATCTCTCCTTCCATGCAAAGTGCACAACCAGGTACACTGCTCGAATTTCTGCCCACTGGGAAGATTTCCCTTCACCACTGTCCTTCAGGGATGTCCTAGAAAAAGGCTGCAGTGCTACACCTGTTCACTTTCAGGTGGTGCCTGCATATCGTGCAGAACCGTGTGTAAACCAGCCCCTAGTCTTCTCTTCCTCTGTCAACTTATCATAAGGAATGTCCTATAAGGCCATTGGTGCAGGCTGGGGAAGAGAAGGCAGGGTAGCAGGAGTGGAGACCATGGCCATTTGAGCCACTTCCTCATGTAACTTACTTGTGCCATCAGGACCCATTCGATCCTGGTTAATGAATACACCACTTCCATTTGATGATGGAATGCTGCTGTGCATGACCCACTTTATGGCTAGATCGGTTAGAAAGCAGCCAGTTCATGATACGCAGTTCAGGTCACATGGTGACTTGATGACCCATAGTCAAAAGTTCAGTTTCCACCAAGCCCCGTAACAAGCCAAGAGCTGTCTCCCAAAAGGAGAGTAGTTATCTGCAGAAGATGGCAGGGGCTTGCTCCAAAATCCTAGAGACCTCCACTGTGATTCTCCTATGGAGGCCTGCCAAAGGCTCCAAACAGTATACCTATCTGCCACTGACACCTCAAGCACCATTGGATCTGCTGCATCATATGGCCAAAGTGGCAGAGCAGCTTGCACAGCACTGTGGACCTGTTGCAGACCCTTCTTCTGCTCTGGACTCCACTCAAAACTGGCAGCCTTTTTGGGTCACTCAATAAATGGGCTGCAGTAACACACCCAAATGAGGAATGTGTTGCCTCCAAAATCCAAATAGGCCCACTAGGCATTGTGCCTCTTTCTTGGTTGTAGGAAGGGCCAAGTGCAGCAACTTACCCTCCATCTCAGAAGGAATATCTCTACAGGCTCCATGCCACTGGACCACTAGAAATTTTACTGAGGTAGAAGGTCCCTGAAGTTTAGTTGGCATGCTAATGTCTCACCAGTAAGTCCAGTGTGTTTGCTACTTCTTGCTCACTGGATCCAATCAGCATAAAGTCATAAATGTAATGGACCAGTGTAATATCTTGTGGAAGTCAAAAGCAATCAAGGTCTCTCTGAATAAGATTATGACACAAAGCTGTAGAGTTGATAAACCCTTGAGGTAGGACAGTAAAGGTATATTCCTGGCCTTGCCAGCTGAAGGCGAATTGCTTCTGGTGGGCATTATGGACAGAAATGGAGAAAAAGGCATTTGTCAAATCCATGGCTACATACCAGGTACCAGGAGATTTATTAATTTGCTCAAGCAATGAAACCACATCTGGTACAGCAGCTGCAATTGGAGCCACCACTTGGTTAAGCTTACAGTAATCCACTGTCATTCTCCAAGATCCATCTGTCTTCTGCACAAGCCAAATGGGAGAGTTGGAAGGGGGATGTGGTGGGAATCACCACCCCCACATCTTTCAAGTCCTTGATGGTGGCACTAATCTCCACAATCCCTCCAGGGATGCAATGCTAGTTTTGATTTACTATTTTTCTAGATAGAGCCAGCTCTGATGGCTTCCATTTGGCCTTTCCCACCATAATATCCCTCATCCTACCAGTCAGTGAGCCAATGTGGGGATTCTGCCAGCTATTAAATATGTCTATGCCAATTATGCATTTTGACACTAGAAAAATGACCACAGGATTAGTCCAGGGACCCACTGGGTCTACTGTAAGTCAGACCTGAGGTAAAGCTCCATTAATTACCTGACCTCCATAGCCCCTACTTTAACTGGAGGACCACAATGACATTTTGGGTCCCCTAGAATCAACATCAGCTCAGAACCAATGTCCAGTAGTCCTCGAAATGTCTGATCATTTCCTTTTCCTCAATGCACAGTCACCCTGGTAAAAGGCTGGAGGTCTTCTTGAAGAAGGATGGGAGAAAGATTCATTGCATAAATTGTCAGTAATGTAGTGGGGTCCTTCCTCAAGGGGACCTGGCTTCCCCTTCATTCAAGGGGTTCTGAGTCTGTAAATCGGCTCAAGTCTGGAAATTGATTGTGGGATAATCCAAATTCGTGTTTTGTCCATTCAACCTAGAAGTTTTCTGCTTATATAAATTAAGTGGGAATGCAGTAGGTTTCTTATCAATTCCACTTCTAGGAACACCATGATTAATTAGCCAATGCCAGAGCTCTACATGAGTCAGACTATTCTGATTACCACTTTGACTCTGCTGTCCATTATGGTAGCTATGCCCACCTTGCCTTTGATGGTTGAGTGCCATAACTTGGCCCCTGCCACCTCAGGATCCAATTATTCCCATTGTATTTAAATTTTATAGTTGAGTGACTGTGGTGCCCACTGTTAGATCTGACATGAAGGGAAGAGCAATTACAGGGCTCTTCAAAGATGTCGGTGCTGCCCTCACAAATCTATTTTGCATGGCATTGGTCAAGTGTATATTTTCTGGACCCTCCCAGCTGGGATAAGTAGGTCTAAAGTGACTAATCCACTCCACCTTCCCAATCTCCCTAAGCCTTTGGATCCCTTCCTCTCCACCAAACCAAGGGAGATCAGGCATTGCTAGCTCTCTCACAGTGGGCCAGCTTTTAATCCATATTTCAGCTAACCAAGCAAATAAACTATTAGAAACTTCTTTAACTCCCTGAGCTGCAACATTAAATGCAGAGTCCCTACTTAGTGGGCCCAAATAAAAAAAAATCAGCCTTTTCCAAATCTATGTTCCTTCCACCATTATCACACACCCTTAATATTTATTCACATGCTTGTTCTCCAGATTTCTGTTTCTATAAACTAGAAAACTCAAGCAGTTCTTTTTGAGTATAGCACACCTTTTCATGGGTCACACTCTCAACCTCACCTCTAGGGGTCCACAGGGACTTTAGTCTAGCTATAGGTCTAGAAGCAAACAGGGCTGTTGGGGGTGGCTCCTGAGGAGAATCAACATTATCTTGCCTGGCCACTGCCTCAGAGGAGGCCATCACTGTTGCCTCAGGCAGCGCAGGGTTTATCTCCTCAGACAAAGGTGGAAAGGCTGATGGCAGCATGGATCTGGAAGGGAATGTTGCCACTACTGGGGATAGGAAAGCTGTTTTTTTTGGCAAACAAGGTTCATCAGTTTACAAACTCAATGCCCCCAGCTTTGTCAGGGTGCTCCCACATATCCCCATTCTAAGTTGCAGGGTCCATTCTTTTCGAACCAATGCCCTCACTTCAACAGTAGACACCTGGCAGAACTGTGATGCACATTTCATTGCAGGTCAGTCACTTGCATGATAAGAGCTTGTGTCTGTTTTTTCACAATTTCAGCTCTTTTTCTACAGGAGTTAAGACTCACTCAGGGCAATCTTAGCAGATTTCAGGCTTGGTATCTGCTTCTGAAGCTGGGAAATAGAATCCCTGAGTTTATCATTTTATTTCATCCCTCTTTCCACTGAACTTAGGAGCAATCAATCAGCTTCATTATGTTTCTTGGTTCTCCAAATATGGCCAAAGGTATTATGTATAAAGTCACTAAACTCCTTGCCTCTCATGAGCAAAGAATCAGGAGTGTCAAATGCATTTATTTTGTATAACTCTCTAAATAATTCATGCCAAGGATTATCAGTGTTCTCCATACTAGTAGAAGTACAGTCTTTAGTATTTTGGGGTCTAATCATATTAAGCAGCCAACTCCAGAAACCCCAAAACCAATTAAAGAACTCAATTCTTAATATTCTGTTCCTCTAGAACCACTCCTGGTACCAAAGTCTGTGTTAGTCAGGGTTCTCTAGAGGGAAAAAACCTATGGGATATATTTTTTTACTTAACACTTAATAAACTCATATATACATATACATACAGATATATATACACACACACATATATACACACACACACACACACATATATATATACACACACACACACACACACACACACATATGGTATTAACTCACACAATCACAAGGTCCCACAATAGGCCTTCTGCAGGCTGAGGAGCAAAGAGAGCCAGTCCAAATTCCAAAACTGAAGAACTTGGAGTCTGATGATGGAGGGCGGGAAGCATCCAGCATGAGAGAAAGATGTAGGCTGTGAGTGTAGGCCAATTCATGTTTTCCTGCCTGCTTTATATTTGCTGGCAGATGATAAGATGGTGCCTACCTGGGTTAAAGGTGGAATTGCCTTCCCCAGCCCACTGACTCAAATGTTAATCTCCTTTGGCAACACCCTCACAGGCACACCCAGGATCAATACTTTTGCATCTTTCAATCCAATCAAGTTGACGCTCAGTATTAACCATCACAACCCAAGACTGGGTAATTTATAAAGGAAAGAGGTTTAATTGATTCACAGTTCTGCGTGGCTGGGGAGGCCTCACAATCACGGTGGAAAGCAAATGACGAGTAAAGTCATGTCTTACACAGTGGCAGGCAAGAGAGCCTGTGCAGGGGAACTCCCATTTATAAAACCATCAGATCTCATGAGACTTATTTACTACCACAAGAACAGTATGGGGAAACCACTACCATGATTCAATTATCTCCACCTGGCTCCACCCTTGACATGTGGGGATTATTACAATTCAAGGTGAGATTTGGGTGGAGACACAGTCAAACCATGTCAAATGTACACTACTTGCATGGCAGGTGCACTAAAATCTCAGAATTCACCACTATAGAATTCATCCATGTAACTGAAAACCACTTGTACCGCCAAAGCTATTAAAATAACAAAAATAAATATTTTTTTAAATGAGAAAAAGACTTGAACAGGTATTTCTCCAAAGAAGATACACAAATGGAAAATAAGCATAGGAAAGGATATTTAACATCATTGTCATTAGGGAAATTCATATCAAAACCACAATGTGATACCATTGCATTAGGATGGCTGTTTAAAAAAAAATCAATCAACATGAAAAAACAGAAAATAATAAGTATTGATGAGAATGTGAAGAAAAGGGAACCCTCAAACACTGTTAGTGGGAATTTGAAATGTGACACTTACTTTGGAAAACAGTTTAGCGATTCCTCATAAAGTTAAACATGGAATTACAATATGACTCGGAAATTTTACCTCTAGGTATATACCCAAGATAAATAAAAATATATGTCCCCACAAAAACTTGCACAGAACTATTCTAGCAACATTATTCATTATAGTTGACAAACAAAACAACACAAATGTTTATCAACTGATTAAGGAATAAACAAAATATGATTATTGATAAAATGGAATATTATTCAACGACAAAAATGAAGTAATGATACAAGCCAAAATGTGTATCAACCTTGAAAGTTTCTTAAGTGAAAGAAATCAGATACAAAAGGCCACACATTTTGTAATCTCATATTTATAAAATGCCCCAAATAGACAAATCCACAAAAACAGAAATAATATGCGTGTTTTCCAGAGGCTGGAGGAAGAGGGAACAGGAGCGATGGCTTAGTGAGTACAGAAATTCTTTTTGGAATGACAAAACTATTCTAGAATTAGATAATAGTGATAGTTGCATAACATTGTGAATGTCTTAAAAGCCACTGAATTGTACACTTTAAAAGAGTTAAAATTGTATATTTTATGTATATAAATTTTACTCCAAAAAAATGTTTAAAAAGGGAGAAACTACTAGAAAAATATCTACCAAATTAACTGTTTTATGTAAATGAACTGCAGGTGTAAAAAAGGTGAAAGTATAGTTTTCTTGTGCTTAGAATATATTTTGTGTTACAGTTAGATTATATCATAAATGTACCCTATATAAATCAAGTTTCAACATACACATGGAACATAAATGATAAGGGGCAATGTTTTGTGAATTTGTTTTTGCTTATCGATGAGAATCCATACTTCAAGGGAAAAGAAAGAAGTTTATGATGGGTCAATGCCTATTTCATGGACTGTAATATGAAGAATACTGAATTTCAATCCTAGTTCTTGTCAACAGTGTGGCAGAACACAAATAAATGAAAGACTCTGGCCTTTTGCTAGTCCGAGTGTGGTCCATGGGAAAGCAGGAGCATCAAGCACCCCCTGGGAGACTCTTGGGCCTACTGAATCTAAATCCTCATTTTAACAAGATCTCCAGGCAATTCACCTGCACATAAAACTTTGAGGAACACTACTGCTCTGTGTCAATGTTCCCCATTGTTAAAGTGAAAAAGCTAGGCTTTAAACCCAACTTTTTAATTTTAATGTTAGTATTTTTCTATTACATCTAATATGCTCTCTTTACAGGCTAACATGAGACAGCCTACCCAGATGCCTTTTCCTCATTCACCAGCTTGCTCAAACACAGTTTTGCAGAAGAAGGTAATGCCTAAGTAATAGGAAATTCCTATTCATAATAAATTACCATTTAGTTCTAAATAGTGTCTACCTATGTGCTAGATGTATGTTTTCAACCAGATGAAATTAGAATTCAAAAGAAAGCTTTCATCTTACACTAAAGCTTGTTTACTTTCCTGGATGTGTGCATTTAGATGTGTCATCAATTTGTTACTAATTCCTCTATATCTGCTCCAGCTATCTTTATCTCTTCTATAATCTCTCTCTAGTTAAGAAATATTCATTAAAATAACACATAAAATTTCTTCTCTGTTTCTTATGAATTTTGTCATCGTAGACGACAACTGAATCACATCCAAACTCGTTTCTGTCTTAGACATTATCTCAGAAAGTACTATTCACCTTTTTTTCATTTTTCTGAGTTTTTATATATCTTTTCCTTTTTGTTGCACAAAATACTATAGTTTCAGTGTACTTTTTGATATTTTTAAAAGCTTAAACTTAAGATTTATAAAATACATCTTTGTGTATTTTCTTCAGGAAATAGCAATCTTTTACTTTTGCAAAGCACTTTAGAGCCAACAAAGAGTTATCATACAATGTACTATTTAAGATTCAAAACAAACTTGTGAAATAGGTAGAAAAGGCATTTGACTTCAATAACAACTCAGAAGCCAAGATGCAGTATCAGAGAAAGGGACAAATCCAGGCTGGGTGCAGTGGCTCACGCCTGTAATCCCAGCACTTTGGGAGGTCGAGGCAGGAGGATCACTTAAGGTCAGGAGTTAAGAGACCAGCCTGGCCAACATGGTGAAACCCTGTCTCTACTAAAAACATGAAAATTAGCCAGGCATGGTGGTGGGCGCATGTAATCCCAGCTACTCGGGAGGCTGAGGCACAAGAATCGCTTGAACCCAGGAAGCAGAGGTTGCAGTGAGCCAAGATCGTGCCACTGCACTCCAGCCTGGGTGACAGAGTGAGACTCCATCTCAACACACACACACACACACACACACACACACACACAAAAGGGACAAATCCAGATCATTAGCCATATAAAGAGAAACACAGCCAGCTGTCACAAGCTTTGTAAACTCTACCCAATAGTACCAATTAAGGAGAGAGCCATAGGGCTATTAATAATTTTATTTAAAAAAAATTTAAACTCAGTGAAAAGTATTCAAACATAAAGTGTTGGAAACTACACAGAGAACTCAAGATAAAACCGTTGCTTGAAAAATGAAAAATCAAAATGTCAAAGAGAACATACATAGCAAATAATAAAAGCAATGCTAACACAAAACATATATCTTCCGGGGTAACTGAGGATTTGTCCCAAGATGAAGGAACCACAAATCAATAAAAATTCCATGACACTCAACAAAGCAGTACATTTTCACAAAGGGATGACTTTATAAAAACCTTGCAAAATGATGCGAAAGGATCTAAAAGTCAGAAGCTAGATAAAAGCACCAGAAAAAAAGGAAAGAAGCTCAAACACTCTGAACTAATAGCTCAATTTATGCCCTTCAAAACAACCCCTAACAACTGGGAAGTGTCAGTACTGTAGACTTAAAGCATTCAATAGATACTCCTAGACTAAGTCATATTCTAATTATGACCAGCAATTGGAAGGAGGAAGAGAAAAAAGAAAGAAGGGAGAAAGGAAAGAAGGAGAAAAGGAAAACCAAAGGAGAAAGGGAGGAAGAGGAGGTAATCTACGACAAAAATGGGAACAAAGTTTAACAATTAGGAAAGCAAATGGTACCAAACCAATTTTCCTTGAAAATAAATGAGGTAAAAGTAGATCACAAAAGTAAGGATGTGTGTGAGGAAAAGACTGGGAACATCAAGGGTCTTCATAATGACACTGAAACAAGAAATGGCTCTTAGCAAGAGAGTATCTAAACACCATTTCAGTCCCATAGCGTCCTGTTGTGACCACTTAAAGAGTGCATCATAAGAAATGCTTTCAGCAGTGGAGATGGTTCTTAGCTTTGTGGGAGTCAATCACAGGTACTCCTTGGGAACCCCTCCATTATCAAAATAATTCCAGGCTGAGGGTCTTTACAGTGGCCATTATGATATACCACTGGCATGCTGAGATAGTTAGGATGTGTTCACAACATGAACAGTTGCCTAAGAGCTAGTACACTTAAGTTCAATTCAAGCAAACCTTGGTAAGATATTTTTTAAAGTTTCAACATTCAACTAAGACTCTAAAACAACTTCTACAAGAAGTCTATCATGTGTAGAAGAATCAATTTTGATTTTGACATATCAAAAATACTCTCATTTTAAGTAAAGCTAAGTAAGTAATATGTTGTGACCAGAACTTCACAAGCCAAAAAAACAAAAACAAACAAGAACCCCTACAAACGTGAACTGAAGGAATCAATCAAATACATAATGTAGCTTTTCTATTTTTCCTTCAATTTTCCAGCTTTCTTTGGTCATGAAAGCGACTCAGGGCAATAACCATGCTAACTTACTTTGATAAAAATATCCACAATCTAGTTCTTCAAGAAAATTTACACAGTTTATATAATGAGAAATTATTCTATTTAGAAACAGAGCTTCCATAACATTATAACAATAAATAAAATTGTAACTTTTTAGAATCTGGTTTAAAATAAACTCAAATTCATTATTATGAAGATATTAAAAAGTTAGATTTTACCAGGTGAAGTTTCAATGATAATTTTGTCCTCAGATTCTCAAGAGTTATCTGAGCACCATTTCTTTCTCTGAGAAACATTCATATTTATACCTAAAACTAGCTTCCTCATCACATAAATCTTATGAATTTTTTATGTGGACCCAAATAAAGTACCTCAATAGCCAGTACTTCTATTAATGATTACAGCTATTGATAGCTTAGTTTTGTTTTGTCATTGTTCTTGTTTTTCATAAATAAGTGTGGAGGATCCAGTTTTGGATCCAATTTTGTGCTTGACTCCAAACATGGAGTTATGTTGTAGTTCTCAACCCTGCTACACACTAAAGTCACCTGGAAATTCTGATTATAACTGGTTTTCAGTAAAATCTGAGCATGAATAATTATTGAATTTCTTCCAATGATTTTAAATTGCATCTAGGATTGAGAAGGCTAGATCTCAGTTCCCTTTTACCCCATAAAAATAATAATCAAATAGAATATTTCAGAATTCAAAAATTAGAAGTCAGGTCACTTTTTCTAATTTGTTATTGACTCAAGTCACTAAAAAGCAGACACTTAAAAAGAAGCATACCATTGTAAAAAGAGAATTATTTATATATATTATTCTAAACTTCACAGTATGTAAAACAACTCTTGGTAAATTCAGAATCAATTGGTGTGATCTTATGTGTACATACTCTGATCCCAGCTAGTTCTTAGCAAAATTTTCGAACAGATAGTGAATCTTCGGTGCCCTACTCTTCCCTTTCTTCACATTCCATTCCGATTACCTCTCAAGTCTCATTACTATAGGCTTACCACACAAGCCTTCTCCAGAGAACTAAGGTCGTAGGAAAATATTCCAGGAGAAAGCACAAATGACTTTTTCTTTGGAGCAAAACTGTTATTGTCTTAATGCACCCCTGACAACATGAGGATAATAATGTAAACAAATAAAAGTATAATTAACAAAAAAAAAATACTAGATAAAATAATTCATCTTACTTTTCAATGTTGATGCATATTTTTCTTGTGATGCCACATTCATTAAACTCCTTGAGGATGGTCTTGGCTACAAAAGAAAAAAAAATCTCATTAGTTTTTAAATAAGGCAATGAAACATAGTGTTTAAAATTTGGCCATGCCATTTTGTGACCCTGGGAAAGATAACTTTTCTAAGTCTCAACTGTATAATGGTAAAATAATGAAATATGAACATTAAACAGAATAAGGTATGAAGTAGAGGTGGCATATAGAAACCATTAATAAATATTAACTGTGATGATAAGAATTGCTATTTAAAGATTCACTAAAATGTTCTTCCACCTCATAATAATGTTTAAAGTAATTTTATGTGCTTCTTTTGTTTTTCCAAAGTACTTTTACATATAATTTCACACTATACTTGGAAAAGAAAGTCACTGGAGACTGACTAGCAATTTTCTTGAATCATTATAAGTTTATTCTATATAACATTTAGAGGCCAAAATAGGACATGTGGGGGAAGTTCTGGGATAATGTTTATCAAAGAACTTCATCATCAGAATCACTCAGAAAACTCCTTAAAACACAAATTCCTGTGCTGTTCCACAGATGAACACAGCACAAATCTCACTGGGACCTTAAGCTGCTGGAGCAGTGCTCATGCACAGTAAGGCTTGAGAATCGACACTTCCTAAACTGTATTTATGAAGACACTTCACATCATATACAAAATTGTTGGCATACAAGACCGTCTGAGGGCAAAATGAGTTATACGGCAAGGTGTGAAGCTCTCTGTCTCTGGAGGAGTCCATGTGTGAGCAGAATGGCCACGGTACAGAAGCTGGGGAACATATTTAAGTATAGGAAGGGTGCCTGATCTAGCTGCATCAGAATTAAAAGGCCCATTCCCACCCGGAGATTCAACTCCAGGCAAAATTTTGTAAAGCACCAACTATGTGCAGGAACTTCCGTAACTGTTTCATATTATTCATTTAACCATTCTGCAAGAGAGGTATTATCTGAGACAAATTAGATTCACAAAAGTTAAAATTTGTCCAAGATGAGACACAAACCTTAGCTTCTCTTTCCAAATTTAGCCTATTTCTTACCATTTCATACCACCTCTTATGGGCATAAAACCATGTTCTTCACGTGAACTTTCCTGTTTTTCGTTAACAGTTTTATCCTCTGGGTCTCAAATACTCCTGTTATTATACAGCAGTTGTTGGGAATTACATGAGTGCTGTCTCTTCCTCAGACTCATTTTTGATTTACCATAATATCCTATGGATTTACTTCCAAAATTGTCTTATTTCTAATTTTATGTCTAGATCAACTTCTATTAACTATTTCATGAGCCTGTTCTGTTACCAATCCACTTTATTTGTGGCCACCAAATTAACCTTCATAATAAAAAAATCTATAGCACATTACTTTATTGATAAAATATATTAAATATGTTCCCATTTCTTACAAAAGAAAATAGTCTGACTTTTTAGCTAAATGAACATTCAAGAATTTCATGGGAGGGCTCCCATTTGTCTTCCAGGCCTTATTTCACACCACTAGTCCCTTTTCTCTACCATGATTTTTGGCCAAATGCAACAGTAGTTCTCCCTTGAAGACAGCTCTCTTTTCCTGGTTATCTTTTTTATTGCTCAAGTCCATGCCCACTTGTCTAATTACACCTCCCAGGCAAGCAGTAGTGTCCCAGATGTTTAGAAGCAGAGGCAGAGCAGAGTAGAAGGACAAGAAGCAACATCATGAGACGTAAGGCCACCAAAAGCTTAGTAGGAATATTGTCAATCTGAATAGGTTAAGCAGAAATAGAAAATCCTTGTAGAAACAGATGGGATAACAGTCTAGGCTAGAAAATAATAAATATCTTCAGTGTAGGGTAGAAGGCAAAAGTTGGAGAAATTTGCTGTCAAACCATGGGCTACTTGGGTCTCAAGCTAAATGAGGAGAAAGACAACATTGCTAGTGTCTTGTTCTATGGGTTGTGATATGGTTTGTATCCCTCAAAAACTCATACGTTGAAATCCTGAGCCCCAAGGCAATGGAATCAGAGGGTGGGGCTAGTGGGAGGTTGATAGGTCATGAGGACAGCCCTCATGAATGGTATTAGTGCCATTATAAAGGAAGCACAGCAGAGGTCCTTTGCCCTCTCTGTTATGGAGGACACAGCAAGAAGACAGCTCTCTATGAACCAGGAAGCAGCCCTGATCAGATACCTTTATCTTAGACTTCTCAGTCCCCATAACTGTAAGAAATAAATTTCTGCTCTTTATAAGCCACTCAGTCTATGGCGTTTTGGTACAGCAACCCAAACTAAGACATTTTGTTTAGTCTAAACTTTTTCTCCTTTAATCATTCAAATTTCGTGCCCTTGATATCGTACCTATAGAAAGCCCTGCCAAGTAGCCCCCATGTACACAATCATTCCTCTCTCTGGATTTTCATAGCATGCTATTCTTACTTTTGTGTTATTTTTAATTCCACCTATTTTATTGAAAGCTCCTTGAAGGCAGGAACCACGTGATTTTTATCTTTGACTCTGCCACAGCAGAGTCTGGCTAATAATTACCTAACAATCTCTCCTTGTTTGTGTTTTATTCCTCTCCTTTTTCCTCCCCAGCATCCTCATTCACAAATGAAGAAAATTGGGTCAGTGGACGCTAAATGATTTGTTTCGGGAAATCATCACTATGAAGTCTGACTTGCCTAATCATTCTGTACCAAAGAACAATGTTTAACTCAGTCTCTTATAAAGCTGTAATGTTTTACAATACATGGGGTAACTTTGAAGAAATGTTTCCAAGGGATGAGGATAATCAATCAGCTTACTGAAGTACCTGAAGAATTTTTTTAAAAATATGAAAGAAATATTTCTTATGAAACTCAATGGCTATAATCACATGGTTTTTAAAAAAAATTTTAAATATGCATAACATATATTCAGTCCTACATATTATTAGCAATTCAGCATCCAAAGTCAAAAGCTGAAATTTCATAACCTGCTTTGCTTTTTGCTTGATAATGCTTGCCTTGTGGTTTTTGAAACCCCATGACAGATTTAGTCGTCTCTCTCTCCCCAGGAGCAAAAGCAGACCTAATTTCTTTCTCTCGATTACACTCTTGGTTTAGTCATCCATCAGCTACAGGCTTGCTTGCTCTTTCTCACTCACCTGCAGGATATTATTTCATGGAACCATCACACCATCCAGTAAAGCTATTTGTACAGGTAGGTTCTATTACCTAAAGAGTGAATCGTCAGTTGATTTCTTCAATTTTGAATCAGCAATGCCTCAGTGCTGGCTAGTGTTATTAGCAGTAAATGAAGTAACAATGTGACCCAAGGAGGCAGAAAAGATGGCTTTAGCTATGCTATGCTTAGTAAAAGCATTGCTACTAGTGAACACTCCAAAAAAAGTTAAAGACAAATTATGTTAATATTTCAGAAGTGGATTTAACTTGCTCTCTAGGTCAGCCTTCCTAAAGTATGCATTGTTAAATATGTTTTCTAAAAAATAAAGATTCCACTGCAAAATAATTTTAGTAAGCTAGAAACTGTGTCATATGGCAGAAAACTTACAATGCACAATTTTTATATATTGGAAGTTCCCAGTTATTAACATTGTTTATAGAACTCCCTTTTCTGATAACACTTCTGATGTATACTCCCAGGAACACACTTTGGGAGACAGTAACCTAGCTTTTTCATATTATTACATTATGGATCATAAAAAGATGCTGGAACTGATAGAATGAACACTACAATTGCATTACCCATGAGAATTTCTAAGTCACTTAGTGCTCTCTACAAGTTCTATATTGAGAGGCATGATGCAATGCATTTAAAAATGTTAGAAGTCTTTATTCGTGACATTGTGTTTTCAAAATAAAATGTTAAACTACCTGATATAGCATAGAAGAGTTTTTCTCTTTTTACTATCAAAATATGTCATAATAAATAGATAATTTATGTTACTTTTGTATATTTTGAAAAATCATATTTACTTTTGTATGTTTGTTTTCATATGAAATTTATGTATTTATTTACTATTTTATTTTATTTTATTTTATTTTGTTTTTGGAGAGGGAGCCTTGCTCTGTCACCCAGGCTGGAGTGCAGTGGTGCAATCTCAGCTCACTACAACCTCCACCTGCCGGCTTCAGGTGATTCTCCTGCCTCAGCCTCCTGAGTAGCCAGGATTACAGGTGCCCACCAACACACTTGGCTAATTTATTTTTTGTATTTTTAGTAGAGATGGGGTTTTACCATGTTGGCCAGGCTGGTTTTGAACTCCTGATCTCAAGTTATCCACCCACCTCGGCCTCCCAAAGTGCTGGGATTATAGGCATGAGCCACCATGGCCGGCCAGATTTCATATGAAATTTAAAGTATACATTCTGGCTGTAAGTCATAAAACATTTTGCACAAAGTTGCATGATTAATTACACCAAAGAATTATTAAATATTTGCAGAATAAATACATTTCTTAATTAAAAATTACTGACATTTAAATACTACTGTATCTTGCCTTTTAATGCCTACTTTACTTATCTTTTACATATGGCTTTTCTTTTATGTTATAAAATAAATTTTATTTTGTAAATGTTTTCTAAGGTCCATTAAAAACAAAACAAACCCAACCTAACTGAGTTAAGTTTCTGGAACTGGAGGCACTGTGACTCATAAAATGTGTTTATACACATGTACATATATATATGTAGTCAGAATACAATGGTTATAGTTCATTGTTATAAAAGTGAATAGACTTCTGGTTCCAAAATGGCCATGTAGAAATAAGCTGACTTCACTCCTCCCACCCCCTGGAAAATAAAAAACTAATATAGAGTGCCAAGATTGTCACCAGCAATATCCCAGAACTCAAATATGAGGAAGAGACAGTTCAGATCACAGAGAAGTGAAAAAACTTCAAGTATACAATAAGAGAACCAGACTTCCATATTCATGACATCTGTCTCCCAATCTGCTTGGCACCAAGTGTGCAAAAATTTTTCCCTGACTCATGGTTTCCACTGTAGACAAAGTGAGATTGAGGTGGACAACCAGCTTCCTCAACACCTCGGCTACCCTGGCAAAAACTCATCCTTGTCCGAACCCATAGGAAGCATCACAAGTACCCAAAGGGAGATATATCTTTGAGGATGGTCAGAGACAAAAAGGAGTGGTAAAACTACCATCCCGAGAGTTTAAAATTCTGCCCTATAACTTAGCCAAAGGAGATGTCAAATTACAGTGGCCATTCAGCAGCACTGTACTGTAGGAGGTAAATTCCCGCAGGTTCCTGGTGCACAAACGCCTAGCCAGTCTTTTCAAGCCACTGGGATACCCCGCTTTTGGAACTTCCCCATTTGGAACAGACAGTGCTTTCATTGTTTACTAGAGGTGAGGAGAACCTGGGATTAAATCAACACTTAGAGCTTAAAAGGAGGCAGCAAGCTAGGGGTAAAGACTCTTTAAGAAAATATATCCAGTAAAAAACAAAACAAGCCAAATAGGAAAGACTGAAATAAATAATTCACCCTCCAGTGCAAAGATACAGACATACATCCAAAAAAACACAATAGTAAATAGAGAACTATGACCTCCCTAAATAGACATAGCAAGAAACCAGTAACTGACCCTAATGAGTTGGTGATATGTGAGCTCTGTGACCAAAAATTCAAGAGCTATTTTAAAGAAATTCAGTGATCTCCAAAAGACACAAAGGCAACTTGAAAGTTTATCAGAGAAATTTAACTACAAGATTGATATAATTTTAAAAATTCAAACAGGAATCTTAGAACTGAGAAACACATTTGCTTAACTGAAAAATTTATTAGAGGTTCTCAATACCATAATAGATCAAGCAGAGGATGGAATTGGTGAGCTCAAAGACAGACTATTTGAAAAATACATGAAGAATAAAAATGAAAAAAAAATAAATAAAAATGTTGTATACCACTGACAAGATAATAAAAATTACCTCAAAAGAAAAAAATCTGAGAATTATTGGTGTCTAAGAGAGAACTGAACAAAAGCAAAGGCTAGAAATCTTATTTAAAGAAGTAATAATAGAAAACTTTCCAAAACTTGAGAAAAAATATAAATATCTAGGTACAGGAAGGTCAGATAACACCAAATAAATTCAAGCCAAATAAATCAACTCTCAAAGGTCAAGGACAAAGAGAGAATCCTATGAGCAATAACAGAAAAGAAATAAATAACATATAAAGGAGTTCCAATTTGCCTGGCAACTGACTTCTCAGTAGAAACCATACTGGACAGGATGAGAGGAATAACATTTTCAAAGTGCTTAAAAATAAAAACCGCCATCCAAGAATATTGTATCCAAAAAAGTTATCCTTCAACTACAAAGAAGATTAAGGTCTTTTCCAGGCAAACAAAAGCTGAGAGAATTTAGTACCACCAGACCCGTCTTATAACAAATGCTAAAGAGAGTTATTCAGTCTGAAAGAAAAACACACTAATGTGCACACACAAAAAATTAAAGGTATAACACCCACTGGTCAAATTAAGTACGTGGACAAAACCAGAATACTCTGATACTGGAATTGTGGTATGAAACCCATTCATAACTCTAGTATGAAGCCCAAAACAAAACTATCAAAAGTTATATTATCTACAACAATCTGTTAATAAATAGGCAATATAAAAATATGTAAATTGAGAAAACTAAAAGGCAAAGTGTGGGGAAGACGGAGTTAAAACATAGAATTTTGTTTTGTTTTTGTTTTTATTCTTTTCATTGTGATCTAAGGTAAGTTGTCGTCTCTTTAAAATAACATGCTATTATCTATAAGATATTTTTTGCAAGCCTCATGGTAACCACAATGCAAAAACTCTAATAGAAAGGAATAATTTTAAAAATGATACCAAGAAAAAGTAACTTAACCACAAAGAAAGACAGTAAAGAAGTAAGAAATGAAGACAGAGGTTATAAAGCAACAAGAAATAAAGCAAAAAAGTAAATGGACTCAATTCTCCAATTAAAAGGCATAGAGTGGCTGAAAGAATAAAGATTTGACTATATGCTGCCTATAAGAAGTTCACTTCACCTATAAAGACACAGACTGAAAGTAAAGGAATGGAAAAAGCTATTTCATGCAAATAGAAACAAAAAAGAGCAGGAGTCACTATATGTATATTAAATAAAATAGACTACAAATCAAAGACTATAAAATGAGACAAAGAAGGTTACTATAAAGTGGTCAATTCAATAAGAGAATATAACAATTATAAATATCTATGAATCAAATAGAGGCATTCTCAAGTATACAAAACAGAAATTAATAGATTTAAATAAAGAGATAGATTGCAATTCAATAATATTAGGGGACAATAACAGCCCATTCTCAGTAATGGACAGATCAGCCAGACAGAAAATCAACAAAGAAACATCAGAATTAAACTACCCACTAGACTCAGTAGGCCCAACTGACACTTACAGAACATTTTACCCAACTGCTGCAGAAAACACATTTTTTTCATCAGCACATAAAACATTTTCCAGAATAGACCATATCTCTGGCCACAAAAGAAGTCTGAACAAATTCATAAATATAAAAATCACATGATGTACTTTCTCTGACCACAATGGAATAAAACTAGTAATCTATAACAAATAAAGCCTCAGAAACTACCCAAACACATGGCAATTAAACATTATGTTCCTAAAGAACCAGAGGGTCAATGAAGAAAATTTTTAAAAATTTGAAATGTCTTTAAACAAATAAAAATGAAAATACAACATACCAAAATGTATGGGATACACAAAAGCAGTACTAAGAGGGAAATTTATAGCATCAAATGACTATATCAAAAAAGTAGAAGCTTTAAATAATCAACCTAATAATGCAGCTCAAGGAACTAGAAAAGCAAGAACAAACCTAAGGCAAAATTAGTAGAAGAAAAGAAATAATAAAAACCAAGCAGAAATAAATGAATTTGAGATTAAAAAATGCAATCAATAAAATGAGAAATCACTTTTTTGAAAAGATAAACAAAATCAACAAAACTTTAGCTAGACTAAGAAAAAAAGAAGGCCCAAATTAATAAAATCAAAAATGAAAAAAGAGACATAACAACTGAGAGCACAGAAATACAAGGAATCAAGCATAGATAAAACAGATAAATTAATGGACACATTGATTTAGTTTGGATATTAGTCCCTGCCCAAATCTCATGTTGAATTCTAATCCCCAGTGCTGAAGGTGGGGCGTGGTGGGAGGTGATTGTATCATGGGGGCAGATTTCTTATAGTTTAACACCATCCTCTTGATGCTGTTCTTGCAATAGTGAGTTCCATGAGATCTAGTTGCTTAAAAGTGTGTGGCACCTCTCCTCCCTCTCGCTCTCTTGCTCCCATTCTCACCATGTGATGTGCCTGCTCCCCCTTTGCCTTCTACTGCTATTGGAAGCTTTTTGAAGCCTCCCTAGAAGCCAAGCAGATGCCACTATGCTTCCTGTATGGCCTAGAGAACTATGAGTCAATTAAGCCTCTTTTCTTATATATTACCCAGTCTCTGATTTTTTATAACAGTGCAAGCACAGCCTAATACACACATATAACCTTCCAAGATTGAACTATGAAGAAATAGAAAACCTCAACAAAGCAATAACAAGTAATGACATTGAAGGTGTAATATAAAGTGTCCCATCAAAGAAAATCCCAAGACCTGATGGTTTCACTGAAGATTTCTACCAAACATTTAAAGAACTAATACCAACATATTCAACATAGTACTGGAAGTCCTGGTTAGAGCAATTAGGCAAGATAAAGAAATAAATGCTATCCAAATTGGAAACGAAGAAGTCAAATTAGCCTTGTTCCAATATGACATGATTTTATACTTATGAAAACCTAAAGACTCCACCAGAAAACTGTTAGAATGAATAAATTCAGTAAGGTTTCAGGATATAAAATCAATATACAAAAGTCAGTAGCATTTATATATGCCAACAGTGAACATTCTGAAAAAGAAATCTAGAAGATAATCTTATTTACAATAGCTACAATAAATAGAAACTACCTAGGAATCATTTTAACCAAAGAAGTGAAAGATCTATAAAAGGAAGACTATAAAATGCTGAGGAAAGAAATTAAAGAGGACACACAAAGGGGAGATATTCCATGCTTAGGAATTAGAATTAATATTATTAAAATGGCAATGCTATCTAAAACAATCTACAAATTCAATGCAATCCCTATCAAATTCCATTGACATTCTTCACAGAATTAGGAAAAAAATCTATAATTTATATGGATCTACAAAAGACCCCAAATAGCTAAAGCAGTGCTGAGCAAAAAGGACAAAGCTGCAAGCATCACATTACTTCACATCAAAATTTACTACAAAGCTATATTAACCAAATCAACATGGTATTGGCATAAAAACAGACACATAGACCAATGAAATAGACTACAGAACCACAAGATAAATTCATCCATCTACAGTGAACTTAACTTTGGCAATGGTGCCAAGAACATACAATATGGAAAAGACAGTCTTTTCAATAAATGGTACTGAGAAAACTGGATAACTATATACAGAAGAGAAACTAGACCCCCATCTCTTAATATGCACAAAAAATCAACCCAAAATTGATTAAAGACTTAAATGTAAGACCTGAAACTATAAAACTACTGTAAGGAAACACTGAAGAAATGCTTCAAGACATTGGTCCGGGCAAAGATCATTGTGTAAGACTTTAAAATCACAGGCAACCAAAACAAAAATAAACAAATGGTTGCTCGTCAAGCTAAAAGCTTCTACTCAGCAACATAAACAATCAACACAGTGAAGAGAAAACCTGCATAATGGGAGACAACACTGGCAAACCATCCATCTGATAAGAGATTAAGAACCACAATGTATACAGAGCTCAAACAACTCAATAGCCTATAAATAAGTAAGTCAATTAAAAACTGGGCAAAAGATCTGAATAGATATTTCTTAAAAGAAGAAATATAAATGGCCAACAGCTATAAGAAAAAAATGCTAAAATCACTAATCATCAGAAAAATGCAAATCAAAACTATAATGAGATATCATATCACCTAAGTTAAAATGATTTTTATCAAAAAGACAGGTAACAACAGTTGATGGCCAGGATATGGAGACAGGGAAACTCTCACACACTGTTAGTGGGAATGTGAATTAGTATACCCACGATGGAGAAAAGGATGGAGATTCCTCAAAAAACTGAAAATAGAAATACCATATGATCAGTAATTCTATTGCTGGTTATATATCCGAAAGAAAGAAAATTAATATATAGAAGAGATATAGCACCTCTAAGGTGATTGCAGCACTATTCACAATAGCCACATTATGGAATCAACCTAAGTGCCTATGAACAGATAGAGAAAATGTGGTATCTATACTCACTGAAATATTATTAAGCCATAAAAGTAAATAAAATTTTGTCATTTTCAGCAACATAGATGGAACTTAGGGTCATTATGTTAAGTGAAATAAGCCAAGCACAAAAAGACAAATATCATATATTCTCATTTGCACATGAGAACTAAAAAATTGGATCTCATGAATATAAAGAGTAAATCAGTGGTTACCAGAGATTGGGAATTATAGGGAAAGGGGGAGAGGTGATGAGGAGCAGTTGATTGATGGAGTCAAATATATGGTTTGATGGAAGAAATAGGAGCTAGTGTTTGATAGATCAGTAGAGTGACTATAGCTTACAATAATCAATTGTACATTTCAAAATAGGTAGAGATGAATAATTCAGATGTTTCTAGCATAAGAAAAGGCAAATATTTAAGATGATGGATATCTTAAGTGCACTGATTTGATATTCATCAATTATATGAATGTATTAAATTATCCCATGTATCCCTAAACTATGTACATCTACTATGTATCTGTTTTTTTGTTTTGTTTTGTTTTGTTTTTAACAGAGTCTTGCTTTGTCATCCAGGCAGGAGTGCAGTGGCACAGTCTCGGCTCACCAAAGTCTCAACCTCCTGGGCTCAAGCAATCTTCTCCCCTCAGCTCCCCAGGTAGCTGGGACTACAGGTGCACACCACCATACCTGGCTAATTTTTGTATTTTTTTGTAGAGATGGGGTTTTGCCATGTTGCCCAAGGTGGTCTTGAACTCCTGGACTCAAGCAATCTGCCTGCCTCAGGCTCCTAAAGTGCTGGCCCAATTTTTTTAAAAGGGGAGAAAAAGCGAATAAATTCTGGTACTATAAACACAGAAATGTAACAAGAAAATTTTATCATAAACGCTATACTATCCAAATATTCTTTTGAAAATTATCCTAAACCATAAGTATCTCCTAAACTCTGCCATCAGAAGGCTTTGTAATCCATTCTTTATCCTTCATCCTACCTCCTTCAACTACCCTTCCACTGTAGCTCTTCTTGCTCATATTCATCCATAGTAAATCCTGCATAGCTTCTTTCTGTTTTCTGAGTTTCCTTTTACCTCCCTGCTCCTACTAGCAGCAGTTTTGCCTCCTACATCATCACAATAATGAACTTGAAGTTGTCTGGGTATCCTTGCTCCTTTTTCATGCATTCTGGCCATTCTTCCTCCCCTAAAATAATCAGCTTTGAATCTCATGTGATCAAACTATACCAATCATCTACCAACTCTCCCTCTTTTATGTAAAGATTTTGCCTGCTGGATCAGGTCCTTCTCTTCAGCACTATTTCCATCTTACTTCTTGGTAACTTCAGTATCTATGAAGATGATCCTTCCAATATTCTGGCCTCTTGTTTCCTTGGACTCCTCCCCTCCAACGATCTTCTTCTTCACCTTACTTCAGTCACTCACTTCTTGGTCATTCACTAAACTTTGAAATTATTTTTTCAATGATTTCACCCTTTCCATAACCTTAATTCCAAGTTTTCTGCTTTATGACCACTGCTTCCTATATCCTCAGTCCATTCTGTCTACCTCACTGACTCCAACAATCCTTCGGTCCCACAGGTACTTCCATCTCATGAATCAGAACACCTATACCCAACTCTTCAATTCTCTTATTGCCTCATCTTCCTTTTTAGTACACTTGCACTCTATGGTTAATCTTTTAAATTATTTCTTCACAAACACTTTACTCCTTTGCACCTCCCTTACATTATTACACTAGCTTAAGAAAGTTCCAGACCTCGTTTATTTTCATTTTTAAATTTGGAAAGGAGAGCTTCATTTCTCATAAAGGGTTGCAGCCTGTAGGGTGACCATTCTGACAGGCTGGGAAGCACAGCCTCTGGCTGGAAGCCAAAAGCAGACACTTTGAAGGAGGGGCAAATGGAACAGGAGTTTATGCTGAGCAGCATGGACAAATATACATATTCAATAACCTATAAGAAGAGTCATTAACATTTATGAAAAAAGGAGACCTGCATGTATGCAGTCGAGCTTTTTGCCTTTCCACGGCACCCATGATCAAAAAATGGTGGAGTCAGCATGATATGAGGATGGAGGTTTTGGCCCTCTGACATCAAAAGGTGAAGCAGAGAATGCAAAAACTCTCACTGTGCATCCTCTGTAATCTGGCCAGAACCATTCTATGGTCAGTGGTCTCTTACCAGGCAAAAAAAAAAAAAAAAAAAAAAAGGGGGCAGCGTGAAGTGGTTGGTTGATACCAGTAGTGGTGTCTTTTGAAAAAGCTTGTTCCCAATAGGCTCTTAGGGAAGACAGCCTAATTGTGGTTAGCAAGGGAAGAGGTATAATGAGATTTGTCTGACCCCTCATTCTGTTGAGGCTGAGAACTTAGTTTTCAAGATTAATCTGGGGTCTCTTTGGTCAAGAGATAATCTGTTCAGTCAGTTGGGAGGCTTATAATTTTATTTCTAGTTCCCATTTTCCCCTTTTTGGACAAGATTTGTCAGAGGCAGCATCGATGGGCAAACTTTTTTTTTGGTTCCATATCAGTCCTGGTTTAAATACAATTTTCTACCCCTGCGTGTCTACATCCACACAAGAAAAAAAAAGAGCACAAGATTTCTACTGACCAGCATAATTTTAAATTAATGCCCATGAGAATCTAAAGAGGTTCTTATTGCTGGCCAATAAACATACTCACTTTCCCAAGTCTATTCACTCCAGATAATGATTTTCTACACTTTCCTTGGAAATATTCAGCAGCTTTCCTCTCCACCCCTTTTCCTGTTCAGCATCTGTCCTTACTTGCTATTTCACTAAGAAAATATAAGCATTCCAAATTCTCATCACTATATTCATCGGTAATTCTGTCTTCTTTCTTGTTGTTATAAACTGTCTGTACCTACAAACAACCCACCTCACTTTGGATTAAATCCTATTTCTCTTGCCTATTCAAGAACATTGTTCTAGAAATTCTTCCTCTCTCTCATATGTTAACAACCATTCCCTCTGTACTAGATTATTCCCATCGGCATGTAAATATATTTCTTCCCTCTTCGAAACAACAACAACCATCACAAAACAAACCTACTTAATCGTATTCTTGGATGTCTCTTCTTCCCTATATAAACTCACACCATAGGTGTTCCCATCCAGTGTCAAGACTACGTACCATGTATATATCCTGAGAACTGCCAAATTTGTATATTCAATCCAGAGTCCCCTGAACTCCAGACTGTTATATCCAAACCATTTATATATTTCCTTTTGATGGCTAACTGGCTTCTTAAACCAAACACAGTGAAAGCAAACTCCCTTTACTCCCAAACCTGCTTTTCCCACAGTCTTTTCTATATCAATTGTTGATACTCCAATAATATTAATTGCTAAGGCCAAACACTTTATCTTTGATGTGTTGTTTTCTCCTACACCACACATCTATTCCTTGAGCGAATCTCATGGGACATTAAAAATATATCGACGTCTTTAGCAGTGGCTCACGCCTGTAATCCTGGCACTTTGGGAGGCCGAGGCGGGTAGATCACGAGGTCAGGAGATTGAGACCATCCTGGCTAACACGGTGAAACCCTGTCTCTACCAATAATACAAAAAAGCAGCCAAGCGTGGTTGCGGGCGCCTGTAGTCCCAGCTACTCAGGAGGCTGACGCAGGAGAATGGCGTGAACCCGGGGGGCGGAGCTTGCAGTGAGCAGAGATCGCGCCACTGCCCTCCAGCCTGGGCGACAGAGCAAGACTCTGTCTCAAAAAAAAAAGAAAAATATATATATATATATGTATATCGACTTCTTACCATCAATACTTCTATCACCCTTATCCATACTATCATCATTTCTCCCTGGATTATTCCAATATGTTTGAAATTGGTCTTCCTGTTTCCACCATGGCCTTCAAAGTCTATTCTCAACACAGCAGTGAACCAATCCTGCTGGAACATAAATTATGCTCAACACAACTTATCTCACTAAGTAAAAGCCACAGTTCTTACCATGGCCTTCAAGTCACCACCACCACCCAGCGCTGTCCTCCCCCAAGCCTTCTCCTCTGACCTGATTACCTGCAATCCCCACTTCTGCTTCAGTTGTCTGATCTCTTCCAGCTTCTCCTACTGGCCAGGGCACCCTCCACCAAAGCTTCACATGCCTTCTCTCTGTCTAGAACATCTGTTACTCACACATCAACTTAGCCTGCTTCCTCACTTTTTTCAAATCTCTATTCAAACACCATGTTGTAAGAGAGACCTTCTTTGGCTACCTTCTTTAATTTTTCAGTCTACCCTAGGGTAACTTTTAACATCCATGCTACCTATTCCTGCACATTATTGAGCACTTGCTAATGTATTATATCATTGATTTACTTACAATGTTTGATTCTCTGCCCCTTCTCCAGTGTAAGCTTCAAGAGGGCAGATCTGTGCCCATTTTGTTCAGTACCTTGCACATAGCAGACACCCAATAGACATTTGCTGATTAGCAAAAGTTTTATTTACTAAAACTTTTGTTAAATGGGCATTTCTAAAAGTTTGAAACCTGTTTGACAGTGAGATCCATGTTGCAATAGTGTCTAGAATAGAAAACAACAAGAACAATGGTGCTGCAATTTTATTAATTAAAAATGTGAGCGAATAGGACAGGGTTGGGAATAAGATTATTCTGGTTTTTAGTTTCAGTTCTTGCAGGAAAACCAGTAGAAGCCCTGTGGCCTTGGAGCTTCACTTTCCTCTTTTGAAATACAGGAGTAATAAAACTGGATGTCAAAGTGCAGTTATCAGAGTAAAATGAGACAATAAATTCATTCATATTTTCATTCAAGTGCAACAAGCATTGATCAAAGTATTGCTGTGAAAGTATTTTGCAAATGTGGAAAGCCCAATATAAATATAAGGAAATGTAATTTTCAATAGAAAAACTTTTCTGTTGAGTGACTTAGAACAGCAATGTGTGTTAAAAATAATGACTAAATGTATATACATTGTCATTCCAAACCACACAATTTGGAATCTAAAGTCTTTATTGATGAAATCCTATTTATCTTTTGAAAATATTCTGGAAAACTGAAAACCTAAAACTATGAAAGCAATAAGTGACATAGGGTGTTTTACGCACCAAAATTAAGTTTTAGTAAATTGGTAATTTTTTAAATTAACCAAACTTCAAACTAAACATAAAGCCAACACACATTGCCAATTCACAACAAAATAAGTTCATGAAGTTTTGAACTAAAACATCTAAATTTTTCATAGCTCTACCTTATTTAAAAAGTATCATATTTATGCCCTAAATCATATATATGGGAATATACAGAATATGTACACTCAATCCCATAGGAGGTGAATCTGGCCGTTATTTTCAGACTTCATACTGTGAAGTGGAGGACTTCTGATTGATTGCGACAAAATGAGACCATCTTGAGCCCCTTTTTCACTTTTGTCTTATTTAGGTCAAAGGATGAAATCTTTTGAGTTTGTCTGAATATCAACTCAAGTGAACACATTTTTCTTCTCTAGCTTTCATGTTATAACAAGAAATAACTTTAGTGAGAAGATTTGAATAGCTCAAGTGACTATATTAAAATTTATCTTGCCGATTCTTTTTAATTTGCAACAGCATTTTATACACTAGTAATGTCTTTCTAAAGAACTCTTTATTATTTATGTGGGAAAATGGAAAATGTTAAGATCTTTAACCAAAGTATAAAGTTTTGTAATTGAAAACAAAGAACCTTCAAATAAAAATTTTCAACACTGTTTTTATTTATATAGTATGCAGACATTGGATCCATTTTTTCTTTTTTTTTTTACACATAACAGTACATGAGGCCATTGACTCTTTAAAAATTTTTTTGTGAAAGTCATTAGCCATTTTAATAAACGAAATGAGAAGATAATGCAGAAAAAGTTATTATCCTCAAATACTTTAAAATTACAAATTATTAATAGCAGCTAAAACAGTATTTGTTAAAGGATCCGTCAATAAACCAGATGAAGAGAGGTTTGAAATATTTTATGTAGCTAGAAAAATTATACCATTTTGTAAAAGGAGGATAAATTTATTTTGAAGTCCCTGTTTATACTTTTAAGTAGTAACAAGGTGTACAATCTGATAACAACAAAAAAATAGTTTGTCAATGCTATAGTTTGAGTGTTTGTGTCCTCTCTAAAATTCATATTGAAACCTAAACCCCAATGCAAGAGTATTAAGAGATGGAGCACTTAGGAAATTATTACACCATAAGGGCTCCACCCTCATAGAGTCAACTGGTGATTTATAAAAGGACTTAAGAGGTGAGTTGGACTCCTTCCCTATCTTCTGCCATGTGAGACCATAATATTTGTCCCTTTTTTGCCCATCTGCCATGTGAGGAAACAATATTCCAGCTGCCACCTTGGAAGTAGAGCCTGGGCCCTCACAAGGGATGAATCTGCCAGCACCTTGATCTTGGACTTTCCAGAATGTTGAGAAATACATTTATGTTGCTTAAAAGCTATCCAGTTTCAGGTATTTTCTTATGGCAGCACCAACAGACTAAGACAGTCACACTCCCTAGACTTCAAGGATTTGATGGTATCTAGCATCGGGTTTATTACTTTGTAGGTGCTCAGTAAAAAGTAATTGAGTGGAATTGGATAGATTTTTCTTGGAAAATCACTGGTTTTAGACACGAAATGCTAGGCTCTAAACAGGATAGATATTTTGCTGCTTCCTCCATTTTGGTCACTGCGTAGAGAATAAATAAATAAATGAATGAATAAACACACAGCAATACTTTGATCAAATACAAGCATCCTTCAGGCTATCCAATAGGAGTATGAGACTATGAGCTCCTTGGTTTGTGCAATAAAGTTAACAGAATACATTCAGAAGCCAGCTTCACTGACACTCTTGAAGAGACATCATGAGATGCTGATTTTTCTGGAAGCTTGTTAACTCTAATGACTAAACCAAAAGTAGAATACAACTATCACCTGATTGAAGAAAAAAGACATTCAGATAGATAGATAGATAGATAGATAGATAGATAGATAGATAGATAGACAGACAGACAGACAGACAGGCAGACAGACAGACAGACAGACAGACAGACAGACAGATAGATAGATAGATTGGATGGATGGATGGATGGATGGATAGACAGATAGATAGATAGATAGATAGATAGATAGATAGATAGATAGATAGATAGATAGATAGATAGATAGATATACAAAGCAATCCAAAGACAACTGACCCATGTTAACCCAAGTGATATTATTCTTCAGACCTTTTTATATGTGATGCTTCAGCTTCTCAGAAGTTCTAACATAGGCGAAGGTATGAAGGTGGAGCACAGCAACTGTAAAATAGTAGAAAGCAGAACCTCATATAAAACTACAGAAAACTACACTGTATTTTACAAAGCCTTCTATGTCCCATGAAGAAGCAATTTCTCATATTTTTGTTTCATCAAGAAGAACTTGAGTATAAAGGGCTTAAAACCAATTCTACTTGTTAAGCAACAAAGGGTATCATAACTTTGACATTATGAGATTCAAAGTAATTGAAACTATTGTGTCTTTCCTTTAACTTTCACTTGCCTTTCATCATGCCAAAGTCTGACAGCGTTTCTGGCTACCTTTAATTTACTCTGAAATAATGGAATCTTGTTCGTGTAGCATAGACTAATAATCTTTTCTGTACATTTCTACTACCATGTGCTTATTTCAGGTTAAACAGAAGACTACAGGAAAATCTTAAAAAGGAGCCAATTCTACCCATCTCACCCCCATATGCAAACATGTGTCTCTCCAGACACTGCAGGAACAACACAGTCAATCTGTTCATAGATTTTTCTTGTTAATGAGAAAAGTAGACATTGCTGAGTAAGAAAAATGAGTGAATTTCTAGAATTGCAGATTAAGAGCAGGCGTAAAAAGGCCTCTGCTCCCTTGTGGTAAGTGCCACCAGTTGACAGGAAGCTTCTCATTCTGCAGCATTCCAAATGATTTGGTTTCTGCCAGAAAATAACAGCTGCTGCAACCCAACTGTATTCTTCAGTGTCTGATGAACACCCATAGACAGCTAATTTCCATTCACTTTGCAACCTGCATGGTTCCAGAAGGTGAACATTAGAAAGAGTGGGCTAGTAGAGATTTGGAAAATGTAAAGCTGGATACTTCAGGGTACCAAATGGTGCTTCGTCTAATATCTCATAGATGAATGAATTATGTATGTACATGTATTGCATATATATGTCTCTCTACATATACATATGTATGTTTTATGCATGCATATACATATATAATATCTTATCCTAGAGATGATTTAAGGCAGCTAAATGAGCAATGAATTTCTCTTTTTATTTTCAAAGTTGAATTCACCTTCCAGCAAAGCTCAGACATCTTTCTGTGGGGAAGTTCCTATGAATTCACAGAAACAGAAAATGTGGCTATAGTTTTGCCTATTTCCTCTCTCAGTTAAGGTAAATAAGTGTTTCTGCCACCAAATTCCTATCTTAATAAGGAAGGTTTTGGGTTTGTTTTTAAATGTCATAAATCCCTAGACCAAGTTCAAATCACTTTCAGCATCTGGCTCCTGGTCTTCTCTGCCAAATGAGCTTAAATTCAATTTTTTTCCGCCCAAACCATAATCATTCTTTTGAGTTGTCCAGGTACTTTTTCTTTTCTTTCATGTGCCCGCAGTGAAATGTTGTCCCTATTGTGCATCATCATAACTTTTTGCCGATCCATGCCACCGCCACTGCTGCACATCGTTGGCAAGCCCCTGAGCCACACTGATGGGCTAGTTATCTCCACCAGTGCTGGGCTGAAGCGGCCAGAGCTGATTGTTAAGGTTCATGAATTCTGGGAGCCAGCAGATATCACACTGTCGTCTCGAAGTTGACCATGGCTATGGTGGGAGCATTTCCAACTTGGAAATCAGCATATGCTACAAATCAAAACTTTTGCTTTTGTTTTCAGAGAGCTGGTTTAACAGCACACTGCTAATTGACCATTGTTTTTTCCAAACTAAGACAGTATTTTACACTTTCATGTTATGAAATTAGATTAGCCAGTTCCAAACACCTCTTTTAATGTGTGACACTGATGGAGGTACCTAACTTTCTCAAATATTAGTTTCATCATAATGTGGTAATATTAACTCCTACTTCATAGAGGTCTTGTAAATATTAAATGAGATGGTATATATGAATTAATTATAAATTAATTGAACACACAACACTCAATAAATGCCTATTGTTATTATCCTTGATATTGTTAGTATTATTTCTTCTACATGTTTTAATTATTTTAATAAAATAAACATTTGCATCCACTCCCATCTACTCCTTGCAGGCAAATTCTCACTTTCTTCATTCAATAAGTGTAAAAATAATATATTTTCTGCAATTTAATGATAGATAAATGTGGCAGCATGAAAGCAATTAATGAATTGTAGTAAAATAACCAATTTTAGAAAGCAAAAGGCTGCTTATGTCGCTCTCATTTCCGTCTTCCATTGAGTAAGGGTCATGAAAGCTGGATGGACATATATCATTTCTCCATACACTTCTATTCTAGCAGCAGTAAAAAAAAAAATCTCACGGATATCTTTTCTAAGCAGAAGAAAATATTCACCACACACTCATTCATTTGTTCATTTCAATTTTAAGCACGTATTATATTTGGCAATAAGCTAAGAATCTTGGGAAAATAAAATAATAATAACAATTACTAAAATTAATTGAGCACTCGGTGTGCCAGGAACAATTTAAAGTATTTCACAATATATGTAAGATAGGCACAATTATCATCTTTATTCTACAAATAAAAACTGAAGCACAGAGAAGTTAAGTAACTTTGCTGAAGTCCAAAAATCTAGAAAGCAGTGGAGCCAGGATTCAAACTCAGAAAATCTGCTCTTCCAGCAAGAATTATACTGCCAATTGAATACCCACCTAAAAGAACTCCAAGCTGTAACCCAAACCATTAGGCCCTTTTCAGTGTCGAGAACCTGGCACCAGCACTATCCCTATCTTTTGACAGAAGAGAAAATAACTACAGAGAACCTTGTTTGAAAATACATCAAGGAAGAATGGAGTCTATACAATATTCAATAAACACGAGAGTACCCTCCAATTATGTCTACTTAAATTTCAGTAAGCTATCTGTAGGAGAAAAGATCAACATTACATGCTGATTGACTTATCCATTTTCACCCCTCCAACAATGTGTGTGTGTGTGTGTGTGTGCGTGAGCTTACATGTGTGTGTATTTGCATGTGTAGTGATGGCAAATTACGTTTGAGTCATATGCTTGGTAATGGGGAACCATCTCTGGACCAGACAAATATGATTCCTTCTCTCACAGGACATATGGGTTGGATGTTCAACTGACTACACAGGTAACCAACTAAGTAGTATTGAAATGAGGCTTCAGAGCTTTGTTACTTCAAGTATGATCCCTGTGCTTCATGTATCAGTCACAAAAGTAAGTGAAATATACTGATTTTGTTAAGGATGCCACACAATGTGATGGGGTTAGAAACACAAAATTAGCAAAGCATATGTTAAGCAGGACGAGGTATTTTTTTAGTAAGAAGGACAGAAACATCATCACTCGAGAAGTTATTTAGAAGTTGTTTGAGGAGTTGTCTAGAAAGAGGTGCCATTAACACCAGACTTTATCTGACTACAGATGATCAATTTATCTCTCAGTCATCAGGGAAAAAAATGTAGCAATCTAATATAGGGGAAGAAAAATATCTTTTCCTTTACCTATCTTAGATTCATGGCTGAGGCCCCAATAACCAAAGATTTACAAAATAAAAGTATGCAAATACTTAATATGAGTTTTACCTGACATGAGAGCCTTCATAAGGAAAGGAAGACCCCCCAAAATGGGTAAATCTGAGTATTTTATAGTAGGTTTGATGAAGAGTAGGCCATTATGGAGAAATATGATAGGGCAAAAGGGTGTGATCTAATGGTAATAAACGGGGGGAAACTTAGCAAGCTTGTTCGTTCAGATTCTTCTCTGTGTTTCTTCATCTTTGGAGACAAAGATGCTTCTTTTCTTTAGATAAGAGAGAACACTTCTCACATGAGGTTCTTCTGATCTGCTTCAGGGGAGAAAGATAGGGGAAAGTGAGAGTGAACTTTCTGTTTCCGCCCTCTTTCTCAAATTCTTTCACTTTAAAATATTCAGTATGTCAAAGTGCCATATTTTGGGGTAGCATGTTCTGAACCCCATCACTAGCAATCTCAATGCCCATTTAGACAAAACCTTGAAGACATTCAACATGTTCTCCCAAATCAATCCCTAACCCCCACCTATGGGTCAGGCAATATCCATGTTTAATAAAACTTGCTTGCAACAGACAAAGACTGGATAAAAACAAATGCATTTTGGGGCATACATGCCTTCTTCCAAGGTTTTTTGTTTTGTTTTTTCTTTTTGAGATGGAGTGTCACTCACTCTGTTGCTTAGCCTGGAGTGCAGTGGCGTGATCTCACCTCACTGCAAACTCCACATTCCGGGTTCAAGACATTCTCCTGCCTCAGCCTCCCGAGTAGCTGGGATTACAGGAATGCACCAGCACACCTGGCTAATTTTTGTATTTTTAGTAGAGACAGGGTTTCACTATTTTGGCCAGACTGGTCTCGAACTTCTGACCTCAAGTGATCCGCCTGTCTCGGCCTCCCAAAGTGCTGGGATTACAGACATGAGCCACCGCCCCGGCCTCTTCTAAGGTTTTGAACTTTCAAGTGGGTATCATAACAATATACTGGAACAGGGATCGCCCACCTCTTTGATTTCACTATGTGAATGGGACATTTAAATTTTGGATCCAATTCTAGTGTATTCCAGCTGTCTTATGACTACAGATTAAAATTAAATAGATCCTGAAGTTCTTTTACTCTTAGGGCACATTACCAAACACAGAAAATGCTGAATAGAAAAAAATGAACAAGTAAATGAATGAATGCATGACCAAGTAGATGAATGAATGCATGGCTCACACTTCCCTGTGACAGGCCAGAATTCTGAAAGCCTCTTGTAAGACCCATTCCAAAGGTCTACTCTAAAACAGGCATGTCCCTTACTCTCTCACTTTACCTGCCTTCGGCTTCATCTATTCTTCCTATTTTTTCTTTTTCTTACCAGAAGTTGCAATGTGTTTAGGTTGTAAGGATATTCTGTAGTTTGATGTAAAAATATTAGATACCTCTAAATCTAAATGAATCACCAGACAATTGGTAGCTCAATTCAAATGGTTTGTTTCATCTTCAGCACTTCTGGACTTCTATTCCATTCTCCATTAAAAAAAAGGGGAGGGAATCTGGGATTCTATACACATCTCAGAGATATACAAATTTGGTTTTTGTGTGTGCCCTTTATTGCAATGTTATCACCATACAGGCAGAGATTATATCTTTCTCCCTAGCTATGTTATCTGCAATACCTAGCACATTGTATAGCCTCAACTATATACTCCAAAAATATTTACTGAATAAGTGTACCATTTTCTACTCCACTACTTATGATTTCAACAAAGTGCCCTTGGAGATTTCTGATTCCTAAATAACACAAATTAAAAAAGAACAAAAGAAGAAAGAAAGAAACACAAAAAATGTCAACTGAACAATTTGAAGCTAGTATACAACTCTTTAAAGTAGTCTTAGGGGTGCTGCATACTATCCTGGAATCCTGCAGTATAGGACTAAGGATAGAAGGCCCTAGAATAGTGCTACCCAAAGAAGTTTCTGCAGCAATGGAAATGTTCTATATCTGCACTCTCCAAAAGGGTAGATAGACACTGGCAACATGAGGACATTGATTTGTTGACATATGACTAGTTTAATTAAGCAATAGAATTTATTTTATTTCAGTTCATTTAAATTAGAACTAAAACATGACTAATGACTACTATATTGGATAGCACAGTTTTAGGTCACATTGCTGATATTTAGGGATGTGTTTGGTGCCAAAGAACAATCTGTAATCATCCAAACCAAATACTTTGAAGTAGGACTAAGGTAAAAATGATGCTAACTAACATTTTGACAAAATTATTTTTATTCCCCTTTAACTGGAGGATAGCATACTATCTTCTGAAAAATAATTCTTATTGACTTGAAGTCTTTAACGAAGATAAACAATAACCTCCAAACTAAATAATTTAAACATCTTTAAAATTTTTTAAAGGTCAGCGCAGTCCTGTCTGGTTGTCGTGCTAGCCTTGTTGAAGGCACACAGGAGAGGAAAGACGTTGCCTATGACAATGGTATGGCAGTGATAGCCAAAGTGGTTGATGACCAAAGCATTGCTACAGAACGCTATATTCTGCCAAATCCATGAATGTATTAATGAGCAGGAAATGTTGAAAAGAAGTGAGAAAATACAATGATAAATGAAAATGAGAGAGGTGAAGGTATACAAAACAGAGATGCCTGTGATCATAGTAGTCACACCCCCATAAACGTGTGTGCAGTGTTGTCCACTCCATCGTATCAACTTACGGAAGTTTGTTAACATCAAGCCCTAAGACTGCAATTCTCTTAACATTATTCTGCAAGTGTTGGAAGTGGGTCAAAACTAACAACAGGGATAGAAGATTATGGTGCCCACGAAGGTACAAGTGAAAAAAAAAAAAAAAAGGAGCATAGGGCTTCCCAATCAGAAAGGGAAGGCAGACTCCACAGCCCATGTGCTGTCTGTTATGGGGTGTGGGTGTTTGTGTGTGAAGTAATCATTTTAATTTCAAACTGCATTGCTCCCTATTTCCTGCTCTTTAGCAGGGGGTCTCTATCCTGTTCAGAGGTAACAATACTCTAAACACAAAGAGGTATTTCTGAGTCTCTCCTAAAAGTGGCAGAGCCAGAACCCTCCCGCAGGGCTGAGCTCCCCTTGCCTACCATTATTCATGGGCAGGCGGCTCGGAACCACTTCCACCATCTGCCTCCAGCTGTGTTGGCATAACAGAAAGTCAAATATGCTGCAACAAGCTCCAACCCTGAATTTATTGTAAAAGCCACCATTTCTATTTCATTTGGCTAGTAAACAATCTCATACTATTAGGATGGTTAATTATAAATAACAGTCTAGCCTCTTTTAATTGAAATCTACATTTATTTAGAGCCTTTTCATGAGACTAGAATTAAGAAACAAAAAGCATTAGGAATGAATAGAAATGGACCACACTATTCGAATAGAAAAACCTCAAAAGCTAAGCATTAAAGTGCCCCTAAAAAGTAAAGATACTTTACACTTTAACAGCATTTTTCTCTGAATTGTCAATGTTAACTCTTCTATCATTCCTGAAGTGAAGTAATGGTTATCAATGTTATTTTGACAGTAAAATCTATCTGCAGAGATATGCATTACTGAGTATGCATAAGGTATTTTAAAATAAATAAAGACATTCATAGAAATTCATTCTGTTATTAAAAATTATTATTGATCTGCCTATTATGTACAAGTAACTGAGCTAAAAGCTCAGGCAATAATTTTGAAAATTTTCACTCCAAGAAACAGTAAAAATGTATTTTACATTGTGACACAGTGTATGCTCAGAAATATATTTACAGGACTCAAAGAAGATTTCATGAAACAATATTTAACCTTAATAAGTGTGAGGCATTCTGATATTTTCTATCCTACTCTAATTAATAACTTATTATTATAATCTACTTCATACAAAGTGATCAACTCACTATATCAATTTTAGAACCCATCAATGGGTTGAAATCTGCAGTTTGAAAAACAATATTAGAGAGAGCAACATAAATCATACTCCATTTTCTACCCTTAAAAAGTTTATGATGAAACTGTCCCTACAGGGTTGACAAGAATTATAATACATGCCAGATTCTGGACAGAAATATAGTTATAATTAAGCATTAATCAAGTTGCACTTTAGCCCATTTCCTTGTTGCCAAAAGTCACACAGCAATAGATCCTGATCATTTGCATCTCCATTATTCCTATAGGTAGGATTTCTGACATTAGGGTTGTAAGACTATAAAAATTGATTTGCATCCCTATTGTACCTATAGACAGGATCCCTGACATTAGAATCATAAGTCTTTTGTTTAAGGATTGTTTAAGATGTTTTTCAGATCCCAAATTCTAGCAACCAGTTTGAAGACCCCCACAGAGTAATGAGAGCTGCATGAGAATACAGCTTCTTCACCTCTCTGTCCCATGACTTCACCTTGTACTCTTTGACCAATCAGCAATCTCCACACTTTGGCACACTCCACAACCCTTAAAAACTCTAGCACCAAACTCCTTGGGGAGACAGATTTGAGGTTCCTTCCCCGCTCCTCATTTGGTGACCCTAGTGTTAATCCTCTTTCTCTGCTACAGCAGAGAATACACCAATATCTTGGTGTATTGACTTGCTGTGTGCCTCAGGCAGTGAACCTATTACAGTTACAATTATCAAACAGCCAAAATGAGACAAAAAAATAAAGAGGGATAATAACAATAATAAGAAAGAAAACTAAGCAACTTGAGAGTTTAAAATGAGGGAGATACTGCCATAAAACAGAATATTGCAGACATCATTGTTGAAAGAAGTGATAGGAAGTAGAAAGTTGAAAGAAAAGATACATAATACTCAGTCAAGAGGAAGGTTTAATGGACAAGCTGATGTTTATGATGGAACTTGAAAGCAGATAAGATTATGAGAGGCAGATATACAAAAGGGTAGAAATGATACTCCAGATAGAGTTCACAGCATGGGCCAAGGCACACAGATGAATAGGCAGTGGAGGGGTGGATTCAGGAATCAGTGAGCCAGCCATTTTGGCTACAGAATATTGGGTAATCTGAAGGAATAAAAAAGAATCTGCAAAGATAAAAGGTACCTTGGGTGAATGGGTGAATATTATTTTAGAATTTAATTGGCGATGAGAAAAAATCTGAAATTGCTCATTCATCCATCCAACCATCCATCCACCCATGCATTCAATGAGAACTTATTAAGTAGCAATAGGCAATGCACTCTGCAAGCTACAAAAGAAAATGAGCAGGAAATAACCCCTCACCCTTTACTTTGTAGGAAACAAAAATACGCTAAACCCAATATGAGTGTAGAAAACTAAAATTATGCCACCCCAAAATATGCCTCTTTGGCCTAAGGCTTATTTTGAGCTGATTATTTTGAGAAACTGCAGACACAGGAGAAGCTCTGAAAATAGAAGTTACCCTTTGGTAAGATAAATGTATATTTATAAAGGAAACCTCCATTTGTAAGTGTATCTCCCTCTCTGTACCTGGAAGAGAACGACTCTAAATCTACTGACTCTTATCAATGGAGAAGGCACTGACTTAAATCTGCATAAAAACCTTATCCTTGTTTAAGGTGATTTTCCTGGCCACCTCCTAATAACCTAGTTTTGCCCTCACCCTTCTTTATTTCAGTAGATGATGGTATTTAAGCTTAAATTAGAAGTCACCTCTTTGAGATTTACTCATTTTGCATGTGTGGGTACGTGAGGTACACATGTTAATAAACTTCTGTTTGTTTTTCTCTTGTTAATCTGTCTTTTGATACAGGGATTTGTCCCAACTAAGGACTATGAAGGTAGTGAAAAAATTATTTTTTCCTATCCCACAATTGTTTATATTGTTGTAAGAGCTGTAAAACAATTAAACAATTAGCAATCACACAATGAAAAAGCCATTGAAGTAAATTATAGTAGCACCCCTTATCCACAAGAGATACCTTCCAGACCCCTTGGAGGATGCCTGAAACCATGGATAGAGCTGAACATTTTATCTACTATGTTTGCTTCCATACATACACACCTATAATAAAGTTTAATTGATAAATTAAGCACAGTAAGAGATAAACAAGAGTAATAATACAATAGACAAATTATAACAATATACTATAATAAAACTTATGTAAATGTGGTCTTCCTCTCTCTCTTAAAATATGTTAATATTTTCAGAGCTCGGTTCACCACAAGTAACCTGAATCTGTAGAAAGCAAAACCACAGATAAGGGAGAATTACTGTAGTCTAGCAGCTTCTTGGAGAACTTCAAGCTATAAGAAACTGTACACAGAGAAGCCAATGATGAGAAGGGAAAGATGAATTGTCTAATAATTTCAAAGAGAAAATATGACTGTTTCTATAGGTTTGCATGTTTTCACTGGTCAAACTTCCTTTGTCCTCCTCATACTGAGAAATGTGCATGTGTTTGGCAGGGAACCATATTCAAGGCCAATTCAGCACTGCTTGGCTGTGATGTACTTACACAATCATCTGCCCATCCTCTACCACTCATTTATTTATACAGTACCGTACATTTACATATATCTCTTTTGTCTGACAGGTCTCATTTTAATATTATTATAGCATCATTTTTGCCACTCATCAGTTCAATCTCAACTGAAGATAACATACTTTCCTTTCTTGTCTGTTATTTTTCTTGTTTCACTTTTTCTGTCATGGCAGGGACTTTATTAACCCAAAAGGCAGTGTAAGAAATTATTAAACAGATTTTTGTTTTCTAGCTCACTTTACCATTACACAAGGCTGTGTCTGACCAACTGTGCCTCATATTTTCAAAAGCTATAGATGTTACAGTAACTCATATTCCTCTAGCACTAGGGAGAAGGTAACTTTACTTATTAGCTGCACGTTTTATGTTTAGGGTGATTATTATCTACTTTTTTCTTTTTTAAAACCTATTGTGTGATTTCAGTTTCCTTTTAAAACAAATACCTTCATCCCTTTTTACTTGAGGTGGTTGTATTTGGTCATAAAAGAGGCCACTTGGTATCAGAACACCCTCACATATTTGCCTAATAATCCCTTTTAAGTAATCTGGCCTGTTGTTAATGGCTTTTTTTTAAGCCAGTCATACACTTAGAATCAAAATTAGCATCTAAATGAGGATGTTTTAAAACGCATGCCTAGGGGTTGCCAGTTTCACCTTTTTTATAGTTTGCCATGTTAAATTATGTAAAATAGAAATGGTATTTTAGTATTTAATGAGCTAATGCAGAACCTATTGAGACTGTGTCCCATCCCCCACTTTTCCCTCACACAGCCCACAAAATGCTTTTTAAGGTATGAGAAATGGCTGTGAATTTTAAAGCATGTGTCATAATGTGGAGAACCCTTTCCTTTCAATGACTACCCCATTTTAAAAGTAAGGTATTACTAGGGAAAATGCTAGGTGTAGGAAATCTGGATTTATAATCACTTTTTTTTTTAATCTGATGGTGTTATGCATAATAACATTAATTTATTCAGCATTTAATTTTTCTAGAAAAATTTATTATGGGTTACATAATGTTACAGTCTCAATTTACTAGCAAGGAAAATTTCGTAAGTTAAATCAAGAAATTATGACATAAGCAGAAGAAAAATGAAATATGCATTCAAAAATATCTAAATAATGCCAAAAATACATTGTCAGAGAGCTACAAACATCATAAAGGTATAAAGGAGTCAGTGTTATAATTAGAGACTGGTGTTTCAGCTGGATATCATGAACACTTTCAGGAAATTAAATCTATCATCTGGTAGTTTGGCCCCACAAGAGAAAGAGGATCTCCATTGTTTAAGTCATTTAGAAATAGATAGGGACTGTGGTATAAAAGAAGAAAGAAGGGAATGATTAGATAACCCGATTAGCTGGTTCTTTCTATCATCCAAAAGCTTCTGCTTCATAGTGCAGAAAACTGAAGTAGAATTTCTATGTGATAACAAATCTTGTTATTGCTATTATTATTATTGGTATATATAATAAAGCATACCTTTACCTCTCAAAGGTAAAGATCCTAGAAAAAATATATATGTAGCAAAACAAATAGAGTTTTGCAAGTGATGAAAGCATAAACCTCCAATAGCATTATGCAAAATTTCAGAGCACTGAGATCTAAGGTGTTTGGTTTTGCTACTTCTCCTGTGTTTCCTGGGCCATTTTTGTGCCCTATCATCCACTCTCTCATATCTCTATGAATTTTCTCCACTTTACGGAATACCCTCCACTTTTCATTTAATGGCTATTTTTTGCTGAGTAAAAAGCTAAAGTGACACCATCTTCATAGTAAAGTCACATTGTGCATCCTCTTTTTCATAATTTTATGTAAATTTTTTAGTATTTTCAGTATATAATTAAATCAAACTCATTTGTTTAAATGGACAAAAACAGGCAGCTGTGTCTAAGGAAAAAATTGAGATTTTCTATTCTACCACTTCTCAGGTGGCTGTGGACAATATTTTGGTATGTAGTCTATGTGTACACAAACATTCCCGTGTACACTTAAGTGTGTGCATATTCCTTTTTACATAGCATTAATTAGTTCTCAGAATATAATTAAGTTGGCCCCAATATTATAATTACATTATAATACATTGATGTAGCATTGTAATTGTCATCTTTTAATTTAAAAGTAGGCTGGGTTAAATACAAAACGTTTGCTGAGTTAGAGTTCTACTTTTGATGTCTTTTTCCAAATTGGCTTCCAGAAAGCTTGAATCAATGCCTCAAAGTATGTGAAACTTTGTTTTACATTTATATCTTCACCAACAGAGAATCAATATTAATAATCTTTTTAATCTTTGCCAATCTAATATTTGAAAATTATTTATTCTTGTCTTAATTTGTATTTTTCCCTGAGACGGCATTATGTTTTCTTTTGTGTTTATTGGCATTTGTACAGCCAATACAGTTACATGGGTCATTGAACAGCCTTATGTACACCTTTGGCCCACTTTATTGTGAGTTTTTTTAATCATGTGTGAGAGTTTATTTTATATTACGTACACTGCCATTTGTGAGGTAAACATTTTTATGGAATATTGTTTGCTTTTGATTTTTTATATGTTATTTGTATAGAGTAAAATTTATTAACCCTCTTTGTATTTATGATTTTTATTTTTCAGGTCATGCTTACAAAGTCTTCTTTGACACAGTGCTTTAATTTTCATTAGAATCATTTAGTCCTTGTTGCTCCCATAGTATGTTTTCTGTAGGACTAGGAGATAGTACCATAATTATCTGTTTCCATAACTGGCTTGTGAGTTCCAAGAGGGCAGGAAATATGTCTTATTCATTTTTATATTCTAGTTAACAGGAAAGCCAAAATACTACGGCATATAAATAGTAGCTGGTAAATGAATAAGTAAATGAACGTAAATGAATGAACAAGATTTTAAGTTTATTACCAATCATAATCACCATGAAATGAACCAATACCCTTGTTAGGAAATTAAGCATATTTATTTACAAAATCACAAATTTTCAATTTCTGAAATCACCATTATTAAAAAAATAACTTTAGATAAATTAAATTTAACAGAGCTAAATTGAGCAAAGAAGGATTCATGAATCAGGCAGCTCCCAGTATCAGAGTAGGTTCAGAGTGACTTCAGGGCTGCCACAGAGTCAGAAAACATTTATGAATAAACAAGAAGGAAAGTGACATACAGAAAAGAAAGTGAGGTCAGAAACAATTGGATTGGTTACTGTTTGGTGTTGGCCTTATTTAAACACAATTTGAACAGTTGTCCACCTGGGACTGGCAGACTTGGCTACTTCTTATACCAATAGATGACAGTCTATTTGAACATTCTCTTAAGTTACAGTTCACTATGAATGGAGAAACCTTTAGTCTAAACTGAAAATAAATATGTAATGAGGTCGCTTTAGGCTACACTTAATTTAACACCATTATTAATCATTTTCTACACTGTAATTTTTTAAATTCCCTATGAAATATTTTCTATGTCTCTAATTTTATTTTTTGTTTTTTATTGTAATTTTTTTATTTTATAAATTGTGTAATCTTATACTCTGCTTCTTTTCATTTTAGGAGGTAATAGTATTTTATTAGTCAAAATGCTTTGCTGGCAAATTACAGAACTTGAACTAGCTTTGAAAGAACTGTGAATGCTGTATCTTAATAAATCTAATTCTACACAAAACCTTTAAAAGTAGGGGCACTGCTGTTTTAGGAACAACAAGATCCAAGTATACAAAACAATCAAGACTGTACTTGTAACCACCCAATGGGCTTATCTTGCCTGCTGCTAGGCAAGGCCAATTTATCAAGACAGGAGAATTGCGGTAGAGAAAAATAGCCAGTAGTAGAGCTGGCTAAATGAGAGACTGGAGTTTTGTTATTACTCAAATCAGCCTCCCCCACAATTCAGGGACTAGGATTTTTCAAGGATAGTTTGGTGAGCTGGGGACTGGGAAAGGGTGAATGCTGACTGGTTGGGGATACAATCATAGGGGTATCAAAAGCAGCCCTCATACACTGAGTCAGCTTCTGGATGGGGACCACAGAGGAGTTGCTGGTCTGGGTGGGGCCATTCAGTAGTCAGAAATGCAAAAGCCTGAAAAGATATCTCAAAAGGCCTATTTTAGGTTCTACAATAGTGATGTTGATAGAGACACAAGGCAGGAAAATTCTGGGCAGAAGAGGGTGGGTCCTCAGCAGGGGCCCCAACCTCAAGCCTGGAACCACAGCCCAAAGTGAGAACATACATTCCTGTTTTCTTGCTCAAACGTTGCCTTTTCCAAAACCACCCATGTCCTACCCCATCCCTGATCCTGTGCCCATAAAAACCCCAGGCTCTGCCAGCAGAGAAGAAGAGAAACATTTGGATGTTAGGGACTACAGTTGAACACTGGAAAGAAGCAACTTAACTTCAGAGAGACGGCTTGATGGCAGAGCTTCGCAGAAGAGATCAGCTGTGGCTGGACTCCAGGGGAAGATTACCTTCCTGCTCCATCCCCTTTTCAGCTCCCCTTCCCACTGACAGCCACTTTCATTGGAAATAAAATCCCCCACATTCACCATCCTTCAAATTTGTTCATGCGACCTCATTCCTCCTGGACACTGGACGAGAACTTGGGTGTGGGAGCAAAAAGCTGTCACACTGACCTTTCACTGAGCTGTTAACACTTAAGCCATCCGCGGATGGCAAAACTAAAAGAGTGCTTACTGTAACGCTCCTTCTGGGGCTTCAGGGATCATGGGCACTCCCCCTAGATGCTGCCATGGAGCCTTTACAAAGTTCATTCCTGCTGGCACCCAAAAGTGCTTGCTCTAGCTCCTGCACCCCCTCACCTGTGTACTCCCTCCCTCAAGGGGTTGAGCAAAGCAGGTTCAAGTTAGTGGAGTTTGTCCCTGCCAGCACCCATGCACTCCAGTTCCCACCCACAGAGGGATCAGGGAAAATTTCTTGCTTCAATGTTATTTGCAGGAATAATTGGGGAAGTTGCACATCTCATGACCTCCAGAATAATGGATGCTAATCACTTAACTACACCTACATTTTAGTGGAATCCATCCTAACCTCCTGGCCTTTCTTTAGTTTTACAAAGGCAGTTTAGTTTTGGGAAAGGATATTATCACTTAAACTATAAATTTCTCCCAAAGTTAGCTTGACCCACATCCAGGAATGACCAAGCATAGTTTGGAGGTTTAGATCAGATCTCTTTTACTGTCATAATTTTCTCACTGTTATGATTTTTGCAAAGGTGGTTTCATCTTATCTTACCCTGCTTTACTTCCTCTGCTGTCAATTGTTGTCAGACTGACTTATACACAAAACTAGAGACATGGACATTTAGAAATTTGGAGTTCAGTATCCTCAAAGCCTAGCAGTCAGAGAGATAAGGAATTTGCCTTCTAGATCTGTATAAAAATAAATACATATGCAAACTAAAACAAAGCAAAAAACACAAGAGGACAATTAATTGGTTAGGTAGACACATCTTAGAACAATCACTGTAGCTAAGTGATTAAAAACAGTGATTAGGTGATTATGGGCCCCATGACTACTGAGGAATAGATTCTATTATCAAAAATGGTATGTTCTCAGTCATAGGTGGGAATTGAACAATGAGAACACTTGGACACAGGGTGAGGAACATCACACACTGAGGCCTGTTATGGGATCGGGGGACGGGGGACGGATAGCATTAGGAGATATACCTAATGTAAACAACGAGTTAAAGAGTGCAGCACACCAACATGGCACATGTATACATATGTAACAAAAACCTGCACATTGTGCACATGTACCCTAGAACTTAAAGTATAATTAAAAATGGTAAAGAAAAATAATAAATAATATCTCAGCAAGTGTCTTGGTTAAAAGACACTTGGAACTAAAGTGAGACAGACCTGGGTCTTACAAGGCTTTATGATGTCATCTCTCAGAGCCTCAGTTTTCTCATCTGTAAATAAGGATAAAATAATAAACACTTTAAGGTGATGTTTAAAAAAAATTCAGTGACATAATATAAGTAAAGTGCTTAGCAGACTATTGTTCAGTAAATCTTAGTTGTCATCATTATCCTCAATTTCAACCTCCTTATCATCACTGTTAATAATCTCAAAGAAGTTTTGGAAATGGAAGAGCATTTTTAAAGGAAAAATAACTGAGAAGATAAAAGAATAATTTTTATCTTCTCAATTATTTTGGTGGATAATTTTGCCCAAAAAGGACATTATAAGATACAAATGTTCAAATACTTCAGATACTAGAGACAAATCACAATAGCTATAAATCATTAGCCCCTTGGCACTATGGTGATGGCTTTATGTGCATCATATCATTTAATCTCCAAACAACCCTATAAGGCTCTGATTTTATAAAGAAACTGAAGATCAGAAAGATGAATAACTTATTAGGGACACTAAGGATACTAAGTTAAACCCAGCTAAATATGCATAGTTGTGTAACTGCCCATTGGGTTCACCTTGCCCGCTGCCTAGACAGAGTCGATTTATCAAGACAGGAGAATTGCAATAGAAAAAGAGTAATTCACACAAAGCCAGCTGTGCAGGAGACCAGAGTTATATTATTACTCAAATCAGCCTCCCTGAGCATTTGGGGAATCAGAGTTTTTAAGGACTACTTGGTGGGTTGGGGGAAGCCAGTGAGCCAAGAGTGCTGATAGGTCAGGTCAGAGATGAAATCTTAGGGAGTTGAAGCTGCCTTCTTGCACTGAGTCAGTTCCTGGGTGGTGGCCACAAGATCAGATGAGCCACCTTATCGATCTGGGTGTTGTCAGCTGATTCATCAAGTGCAGGGTCTGCAAAATGTCTCAAGCGCTGATCCTAGAAGCAGTTTAGGGAGAATCAGAATCTTGTAGCCTCAAGCTGCATGACTCCTAAACCATAATTTCTATTCTTGTGGCTAATGTTAGATTTACAAAGGCAGTCTAGTCCCCAGGTAAGAAGGAGCTTTGTTTTGAGAAAGGACTAAACCATAAACTATAAACTAAGTTCCTCTCAAAGCTAGTTCAGCCTACACCCAGGAATGAACAGGGACAGCTTGGAGGCTAGAAGCAAGATGGAGTTGGTTAGGTCAGATATCTTTCACTGTCTCAGCTATAATTTTGCAATGACTGTTTCAGTAGTATAGCTTTGCTAAGTGAGGTCCTTGTATGATCATTGAATATGTAAGTTTCAGGAAAACTGTGCACTAAATCTAAATCAACCTCCAGCTACTGAGAGGACATGAACAAATCAGGCAACTTTACTGAGATCTCATGTCCATACTTGTCACATTGAAATAATATGAAACTCTACTTGCCAGGAGGTGTGCAATACTTTGAGTACTTGATAGCCTCATATGGCACAAGAAGTGGGAAAAAAACACCTCTTTACCCTTGGGTCTCTGTGATGGCAGCGGCGGGCCATCTGGAATGGCCACTGCCACCATGCAGGCTGCAGCAGGGAGGTGCGAGAAGTGGCGGCAGGTGCAGCTGCAGGAGCAGCAATGGCAGTGGTGGGTCCCCTGCACCCCACATCCCTGAGGCAGCCGACTGCACCACCCCTACCCTCATGTGGCCAGGCAAGACCTGCTTCCAGGTCTGGAGCCTCTGCTGCTCCAGAACCTTGTCCTGTGTCACCACTCTTGCCCACTGCTGCTGTAGGGAGGGCACAGGGAGGAGGTGGAGCTGAGCCCAGGGTGGCGCCATGCTCCATGGAGCTGGCAGGAGGCAGGGACAAGTGGGAGCCCCCCCTGGAGCCCACTGCCCTGGGAGCCACGGCAATGGGGTTGGGCCAAGCTACCCATGGACAGGGGAGCAGCATGGTTTAGCACTGAGGGTTGGACAGAGGGGCCCAGCAAGGACCCAGAGCCCCCAACCCCAGCTATGAACAGGTGTGGCTGGGGCTGCCTACATGCTCCATGGACTGGGTGGGAGCCGTGCCATCCCAGGCACAGGACTCAGGTGTCTCTGCAGCACTCTGCACTCATGGTGACTTGGGTAGGCTCTTGCTGCCCTCACAGGCTTGGGGGTGTCTGTGCCTGCTGCTGGCCTCTCCCTGCTCCCGCACCTGCTCTGACCTCAGAATGGGGTTGGGGCTGAGCCCAAGCACTGTCACCACCCAGCTGAGTGTGCACATGCTTGGGACAGTGCTGATATGCCACCCCCATGCTGCCTCGGCCCCTTCTGGACTCTGGGCACTGGTAAGCATTGCAGGGAAGCCAATGGGGAACTGAGGGCAGTTAGATGCTGACCTGCAGGTGACCTTTGGTGAGAGGATCCTGGGTGCCATGGACAGTGGCAGGAGGCAGTTTCCTGGGCAGAAGGGGGCAGGTCACCGGTGAAGCCCCACCGTCAAGCCACAGAGCAGGGCTGGGCTGCCAGTCCTGTGGACTGGAGTGGGAACTTGTGGTGCCTTTTCCAGGCCCACTGATGGTCACCCATGAACCAACTGTCACATACTTCCTCCCCTCTGAGGCCCGTAAAAGACCTGGGCTCAGCCAGACCGGGATAGATGACAAGACGACCAGCTGCAGAGAGGAGGTACTCTCTCTGCTAGGAGCTGAACTCTTGACAGGACACCCTGACTAGAGAAAGGAGCTATCCCCTGCAGGTCTCCTCTGAGCTGTTCTATTGCTCAGTAAAGCTCCTCTTTGTCTTGCTCACCCTTTACTTGTCTGAGTATTTCATTCTTCCTGGTCACAGGACAAGAACTTGGGACCCACCAAATGGCGAGGCTAAAAGAGCCTTAAGACAAAAAGGGCTGAAACATGCCCCATGTTGCAGCCAAAGAGGAGGGAAGATCTGCCACCGGTCAGGGAGCCCAGACCTGGGAGCTCCCTGAGCCAGAGCTGTTACTCCCTCTTTGGGGCTCTGTGGTTCCTGGCATCTCCAAGCTTCCTGGTGCCACCACGTTCCCCACTGCCAACCATGGAAGCTGTTTGTGGTGTGCCTGGTCTGGCCACAGCTTCACAGAGACCCAGAACCTGTGCCGGCACCTGAAGCTGCCTGCCCCGCTGCAGCAGCAGGCATGTCTGACTGTGTGCAGTGGATGGACCCCATGCTCACTCACACACCCCTCGCTGTTCCACGCCTGACTCACCCTTGGCAAGTGTGGGATCCAGGCTTATAGCATGAACCAAGCACAGTCTGCCATGCTGAGTAGGCAGAACAAGCCCAGCAAGTCCGAGCAAAATTTGGGCAAAGAAGCCACCAGCCACAGAGGTTTCTGCCCAGAAAAGTGACACCCCAAGGATCCCATAACATCTGTGTCATGGATTCATGCCTGACGTGAAATCAATACAAATAGGCTGAACTGACACTTATGTGCACAGAAACACACAGGCAATAAGACAGGCTGAAGAAAAAAAAAAGCCATAAAATTGTAGGAATCATGAATCAGAGGGAACCATGAGGTTCAGAGGAGAAAAGAGTAAAGCCAGAGGCAGAGAGACTCTGGGACAAGCATTCATAGATGTCTATCCTCCTCTCATCACAACTATCAAGGAGAAAAAAAAACTGCTTTAAATGTACTGTCAAAAGTACATTAAATCAACTATGTAAATTTTGATATCTAAGTTCTCTGTGACTTCTGCCTGCAAGGTTAAGATGGTTTCCTTGTCATTATTTCCCTATTGGTCCTTACAACCCCCATTAGTTGAAGCAACCTGATCATATTTCTGTGAATTGAAACCAGAAAGCTCAACAGGCAGCCCTATGTGTCTCAAAAGACGATTAAAATTAAATATGAAAATGTTTTTTTAAAATATTAGAAACTACACAAAACAGGATATATAGCAACTGTATTTGTCAAAAGAGACCAAAGTTCAATAATGACAAAGAATTAGAATAAACAGAAAAAATTAATTTTATTCCATAATTTATATTTATAAAAAGGTAAATATGAAAGCATTAGAAAGGCATTTTTGAGGTTCTGATTTCCTTCAGGATTCTAATGAGAACAACTGTTAGAGTATGTGAAAGAAAGAAAGAAAGAATTTAACTAGAACAGTTTTCCACTAAATTTCTCAGTTTCTCCATTGCATTCCCTGAGAACTGATTGGAGCTCCACTTGGAATATTTAAAACTGCTCTGGACAAAATCATTAAAAGATGCTGGAGGGAACTAGCCAGTACTATCCTGGGGATGGAGGAGCTGTATGTAAGTTCTTTCATCTTTATTTAGACTCTTCTGTAATATATTTCCTTTCTGAGAAAAGAATTTATCTCCATCCAACAACATGCTGGAGAAAATGGCAATACCAAACTATCACAATGCAATAATCTATGTAATTAAATTATTTCATGGATCAATAGGAATGTGCAAATTGTGAAAAACTGTGAAATGTAATAATGTGTCTGACATTATAATTTCAGATGGCTTATTTATTCTTCAAGGACTTTGTACATTGATGCTTATTTGATTTCTCTGAACAAAAAAATGTTTCCTGGTCTGCTCTGGTTCTTCATTCCTTAGACAAATATATGTCGAGAGCATATTATGTGTAAGGCATTGTGTTAAGTGCTTTAGGGGGTAAAAGGGAAAATATGGTCTCTGCCTTCAAGGAGTCTCCATTTTCATACAGACAAGGAGGCCACATGGTAGAAAGGAGAGGACTCTGGAAACACACAGATTGGGTTCAAATTCCATCTCTGCCTGCTGCCAGCTGGGTCTCTGGTTCTCTATATGTAAAATTGGGATAAAAATGTCTTTCTCATGGGCATGTTATGAGAATGGGGAGATAATGTTCATACAGTACCTAGCAAAATATCAGTATTCAGTCAATCAGTGTGACTTTCCTTCCTCTTTAGAGAAGCAGGAAAAACTATAATCAGGGTAATATGCACTGCATATGTAAACCAATTACATAGAGAATAATGCAGGAGCTTTGCTATATATATATATATATATATATATATATATATATATATATATTTAATATAGTGGGTGTCGTCTAGGGGGATATGATGTTAAAAACATCTGGGAAGGTTTTATAACTCTCCTGAGGACTAAACTCTGACTATTTTATTTTTCTCTTGCCCAAACTTCTGTCTAAAAGGCTTGGGGAGTCATGCCCTACAAACCACAAAATTCCATCAGATGGCTCTTTATTGACTCTATATAATGTTACCCCAAAATATATATTTTTCTACCTATTTTGAAATGGCTGCCACTGGGCCAACAGATTGAAACGTCCCTGCAGATTGTCTTTTGTGGAAAAAATTTGCATCCCTAGAGAATCTCCATTAAAGTAGCCAGAATTTTCCCCTTATAGGCTGTTCCCAGATCTAGGAGAGAATAACTGAGAGTCTGACACATTTAAAGTCTGAAAAGAGACATTTATTATCTATTCTCTCTGAGGGCTGTCACCTATGAGAATTCATCTACATTAAAAAAAAAAAACCTTGGACTCCACAACCCCTTTGTAACTTAGGAATCCCTTTCTGCTGACTTCAAGCCTCCAGACAATAGCTTAACTGTCTCAACCAATTGTCAACTAAAGATCCTTAAAACCTATCTATGACTTGTAACCCCCACCCCCTTTGAGTTGTCCTGCCTTTTGGGGCCAAACCAATGTATACTTTCCATGTATTGATTAATGATTTTATCTGCAATTGCTGTCTCCCTGAAATGTATAAAACCAATCTGTAACTTGCCAGCCTTGGGCACATTTTCTCAGGACTTCTTGAGATTGTGTAACCTGGGCTGCAGCCACCCATATGGGCTCAGAAGAAACCTCTTTAAATATATTTGGATTTTTCATCATCACTCCCGATCACTCCAATTATTTCTCAACCTCTACCCCAACCACTCTCTGCACCTCCCTGCCCAATGCACACACAATTTTATTTTATTTTTTTCTTCAACTTTTATTTTAAATTCTGGGGTACATATGCAGGATGTCCAGGTTTGTCACATAGGTAAACGTGTGCCATGCTGATTTGCTGCACATATTAAGCCATCACCTAGGTACTAAGCCCAGCATTCGTTAGCTATTCTTCCTGATGCTCTCCCTCCCCACAACCCTACAGATCCCAGTGACACTCACAATTTTAAAAATGTATCAGAATCATGGAGAGTAGGTCATGCAGACAGGGAAATGCTGAGTAATTAGAAAAGCTCTTCCAGGTACAGCACAAAACTTCTCCATTCATAATGAAATGGGCACAAAATTTGGATCCAGACAAACCTTGGCAGTTTCAGTTCTGCCACTTACTCAATGTGGCCAAGTTATTAAATCTTTCTTAAGTTTTAATTCAGGGCAAATACCATGATTGCAAAGGTTTTCTATTCTCAATAACAAGCACTGTGACTGCCCATATTAGGCGCCCAGCAAATATTTCCCAATTGATGAAATAAATTGTGAAATTTACAAAATAGCATCTATGTGCTAGTATTATTGTGCGGATTTTAAAAAATTCTGTAGAATGCCTTCTTGGCATTGCAGGCATCTGATGTTTAATAGCAATTATCAAGGGCTGAGGGCAATGAAAAAACAAAACATCACAGAGGAAACAATATGAACAGAGTAGGACTCTGATAGATGTAGAAAGAGCTAAATTAGCAAGTGCTTGGTAGCAGAGTCACAGTATATTTGGGAATGATAGATAAACTAGTTTGGCTGGTGTTTAAGCTTCATAAGAGCTGGAAGTGGTAGATGCTGCTGCAAGTTAATCATGGTTAGTTCATGAAAGTCCTTGAAGATGCTATTTAGGAGATTTTATTATGTCCACCATGTAAAGAGAAACAAATGAAGGTTTCAGAGCAAAAGGAAGAGTGATATCATCAGAACTTCACTTTTGAAGAAATGATTTGGGATTTGTGTACAGGTTGGAAAGAAACCGAGTGAAAGGTTTGAATAATATTTAATATTATTCAATAACATTATTTAATATTCGATAATACTCTGAAATAGAAGAACCTTTAGGAGGCTTCTTCCATTTCCATAGAAGAAGCAACAAATCCTGATAATAAGGTGAGGTAAGGAAAGGAGAGCAGAGTGTTGTGGAATTAGTTTAACTGTGAGAATGATTATTCCATTTACAAAAGAAGAAGTGTAAATACGAGAAACTTTTAAAAAGGACAAATATTTGTTTAACAAAAAAATGTTAAATGTTTTAATTCAGTTTTAAATTTGCTGCCTCTGGGGTATCATGAAAAAATGAAAAAATTCAGAGACTGGAGCCAAAGATACTATTTGTTAATCATTCCTACAGAAATAAAGACAGAGTTCACCTGGAAAGATTAAGGCTAGAGTATCAAGGAATATTCATCTTCCAGGGACAAGAAGAGAAGGTAAACTTGTGTATTTTGCTAAAATAAAATTTTTCCAGTACCTTTATTAAGAATAGGCCTTAGATTTTATTTAAAAGCCTATTTCTGGCATTGCATTCTACTACAAAAGATATTTTAAAAAACACCAATTACTTTTATTTTCATAAAACATTTTATTAGTTATCTAAAAATTATCTTTCAGAAAGCCTTTATGCATATAGGAAAGAGTCCCAAAATAGCCCTAGATAAGTTTTCCAGTTTACATAACTCCAAAAATCCTATGTTTATTTTCTTTGTGCTCCTTCTTTTTGCCATCCACATGGGTTATTGTAAAAGGAATGATTCACAGTGATTGAATTTTGGTTTGCAATAGAATTCTAGACATCAGAGATAGAAAGCCACTGGCATAATCTACTATGAAAACAGATCCTGTTTTTTTTTTTTTTTTTTTTTTTTTGAGACGGAGTCTCGCTCTGTCGCCCAGGCCAGACTGCGGACTGCAGTGGCGCAATCTCGGCTCACTGCAAGCTCCACTTCCTGGGTTCACGCCATTCTCCTGCCTCAGCCTCCCGAGTAGCTGGGACTACAGGCGCCCGCCACCGCGCCCGGCTAATTTTTTGTATTTTGAGTAGAGACGGGGTTTCACCTTGTTAGCCAGGATGGTCTCGATCTCCTGACCTCATGATCCACCCGCCTCGGCCTCCCAAAGTGCTGGGATTACAGGCGTGAGCCACCGCGCCCGGCCCTGTTTTAACCATTATAATTTTGACTTTGTTGTTAAGTTTAGCATTCAGTAAAGAAAAGTTATCTTACATAGAATCATATGGAAATGATGCATATTATTCCAACCATTCAAGTAAGGTTTGATAACAGTGTGATTTTCATTAATTGACTGATTCACAAATTAAGCATAGAGTAACATGGTGTGCTAAACTTCTGCCCTCACAGAAGTTTCAAAGTAACAGGAAGACAAACATACCAAGAATCACTTACACTGAAGAACATGTGTGCTATGAAAGAAGAAAGGACGCAGGTGTTATAGAGCTCAGAGCAGGGACAGCTACTTAGCCTAAAGGTAGTTCAGAATGTTTCCAGTAGCAAAATGAGATGTCATTTGAGGCCAGAAGAATGACTAGGAGTTATCCAGGGGAAAGGAGAGAAAGGAAATTTAGTAGATCATTTTGCCTCTTTCTCACCCTCAATTTCATCATCTACGAATTGGAGAATATAAGCTTGATGGTCTTTCAAGCCCTTTCTAGTTAATAAAGCACAATGTCCTATTTTAATAGGCCCTTCCCCATATGAAACATGCTCTTCCCTCCTTGATTCTTCTTTGCCCAGACTGCCTAAATTAAATTTAGTTAATTTCTACTTGTCCTTAAGGACTCAGTTGAAGGCATCTTAAAGCTACTTCTTGAAGCTCTTTTTGAGTTCTTCCACTACTTCACGGAGAGCTGGTCTCTCCTCCCCTAGTGTCTTCTCTGTTGCTTTGAAGTTGTTTTTGTCTGACTCCCTCGCTAGACGGTAAGCTCACTGAGGGCAATGACTGAGTCATATGTACCTTCATGCCCTTAGCACCTCTCAATGTCTAGCATATAGCAAGTGTTCATTGAATCTTGCGTAAATATAAAAATAAATTCAAATAAAAATAAATAAATTCAATGCATGCTTTGAAGAAAACTCAAAAAAGCTTTCGTTAGGTAAAGGTGTACTCTTATAATCTTCTCTATAATTTTCTACACAAAAAGAACTCAGTAGAAGGTGATAATGATGAACGAGGCTATTTTTTTGACAATTGAGAAATTTTGCCAAGAAGGTTTTCCAATATTATGGCAAAGTGTAGAGTTAAATAAGAATCTATCGAAACTTTAGTGATCCAAATCTTTATCAGACCCCACAGTGGTCACTGTTTTAGGATTACTGTGCTTCAAAGTCTAAATATCTGTTTGGGAGAAATTACTTTTTCTTATCTCCATGCTTCACCTTCATTTTTATCATGAAACCACCTTATTATTCACAGTGGTTTTAAAATAGATCATGCTGATATAAGAAAAATCAATCTGTAATTAAAAGAATAAACAAAACTGATTTATAGACTATATAACTAAAAACGAACATTAAATTGTGATAAATTATACATTTTGATAGTGAAATTAATATGTCATTGTTTTACGTGATTGATGAATAATTAAAACTTTAGTTATCTAATTTACTTTTTCATGATTAAAAATGATATATTATAATACAAAGGTTGTGAGTTTTATAAACTGAATTAGCAGGCAATTTTTATTAAGTGATGATTTAGTACTGTTTTTTTTCCAGCCCCATGATATGCTTAGTATAATTTCTGAAATTCCTTTATCAACAATAGGCAGATTTTAATATTTACAGCAGTCCTTCAAATACCTTGTCAAATTAGCTTTCCCATAAAAGCTAAGTAAAAATACAGTTGTAAGGAAAAATCACAACCTTCTAGTTTTAGTTCATTTAGAGGCCCTTGAGTGTTCAATGACGTGAAAAGTGACATATATCTGTGAATTAAGAAACTTTAACTACACCAAGAGTGCACTTCATTATATAATACATAATTCAAGAGATGATTCCTTATGTTGAAAATTCAATCCAACTTTGGCATTCAAATTTATCCCCCAATTTCAGTCGTATTCAAAATATTATAGCTTAGGAGGCTGCAGCAGAGCAAGATGGCAGTCTAAAGGTGCGTGCCTAACACTCATTCCTCTGACAAAAAGGAACCAAAGCTATGAATAAATAACCACATTTTGATAAGGGTGACTAAAGAAGAGGGCTAGAGTATGGCAAGAGAATGATAAAAACCCTGTGGAACCCAGAAACTTAGGATGGGCACAAAGAGGAGGAAAGAAAACAACTTGCCTCCACCTCCTCATCCCCCAAGTGAAGATCAGCTCAGAAACAGAAGGGACTTCTTCCTGAAGGGAAAAGGTAACCAGGAAGCCCCCAGTGGCCCCCGCCACTACCATGGATCCCTGAAGTCTTCATTATTGGGAAATCCTGCAGTTCTCTCAGGCTCTGAGCCCAGCTTATAGAGCTGCCTCGAGTTCACATGGCTGTACTACTCCAGAGAAGAAGACCACATTTGTACCGTGCCCCCATGGCTTACGCTGTTACTGCACTGTGTCATTGTGAAACCAGAGCCACTGCTAGAGTGTATCAGATTTCAGGAGCCAGTAGCCAATGCATCCTTTCATCCCTGAATGGACATATTTCTCAGCTGAGCTGCTGCAGCTCTCTTCCTTCTGGGGAAAAGTTGCCTAGGAAAAAATCCATATCCCTTATCTTCCCCCAGCTACTCAGAGCCTAGGCCCAGAGAAGCAGCCATGTCCCCTCAGTGCCTAAACTAACCAAGTGTCCTGCCCCTAGGGAACTAAAGGTTTGGCCTAGGTGAACAGCTACAATCATAGCATCAGAGCCCACATGGCATCCTGATCCCTGGGTACTGGTTACACTGGCCGAACAGAGAAGCTGCACCCAACTTGGCAGAGCAGCTGTGTCCCTTAGTGCCTGAAACAACATGGTGACCTGTCCATCAGGAATAAGAGCCTCAGCCCAGGGGAACAGCCACAACCCTGCACCCAAGCCCACATGGCACTCTGCCCTGAAGGGACCCAGAATCTGATCCAGCAGAGCAGGCAAACCTCTATGCACCTGAGCTGACATAGTGCACTGCCCTCTAGGGAAATAGAGTTTTCACTGATCTGTATCACCCTATCCTTTGGGCCAAACAGCAGCAGTGCTCAACTTCCCTGGATCTTGAAGTCCTCTGGAGTCTGACCTGCTGATGCACCCTGCCTCCCTAAGGAATGGAGCCATCTTTACAATGCTTCCACCCCCTGAGGCCCAAGACACAACTTTGCCCATCATTACTGAATCCTTGATGCCAATGCCCCAACATCATAAAGCCTGGGCCGCTGCTATGTCCCACCATTCCAAAATCAAGAGTCACCACCATGTAGTTCGTGTATCCTGGGTGCCTGAGTTTTCATTGTACCCTGTTGTTTTTGGGACACAAATTGCAGCTGTGACTGCTCCTGGAGGCCTGAGTCTTTGAAAGAAATCTTCTTCCTTGGAGTCATGTCAGTACTGCACCCAGAAGCACAGGATCAGAGTCATAGGTACATCCCTGTCTCCTGGGCCCAAGCTGAACAGAGACTATACTACTGCACCCATTCAGAATCAGAGCCAACAGAACTTGCCCAGCTTAGTCCCTATGACCCATCTATAGGTGAAAATATTTCCCTACAAAACCTGCACTATAAAATTGAAAGGGATAACAGTTCCACCAGATGTACAGACACCAAAACAAAAACACAAGAAACATGAAAAAGCTAGAGTACATTATACCACAAAAATAGCCCACAATAAATATTTAGTAATTGACCCTCCTAAAATGAAAATTTATGAATTACCTGAAAACGAATTCATAATAATGATCTTAACGAAACTCAGTGAGATACAAGAGAATACAGATAGATAATTCAATGAAATCAGGAAAAAATCCATGATCTGAAAGATAAATTTGAACAAAGAGATATATCATAAAATAAGAACCAAATAGAAATCTTGGGGTTGAAGAATTCAATGAATAACATTTTTTAAAAACGCAATTGAGAAATTCAACAGCAGATTAGATCAAGCAGAAGAAATAATCTCTGCATTTGAAGAAAGGTTTTTTAAAATAACCCATTCATAGCGGGAAAATAACAAAATAATATAAAAGAGTGAACAAAACCTATATGACTTACGGGACATCACTAAGTAAATAAGTTTTGCATTATGGGAATTCAGATGAAGATGATTGGAGAACATCACAGAAAGTTTATTTAAAAAAGTAGGCCAGGCACAGTGGCTCAGGCTTGTAATCTCAGCACTTTTGGAGCCAAAGCATGCAGGTCACTTGAGGTCAGGAGTTCAAGACTAGCCCGGCCAACATGATGTAACCCTGTCTCTACTAAAAATACAAAAATTAGCCAGGCATGGTAATGCATGCCTGTAATCCCAGCCACTCAGGAGGCTGAAGCAGGAGGATTGCTCGAACCTGTATGGGAGAGGTTGCAGTGAGCCGAGATCATGCCACTGCACTCCATCCTGGGCTACAGAGCAAGACCCTGTCTCAAAAAATTTTTTTAAAAAGCTATTTAACAAAGTAATTGCTGAAAACTTTCCAACTCTTAGGAGAGTTATGGATATTCAGATCCATAAAGATCAAAGGTACCCAAACAGATTCAGCCCAGAAGGATCCTCACCTAGGCATACTATAATTAAAATGTCAAAAGTGAAAGACACAGAGAATTTTAAAAGCAATAAGAAAAACATGTCAATTGACAAAGAAATAAACCACTATTATACTAGCAGGAGATTTCTCAGCAGAAATCTTGCAGGACGGGAAAGAATAGGATAATATAGTCAAAGCGCCAAAACCTGTCGTTCAAGAATATGATACCCAACAAAGCTGTGCTTCAGAAATGAAGGAGAAATCAAGACTTTCCCAGACAAGTAAAAGCTGAGGAAATTCACCATAGGGCGTGCCTTACAAGAAATGCTTAAGAAAATTCTTCAACCATAAGTGAATGGACAATGATAACTATCATGAAGAAATGTGAAGGTAAAAACTCAGTAGTAAAGGTAAATCACAGTCAATTTCAGAATACTTTATAACTGTAATGGTGGTATATACATCTTTCAAATCTCTACTCTGAAGGCTAAAATTTCAAATGGTCAAAAATAACTAAAACAACAATAAGTTGTTAGGGAATACATAATGCAAAAATATCTAAATTGACAGAGCAAAATATAAATTGTGGGGGAGGGTTAAAGGCTAGAGTATTCATAAGAGACTGCAGTTGTCAGCTTAAAATAGTCTATTATAAGATTTTTTATGTAAGTCTCATGGTAACCACAAAGCAAAAAAACTACAGCAGATACACAAGCAAGAAAGAGAAAGAGGCCAGGCACAGTGGCTCACGCCTGTAATCCCAGCACTTTGGGAGGTCAAGGCAGGTGGATCATGAGGTCAGGAGATCGAGACTATCCTGGCTAACACAGTGAAATCTCATCTCTACTAAAAATATAAAAAAATAGCCAGATGTGGTGGCACGTGCTTGTAATCCCAGCTACTCAGGAGGCTGAGGCAGGAGAATCGCTTGAACATGGGAGGCGGAGGTTGCAGTGAGCCAAGATTGTGCCACTGCACTCCAGCCTGGGCAACAGAGTGAGACTCCATCTCAAAAAACAAACAAAAAAAAAAAAGTAAAAGAAAGAGAAAGGAACCAAAGCTTAGCACTACAGAAAATTACCAAGCCACAGAGATAGGCAACAAGAGAGGAAGAAAGGAATAAAGATTTACAAAACAAGCAGAAAACAATTAACAAAAATGGAAGGAGTAAATAATTATTTACCAGTAATAACTTTGAATGAAATGGATTAAACTCTCCAATAAAAAATAGTGTCTGAATGAATTAAAAACAAGATCCAATTATATACTGTTTACAAGAGTCCCATTTTAGCTTTATGTACACACATAGGCTGAAAGTAAATGAATGAAAAAGATATTCCATGCAAACAGTAATCAAATAAGAGCAGGAGTGACTATACTTGTATCAGATAAAATAGATTTCAAGACAAAATCTGTTTGGAAAAACAAAGACAGTCATTACTTAGTTACAAAGAGGTCAAATCAGAAAAAGGACATAACAATTATAAATATATATGTACCTCATAAATGGAACACCTAAATATATGAAGCAAATATTAATGGACGTGAAGGAAGAAATAGACAGCTATACAATAATAGTAGAGGATTTTAATTCCTCACTTTTAACAGTGGAGAGATCAACCAGACATGATATTAGTGAGGAAATACTGGAATTAAACTGCACTTTTGCTCAAATAGACCTAACATGTAGGACATTCATTTCAACAGCAGCAGACTACACATAATTCTCCAATGCACATGGAACATTATCCAGGAGAGACCATGTGTTAGACCACAAAACAAGTCTTAACAAATTCAAGAATAATAAAATTATATCTAGTATTGTTTCCAACCATAATGGTATGAAAGTAGAAATCAATAACAAGAAGAATTTTGGAAAACTCACAAATATGTGGAAATTAAACAACATGCTCCTGAACAACCAATGGGTCACAGAGGAAATCAAAAGGGTAATTATAAAAGTTTTGAGACAAATGACAATGGAAATACAGCAGATCAAAACCTTTGACTTACAGCAAAAGCACTACTAAGATGGAAGTTGATAGCAATAAATGCCTATGTTACAAAAGAAGAATGATCCCAAATAAATAGCCTAATATTATGCCTCAAGGAGTTAGAAAATAAGAACAAACTAAACCCAAAGTTAGCAGTCAGAGGGAAATAACAAATATTGGAATAGAAATAAATCACATTGAGCATAGAAAAGTCATAGAGAATATCAATAATATTGATATTATTGGTTCTTTGAAAAAATAAAATCAACAAACACTGAGACTGAGAAAAAAAAAGAGAAAAGGCACAAATAAAATAAAATGGAGACATTGAAACAGACACTTCAAAAATAATAAATGTAGTCCCTTGTGCCAATAAATTGGGTAATCTAAAGAAAAATTTCAAAAGATGGCTGACTGAATGCAGCCAGGTGGAGCAGCAGTGATTGAGGGTCTGGAACAACTGGCACACTCCTAACTGATCTTCAGGGGGAAGGCCCTGAGAGCAGACAGAGGGAAGACACAGAAACTAGGCTGAAGGGGGAGAAAGCTGGAAAACTTGCATGGGGCTAACATGCATTGGGGTTCATTCCTGGTGCCTAGTGACTGTGAAGGAATGGGTGCATTGCACTGGCAAGGAACAACTTGCTCTTGCTATGGTCCTCTGGAATTCTAATAGGAGGAGAGCCTTCAACCACCACAGACACTTGAGTTGGCAGGGAAAGCTACTTAGAAAAGTAGTAGAGACAGCAATCAAGTTGAAGTGAAGCCCAGAGGATTTGCTGCAGAAGCGTCTGTAGTGGAGCAGAGCCAGGGATGGCCATCCCCCAAGGTTCAACTTGCTTCCAGAAAACTTTAGCCCGAGAGGAAGAGTTAGAGTTAAACTCTGCAGTGCAGTCTTGCCTATCAGATGGGATCAGTGTGATCTGAGCTCTGCTTGGTCTCCTGGCCTCTCCTGGGGCCCCACCCTGGCCACACCTGCATGCAGTGCAGTCTTGGGTTCTCTAGAGGCCTGCATGACACCTCCTGCACTGGTGGACTGTGCTTGACCAGTACAGAGCTCCAACAGAGTGAGCTCCAGGGACATGCACCAGCCCACCCGCTTCCTCCTCCCACTGTGGCTTCCTCCAGGCCCACAGCCACCACCCACATCTCTTGGCTGGCATGTGTATGTACAGGTGGATTTTGCCTTCCCTGCCCCGCTAGTGTGTGTGTGTGTGTGTGTGTGTGTGTGTGTGTGTGTGTGTGTGTTTGTGCACCATGCCCTGCTCTGCTGCTGGCATGAGTGCAATCCACCCTCTCACTGTAAAGCCATTGCAGTGGGAGCCTTAGCAGGCACAGAGCCTCTCAGTGCCACCCACATCAGTGCCCAGCCCCTGAGCCAACATTGCTGTTGAAGTAAAACTATGTATGGAGAACAGTAGACCCTCCACCAGCCTGAGTGGCCAGCTATACCTGCGTGATACGCACGGAGGGTGCACACTGTCCTGTACCTCCCAGCGCTCGCCCATGTGCTAACACCACTACCAGTGCAACTGCACACCCAGTCACCACTTCCCAGCTGGGCTTCCTCCGCTGCTCCTGTGAATGCCTACACAGAGGCCAGAACCCTGGCACCTGCTAGCACCCTGCCGCTGCCAACAAGCATTCACCCCACTGCACTGCCACTGCCACTTCTGCTGGCAAGTGCAAACAAGGATGAATCCCACTGCCACTGCCCTACAAAACACTTTGGCTGGCACAACCCATCAGAGTGTTGTGACCAGCATCCAGGAACACCTTGGCCTCCCCAGCACAGGAGGTTGCTAGCCTCGAGGAACCAGAGAACAAAGGGCTGAATACCACTCCCCCAGTTAGAGAGCACAGTCAAGGTATTAGAAACTGAGCCTTGACCCCCTAAAATCTTCCAAAAATGAAGCCAGTAGACTGAACCTACCTTATACCACAATCAAACCCTCAGGGTCATCAAATAGGATTTTTTTTAAAAAATGTCCAAACCATGGCAACTTCAAAGATTGAAGGAACAATCAGCCCACAAAGATGAGAAAAAAACAGAGCAAGAATTCTGACAACTCAAAAACCAGAGTGCCTTCTTTCCTCCAAATGATTGCGCTAGCTCTCCAGCAAGGTTTCTGAACCAGGCTGAGATGCCTGAAATAACAGAAATAAAATTCAGAATATGAATAGGAATGAAGATCATCAAGATGCAGGAATATGCTGAAACCCAATCCAAGGAAGCTAAGAATCAAAATAAAACAATACAGGAACTGACAGACAAAATAGCCAGTATAGAGAGGAATATAACTGACATGAAAAAAAATACACTCCAAGAATTTCATAATGCAATCACAAGTATTAATAGCAGAATAGACCAAGCTGAGGAAAGAATGTTAGAGCTTGAAGACTGGCTTTCTGAAATAAGACAGTCAGACAAGAATAGAGAAAAAGGAATGAAAAGGAACAAGCAGACCCTCTGAAACATATAAGCTTATGTAAGGAGACCAAATCTATAACTCACTGGTGTCCCTGAAATATATGGGGAGAATGGAAGCAACTCGCAAAACATATTTCTTTTTTTCTTCTTTTCTTGTTTTTTTTTTTTTTTTTTTTGGAAACAGAGTCTTGTTCACCCAGGCTGGAGTACAGTGGCGCTATCTCAGCTATCTCAGCTCACTGCTACCCCTGCCTCCTGGGTTCAAGCGATTCTCCTGCCTCAGCCTCCCAAGTAGCTGGGATTACAGGCATGCACCACCACATCCAGCTAATTTTCATATTTTTAGTAGAGACGGGGTTTCGCTATGTTGACCACCAAACTCCTGATCTCAGGGGATCCACCCACCTCAGCCTCCCAAAGTGCTAGGATTACACCATGCCCAGCCTGCAAAACATATTTCAGGATATCATCCATGAGTACTTCCCCAATCTAGCTGGAGAGGCCAGCATTCAAATTCAGGAAATGCAGAGAACTCCAGAAAGATACTTCACAAAAAGTTCATCCCCAGGACACATAATCATCAGATTCTCTAAAGTTGAAATGAAAGAAAAAATGTTAAAGGCAGCTAGAGAGAAAGGTCAGGACACCTACAAAGGTAAGCCCATCAGACTAACAGTGGACCTGTCAGCAGAAACTCTACAAGATTGTGGCTCAATATTCAACATTCTTAAGGAAAAGAAATTTCAACTAATAATTTCATGTCCAGCCAAACTAAGCTTCATAAGTGAAGGATAAATTAGATTCTTTTCATACAAGCAAATAAATACTGAGGGGATTTGTTACCACCAGACCTGCCTTATAAGAGCTCCTAAAGAAATCACTAGATTTGGGAAGAAAAGACCGTTAACAGCCATGACACAAACGAACCTAAGTACACAGACCAATGACACTATAAAGCATCCACACAAACAATTCCACATAGAAATGACAAAGGGAATATTACACCTGACCCCACAGAAATAAAAATAAATATCAGAGAATATTGTTAATTATTCTATGCACACAAACTGAAAAATCTAGAAATTCCTGGACACATACACCCTCCAAAGACTGAACCAGGAAGAAATGGAATCCCTAAACAGACCAATAACAAGCTCCCAAATTGAATCAGTAATAAATAGCCTACCAACCAACAAAAGCCCAGGACCACACAGACTCAGAGCTGAATTCTACCAGATGTACCAAAAGGATTTGGTACCATTTCTGCTGAAACTATCCCAAAGACATAAGGATAAGGGACTCCTCCCTAATTAATTCTATGAGGGTAGCATCATCTTGATACCAAAACCTGGCAGAGACACAATAAAAAAAGAAAACTTCAGGCCAATATCCTCAATAAACATCAATGCAAAAATCTTCAACAAAATACTGGAAAACTGAATCCAGCAGCAAATCGAAAAGCTTATCCACCATAATCAAGTAGCCTTTATCTCTGGGATGCAAGGTTGGTTCAACATATGCAAATCAATAAATATGAATCATCACATAAACAGAACTAAAGAAAAAAATCACATGATTATCAATAAATGCAGAAAAGGCTTTCGATAAAATTCAACACCACTTCATGTAAAAAAAAACCTCTCAATAAACCAGGTATTGAAGGAACATACCCAAAATAATGAGTCATCTATCGCAAACCTGCAGCTGACATCATACTGAATGGGCAAAAGCTGGAAGCATTCTCCTCAAAAATCAGCATACGACAAGGATGCCCTGTCTCACCACTCCTGTTCAATATAGTATTGGAAGTCCTGGCCAGAGCAATCAGGCAAGAGAAAGAAATAAAGGGCATCCAAATAGGAAGAGAGGGAGTCAAACTATCTCTGTTTCCAGATAATATAATTCTATATCGAGAAAACCCCAAAGTCTTGGCCCAAAAGTTTCTCAAGTTGCTAAACAACTTCAGTGAAGTCTCACGATACAAATTCCATGTGCAAAAGTCACCAGTATTTCTACACACCAACAACAGTCAAGCTGAGAGCCAAATCAGGAACACGATTCCATTCACAATTGCCACAAAAAGAATAAAATACCTAGGAATACAACTAACCAGGGAGGTGAAAGATCTCTACAATAAGAACTACAAAATGCTCTTCAAAGAAATCAGAGGTGACACAAACAAATGGAAAAACATTCCATGTTCACGGATAGGAAGAATGAATATATTTAAAATGTACATACTGCCCAAAGAAATTTATAGATTCAACACTTGTTCCCATCAAACTACAAATGAAATTCTTCACAGAACTAGAAAAAGCTTTAAAATTCATATAAAACCAAAAAACAAAAAGCCTGAATAGCCAAGGCAATCCTAAGCAAAAAGAATAAACCTGGAGGCATCATGCTACCTGACTTCAAACTATACTACAGGGCTACAATAACCAAAACAGCATGGTACTGGTACAAAACGGTCACATAGACCAATGGAACAAACTAGAGAGTACAGAAATAAGGCCGTTCACTTACAACCATCTGATCTTTGACAAAGCTGACAAAAACAAGCAAGAGGGAAAAGATTTCCTGCTCAATAAATGTTGCTGGGATAACTGGTTAGCCATATGCAGAAGATTGAAACTGGAGCTTTTCCTTATGCAATATACAAAAATCAACTCAAGGTAGATTTAAGACTTAACTATAAAATCCAAAACTATGAAAACTCTGGAAGACAACCTAGGCAATAACATTCTGGACATAAGAACAGGCAAAAATTTCATGACAAAGATGCCAAAAGCAATTGCAACAAAAGCAAAAATTGACAAATGGCGTCTAATTAAACTAAAGAGCTTCTGCACAGCAAAAGATAGTATAAAAAGAATAAACATACAGTCTACAAAATGGGAAAAAGTTTTTGCAAACTATGCATCTGACAAGATGCATCCAGCATCTATAAGGATCTTAAACAAATCTACAAGAAAAATAATCCCATTAAAAAGTGGGCAAATGACAGGAATAGACACTTTTCAAAAGAGAACATACATGTGGCCAACATGCATATAATAAAAAAGCTCAACATCACTGATTATTAAAAAATGCAAATTAAAACCACAATGAGATACCTTCTCTCACCAGTCAGAATGGATATTACTAAAAAGTCAGAAAATAACAGTTGCTGGTGAGATTGCAGAGAAAAGGGAATGCCTATACACTGTTGGTGGGAGTGTAAACTAGTTCAACCATTGAGAAAAGCAGTGTGGTGATTCCTCAAAGGCCTAAAAACAGAACTACCAATACTGGGTATATACTCAAAAGAATATAAACCATTCTGTCATAAAGACACATGTGCATATTCATTGCAACACTATTCACAAATGCAAAGACATGGAATCAACCTAAATGCCCACCAATGGTAGAATGGATAAAGAAATGTGGTACAAATACACTATGGAATACTATGCAGCCATAAAAAGGAATGAGATCATGTCATTTGTAGGAGCATGGATGGAGCTGGAGGCCATTATCTTTAGTGAATTAATGCAGGAACAGAAAACCAAATACCACATGTTCCCACTTGTAAGTGGGAGCTAAATGATGAGAACACATGGACACATAGAAGGGAACAACAGACACTGGGGACTACCTGGTTGTGAGAGATAGGAGGAAGGAGAGGATCAGGAAAAAGAACTAATGGATACTAGGATTAATACCTGGGTGACAAAATTGTCTGTACAAGAAACCCCCCTGACACAAGTTTACCTATATAACAAACCTGCATACGTACGCTGGAACTTAATATAGAAGTTAAAAAAATAAATAAAAGAAAAAGAAAACCAAAAAACTCAAGGGGTAAAAATTGAGTATTATATAATCCCAGAGTGACTGCAACAACACCATAGGTGAAAAAATATTTTTTTAAGATTTATAGATATGATATTAGTCATCTGGAAATGTGATGCAAAACCACAATGAGATACTACTTCACACACACTAAGATGGCTATATATTTTTTTTAAATGAGAAAATGACAGGTGTTAAGATTTGGAGAAACTGGAATTGTCACATATTGATAGTAAGAAAGTAAAATGGTACAGCCATTTTGGAAAACAGTGTGAAGTGTCTCAAAAAGTTAAACATTGGTTACCACTTAATCTGGCAATTCCACTCCTAGGTATGTACCCAAGAAAAATAAAAACATATGTTCACCCAAAAACTGGCATACAAATATGTATGGCAACATAAACATAAAAGGGGTAAACAATCCAAAAGTCCATCAGCTGATAAATGATTAAACAAAATATGATAGCCCATACCATTGAATATTATTCAGCCATAAAAAGGAATTCAGTACTTATACATGCTACAAACATGGATGAACCCAAAAACATTATGCTGTTAATGTTTTATTAACATTATTAACATTATACTAATAAATGAAAGAAGCCAATCACAAAAGACCTAATATTATATGATTCTTTTTATATCAAATGCCCAATATAGACAAATCTACAGAGACAAAAAGTGGATTAGTGGTTGCTGAGGGTTGGAGGAGATGCGGAAATTGATGGGTGATACCTAAGTGGTATAATTTCTTTTTTGAGATAATGAAAATGTTCTAAAATTGATTGTGGTGATAGTTGCACAAGTCTGTGAATATACTAAAAATTATCAAATTGTGCATTTTAAATGTGAGAATTGTTTGGTATTTGAATTATATCCTAGTAAAGCTATTCCCCCACAAAGAGAAAAATTTGTAGGATAAATTTTCTATGATTGATTTCTAGAAAAATGTAAACTATCAAGGTTGAATCAGGAAAAATAGAAAGCTCAAACAGACCAAAAACTTTCCAACAGAGAAAAGCCAGGGCCCAAATGGCTTCACAGATTAGTCCTACCAAACATTCGAAAAGGAATTATTACTAATGCTTCTTAAATTCTTCAGAAAAATACAGCTAGAGAGAATACTTTCAAACAAGTTTTACAAAGCAAGTATTGTCTTGAAACCTAAGCCAGACAATGACACCACAAGGAAAGAAAGCTATGGGCCAATATCTCTAATGAACATAGATGCAAAAAATTATCAATAAAATATTTGCAAACAAAAAATTATACATCACTACCAACTGGGATTTATTTCTGGCATGCAAGACAATCAATGTGATATAATACATTAATAGAATGTGAAAAACCACACAATCATCTCAATGCAGAAAAAACATTTAACAAAGTTCGGCAACTTTTCTTGATAAAAACTCTTAACAGTTAAGGTATAGAAGAAAAGTTATTTGACATAATAAAGTTTATTTATGAACAGCCCATATCTAACATCATAATGAATTAGTAACAACTGAAAGCTTTTCAATTAAGATCAGGTACAAGGCAGGGATGTCGACTCTTAACACTTCTATTTAACATAGTACTGGAAGTACTAGCAAGAGAAATCAGACAAAGGAAAAAGAAGGAAGGGAGGGAGGGAGGGGAAGGAGGGAGAGAGAAAAGAGAAAGGAAGGAAGGAAGGAAAGAAGGAAGGAAGGAAGGAAGGAAGGAAGGAAGGAAGGAAGGAAGAAGGAAGCATCCAAAATGGAAAGAAAGACATAAAATTACATCTATTTGCAGATGACATAATCCTATATAGAGAAAACCCAATGATTTTATAAGTAAAAATAAAACTTATTAGAATTAATAAATGAATTCAACAAAGTTGCAGAATACATAATCAACATACAAAATCAGCATTATTTCAACATACACATTACAGTCTACCTAAAAAAGAAATTAAGAAAATAATTTATTTACAATAGCATCAAAAAAATAAAATATTAGGAATAAATTTAACCAAGAAGGTGAGACTTGTATACTGAAAATAATAAAACAATGATGAAAAAATTGAAGACAAATAAATGGAAAGCTGTCCCATGCTCATGGATCAAAAGAATTAATATTATTAAAATGTCTATATTGGTCAAAGTAATACACAATCCCTCTCAGATGATAGCGACTATGTCACATAAAATTTAATCCCTATTAGATGCAATCCTTATCTAATTTCCAATGGCATTCTTCACAGAAATAGAAAAAAAAATCCTAAAATTTGCAAGGAACATAAAAAAACTGAATAGACAAAGCAACACTGAAAGAAAATTTAAAGGCATCACATTTCCTGATTTAAGATTATGTTACTAGGCTATAGTAATTGAAACAGCATGGTACTTGCACAAAAAAAGAAACATAGGCCAATAGAATAAAATAGTGAGCCCAGAAAAAAGGTCAAACATATATAGTCAACTGTATTCAACAAGATCACCAAGGGGACACAGTGAGGAAAGGATAGTCTCTTCCGTAAATGGTACTGGGAAAACTGGATTTTTACATGCAAAGGAATAAAATTGAACCTTTATCTATACCATACACAAAAATCAACTTAAAATGGATAAAATACCAAAATGTAAGACCTGAAATCATAACATTCCTAGAAAAGAACAAGGGAAAATTTCCTGGACATGGATCTTGCAATGATTTTTTGTAAATCACACCAAAAGCTCAGGCCATAAAAACAGAAATAAACAGCTCTAATTACATCAAACTAAAAAGTTTCTGCACAGCAAAGGAAACATTCAACAAAATGAAAAGGCAACATTTAATTGGGAAAAATATTTGCAAATTATATATTTGATAAGAGATTAATACCTAAAATTTATAAATAATTCTTTACAACTCTATAGCAGAAAAACAAATAACCCAATTAAAAAATTGGCAAAAGATCTGAACAGATATTTTTTCAAAGAAGACAGAAAAATGTTCAACAGGTACATGCAAAGGTGTTCAATGTCACTAATCATGAGGGAAATGCAAATTAAAACCACTATATCACCTCACACCCATTAGGATTGCTATTACCAAAAAGACAAGAGATAACAAACGTTGGTGAGGGTATAGAGAAAAGGGAACCCTTGTACACTGTTGGTAGGAATGTAGATTGGTAGAGCCATTATAGAAAACAGTATGGAGGTTCCTAAATAAATTAAAAATAGAACTACAATACGACCTAGGAATCTCTCTTCTGGGTATGGAAATTAAATCATTACCTCACAAATATATCTGAAGTACCATATTAATTGCAGTATTGTTCACAATAGTCAAGACATGGAAACAATCTAAGAGCCTATTGGACAAATTGATTTAAAAATGTGTTTTATATATACACAATGAAATATTATTCAGCCTTAAAGAAGGAGATTCTGCTATTTACCACAACATGGATGGACCTGGAGGACATTATACAAAGTTAAATAAGCCAGACCCAAAAAGAAAACTATTGCATGATCCCACTTATATGTGGAACCTAAAAAAAAAAAGAGAAAGATATAAAGAAAGAAAGGTCAAATACACAGAAACAGAGGATAAAACAGTGGTTAAGTGATTAGCAAGGTCAGGGTGAGAGACAAGAAATGGGGAGATGTAGGCCAGCAAATACAAAGTAGCAGATATGTGTGATGAACAAGTCCAGAGATCTAATGAATAACATGAGGACTATAGTTACTAAAATTGTATTAATGATTTTTGTTAAATGAACAGATTTTAGCTGCTCTCATCACAAAATCATAACTGAAAAAGATATGTTAATTTGCTTCAGTATATGAACCATTTTACTATCTATATGTATGCCGTAGCATCATGTTGTGAACCTCGAATATACATATTAAGATTTATTTTTAAAATACATAATAAAACCAAGACAAAATATTTGGAGTCTTTATACTTGTCAGAGTCAAAGTACCATAGGGAAGCCTCCTGCATTGGGTTTTGCTAAAATGGTTTAAGATCACCCGATACAATTGCAAGGTTGTCTTTTACTTTGGCCCCACAAAGAATCCATAGCATACTGTCCTCTAGCCTTCCAGAATAGCACTTCAGAGGGACACTGATCTCTGAACCAGACCTTTCCTTCTATTAAACTGCCTTCTGCTCATTTTTCATATAAATATCTCATCAGAAAGTAACTCCCCCATTCACCATTTTAGGAGCAAAGAAAGTTATTTTAAGTGAAAATGGTGGTTAAGTGGTAAATTTTGTTAATGATTCTGGAATCAGCGTCTACTGTTCACTGCTGGAGCACAATCACGCAATTGTACCCAGACCAAAAGATGCCCCCAGGTCCAAAAACCAAAAATGTGGAATGACCGATCATTGAGAGAGAACCAGAACTTCATTTCTTGGGGTTCACCTTCCTCACTACAGGTTTGGGCAAATCATTTAGCTTTGAACACACCTGCTCAATGCACATGCTTCCCCTCATTCATTCTTTTGTCTTCATTCATTATTCACCAGCTGCTTTTTTGAGTGTCAGTGAAATTAATCTCCAAGAAAGGAGTTTACTATAAAAAAAAATTCCCTTTTTCACTCCCCAGCACCTCCTGCCACTAGAAGTTCTGAAAGGCTTTCTTACTGTTGCTAAATGTATGATTTAGCCAACTTCTCTCCAGAATTTGTTTTCTTCATATTTAGTAAAAGGGCATCTAGTTGTTCTCAGTTTGGATGGAGACAAAAATCTCATTAGAGCATACTTTAAGAAACCCCTTCTAATTATACACTATATAACTGTGGCCCTTGAGAAAGAGATAGAAAAAGGGATCCTTTTGAAATGTGACTCAGTTTAGGTCCCCCCTCAACTCAGAACCTTCCAGCAGCTCTCCATCTCTCAGAGGACAGCCACTTTCTTCCTACAACCAAGGAGGCACAGTGGATGGGCAGCTGCCAGTGCCTCACCTGTGTCCACAACCACTCTCAGTTCTCTCTGCTCTTTTCTCTTCCCCAATAGTCCAGGTACCTTCCTGCCTCCAGGCCTGTGCCCCTGCTCCCTTTTCTCTGCCTCTAATGCTTTCTCCTCAGATTGTGATGTGACTAGCTTGCTCCAACATTTCTTTCAAGTCCTTATTCAAAAGGTAGCTTTGCAAAAGAGTTAGCCTCTTCTGGCTACCCTATGTAATATTTAATCCCTGATCATGAAACTTCATATAATTTTCCCTGTATTGTTTTCCTTACAACTTATTATCTAGCAAACTGTACATTTTATTTATTTGTCTTGTTTACTTCTTTTTTCTTTCCTAGAAAAAGTAAGTTTCATGAAGGCAGAGATTTTTCCCTGTTTTTTTTTTTTCACCCTTATATCCTAAGCACCTGGAATGGTATCTTAGTAAACATTACTAACCACATAATGGGAGCTTAGTAAATATTTGTTGTTAATTTTTTTAACTTGATATATCTTATCCCTGTTGGCCCTTCCTTAGGTAAAGAATAAGCCATTTCTTTAAAGATGCCTAGGACCTTTTTGAAAATGAGACTGATTCTCTTTTAATAAGAGCTGCAAATTGAGCATACCAAAGCCCTTTTTTACTAAACAACTTGATTTGGGGTTTAGCAATTTGCAAGTGGATTCTAGTTCGGTCTTCACTTGTTTAATTTCAGCAAGCACCTCTCACCACAGGGCTGTGTGCATGCTATTCCATTTGCTAGGAAAGCCCTTCTGCCCTATGTCTCCCACCCTTTACACAATTCCCTACTTAACCCCTCATCCCACCACAGATTTCAGCTCACATGTCCCCAGGAGAACTTCTCTGACCCTTCTTATATCACATTGCCTCTTTTCTTGGCAGTTATTTGCATTTATAGTAATTCACATATATGATTATTTGATCAAAATCTCATATTCACAGATTGGAAGAGTTGGAGTTTGTTTTTACTAAACATTCTTGGCCCCACAAGTCACAAGGCATGGCACTGAGAGCCATCTGATAAACATTTAATGAAAGGATTTTGCATAAGTTGAGGGCGTTGATTTCCTCTGCATAAGAGAGTGATAACTTTTTGCATCACCTATTGGGCAATGGAAGGACTAAACAGCAGTAACGGGAAGAACAGAGAGGTATGAAGAGTGGGTAAAGTGATTAAGACCTGGGTGCTAAGTGATGATGCCCTTTAAAAGAAACCTGAATTTAGCTCATTAAATTCATGAACACTTGGTATGATAAAAAAAATTGGTTATGGAAACTAAATAGGTAGGAAAGTCCAAGACTCTTTTCCATCCACCCACATCAAAAATTTAGCCATAGTCTTGGGGCAAAATTTGACTTCACCAGTGGTAAAAATGGAGATGGATTTTGGAGCAAGGTCATTTCAGTTAAACTCTAAGGCAAGAAGGCCTCCAGATAATACCTGGGTTATACATCTCTTACCACCTCCATTCTTTCCAGTTCAGACTCTACCAAATATTGTCTAGATCATGACAACGAGGTCTCTTAAACACTGATGTCTGCGTTTTCTAGTTTATTCTTCCTACCATGTACAAAATGAATACAATTCAAACCCCAAATGATATTCACAGCTGCTCATAACCTGGCCCATGCTTGCTTCTCTAGACTCACCTTTTTTTTTTCTTTTTTTTGAGACAAAGTCCTTCTTTTTTTTTGAGATGGAGTCTCACTCTGTCGCCCAGGCTGGAGTGCAGTGGCGCGATCTGGATTCACTGCAAACTCCTCCTCCCGGGTTCACGCCATTCTCTTGCCTCAGCCTCCTGAGTAGCTGGGACTACAGGCGCCGGCCACCATGCCCTGCTAATTTTTTTTTTTTTTTTTTGTATTTTTTTAGTAGAGACGGGTTTTCACCATGTTAGCCAGGATGGTCTCGATCTCCTGACCCCGTGATCTGCCCGCCTCGGCCTCCCAAAGTGCTGGGATTACAGGCGTGAGCCACCGCGCCCGGCCTAGACTCACCTTTAACCATCCTCCTGCGTAGAGCCTGCTCTCCACCACCATTAAATTTCCCCAAGCATAGCAGGCTGTTGTATGACTTCAAAGTTTGGCATATCTTGTTTCCAATGCTTGGAATGCCCTATCATGTATTCTCAGGGCATATTTTTATTGATGCTTCAATTTATGCTTAAAAATATGAGAAAGCATCCAAGAATTTTCCCTAGACAAAATTAGTAACTTCAATCTTTGGGATTCCATAGTACTTTTCTATCCCTTTATTATTGCCATTACAACATAATTTTACTATATGTCTATTAGCATGACTACTTCAGTAGTCTATGAGCTACCTGAGTGCATGAAGTGGAGAGTATTTATATCAGCATATTTCTAGGGTCTAAAATAATACATGGCATATAATCATGGGTTCATGTCTATTTAGCTAATACATTAATTAATGACAGTTTGGTTTAAATAATATGCAACAAAAGTTGTGGTTTTAAAGAGGCCGTATCTGAGATAGAGTAAATATTATGTTTAAATTGTGATCCAGAGCTGTAGAGCACATCAAGAACTTATGTTTAAGTGCAATAGAAATGTGGAAGGTACTACAATGATTGCCCTAAAGAGAACTGGTTTCCTTTCTTAAGTCAGCATACATTTATTACACCTCTCTAACGTGGTACTTAAGATGGCAGCATCAGTCCTTTCTTTGCAATGGCCATATTTCTTCAGTGCACCGTGGAATGACAGATGCTATGCAGTATTTCCCAGAATCTCTAGAGTAACGTTTAGTTCAAAGTCTCATCCATACTTCATCACTGTAACAGTACTTGAGACTTCTGTTAAAGTTGTTGTAAAGACATTAAACAGGGTTCCTCTTAGTGACACATTTAAGTTATAGATTCGAAGATGGACATGTTATTCTTTCAGGCGTTGGTAGACATCCTTCTCTATGATGCCTCTATAATGATACCTGAATCATCCAACAAATATTTAGCACTCTGCTGGGCACCTTAGCTGTTAGTAAATGTTGGCTGCATGGTGGAATTTACAAGTTTTGTTGTGGTATGAATAAGATATGTATATATTGAATTATTGTGAATGTAGAAATGTTCTGATTTTATACAAGTCAAGGGTTTCTGGATACTACCTAAATCGTGAGTAATAAATAGCTGACTGTCATTAAGAATCTCAACAAGTTGTCTGACATAATGACATAGAGAGGGGAGAAGGTCAATGTAAACCCAAGTTAATTCATATTAATTAAGATTAAGATTATTAAATGTGCCATGTTCTTAAAAGGAACTTTCACAGTCATTGTTTCATTCAATCCTCACAACTCTATGCTATTTCTATTATTTTTTTAATCAATGAAGAATTTAAGTAAGTGAAAACCTTCCTTGACCCTCTGAAGTAGAGTTACCATTATCTGTGCTTGCACTGGCATTAGTACCCACTGCATGTACTGTTCCAGTACTTATCCCAGGGCACTGCAGTTGTCATTGTCATCATAAACATCCCCCTTTTCACCACCACAAGGTGAGCACTTATGATGAGTCATATGCACAATCTCATTTACTTTAATAATCCCAATAGCCCTTTCAGGTAGATATTTTTATTTTGACATAAACAGATTAAAAGAATTTAGTTTAAGTGACTTTCTCAAGTACACACAGTGAGAACAGGTATAGACAGTTACTGATCTTAAGTATTCCTGTCTCCAAAGATGTGTTCATACCCATAGGGCTACACTGCCTTTTGCTGATTTCCTTCTCTGACTGCTTCACTGACCTATAAATTGATTGAAGTCATAAAGCGTATATCATTCAATTTTAAAACTTTATAAGAGGTTCAATACGTGTCTGTTGAATTACCAGTAACCTGCTTCAAGCTTACTTTTCTCACCAGATTTACTATCTAATCTCGAAAAACTCTTGCGCATTATGAGCTTTCAGGAGGATATAACACAAGCTGAGATTTAAAAAATGACCTGGAATAAGGGAGAGAAAAATGCAGGGTCAGCATTTCTAGCAGAGACAATGTGGCATGATACATTCAGAGAACAGCCTCTAAATAGGTTGGTTAGAACAAAGAGAGGGTATGGGTAAGTGAAGGGAAATATGATCAGAACTGTGAACAAGAGACAGATCATTCACTAGCTAGTATGCTAAGCCAGAAGTCTTAATTTCTTTTCTGAATGTTCAAGGAAATAAATAAAGGATTTAAGTAGAGTAACACAGTCATGTTTTGCATATTAGAAGATCACTTCTGTATTAATATGAAGAGATCAGAGAACGATGTTGGCATGACCTAGGTAAGAAATAAACTACAGAACTGAAACTAAGACAGCGACAATGGGTATGGAAGAGAAAAAGGCAGATATTGAGAAGGTGGATCTGAAGAATGCCATGACTTGTTATGTATGAGGAAGAGGGAAGAGTCAAAGATGACTTCTATGTTTCAGGCTTGAGTGAATGGGTGTTTGCTGGAGGACATTCACTGAAAAAAAAAGTATATAGGAAGAGTGGGTTTCTGGAGCAGAATAATAAATTTTAATATTTGGATACTAGATAAATAGAACTCAGCATAACAGAATGATGCAGACTATATAGGTAGCCTACCTTCCTAGAGGCTGGAAAAGGTCACTTAGAGAGAGCATAAAGAATGAAAAGGAGGCCAGGTGCAGTGGCTTACACCTGTAATCCCAGCAATTTGGGAGGTCAAGGCTGGAGGATCATTTGAGGCCAAGAGTTTCAGACCAGCCTGAGAAACATAGCAAGACCCCAGTATCTACAAAAACTGAAAGAAATTAGCCAACATGGTGACATGCACTTCTGGTCCTAGCTAGTTGGGTGGCTGAGGTGGGAGGATCTCTTGAGCCCAGGAGTTCAAGGCTAGAGTGAGCTATAACTGCACCGCTGCACTCCAGGCTAGGCACTCCAGCCTGGGCAGCAGAGCGAATGAAATGAACAGAATAAATGAAATGGTCAGAGGGTCGTGGAACACAGCCCTTTGGGAGAAATTGGTAATTCACAGTTAAGTGGAAGAAGAGGTCCTCAGAGAGGGAGTGGTCTAGAAATGACTGAGGGGAAGAAACATCAAAAGGAAGCATAATGAACAGTGCTGAATGCTGCAAAGGATCAAAATTAAAACCAAAACGGCTCCATGACCATTGTTTTATGTCACTGTGGCCTCTAAGAAGATTGGACGTTTTGGCATGCGGCCTCTTTACTACTGGATCAGCTGAGGTAAAGGTAATTATTTTCTATGGACCTAGATATCCTTAGAGGTATGTAACACACGAAGCAAATCATGCTCTGTGCCCTTCTCCTTTTCTCCCTTCCCCAAAGGCTCAACTTTTTTATACCAATGGAACCTTGTCAAAATGAACATCAAGATAAATCTTGGTAGTAGACAGAATTGCAAACAGAAAAATGTATCTTAAAGGATGAGGTTGCAGGGGTGGGATTTTGTTTCATATATACGAGAAAATTAAGTCTGTGTATGAGTATACATATATGTGAACATCACGTTTTAGCATCTCCTGACACTTTCCTTCTCATTTGCCTTCCATAAAATTGCATTCCCTCAAAATTGAATGATAGATCTGATATATGAAATGTGTCTACCTGCTTGGCTCTCTTCTTTTCTTCCATTTTTTTCTTTACCAATATTTATATGCAGTTGGAAAACACATGTCCATTAAGAATATAATTAGTCTCAAGAGTTAAATTTTAACAAAACATGAAATGCATGCAGGAGAAGAGACTAATACTCCTAGAACTGCAGTGAGATCTGTTACCCTCCTTCAAAAAATCCTGCCAGTGAGGATGTCATTCCAGATGACTTATCATTTAATGACAGCTGAACATGAGTAGAAATTTTCACATCTGTTTATAGTGTATTTATATATTGTTAACTCCTTAAAAATAATTAGGGAAAATAACAAATTGATTAAGTATACTATATTATCCTTAAACTTTAATTCAAAAGATTTCAGCAGGCATAAGAAAATAATAATACAAGTATATGCCACTCCTCATGAAATGTTAAATAACTTGGGCAAGGTCACATAAACATATGTACTCCATGCACATAACTCTATAGTGGTAGAGTTAAAATTAAAACCCATAGCCATGGCATTAACCACTACTGTCAGTTCTTACACAAGCTATTTGTGCTCATATCCGTAATGTTAAAAGGCCCAGTTAAAGAAAGGAATCCACAGGTAAAACACACTTGAAAAGTATAAGAATCACCTCATTATCCAATTCTGCCATCTGCCTGTCGAATTATGTGTGCAGTACCTGAAGACAGCAATAGAGCCAAGGGGTACATGCAAGGTGGGAAATATGTAGTAAAAATGTCCACAAGGTACCTGGGTTTACCTCCTTCTGGAATGAGATTATTATGTGAGAGAATTGGGGGCAAATGAGACATGGGACTCTGGGAAACCTAAATGCTCAGAGAAGTTGGAAAGAATTAGGAGTCTAAGTACTCTGGAAGATATTTTTGGTAGTGTTTCGTAATGGATTCAAGTAGTGTGTGTGTCAGTGCATGTGTGTGCATGTTCAAGTATACTTTAGAATGCAGGCTCAAATTAATACCTTATCTTTCTGTTCTTGTTAGAAACATAGATAACCTCACTAGCAGGAGAGAGACTGAACTGACTGGAAGGTATTCCATGAATCTCTAGTTAAGGCCTGGTAAGAGCTGAAATGAAACAAGAAAACTAGGACCAGAAAAAGAATGGATTTTGATAACATCAGTTGCAGTTGATTAAGCAATTATCATTTGTCTGATGAAGATGTAAAAATGATAGGAGAAAACTGGAGTGAATGTTAAAACCCAAGTTCCAGGCTTGGTTCTGCATTCAGTAAAAATCTATCTACTTCAAATGTTTACTGGAGTCAATAGGATTTCTTGAATAAACTGGACTTTCTTATTAGTACACTTGGATCTAACAACAAACTCCGATACCTTTGGTAAGCTGCTGTTTCTTACTGGGCTTTAGTCTCCTCATCACTAAAATAGGGTTAAGAATAGTACATACTCTACTGTTGAATAGTGGATTGAAGCTACATTGAAATTAATAAATGTTAACTACATTACTATCACCATAATGCCTGTTATTATTACCATCTTTAACACCCATCAAATCTCATCATCAGAGATTTCTGTCATAAGTTAAAATTTAGGACAAGTCAGAAAAATTCTTCTCTCAAATTAAAAAGTTTTAAATTGATACTATTTATATGTTCCCCAAACTAGAAATATGAACACATTTTTCAATTCCTTTTTCATTCATTTCCACATATAGAGGTCATTCTTACTGAAATCTATCTTCCAAATGACTCTTGAATCTTCCTATACTATTTTATCTAGACTCCGGATATTAGATGATGAATATTCCCAGTCTTTTAAAAGCAAATAACAAAAACCTCACCCTTGATCTTCCAGCTGCCACACCATGTATCTGCTCCTCTTTACAATAAATGTCCTAAAAATGTCATTTATAATCACCAATTCTATCACCACCTTCTAGTTTCTCTTGAACAAATGACTCTCATGTACTTTTCTACATTCCACTGAAATAGTTCTTATTATCACGGTCACCGTAATCTCCCTGATGCTACGTCTAATGGCCAATATTCAGTTCTAACCCTGACATACAGAAGGTATTCAATAACTTGTAGTTCAATGAATAACTTTTGTCATATGCTATTATAATTTCTGTGCTTACAAACTTGATCCTCCACTAGACCACGTGCATCCAGAGGGTAGAGACTATGACTTATTTCAAATTTAAGCAGCCCAGTGCCTGGCACAAGTATACACTCAATAAATGTTGCCTGAAAAAAATGGTTTTTTTTATAATAAAGTTTCATTTCATTCATACATTAAAGTATCACATTATTCTACATACACTTGCTGTCAAATGTGCTTCCTCTCCTTTTCCAAATCTCCTCATTAAGATACTTGAAATGAATCACAGGCCTTCAGGGATCATCAACACTCTTTCAAATGACACCTCAAATAGCTTAGGTTCCCCTGGCAGTCAGTCTATGGCAATTTCACACATGCCCCACTCATGGTGTGTACTTCTTATCAGATTCACAAACTACCCTGATCATATTCAGATTATACTTAACTGCTCTTCTTGCTACACTGCCTTTTCTATTCTGGCTCAACTGCCAAGTAGCTGAAAAAGAGTATATGAAGTTGAGAACAGGGGAAACCAGGGAGCTGTCTTCTATCCTGCAGTGTCGAAATTTTACATCTATAAATTATCTATGTCATTTTCCAAGCTGAGCTAAAGAAAAACAAGCAATCAAACGACAACAGCAAAACCAGTTATATCTGTGTTGGAACCTATCATCAGTGCTCCCTGTCTCCACTTATCTCTCATGATTGGGAAAAATGGAAGAAGGCAATAGCCTTCTGGAATATCACGAGTAAAATAGAATCCAAGAGCCTGACTAGGAATATAAAACACGAAAGACATGAGGAGCACAAACTGGAATTGGGCAAGGTAAGAAAGAGCATTTAAAAGCCAGTACTTGACAGATTCCTACTTCTTTTCTATAAACGATAGCTTTCTTTGAAATTAAGGTTTATGGTCATGATGGGAAACCTTTGATTTAAAACCAAGTGGATTAAAAAAAAACACCTCTAACCATAATTAAGGAGTCAAGCATATCCAGAGAATCTTTTCTTTTATAATACTGTCATTTTCTGCAGTAAGTCCATATTTACAGTCACTCTACAGTATTTCAGCATTTAATCTCATTTTAAATTACTAACAAAGACATTTTGGGCAATAGCAAGCTAGCACATTGCCATAGCAAAATAGTAGTTAAATATAAATACTAAAAACACATGAAGAACACAACCATTCTCCTTCCTGGCAGAGCTGGTACCCAGGATAGAGGCTGAAAGGCAAGACAGTCACTTTCTCAGCATCCTGGGTCTAGGGCCTGGGTATATGACTCACTTTGGCCCAATGGACCTTCAGGGAAGTTCACTAGGTAAGGGGGCTGGAGGCTGGAGTACAGAGCTCTGAGAGAGGTTTACCTCCATACTTTTGGACATGACTATGCATTTAAGGATGCCTGTCTGGAAGTTGCTGCAGCCACCTGGACCACCATGAATGGCAACATCACTGTCACATTGAGGATAACAAACCTGAACCATGGGCAGAGCCTCAGTCCTCACTGACTTCATGTAGCAACTAAGCCACCCCACAGCCCACTTCTTAATATGTGGAGAATAACGCATCCTTACAGTTTAAGTCCCTTTAAATTTGGATATTTTGTTAAATGACCAGCCAAGAGTAGACTCGCTAATAATTGAACTATGCACTAAAGCCAAATTTCCAACTGTCAAATTCTAATATGTAAGCACTCTTTTATCTAATCATTCATTTAATACATTCATTTTTATTTCAGGATAAACAATGATTTATACCTATTTTAGATCAAAGATTGTATGTGTTTAAAGTACTTATAGATATAAAACTAAGTAATAGAAGGTGTGATAAATAATTTTACCATGGTGCCTGTTAGGATATAACTATTGGAATAGATTAAGGTTTCCCAAAGTGTTTCTTAGAGCACTAATTCCTAAAGATGCTCCCAAAGAAAGCTGGCTTCATGGCCATGTAAGTTTAGGAAATGTTACTTATTATAATCTGTCGTAAAGTTTCTATTCCATAGCAACATTAAGGAAACTGAGAAGCCCTGAAGCTAAAAACAAATGAACGAACTTTATTTATCACATAATTTTCCCCAATTTTTCAGGAAACACCTATTAACATCCCCATAACATGGCTGATGGAATGTATTTAGATGATTATCAAAGTCCCTCTTAGCTCCAAAGTTCTACAATTAAAGGCAGTTTCTACCTGTGTCAGCAGTTCTCTCACATACCATTGTTAGTAGAATACAATGTGCATGGATACACCTCTGCTCTATGAGAAAGTTTTTGAGAGAAGATTTTAGATAAGTAGACGCCCATAATGTTTGCTCCCAAAACATACACGTACACACACGCACAGACACATTTTACCCAGGATAATGGCCTCCTAAAGCTCTCATTATATTTGTAAATAAGGTGATAGCAAATCATAGATGAATTGGGCTCCAGCAGTGAGTAAACTATTTCATAAAGGACTATCTAACACTTTCAGTCATCCAGGTTCTTTCCCCACACAATAGTTTGGCAAATGGTACCAATCAATATTTTTAACTCTACATTCTAGTTGTAGATGTGAAACTTAGCCATGCTAATATAATTTTGACAATAAATACATTGATTACATTCAAATAGTGTTGGGGAAGTAGAAGAGAGTAGTAATTAATTGCATGGACATTAGAGTCAGAAAGACCTGGGAACCAATATTAATTATACAATATAGGGCATGTGACATAACCATTCCAAGCACCAGATGTGTATTCATAAAATGGACATCATTAAGTCTTCCATAAATATAGCTATAAGAATTATATGTGACACCTAAGGAAAAGCACATCCCATAGTGTGTGCCTGACACTTGACAAACATTCAATAAATATTGCTTTTTGCAATTATGATTATTACTTATACTGCTTTAAAAAATATTGATGGAGGTCTGCTGAATGTTTAATTAGTTCCTTAAGGATAGGAGTCATATTTATTATTTCTGTATGTCACAAAACACAGAAAAGCACCAGCAGCCTCATAGGTACTGATAGAGAATTGATTCATAAAAAGAAATTCATAAGAAATTGATCTGGGTTAAAACTGAACCACCAGACGTCAATGAAGGAACACCTAGTGAAACTCCTAATCATTCAGCTAATTACAGGAAAAGTGTGGTGATGGAGTTGTTGCTTTATGTTCATATTTAATGTACTGTCTAGTTCACTCCTGCATATACCAGAAAAGCTTAGTGCTTGTATTCCATGGTAATTTTCGAAAGAAAGCTGGAGGAAATCTCTCAAAAACCTTAGTTCCAGGGGTTCTAATAATGACAGTTCCAGCTCATCCCTTTCATAGTATATGTCAGTGTAGTTCTTCTCTAAATGCCCAAGAAAAATTTTATGTTGACTATAGAAAATAATGATTCCTGGCTAAATCAAACACTTACAAAGCCATCAGCTGTTTTATTCAAAGTATCAAGTAGGTCTTTAATTAATGTGTTATATCACATGGCAACAAACCAGTAAACACCAATTAAGAAATACTTTCTGTATGACTTGGAAGATTTTTTTACTTGTCTCTGAGAACCTTTGGGATTCCCTCAAGGCACCATGGTTCTCATATCCACCTCATCTTCCTCCTTTCTTGGCTTATGCCTTTACAGCAGCAAAATGTACAAAAATGTCCCAGCTTCACTGACAAATGTATTAAGACAGCGAGAGAACCAAGACTATTCAAATTTAGTAGAATCAAAACTGTTAACAAGACCGAGATCCTCTGTTGCAGGTATAATAAAACAGGTAGTAGCCATGACCCTCTCTTGAACCTCTGCCCCAACCCACCACTGGAAATATGTTTGCTGGTTAATTTGTTAGTATTGTCCTCAAACAAAGAGCCCCTTTTTTATTGGCAGGTGCAGACAAAGCTGGGAAAAGCCACACAAAAAGGACTCAATAAAGAAAGAGAGATGGCCTTGCTGAGAAGGTAGTTCTTTCTGATTTTGTGTAATAGACTTCACTTTGCCATGAAATTAAATTTATAGTATATCTGCTAGACAGTGGGACTCCAGCAAAGCTTCACTATTCCCTGCCTTGACATTAAAGCAGGCATTTTCATGAGGAGGTCATTTCAAGCCAAATAACTGGTTATGTGAGCCGTTTACAGAAAGCCTTTATTTAAAAAGAAAATGGATAGGCGCTGCCATTTCCAGAAACTGTTAGTGTACAGGCAAACATTCAAATTTTGTTGTCCTTGGAGAATACGCCTAAAAAGACAGATGTAACAGTAGACAATGGGAAGCATTTTGGCCTACCACAACACCTTCGTGTTTATTATTCTGACTCATAATCTAGCTTTTATCAGGTGGCAGGCTGCAAATAGGACAGCAAAATCGTATTTCAATAGCAAGTTATCCCATCATTATAAAAATCCAGGCTGTGATTTCAGCTCTGGAGTGGATACTGCACCAGGTGGTGCAGAGTGCTGAGCATAATCTATGAAGGGATCTCCATGAAGAAACCACTTAATCCTGAGCTTGAGAACTACCAGCCTGCATACACAGTCCTCCTTTGGTCAAGAGGGCTGATATTGACCTACTGTATTTCGGGCTTTAACTGTGGCTTTAATTTCCATTTATGCAACTAATTTAAAATAAAAGGAATAGAAGGATTAAAAAGTCAAACAATTCCAGGGAAAAATTTTGGAAGGTTAGGTTTGGGCAAAGTGGAGGAAAATGCCTATTGCAGATTTCAAACTATGTATCAGAGAAAAGTCTAGATCTTATTAAAGTGTTAAAAGGACAACATTAGAAAGCTAAGTCATCCTGCAATATATAAGGAGAGTAAGAAGAAAATAGTATATTAAAGATTATTAATAAAACTGTTCAAAAGGCAGATGATTTCTGACTGCCATGGCTCTTGGAGATTACCTAATTCAACTTCCTGTTAATAAGTGACAAAGATAAGACTATACTGAGTGACTTGTCCAGTGACAAGCCTATACTGAAAACCAAGTCCGCAGATCCCCAGTTCAATCATCCTTCCACCAAGATATGCAACTTCTGAAACAGATCTAGGAATAATAGCACTCAAACTCAAGCCTTCTAAAGGCCTGGAACTTTAATCAAGCTAATTCCTGATATTGTTTGTTACACAATATTTTTTTGCTCTGAAGCTTAAGTTCCCCAAGCACCACACTCCTCACATTGATTTACATCAGGAGTGTCCAATCTTTTGGCTTCCGTGGGTCACACTGGAAGATGAAGAATTGTCTTGGGCCACACATAAAACACACTAACTATAGCTGATGAACTAAAAAAAAACTGCAAAAAAATCTTATAGTATTTTAAGACTGTTTACGAATTTGTGTTGGGCTGCATTCAAAGCCATCCTGAGCTGCATGTGGCCCACAGGCTGAGGGTTGGACAAACTAGATTTACATACTCTACAGCACATGATAATGCAAGAAAACCACAACAATATCTTAGAACATAAACGGCCTCACGGCACTGAAGCCATGATTAACATAATTCTCTAGACAAGACGTGAGTGAAGAGAAAACAAATGAAAGTCAGCTACGGCAAACTGTTTCTGTAAGATTAACCAAGATGGGTTCCCTAAAACAGGAAGAAACCCTTTAAAGATCATAGACACACAGCTTGCAGCCTTGGGCATAATAACTGTGGTGGATGGGGAACAGGCCAACTCATGTAGCATGCAGAGGTAATAAATGGATCTGCTCTCCTGAGACGAAGTTTTGGGCCAAACTTTGACAGAGACACATGGAATGTGGGAGCTGGAAGGTACCTGAGTGTGGGTTAGGTTTATTACCTCATTTTACATGTGAGAACACCAAGGCCTCAAGAGGTTGCACGGCTTCCTTCATTTCATAGTTTATTGTGCTGATGCTTCCCTTATTATAGAGCAAGTCCAGCACCCTTTCTTTAAATAAGAAACATAATTAATCAAAGGAAAATTTTTATTATAACTATTTGATGTGGAAAAGAATATTTAGCTCTGAAGAGCTGACTTGTGTTTATGTTCTATGAGTTATGAGCTGTATATATTTGAACCTCAGTTTGTTCTTCTCTAAAATGGGGATAATTTTTTTCATAAGTTTTAAGGATTAGATGATATTTGAAAGTGTTTTGAAACTATAAAGTCAGGAACTAATAACATGATCTTTATAAATCCATTTTAAAAACAATATATACTAGTATTTATGTCAAGAATGACATAAATGAAGTATATAATGGCATAATGAATTATATAAAGCATAAAGCATGCTTGTGGCTTTGGGAGCCTTGCCATTTGGTATAGTTGCATGAATTTCTGACATGAAGGATATACTGCAGGGATCGACAAACTTTTACAGGAACCCAGCCTCTCTGCAGTGTTTGATCAATCCTCTGGAATGTTCTTCATAGAAAAATGCACATCCTATGCACATAAACACAAGATTTCACATAAAATTACAAGTGCTTTCAAAAAAGCTCATGTTAAGGACATTATACAAAGCAAAAGTCTCTGTGAAAACAGAATCATCTGCACAATTTGGAACCCCTTTCTTTGTTTCTTTTGTTCATAAGATAAAGCACTCCAATCCATAAATCAAGTAAAATTCTAAAAGCCACACTGAATTCAGGTCCCAAATATTGTCACCGCCACCTACTTAAAATGAAAGAAATAATGGAATGTGTACTATTATTCCAATCCATTTAATAAAGCAGACAATATAAATCCCTGTAAACTTCTGAACTAGAAATCATACATCAAAGCATGAAAAAACTAGAATTAAAAGGAATGTAAATTGGAAACATTTTTAAAATCCTAAAACACAGAACATGAGTAATGTATTAATATTAATAGAGGTTAGAATTTGGAAATTTCCTCTGTTGAATAGACAAACATCATTACTAACTTATTTCTGAGAGCTAATGAATTGCATTACTGTTTATAAATTACACTTATACATTCAAATACATATTCTTGTCTGTGCATGGACAATCCAGAATTGATTGAACTTGCACTACTTATTTCTATCTAAAACCACCTTGTAGAGGAGTCCTAATTATTGTCATACTTACTATAACTGAACGCCTCAGAACAGTCACCTCACATAAGTAGGCAATTTGTAAGATCTCTTCAACCTTTACTTGAAGAGTCTTTTATTATGATGATAAAGGGCCTGGAATCTACATTATATGATGAATAGCTCAAAGAACTCTACTCACATAATGCTATTGTGAGTACCTCTATTAGCACTTCTTTCTCTACCGTAATTATTTGTTTACACATCTATCTTCCCACCTAGCCTGTGAGACTTCCCAGAATAGGGACTATGTTTTATGCATTTTTGTACCCATACATCTAAACATACAACCTAGTACACAGTTTGTATGCAGTAAATTTTATAATAGAAATAAGAAAGTTAATTAATTAGAAGATTAGTTACAAAGAGGTGGATTCTGCTTAACATAAGAGAGAGTAGTCTAAAAATTCACTGCATTATAAAAGTACAAGTTAAGCGAGTATTGGTCAGTAGCTACACAACCAAAATGCAGGAGATAGAAAATTCTGGTTTAGGTATAGGGTTATATGAGAAGATTTTATTAGAAGGTACAACTCTGAAGTTCTATCATTTTCTAAAATATTGTATAATATCCATGCATTACATCTCCCTCCTCACTACCCAAATGGACATATTCTAAGTGTTTTCCATACACTGTTCTTTAAATCTTCTAAAATTAATTTTCCTTCTACAAATTGACCTTCAATATCTCAAAAAAGGGGGGGGTAAAGTATTCATGAATTACTTAACAATGAAATATCATAGAAATGCAGGTACATACCCAACTATGAGACAGGAACATTGTTAAATATATAATTTTGAAAAACTTTTATCTGCAATGCCCAAATTTGATTTTTTGATTATCCAAGCAACTTAATTTATGCTTGATAACAATTTAAAAAATTAAGCAAATATAAATGTAAAGCCTGCAAACTTGACTTTGTCAGGACTTTGCCTTCTAGAAAAGGATTTTTAAAAATATTCCCCTTGTTTATAACACTCATTAAATAATTAGAAGCTTCCCAAAGGTTAGATAATTGAGTCTTTCCTTTAATGTTGTATGTCCATTGGACTAGAAGCTAAAAGGTAAATTTCCTCATAAAACATATTCTGTCCACTTGAACTCTTAACTGGACACACTCTTAACTTAGCATGATCTTTCCACTTCAATATTTGGTATATAAACAAGGAGAGAAATAAATACAGCAGTTAAATCTGAAACAAAGTGAAAATGGAAGGCCAGAATAAAAGCATGGAGCTTAAAACAAAGTTGGAGAGCAAGGCAAACAGTTTGGTTCAAAAGAGAGAGTCCAGAAACTGAGAGCAGAGGGCCTTAAAAACATTTAGTTTGACTCTCTGAGATGCAGAAAGTGATGGTTAAGGGGTTGTCACCATGAGGAACCAGAACAGAAGAGCAGTGAAGCAGAAGGGTTTGCAAATGTGTGTCCCAGAAAACAGGGGTCAGTCTCAGGAAGAGAATTGAAACAGGGAGGACTAAGCTGACACGAAGGCTAAGTCGGATCCGGAAACCCAAAAGTAAGCTCACTTTACATATGCACACATCCATAAATAAAGCTTTCTGCCCCGTTTCCTGCAGCAAGATAAATGACTGTGGGGTATAACCTGTTTAATCCTGTTCTTTACCAAAGGGGAGGAAAGTTGGTAGGATCAACTCAAATTCTGACATATGCTACAGGCTCCACTCTCAGACAGATAAAAGTAGGTATTTTTTTGTCTTAGTTCATTTAGTGTTGTTATGACAGAATACCTGAGGCTGAGTAATTTAGAAAGAAAAGAGGTTTATTTGGCTCATCATTCTGCAGTCTGGGGAGTTTCAAGGGCATGATGCTGGCTTCTGGTGAGGGCTTTCCTGCTGTCTTATATCATGGCAGAAAGTCACAGGAGAGTGCAAAGGGCCAGACACGTATCCTTCCTTGATAACAACCTACTCTCTTGGGAAACTACTCTATTCCCAAGAGAGCAATAACTCACTCACCCCCTAGAAGTAGTGTTAATCTATTCATGACAAATCCATCCCCATGATCCAAACCCCACCCTCTAGGCACTTCCCAACACTGCCACTTTGGGGATTAAGTTTTGATGGGAGTTTTGATGGGCACAAACCACATCCAAACCATAGCGGTTCTCTTTTACTAATATGGGCTTTGGGGGTAGGTAGCAGGTGTGGTGTAAAGCAGCACTAAAAAGGATTTCTGGCTCACACAATCAGTGATGAATAATACTTAAAATTCTGAACAGCGAGGACACCACAAGTACCTACCAATCAGAGCAGACACTCCAAATATTAGAGCGATTATGAATGAATGACCAGTACCAAGGTGCAGTGCATGAGTCCTGCAATCAGCCCATGAACACAGCTCTTAGGATGAAAAGGACCTCAATTTCCTTGACTCAGTCTCCCACAGCCAAAAGGCCAGCTATTTCCTGGATTTCTTTTACTTTTCCAGAGTCCTCCTGAGGTTCATTTTGGCCTCTTTTAGAAAAGAAAGTAGGGCAGATGACACATGGTAGGCGGAACTTTGTATTTTATCTGTCCCAAGTTCTGAAAACGTATAGAACTATGTATATGACAAGAGAATAAAAAGTAAATATAACACAAAAGTAAGGGAAGCTTCATTCGATTAATCAATGGAAGTGGCGAAAGGAAATAGAAGGCTATTTGTTTTATTATTTGATTGGTCTGGTTTTCTCACTGGATTGACGTTTATGTTAGTGAGCATGTAAGGATAAGAACCATATATATTTTGCTTAGGAATCATTGTATCTCTAGTGCTTAGAACACAGTAAACACTTAATAAATTTTTCCATTCTCTCAGCTTTTTTAACCAGTAAACACTTCTTCTCTCACACTCTCTTTCTCTCTCTCTCCCTTTGAAGAACTTTTATTTCTGACAGTAAAATAGGTTACTTTTTTTATTAATCCTACCAATAGAAACAACAAAAATTTTCTGAATAAAATATATTTTTAAAACCTGCTAAATGCAATGATGGATAGAAAGAAAATAACAAATAATTAGAAATGAACACCAGGCAAAAGCAAGAATTTACAAAATTCGGTGAATTTCAACTTTGATTTTCAGGCTTTCATCTGTGATTTGAGATGGAGAATACAAAAGAGAGGTTAAGAGATGGGGAGCGTAAAGAGAGCAGGGTTTAAAAACATATAGACAGACATTCAGAAAGAGATAGGAAAGAGAATGAGAGAGAGGTAATATTTGACAAGATAATGGCAAACCATTTTCCAAAGCTAAAAATACACTGAGTTACAGACCCTGGAAAAGTAACAAATTCCAAACAGTACATATAAAAGGAAACTTCTATCTAGAGAAAAAGAATGCCAAAGCAAAAACAAGTTCTTAACAATAGTCAGAAAATAAAGAAAAATGGAAGGGACAAGAATTGGACTCAAAGTTGGCTTATTTACCGGAAATGAAAGCTCTAAGTCTTTTGAATGATGTGGTAGGTAGAATTCTAGGTGTGTAGTCAATCCAACATTGCTGTGAAGAGATTTTTCAGATGTAATTAAGACCCCAAATCAGTTAGCCTTAAAATAGGAAGACTAGGTATGCCTGACCTAATCATATAAACTCTTTAAATCTGGGTCTAGAAGTCAGAGACAGAGGAAGTCAGAAACGTGAACCATGAGATTTGACATGCAGAAGCTGGTTTAAATGTGAGGGACATTACACAGCAGGCAATGTGGGCAGCCTCTAAGCACCGAGAGCAGCCCCTAACTGACAGCTTGCAAGGAAACAGATAGAACCTCAAGGAACTGAATTTTGTCAACAAGAATGAGCTTGAAAGCAGATTTTTTTCCAGAGCATGCAGAATAAAACTCAAACTAGTCAACACTCTGATTTTAGCCTTTATATACCATTATCAAAGAAACCAACTACACCATGCCAGACTAGGTAGAACCTTTACCTAGTAAATGGCAGCTGTTTAAACTTCTCTATTTGTGGTAATTTGTTGCACAGAGAGAGAAAACTAACACAGATAATTTCAGTGTGCTATGAAAAAATGATTATAAGCCTAGAAATGTCTACTCATCAAAAGCGTATTTCAAAACTTAGGGTACAATAGACAAACAAACGATAAAAGTTATCCCTGAAAAGAACTTTCCAATGAAAAAATCATTGCTAATAGAAATTATAAAAGATATACTTTGAGTAGATGGAGTGGGGCCCAGACAGTGCTGTGAGATGCACAAAGGGATGGAAAAAAAGTAAGTGATGCATTTGTGAATATATTTAAACTGACATTAACTACAGAACATTTTTAAATAGATTTTTTAAATGATAACATTAAAACATATAATAACATTAGTATATGTCAGAAAAGGGGTGATAACTGTTAAAGGGTCCAGTATTAGCTTTATAGTTTGATTTTTTTTAATGTATCTAAAATTTCTAGAGTAATCTCCAAATTCATCCACAAATCATAAAGATAGAGTGAATAACTTAGAATGTTACTAAAGGGAAAATTTTGAGTGAGAAGAAAAATAGGCCAGGTGTAGTGGCTCATGCCTATAATCCTAGCTCTTTAGGAGACCAAGGTGGGCGGATCACTTGAGGTCAGGAGTTCAAGACCAGCCTGGCCAACATGGTGAGCCCCTGTCTCTACCAAAAATACAAAACTTAGCCAGGTGTGGTGACAGTCACCTGTAATACCAGCTACTCGGGAGGCTGAGGCAGGAGAATCACTTGAACCAGAGAGGCAAAGGTTGTAGTGAGCCAAGTTTGCATCACTGCATTCCAGCCTGGGTGACAGAGGAAGACTCCATCTTAAAAAAAGAAAGAAAAAAGAAAGAAAGAAAAGAAAAGGAAAATAAGGCAAAATAAGAGAAATGGGAATATAGAGAAAGATCAAATAGAAAGCAAAAAATTGTACAAATAAAGTCAAATAATATTAATTCAAAACGATTGACTAAATACCATGGCTAATGAACAAATACACTAAGACTGTTATTGAAAATCCAGCCACATGTCATTTTCAAGACACATATCTAAAACATGAAGATACATAAGGGTTAAAAATAAATCGTTGCTAAAATAATTGTTTATCAAAAGAAAACTGGTAAGGGTATTTTAGCAACAATAAAATAGTGTGAAAATCAGAAAATATTACCAAGAAATAAAGAAGATAAAGAGATCAAAAATCAGAAAGAGGAGAAAAGTTTTATTTTGTAAGAAGATATGATCCTGAACGTATAAGTACCTACTAAAATAACCTCAAAATAATAAAGTAAAAATGATCAAAATTTTAAGGAGAAACAGATAAAATCATCATCACACTGGAATATTTTAATACAACTTTTTAAGTAACTAATAGATCAAGGAGCTAAAGTAAAAAGAAAACAAAATATCTGAATGAAATAATTGGTATGTTTCATCTAATGACCATATAGTTTTACTCTAAAACTAGATAATGTACAGATTTAAGCACATAATATTACATTTATGAAAGCTCTTCACAGGCTGGGCCATAAACTAAATCTTTATATATTTCAGGAAATTAGTATACAAATCAAATTTTCTGACCACAATGCAAATAAGTAAGAAATCAATAAGCAAAAGATAATTAGAAAAAGTTGAAAATAAAAACAAGCTTTGAAATTATGAAACACCTTATAAGTAGTGAATACATCAAATAAATAAATGTAAAGTATTTTAAATTAAATTATCATGAACCTATGAAATACTGCCAAAGTGGTACTTTAAGGTCTATCTATAGCCATGAGTGTTTATAGAAAAAAACTAAAAATTAATAAGCTAAGAATATCTGTTAGACTAGAAAAAGAAAAACCAAATCAGGCCAGGTGTTGTGGCTCACACCTGTAATCCCAGCACTTTGGGAGGCCGAGGCGGGCGGATCACGAGGTCAACAGATCGAGATCATACTGGCTAACACGGTGAAACCCCATCTCTGCTAAAAATATAAAAAATTAGCCGGGCGTGGTGGCGGGCACCTGTGGTCCCAGCTACTCAGGAGGCTGAGGCAGGAGAATGGCGTGGACCCGGGAGGCGGAGCTTACAGTGAGCCGAGATTGTGCCACTGCACTCCAGCCTGGGCGACAGAACGAAACTCCGTATAAAAAAAAAAAAAAAAAAAAATCAAACCAAATAATGCAGAAGAAAGCAACCAATAAAGATAAGTGCAAAAATAAAAAAATGGAAAGCAAGCGTGCAATAGAGAAGATCAACAAAGTTATCTGGGAAAATAAGATAGACAACACTCTGGGAAGATTAATCAAATGAGGGGGGAATGGTACAAACAAATAGTAATAGGAAATGAGGAAGAAAAATAAATATAGATTCTGAAGAGATAAAAACTATATAAAAGAAAATAAATATAATACCTATGAATGAATTTAAGGAAAGTATATGACACAAATGAACCAAACTAAAAAACACAAACAAAAACTTGAAAAAATGGAAAAACATTTAAATTATCGATACAAAGATTCAACAGACCAATGCTCTCATTTTCATAATTTCATATGATCCTTCAAAAATACCAAGTTTTATTAATAGACAAGCTGATTATAAACTTCATATTAAAAAATAAAAATTAAATCTGAAAAACCTAAAACAATGAGAGAGAACTAGTTATAATATTTTAATAACTATGTGGCCTCAACTATGAATAGACAGATCAAAACAACAGATAAGGAAATCCAGATCTCCTGTGCATTTTGGAACTTAGAAAAAGATTAAAATGACATCTCAAACTTATGAAGAAAAGACGAATTACATAATTAATTGTGTTGAGTGGTCATCTGGATACAATTAAGTTAGATTCATACCTCTTATCATACACTAAAGATAAATTTTGAATGGATTAAGTTTCTATAATTTTTTAAAACAGCAAAACATGGGAAAAAAATTTTTATAAAGTGAGAGTGAAAGAGGTCATTTTAACTAAGATTCAAAATCCAGAATCTATCAAAGAAAATATGGGTAGATGCTACTACATGAAAAACAAAATATTTGTTAGCAAGAAAAATTATAAAACACATAAAAATAAAAATTAAACCTGGAAAATATGTTTTCAGCCCCTACCAAAGTTAATTTTGGTGATATATTGAATTTATCAATATTGCTAAGAAAAAGACCTATGATCCAACAGAATATATGTGCAAAGAAAAGATGCAATAAAAAAGGACATGGAGAAACCCTTCAGAACATGATATTTAGCAAACACGTGATATTTAGCAAAGATCTCAAAAAACACAGGCAACAAAAATAAATGGAGATAAATTGGATTATATCAAGCTGAAAAGATGCTAAACAGCAAAATAAACCATTAACAGAATGAAGAGACAACCCACAGAATGGGAGGAAATATTTGCAAACTTTCCGTCAAACAAGGGATTAATAACCAGGATATATGACAAATTCAATTCAACAGCAAGAAAACAAATAATCTGATTACAAAGTGGGCAAATGATGTGAACATACATTTCTCAAAAGAAGACATAAACTCGGCCAAGAAATATACAAAAAAATGTTCAACATCACTAATCAGGAAAATGCAAATCAAAACCACAATGAAATATCATTTCACCCCAGTTAAAATGACTATAATCAAAAACACAAAGGATAAATACCGGTGAGGATGTAGAGAAAAGAGAACTCTCATACACTGTTGGTGGAAATGTAAATTAGTACAGACATTATGAAAAACAGTATGAAGTTTCCTCAAAAACTAAACATAGAACTACCACATGATCCAACAATCCCACTGCTGGTATGTATCCAGAAGAAAGGAAATCAGTAATATCAAATAAATATCTGCTCCCATGTTCACTGCATTCACAAAAGCCAAAATATGGAATCAACCTGAGTGCCCATCAACAGATGAACAGATTTTTATAATGTGGTATATATATATATATGTAAAATGAACAATAGAATATTATTCAGCCATAAAAAAGGAAATCCTGTCACAACAACATGGATGGAAATGGAGGACATTATATTAAGTGAAATAAGTCAGGCACAGAAAGAAATTTATCGCATGTTTTCACATGTGGGAGCTAAAACAGTTTGTCTCATGGAGGTAGAAGGCACATTGGTGGTTACTAGAGACTGAGAAGGGTAATGGAAAGGGGAGAGGAACAGAAATTGCTGAATGGGTCCAAAAATACAGTTACAGTATTCAACAGGAATACTGGAATAAGTTACAGTGTTCAACAGAATAGTAGGGTAACAATGATTATTAATTTATTGTATATTTCAAAATACCTAGAAGATTTGGAATCATCCCCAAACAAAGATGTTTGAGGTAATGTATATCCCAATTACTCAGATTTGATCATTACACATTGTATGCATGTATCAAAATATCACCTGTACTCCACAAATATATATAATAATGAGTTAATAAAAGAGGAAGAAAAAACATTTTGTAAAACATATAAAAATATGTACAACCTCTCTTCATCATGGGAGATTCATAATAAATGTACAATGAGAAACCATGTTTCTTTCTCTCAGATAAAATGCTGAAAATTGTGAAGGTACTGAGCAACAGGCACTCTCACATTGCCACTGTCTATGAAATCCGCATGATAGACAATGGGTCAATATCTATCAATACCTTGTGACCAAGAAATTCCCTCTTAAGAATCTATCTTTGGATACACTTGCACATATAAAATATAACTTATATAAAAGGCAGTTCATTTTTATAACTTACATAAAAGGCAGCATTTTTACAATACCACTAAATTAGAAACAACCTGCATGTTCATTCACACAATACATATTTATGCAGCTGTAAAAATAAATAAATTTATATCTCTGCATATATGTGAAACAATCTATCAGGTATATTTTAATATAAAAAAGGAAATTGGGCTGGGAACAGTGGCTTATACCTGTAACCTGGGCACTTTGGGAAGCCAAGACATGAGGGTCACTGGAACCCAGGGGTTTCAGACCAGCCTAGGCAACAAAGAAAACGTTGTCTCTACAAAAACATAAAAAGTAAATAAAAAATTAACTAGACATGGTGATGTGCACCTGTAGTCCCAGCTACTTGGGAGGCTCAGGCAGGAAGATTACTCGTTCCTAGAAGTTTAAGGCTGCAGTGAGCCATGATTGCACCACTGCACACCACCCTAGGCAACACCTAGTGTAAAAAAAATTTTTTTTTTTGCTTATACATGTCTAAAGCACTGTAGTCAAATAGAAATAGTATGTGAGCCACAAATGCAAATTTCATGTATAATTTTAAGCTTTCTAAAGTTTAATAGTATATTTTTAACCCAGTATATCTATTTCAACATATAGTCAATATGAAAATTATTAATGAACTACTTTGGCACTTGTCCCTAGTGGCTTAACATATTGATCAGCACTAGCCTACAGGATAATAAGAAGTAATAGCAATGATTACAAAACTTGGGAACTGTATGAAAAGGAAATAATCATGGGAATGGACATCCAGCAATTGACTACATTACATACTTTAAAAGTAAGTTAATAAATTGAATTTTAAAAATAAAGAATATTGTAAATAACAAGTTAATTAATTTAAAATTTAGATAACATGAACAAATTGTTAGCCTACTAAACCTGCTCAAGAAAGAATAGAAAACAAATAGCCCCAAATCAGTTAAGAAACTAGATTAGTAGTTTAACATCTCTGCATAAGAAAAAAATACATGAATGCTTATACTGATAAGAAAAAGAAAGAACACTTTTCTCCTCCCTGTAAGAATAGGATATTCTTCGTACCTAAGCCTGATCAGCATGAAAGAGGAAAGTAAAGACAAATCTCACTCATGAACATAAATGTAAAAGTCTAAAACAAAATACCAAAAAACATAAATCAAGCAATATAAAAAGATAATATACCATTACTATGCTGGATTTATCCCAGAAATGCAAAGTTGTTTAATACTAAAAATATAAATTGATATAATTAATCATATTAATATATTATTAGAGAGATTTCATATGATCATCTTAGTAGATGCAGAAAAATCATTTGATAAAATCCAACATTCATTTCATGATTTAAAAAGCTTGGAAACACTTGCAAAATTGGGAATAGAATAACACTTCCTTAGCTTGATAAATACTAGCTCCCAAAACCTATACCTATATAGTAAGCTTTATGGTATAGTATAGTAACCTATAGTATAGTAAAGCTTTATAGTAAATCTATGCAGGAAAAGTTTAGTGGTAAAAATAAGAAACAGGTAAAAGATGACTTCTTCTACCACATCTATTCAACATCATACTGACAATCATAAACAGTGCAGTAGGTAAGAAAATAAATGAAATATGTAAGAATTAGAAGAACAAGAACTGGTTTTTGTTACATACAGAAGATGTGAGTGCCTAGATAACTATTTAGAATTAATGGGAAAGATTAGCAGATTTCTAAATTAAAAAAAATCAACATAAAAGGTCAATTGCATTTCTATATGTCAGAAACTTACAGCTAGGAAATGTAATTTTTAATTACGATCAAAAAGTATAAAATATCAAGAAATAAATTTAACAAAGTTTGCATAATAAATTCTTGGAGAATATTTGAAAATATTTTTGGTCACTAAAGAAGACAAATAATTAGAGAGATAACCATTGTGTTCATTTATTGGAAGACTAGTCAAAAGATTCCAAATTGATTTATAAATTCAATTGTATTTCCAATATTTGGTTGATGTTTTTATTAAAATGGACTATTAACTTATATCTCACACAAAACTGCAAGCTACATTCAATTACAGGTACATTAAAGATGTAAATGTAACAAACAAGGCAATAAAACTTATAGAAACAATATAGGAAAATAACTTTATGGCATCACAGTAAAGGATAATTTCTTAAACAAGGGGAAAAAAAACACAAGCCACAAAGGGAATGATTGATTAATATGACTTCCTTTAAAATAAGAATTTCTGTCTTTAAAACAACATAAAGAAAGTGATGTACTCCAAAAAGTGATGTCCAAAAGTGCTATAATGGGCTCTAGTGGCCGGCTAAGGTCATTTATGTATCCAACTTTTGGAGAATACATAAATGACCTTAGCCAACCACTAACAATGATTACAAAAGGTGCCCATATAGCACCTTTGGACAAATTAGGAAAGGCATCATTCCTTAATTTTTTTTGTTAGTATCATTTTGTAGAACTTGAACAGTTCTAATTGGGAAGCCTTCCAATGCCTCAGTAGACATAATCTCTGGCTTCACATCCCTACATCCCATACTGTCATGTATACACACACTTGCCTTCAACCAGATTCTGGGGCACACATACCAGCAATACACACACTTCATGCCCTCTTTTGACCTCCAGATGAGGCCATCATTTTAGGTAGAGGTAGAAATCAAGCCTCCAAAATTGGAGACAGCATATAAAAATCAACTCAAATGGACTAAAAACTTAACTGGAAAATCCAAAACTGTAAAACTGCTAGAATAAAATAAGAAAAAAAACTCCATGTTATTAATCTAGACCATGGTTTTTTTTGACTACGACCCCAAAAGCACAGGCAACAGGCAACAAAAGCAAAAATAGACAGAAAACTTCTGCACAGCAAAGGAAACAGTCAACAGTGTGAAGGGACGATCTATGAAATGAGATAAAATATTTGTCAACTATACATCTGATGAAGGGTTAATATGTAAAATACATAAGGAACTCAAACAATTCAATAACAGTGAAACAAAAATCCAGTTAAAAGATGGCAAAGGACCTGAATAAACGTTTTTCAAAAGAAGACATACACAGGGCCAACAGGTATATGAAAAAATGTCCAACATTACTAATCATTAGGGGAATGCAAATTAAAACCACAATGAAGTATCACCTCACACCTGTTAGATTGGCTATTATCAAAAAGGTAAAAAAAAAATAACAAATACTGGCAAGGATGTGAAGAAACGGGAACCTTTGCACACAGCTGGCAGGAATGTAAACTGGATTTATGGGAAACAGTATGGAGGTTTCTCAAAAAATTAAAAATAGAATGACCATATGATATAGCAATCTCGCTACTTATATATCCAAGGGAAATTAGATCAGTATGTCAAAGTGATATCTGCATGCCCCTGTCCATGGCAGCATTATTCACAATAACCAAGATATGGAATCAACCTAAATGTCCATCAACAGATAGATTTTTAAAATGTGGTATGTATACACAATAATTACATTTAGCCTTTCCTATCATTTACAACAACATGGATAAACCTGAAGGATGTTATGTTAAATGTAATGTGCCACGCACAAAAATACAAATATTGCTTGATCTTACCTATATGTGTAATCTAAAAGAGTTGAATTAGAAGCAGAGAGTAGAATGTTGGTTACCAGTAGAGTAGAATGTAGTGTGGTGGAATGGGGTGAACTGAGGAAGTGTTGGTCAAAGGACACAAAATTTCAGTTACACAGAAGAAATAAACTCAAGAATTTATTGTACAACTTGTTGACTATAGTTAATAATAATGTATTGTACACTTGAAAGTTGCTGAGAATCAATTTTATGTGTTCTCACCATAACAAAATAAGGGTGAGAGGTAATGCATATGCTGGTTAGCTTGATTTAGCCATTCCTCAATGTCTAAATACATATTTTCAAAACATCATTTTGTATACAATAAATATATATAATGTTTATTTGTCCATTAAAAATTGTTTAAACAATAATGAAAACTGGTTATAATAGAGTATAAGTAGGCCTAAATAGAGGTTCTGAGAATATTAGACATGGTTCTGAGAATATTAGAAAAATTATGAGTAGTTGAGCATGATGTTGTGTACAGGGGGTAGAAGACTAGTTGATAGGGGTGCTGGGAAGGTGATTTATAGCCAGATGATTAAGTGTCTGAGTGAAAAAATTTAGAGCCAAAGGAGACATATTGATCCTGAGGTAAAGATGTGGACAACAGTTTTAAACAAATGCCTACAGAGCCTAGTACAACCGTAGGCACAACTGTAGGCAAAAAATGTACGAACAGGATTTGCATATTTTTTTTTTTGGAAGAAAAGCAGAATGTGGAAATTTTAAGACCTGCAGACACTATTGATGTCTGTCCCATTTCACACACATGCTGACTTTAAGAGCCCGTGTCTCTGTGCTTCTCTGTCTGAGAACTTCCTCTAGTGCTACAAGAACTTATGCAGTCCATGCTCAGGGCTGCCTAGATGTGAAAGATTTAATGCCACGGGGCAAACTTCAACAAAATAAGAGACAGAAAACTGTGGATAAATACTCCACTTCCCTACCTATTGAGGGAAAATTCTGAGGCAAATTCTAAATGATTTCTGAGATCATCCTCAGTGGAATTGAGACCGAGGTGTTCACGGTATTAATTCATCCATTAATGTACAATGTATTGATATTTCTCCCTTCTCTGTTTCATTTCCCCACTCCATCACTAGTACTTCCTGAGATCATTTTCAAATAAATTCCCTGCACCCTTTCCTCAAAAAAATTGGAGGCAGGAGAGAGAAGCAATAGAAATGACTTCAGGTGAAGCCAGAGCTCAGTAAATGCTTTCATAGTGTTTGCTTTCCCAAATGTGTATATGGTTATTTGTAGTAGCTGTGTGTACTCCTGTGGGATTTTGAAGGAATTGGCTCTCCCTCACTATTTCAGGACTAGGCCTTGCCTGCACATTGATATAATTGATCAAACATGAATGGTGTGTCTTCAGATGTGCCATCTTGTGTAATATATAACCAATCCTGTATGTCCACAGTATGTGTATGCTGCCCCTGTAAACTTCTTATAAATCAAGAAAAACAACCTAATAGAAAATGGGCAAAAGACATGAGCAGGCACCTTACAAAAAGGAAAATGCCAAATGAACATATGAGAATATGCTTAATCTCATTAGTAACTAGGGAAATGCACATTAACACCATATCACGATTCTAGTTCACACCCACTGATTTGGCAAAATTAAAGCCTACCAAATTTTTGCAAGGCTATGGCATAATGGGAGTGCCAATGGTAGGAATGTAAATTGGTACATTCACTTTGGAAAATAATTTTGTATTAAAGTAAAAAAAAAGTTCATACTTTAAGATTCAGCAATTCTATTTTGAGATATAAACCCTTGCCCAGGAGCACCAGTACAATGTTCAAGAATGCTCATTGTAATCCAAATTATAATACCAAATAACTAAAAATGGGAAGATAATGCCACTGAGCAGTAGAAAAATGAGAAGTCTGAAAATGATTCTACGTAGTGCCAGCCTTCTGGGCAAGGCTTTGAAAGACCTCACTCTGACCTTCCTTTACAGAGTGATAAGTCCATGCAGTTAAAGCTAGAGAATATGCTCCACCCTCATATCATGCTCAGGGAAATTGGCATTTTGCAAAATCCCAAGACTGCTTCCATGGCCTGTGCTGGTATTTGTCTATGTCTGAACCAAGGTGAATAATGCTACTTACTAACCTGAGGAATGATCAAGGAGTGGCTCTTGGGTGAAAGCCAGGAGGGTGGATTTAGACAGAGCTTGGAAGGTCACATTGTGGTGGACATGGATGTGCCTATGAGATGCTGAGAGAACACAAAGGAAGCAGGCTGTGGAGACCAAGGGCCAGGTGGCAGTCCTCCTACTTCTCTATGCTTTTGGTGAAGGAGTCTGAGATTCTAAATTTAAACCCACTCTTCAGTTTCTATGAAGGTATATTTGCCAAGAAAGTATGATAGAAAGTTTTATGACTTGTTAGCTTGACTTACAAATTTCAAATATTAGGTTAGATGGTATGGAGGTCTCCATTTGTATTCCTGCCCTAAGCTCTGAAAAGATAGCAACAGACCTGATTGTGAAAACTAAAAAGAGACACTTCAATGGAGAATTATGAAAAAGTTCATTATGATCATTCAGTTTGATACAAACTACATAGTGATCACATTAATTGAATAAATAGAAATATAGAAATAATAGAAAGTATAAATCACTCACAGAGATATAAACTCAAGAAATCCAAAGGTTTTCACCTCTCTGAGCATCTCTCCAAACCTTTTTATCAAAAACATTAAGAAATTAGACATAGCTGAAAATAAGTGCTGAAAATATACATGAAAATAAGTGCTGTGAATTTGGCTATACGGCTTTTATTGTGCATTAGATACTGTGTTGAAATCTCTTCATATTCAATTTCAGAAGTAAAAATATGGGTCATTAGCTCAAGCCAAGAAATGTAGAATATCCAGTCTCCATTTCACCCATTTTTAATTTTCAAAATCATATGGATTCTAAAAATTCTATTTCATTCAGAAAAGGTGACTATTTCTTTCAGTTCAACATCTCCATTATCCTTTACGGAAAAAGTAACTTTGCCACTACAGACTTTTTAATTTTTTTAATTGACATATACCATGTATGTTTTTATCATGTACAACATGATGTTTCAATGTATATATACATTATGGAATAGTTAAATATAGCTAATTAACAAATGTATTACCTCAAATATTTATTATTTTGTGATGAGAACACTTATCCTTTCTTTTCAGTTTTTGAAGAATACAGTCATCGACTATAGTCACCTTGCTGTACAATAGAGCTCTTGAATTTATTCCTCCTAACTGTAATTATGTATCCTTTGACCAACACATCCCCCTCTCCCCCTTTTCCCTAACCACCAAGCCTCTGGTAACCACCTCCTACTAGAGATTTTTGACTCAGAAGCCTTTTAAAAAGGGAGTAAAGGGTAACTGCATTTAAAGGTGAATTTGTTTAATAATCACCGCTGTTCATCCTAAATTTTGGGTTACATCACACACAAAAAAAAATACTGCAAAATGTTTCTCCAAGTTCTAGGCAGATAAAAGTCATCAATCAATCTAAATATATGAAATTCAAGTAAATAAATGGCAAAAGATGGCAATATGGCTGAGCTTTTGCCAAAATATGCTCAGGAGAAAACAAAAGGGAAATAATAGATGTTTCAGCATTGCACTGAGAGGAATTTTTAAAAATCACCTATTTGCAACCCAGTCCTTGACATTCACTCACCATCTATCTCCTCACCTAGAATAAATGTTTTATTATTGCAGATGCCTACACGTAGAATAGTCTTGACACTTGGTAGGAGCTCAGTGGTAGACATATGTTAAATAAATAAATGAATCAATATATCAGTTAATCAATGAGCAAATAGATTTTATTTCTTAAATTCACTTGCTAGTTCTCACTTATCATATTTTTATTTATTTTAGGCTATGAGCACATTAATTAATGCTTCTTACAGCTGCCAAATTTTCTCCTTTAATTCTTGTTTTGGTGTTTCCTTTCCATTTTTTCCCACGTAAAGCACTTTCATATATAAAATTTCAGAGAGCTTAAAAAAGTGAAATGTCAATCCAGATAACATAGTTACAGCCACCACCACATTTATCCTTTTTAAATAAAGCTAGTATAATTCAATATACCATATTTTATTAATACTATCTTAAATAATTTTTTTCTTTTTAAATTTTATTTTATTTTAGATTCAGTGGTATATATGCAAGTTTGTTACATGGATGTATTGCATAATGGTGGGTTTTGAGCTTCTAGTCCAATAGTCTATCATCCAAGTAATGACCACTGTATGCATATGTAACTTTTTAACCCTTACCTCCAAGAAATCTTTATTTTACTTTCTTTTCATTGTTCTATATGATACAAACTAGATCGTGATCACATTAATTAAATAAATTAATATAAAACAACAATTGAAAAAATAAATAACTCACAATGATACCATCTCAAGAAATTCAAATGTTTTCACCCCTCTGGGTACCTCTGTAACCCTTTTATCACAAAGATAAACCTCTTGTTTTACTTAGTAGGCCAAATCTGCCCCAAGTTTCATGTTGGAAGAGCAAATCACAATTTTCAAATGCTTCTAACAGAACAACATATTCATGTATCTAGAAGGGGACTGTGTAACATCTAGCTTTACTTTTTAATTGCTCTTCTTCTGAGTTGGAGTGCTGTGCTGTTTGCCAAGAACTGAGAATGAAGAGGAAAATAGCAAGAGCCTCCTTGAGAAAGAACAGAGGAGAAAGCTATCTAAAAGGGAAATCAAAACTAAGAATTGCAGATAAAAAGAAAAAGACGTGTGAAGTTAATAGTGTTCCATTACTATGAGTTGAAGTTTAAAAAACAGTGAATACTTCAGACTTCTGTAAACAAATGCAAAGCAGTATCCTATCCTTGCAGATCCAAAATATGAGGTAAGTAATTAACCTTCAGATTGTCAGAACTGATACTCAGTCATCATCACTGTGTCTCTAGTGGTATTAACCCCAAAGGAAAACGTAATTCTTGTTGCTGTCACTCTCATTTGTGGCCCGAAATCACAGAGAAAAAGTTCTTTTCTGCTTCTTTTTCAACACAGAATGCTGCCTATGAATTTTATTTGTGCAGAATAATAAACTAGCTGAAATGTCTTCTGAATGATATCATTTCAGAGTCCAGATTTAGGTATCACATTATCACATATTGAAATTCAATTCATACATGTTACTGATCAATTGAGACACTGTCCAAATTCCTGTGGCTGGTTGACACACATTCAAAGTAACTATTGTGGGATTCTTAGGAATACCAAACTGATAGTTGCCCTCCAGTATATTGAAGTTATGAGTTTTTAAACATCATTTCTCACCATATGCATTTCTCAGTTTCACACAATAAAAAAAATCATAAGTCCTCAAATTATCTATATAAACTTGTTCTCCACCCTTGATATAGAGAGAGTTGAATAAACAAAATCTCTTTACTTACTTAGAATAAACCCATCAGTTGTCTGGGCAAAAAATTATAAGACACTTCTGTTGTTTTCTTAATATACACAAAAACTATAAAATGAGTATTTTCCTCTACAAACTTCATGAATTTTCTTGGTACTCATTTTCTTCATTTTAAATAACATTTTGATATGATTGTGATCCTTCTGTCTATATGCATAGAAATACGCTGCTATTAGTTACATGAAGATTACTACTGCAATCCTAATGGCTTTGTCTTACCCATTAATATATTCATAGTGATTAAGCTAAAATAAATCAGCACGAAAAAGCCTTACCTTTTAGGGCAAATATGTCTACCTCACAGAATCAATAATGTATTATTAGTGTGTCTAACAGACTTTCTACCTAAATACTGGTTCTGTTACCACTTTTCAAAAAGAGCATATAAAAGGTCTGTTTGTTCACTTTTCACTAAAATATTTGTCTCGTATTGGTTCTTTTATTAAGTTACATTCCCGTCTTAAGATACTTCAGACACAATGACCCCACCAAAAGATGTAGAACCACAATCGAAAGTGAATATTTAGTAACAAATGCATCATGAAAAAAATTTTTAAAGATTTTAGATAACAGCATTTTGAAAATTTTATTTCTTCTTTGGAAGATAACAAGAGCCACATATTTCATTCAAAAAATGATTTGAGGGTAAGAAAAGGCTTGTTTTATCTTGCCTGAGTAATAGATTTTTTTCTTTTGCTGAATTCTCTGCGTGAATAACAAGAGTGGCAGCCATTTTCTCCCAGCTCAACATCAAAACCCCTTTCATCTGCTGTCTAAACGCAAACAAAGCAAACCTTCCACCAGGCCTTTCTTTCCAGATAAATTAAAACTCTCATGTCCTGGGGCCTAAATCAAGCCTACAGGCCTTCCCTAGATAAATCCGCTCTCAACCTGAAATCTTCTTGCCACACGTGCTCCTTGTAAGATAATTTTGCAGTAGCTAATCAATAATGCAACAGTAAATTGCATTTAAATAAACATTAGCAGCCCCTCTTAATGAATAAAACCTCATCTGCAATTTGTCAAAGTCAGAAATATTGGACTCTTTTGATATTCATTAGAATATTGGAAATTGGAGCTTTGACAGGTTTTATGTACATTGCAATTACCATCCTGTGGGGGGTTGGGAGATACTAAAAAAAGGCTTACTTTTATACATCCCGGACGGAATATAGTGGAACATACAGCAGGTTTCTAGACTGGAATTCATATGTCTGCTACCACCCTGGTTAAAAATATATTGAGATAATCCTGCTTTCCATTGCAAATTATGAGGCAACCAAGTTGTATGTACCTCATTTGAATTTTCTGACTTTAGAAGAAAAAAATGTAGAAATCTTTATTCTGAAATGATGAGGAAGAGGAAAACTACTCTTGATTTGATATCGCGTATATGATTATTTTTATATTTCACTGAAGAAAGTCATTATTGCTAAGAAATTCTGAAATAATTATAGAAATTAAGAATAATCATTGGCTTTCAGACCTAATATTTTAAATTTATAAAAATCCTTTCTAATAATGTATATTTTAATATAGATTATGAATGTTATGTCAGGCTTAATAAGTATAATTCATTGACACTCTCTTCTATTATTCTACAGAATGCTCACTTAAGAGAATGACTATTACTTAAAAAGTGCTTTAAACAGAACTGAACAGTGCTAAGACATATGTTTGAGCTATACTGTGGGAGACAGAACATAAAGTTACATCCATTTCTTGTCATATTTTCAGGTATTCGGTAATACTAAAAAAAAATTTGATATTATTTTCTATATCCTAAATGAATTATATTTTAGAGGTCCAGACTAGAACACTCACAATCAAAATTAACATCATTTTAAAACTATGAAAATAAATAAAATGCCTTCTATTTTAGAAAAATTCCAAAGCAATTAGCGTGGGAACAAAATGGAATAATACTATATATAACATAAGTATTTGCTTGAAGAAGGAAACTGTTATTTGGAAATATCATTAGAAACAATGACATTCTAAATTTATATATTCTTTATATAATGTCATCAGAGTAAAAAAGAAAAGGGAATTATCATATTACAGATGGAAAATCTGAGTGTCAAAGGACAACCAATCAGTCAGGGTTACACCCAAGCACTAGTCTTCAAAGTAAACAATAAGGTCCTATGCCATTTCCCCAGTTCTCATAACAAGTAAACGTTTGAACAAATGACCAAAATAGGCTGACAAAGAGAAATTAAGGCTGAGAATGCAAAACTGAGTCAGCATGGTCTTTTTGACCCCATACAAAACAGCTTTCGAAACATTCACACTTTCATACAGCTAATTATTGGTAAGGACAACTCTAAATGATATGTTCAAAAGGATTTAATTTAAACATGAGAAAATGGTTAGTGTTATAATTTGTTAACCTTTCTATCAGCCTCAACTAATAGTGACAGGTATTCCAATGTACCTGCAGAGACTCCAGTGGCGTTCGATATGTCAAGCATCACGAGGCATGCCTATTGCAAGCAACAGGCATCACAGAAACATCTGCTAACGTTTACCTCTCTCAACGTTTAAAAGTAAATGAAGATGCAGAACCCAGAAAACCTTACAATGGGAAATGGTTATAAGCCAGTCAAAAGTATGGGACTTATTCCAATTAGCTGTGCCCTTCTTATCTTCTAGAAAAGAAAAATGGATGGAACAATACTTACCACATCACAAAAATTTGAAGCTCCATTCAAGACTACATTAAAATAACTTAGAAAAGTACTGTAACCTTAAGGGACAAAGTAGTTATTAGAAATACCCTGGTCCTTGACTATTGAGAATGAAAATGACCTAAAAGATGTGTGCTTCTATTAAAAATTTAGAAACTCAATATTATTTTTAAAAACCCACACATTTTAAATGTTAGAGCTAAAACTCTAAAACTCTTAGGAGGAAACATTGAAGCAAATCTTAGTGAACTTGAGTAAGACAATGGTTTCTTAGATAAAACAACAAAAGCACAAGCCAAAAAAGAAAAAAATAAGTTTGACCTTATCAAATTAAAAACTTTTGCATGTCGAAGACCTATCATCAAGGAAATTAAAATATAAACTATAAAATAGAAGAAAATATTACAAATCACAATAAGTAAAGAACACAACTCAACAGAAAAAAAAAGAAAAAAAACAGTTAAAACATGGGTAAAAGATTTAAGTGGACTTTTGAATGGAGAGAAGATACACAAATGGCCAATAAGCACATAAAAGGATCCTCAACATCATTTGTCATCAGAAAAATCCACAACAAAAATCACAATGCAATACCCCTTCACATCACTAGTTTGAGTCCAATCAAACATAAGAGTAATAACAAGTGTTGGTAAGAATGTAGAGAAACTGGAACCCTCAGAAACTGCTGGTGGGAATGTAGATGCTGTGGAATTTTTGACAATTCCTCAAAAAGTTCAACATGGAGTTATCGTATGACCCAGAAATTCTACTCCTAGGTATACACCCAAGATAAATGCAAACATATTTCCACACAAAAATTTGTGCACAAATGTTCATAGCAGCATTATTCAGAATAGCTAAAAAGTGGAAACAACCCAAATGTCTATCAATTGATGAATGTGTAAACAAAATGTAGTATATTTATATTATAAAATATTATTCAACAATAAAAAGAAGTGAAGTACTGATACATGCTACAACATAGATGAACCCTGAATACATTATACTAAAGTAAATAAATCCAGAAACACACACACACACACAGAAAAAAACACATATTGTATGATTCCATTTATATGAAACATCCAGAATAGGCAAATCCATACAAACAGAAAGTAGATCAGTGGTTTACAGGGGCAAGATGGAAAGGGAAACAGGAATGACTCTAATGGGTATTGAGTTTCTTTTGGGGGTGATGAAAATATTCTAAAGTTAGATCACTGTAAGGGTTGAGCAACTCTGTGAATATTATGAAAACCACCAAATTGTAGATTTGCAAAGGGTAAATTTTATGGCATGTGAATGATATCCAATAAAGCTATGATTAAACACACACACACACACACACACACACACACACACATACACACACAGAGGAGGTGGGGGAGGGGCTAAATTCAAGTTATTTCTTAATTCAGAATTTGCTTAGATGCTCAGCTTTTCCATTCATCAACTGGTTCATTCTGGGGATGGGGTCTTTTATTACTAATGAACCTAGAGCCCCTACGATCTGGCCAATTATAAGTGTTCAAGATACAGGAACACTGCAGTTAAAAGTATGGACTCAGCAACTAAACTGAATGAAACCCTGACTGAAGCACCTAGAAGCTGTCTGTCCTTGGCCAGGTTATTAATCATTCTGTGCTAAAGTGTTCTCATCTGTAAGATGGAGGTAATAAGAAGTATCTGCCTCATGGGAGTTGTCATGAGTTCTAATGGAGTTAATATAAGTAAAGTGCTGGGAGCACTTGAGATGTTTAAGGCTTCAGTATCTGAATGTCAAAGGGGTAATAGTTTCTCAAAATTCTTCAATTGTCCCAGCACTATAAATTTGAAATAATAACTATTAGATCACAATGTTTAGACTCAGCCATGAAGATTTTTAAGTAGAGACATTAGAAAGTCATATTTACTGCAATATAGAAATGTAAACAAGTGATATTTATGTTGATATAAGTCATTGACAAAGTCTGGCCTATCTGTGGATGGCATGCTCATATGGAATATAGTGAGGGGGCCCCTGTGCAAGGATAGGAGAAAGTTTGATTCAGGCATGAAAAATTAATTTGAATTGAAACAATTATTTTGTAATTATGTGTTTAAAATGCTAGAATTTCCTTAAAGTAGCAATTTACCCTTCGATGCTAACAGCCTAGCTCATTGTGGGTGTTTGATTAAAAAGTCTCCTAAATGTTAAAAAATAATGCACAAGTAATTTTTCAAAATCATTTAACTTGTTTGGTTTAATTTTTCAGTCCCAAATAAAGCTTGTCTCGGTATTTGGGCAAGACCATTTTGATAATTTACTTATAAACAACGAGATATTCTCATATACTATACATACTAATGATATAAATCAGAATAAAACACTTATTTTGCTATGCCCCCTAATAAGGAAAAAATGTGTAGGAAGGGAAGAAGAAAGGTTGATGAAGGTCACATCGCTTATAAGTGGCTAGGTCAGGACTCAAAACCGTCCTCTGTTAAATCGCAGACCCAATATCTCTCTGTTGCACCAAGGATCCCACACTTTTTCAACAAAAGAAACTACTTACAACAAAACTATGACGGTATCATGGATCACACATCACATGACAGTAATTTTTCTTTTTGTATCTGCTGAGATAAAACAAAGACAAAATGCTGTATAAGTTTCGTAGCACTATTAAATTATATTTTATTAATTACATCCACTTCTACATATATTTGAAAAATATATTAATAATAACATGTGCAATTAATTGTACAGAGTAGGCTACTATGGCTGTAGCCCATTCAAAACTCTCTTCATAATTCTCTGGTGATTTTCACCATCTATCTTCCATATCAAAGAACTGATATTCAAGTCACTGTTTGAGTTTTGATCGGCTTTATTTCAAAGACTGTAAGCAGATACACTTAAAATAGGCCAAGCAGAAAGGTAACTTGGGATACTGTTTTTAACCACAAAATATGAAATCTTAATGCACCAGTAGGTGATTTAAGAGTTAATAGGCTAAAAAATGAAGAAGAAACAAGAGAATTAGAATATCCTCACTTTTCAGCCCTTAATGAATTAAGGAATCTAGGCAATGTTCATCAACTACCACTAATGGCACAAATAGTCAGATATGTGTGTGTCCTGATAAAGCAGTGTTAATCCAGTCAACCAGTAACAAAAAAATCCTAAATTTGAAAAAAAAAAAAAAAAAAGAGTTCATAGGGCCAGCTAAGCTAGTTGGGATATGTCCAAAATGAAGCCATTGTATAGCGTATGCCCTGGGATTTGGGTTAACTACCTTTACTTGTGGCCCCCAGATGACTCCCAGCCTAGAGGATACCTAAGACTTGACTATGAAAAGTTCAATAGAGAAGGAAAGAAACAACAATTAAGCATTCAGCATAGCAGGTGAATCATATACCTTCTATGATATGAGTTTGGCATGGCTACTCTGTTTTTACAGTTGAGGAAACAGCCTTGGTGGATTTCAGTAGCTTTCCCTCAATGACACAATTCATAAAATGCAAAACCAGGATTCTAACCAATCCAGCTACAGAAAGATCTAAATCCCATGATCTTTCTGCTATCCCATGCTACTCTTGAACAAATCCATTTATAAGGGAACACACAAAGTAACTTTCAAAGCCCACCCACAGATCTCCAAAATCGAAGCCAACTCGAAATTACAGTTGGATAACTTCAATAAAGGTATGTAACTAATTCTTCCTAGAGCAAGGAAAAAAATTCCCCAAGGATTGTCAAGGCTAGATTACGGAACGTGACTGAGAGTTAAAGATTTGGCCTCCTGTACTGAGTTCAGTAATTGAATGTCTTGGATGAACTCACTTAACTTTTGGGTACTGCAGTTTTCCCAGCTATGAAATGAGAATTGCCAAATGAAAATTTTGGACCTTCAAACCTTCACTAGGTAATACAAGAAAGCTTTGCCATATGAAATCCCAAGAATTTCTATAAGAACTGTAAAGATAAATATAAGACACCAAAAAACACATTAATATGACCTAAATATCTTGTAAGAGGAGCATTTTAAAATTTAACTTAAAGTTAAGGACTTTCTGTTTTAGGGTGTTATAATTAATTTCTCATTTACACTAAGCTGCTTTGTTCCTATAATCCAAATTTAAATAAAGACATATTTTATATAGTTCAATTACCAAGAAGAAAGTAAACATTTTAACCAACAAGAGTATATGCTTATCTCTCTTTGACCAATAAAATCATTGTTTCTGAAAATATTCATATCACATGTAGTGATATAAATTTTGAAGTTTAAAATCTATAATAGAAGCAACTTTAAACATAGGTACAACGAGTAATGGTAAGTAGTATTCAATTCCTGATGGACACAGCACTTTATAATATTGGTTTCTGTAGAAATCAAATCAATAATAAATAATCTCAGAGCTAACAAAAGGGCTGCTAATGTGTAGGTAGTCCCAGAAGAGCAGTATGCAGCTACCCTTAGTATAGAGCAGTGTATATATATATATATATATATATATATATATATATACTGTGTGTGTGTATATATATACTGTATATATATATATACTGTATATATATATATACTGTGTGTGTGTATATATATACTGTATATATATATATACTGTGTGTGTGTATATATATACTGTATATATATATATACTGTGTATATATATACTGTATATATATACTATATCTATACATATATATACTATATAGTATATATAGTATATATATACTATATATACTGTATATAGTATATATACTATATATACAGTATATACTGTATATATACTATATATAGTATATACAGTATATATACTATATATACAGTATATACAGTATATATATAGTATATATACAGTATATACAGTATATATAGTATATATACAGTATATATAGTATATATATGTATATATATAGTATATATAGTATATATATAGTATATATATTATATATACTATATATAGTATATATATAGTATATATAGTATATATAGTATATATATACTATATATATAGTATATATAGTATATATGCTGTGTGTGTATATATATACTGTGTGTATATATATATATACTGTGTGTGTATATATATATACTGTGTGTGTATATATATATATATATACTGTGTGTATATATATATATACACCTTTAGTAAATTAACTAAATTTAGTAAAGTAAATTTAGTAAATTAACTTTATTATCCTTCCAAGCCCTTTTATGGGAAGAGGAGAGCTTTTGTTCCATCTTGTTTTTCTCACGTATATATTCGCCAATTCCTTTTGTCTAGAAATTGCTAGATCTAGTAATTTTAGTTGTACTTGGGACTAGCTACTAACAAATTCACATTGCTACTAGGTGACAAGATAAATGGATTGCCAAGGGAAACGTTCCACTCCCAAATAAAATTTTTTCGTACAGTATCAGTATATTTCTTGTAAAACAGTATTACGCACAATAATGGGAATTTATTGAGATGCAGATAATTTTCCAGACATGCAGGATTTCCAGGGACACTGGGTATTCACATAACTATCAGTTTATTTTAATCTCCCAAACATCTTGGTGAATCCACCTAAATCCCACTTAAAGTACATAATATTTCTTCTTGCCCAAGTTTCCTTATTCCAAATGTTATCTCTTTTGAGAGGAAGCAGGCATTTGGTGAACAGAGTTCTTGAAAAAGAGCAAAGCAGTCTCTTTGGGGATTCTCACTGGAGCCTCCAGGGAACAACTGGGGAGACTACGGCCATGAAACAGACCGGGACAGCTGGCAGGCTCTCTTTTCTCTTTTGCTTATTTTTTTTCTTTCCATGCAGGGTGACATTCCCCACCCCCACATCTTCCTTTCCTCAGAAATCTTTTTAATCCTCTCTTACAATACCTGCCTCTTTGGAGGGACAGAACTTTTCTACCCTACCATCAATACCTACAGGAGCCAGGGATTCTGCTTCCACCTGTTTAAAAAAAAAAAAAAAATCCTAAACACTTTGAGGTTTGTGCACCCAAATTGCCATGGACTATCCTGACAATTCTGATAGCCTTCCTATACCTCCTGTGGGTTGTTCCCAAACTGTGCCTTTCTCCATTTCACCTGTCCTTAACATTTCCAGATGGATAAATATGGAATTTAGAATTTGATCTCTTATTTTTTAAAAAGAGATCAGACACTTTTCTTGGAAAATACTTTCAATTCAATAATCAATTTAAAAAAGGGAGTCAATTTGTGAAGATTCAGTTGAAAATAATTATTTTTTTCCATTTTCTAACACAAACTTTTTGAATACATTATTTTGTGAGTCATTCTCATTTTTGATGAGTTACAGTCATATTTCATTATCGGTTTGCTAGTGAATGACTTACTAACTGAACTTTTTAAAATAAATTGGCACGGTTAAATATATCTTTGTAATAGAAGGCATTCTCCTTTAGGGTTAGGGCTGCTTATTTATTTATGCAGGGTCTCTCGGTGCAGATGGGACATAACCTTGTCTTGCATAGTAATGACGAAAAAACAAAAACAAAATCAACCAGCACAGAGATTGATGGCCGTTCTTTCTTTAATCAAGACTAGGCTAAGCTTATCATAGTTTTAAATTTTTGAATAATAAACAAATATTATAAATACAATCAATAAATAATCTTGGGAGTATAAGAAAAATTACAATGAGAGAGAATATTCAGTAAGAATAGCTCAACCTTTTTACCAAATTATTTCACTCTGCTGGACCTCAGTTTACTCATATGAGAAACAGGTGGTCGAATGAAATAATTTCTAAAGTCCATTTCTGATTAGGAGATGTTCTTAGGAGATGGGTCTCATCCTAAGCATCAGAAATTATTCCTTTTGTTATTTGACCTTGACTCAATATGAATAAGGAATTTTGTCTCTAAATGTAATGAAAATAACGTCTGAAATGGTGTTTCATAACACTTGAATAATAATATACTAAAATCTTAAAGACACTGGCAGTTTAGGTGAGTTCAAATATTAGTAAGTTTGTAGCTCTAAGGAAGCTTCTGTATAATATTTCCAAGAGGAAATTAGGGTGAGGGATTCACTGGTTTCTCCTGGCTATTAAGAAAACGGGGGCCGGGCGCGGTGGCTCACGCCTGTAATCCCAACACTTTGGGGGGCCGAGGTGGGTGGATCACGAGGTCAGGAGATCGAGACCATCCTGGCTAACACAGTCTCTACTAAAACACGTCTCTACTAAAAATACAAAAAAATTAGCTGGGCGTGGTGGCAAGCGCCTGTAGTCCCAGCTAATCGGGAGGCTGAGGCGGGAGAATTGCGTGAACCTAGGAGGCGGAGCTTTCAGTGAGCCAAGATCGCGCCACTGCACTCCAGCCTGGGCGACAGAGTGAGACTCCGTCTCAAAAAAAAAAAAAAAAAGAAAGAAAATGAGTCTACATTCATCTCTAGTAGTGGAGTCTCACACCTATGCGAGTTATAGATTTACAGGTCTGCATTGCAATGTCTTACACAGGACCTTTCACATTCTATTAGGATGGATGTCTTTGGAATTAGGCTGTTAGAACAAAGATATGTTTTCTCATTTATTCATTGCTTTAAAAAATAAAGAAAAAAGAGAAGAAAAGGAAGAAAGAAAAAACTTCTGGAGGCTATAGAGGTGTAGAAATTATTTCAAATTAGATAATCCTTTTTATCTTTAATAATAGTTTCTCCTTGAGCCATAAGCTTTGGTGTATCTAGGATGTCCTGAGGTTACCAGGATACAAAATTTCTCCTAAGCCAATTAGAACTCCCAATCCTGATTAACTGAAAGAAGTCAGATACTAACAACCTTCTTTATCTAGTTCTACAAACACCTTAAGATTAACTAATAAGCCAAAATTGACAAATGGGATCTAATTAAACTAAAGAGCTTCTGTGCAGCAAAAGAAACTATCATCAGGGTAAACAGGCAACCTACAGAATGGGAGAAAATTTTTGCAATCTTCTGACAAAGGGCTAATATCCAGAATCTACAAAGAACTCAAACAAATTTACAAGAAAAAAACAAACAACCTCATCAAAAAGTGGGCAAAGGATATGAACAGACACTTCTCAAAAGAAGACATTTATGCAGCCAACAGACACATGAAAAAATGTTCATCATCACTGGCCATCAGAGAAATGCAAATCAAAACCACAATGAGATACCATCTCACACCAGTTAGAATGGCGATCATTAAAAAGTCAGGAAACAACAGGTGCTAGAGAGGATGTGGAGAAATAGGAACATTTTACACTGTTGATGGGACTGTAAACTAGTTCAACCACTGTGGAAGTCAGTGTGGTGATTCCTCAGGGATCTAGAACTAGAAATACCATTTGACCCAGCCATCCCATTACTGGGTATATACCCAAAGGATTATAAATCATGCTGCTATAAAGACACGTGCACACACACATTTATTGCAGCACTATTCACAATAGCAAAGACTTGGAACCAACCCAAATGTCCATCAGTGATAGACTGGATTAAGAAAATGTGGCACACATACACCATGGAATACTATGCAGCCATAAAAAAGGATGAGTTCATGTCCTTTGTAGGGACATGGATGAAGCTGGAAACCATCATTCTCAGCAAAGTATTGCAAGGACAAAAAAACAAACACTGCATGTTCTCACTCATAGGTGGGAATTGAACAATGAGAATACTTGGACACAGTAAGGGGAACATCACACACTGGGGCCTGTCTTGGGGTGGGAGGAGGGGGGAGGGATAGCATTAGGAGAAATACCTAATGTAAATGACAAGTTCATGGGTGCAGCACACCAACATGGCACATGTATACATATGTAACAAACCTGCACATTGTGCACATGTACCCTAGAACTTAAAGTATAATAATATAAAAAAATTAACTAATAAATGTATTCACTTTTATAGAATGGTGAATTTACTTATTTTGTTAAGTAAATTTTATGACTTATTTTATTAAGTAATTATTACTTATTTTGTTAAGCATATGTATTAAAATTCCTATGATAAAAGAACTTCAAAAAGAGGTTTTTATTAAAGAGGAATGAAAATGCAAAGTGTCTGAAAAAGTTTCTTCATTCTAAGATTTGACGTGTTTGTTCTTAATAAATGAAAAATATTCTTTTGCGAGCTTTAAATGTTTCTTAAATTATCTGTGAATATAGATACTATGATAAACTTGCATAATTTTGTATAGGTGTCAAAAACAGTATATTTCATACAGTAAACAACATAAATGTAAGTTATTAATATGGTTAATAACATAGCTACAGGACATGTTTGCCTGCATTCCTTAGACTTACATAGGAAGGTCTTGCTAAATTATTAACCCAATGTCATCAATTACTTCACCTACTGCTTCCTTTTTAAAAATATATCTGTCTTGCCGTCTGCATCACAGTTTCTCAGAGGATAAGCCAGCTGTGATTGGGCACTGGAAATTCTGTTAGTATCAGCACCTACCTAGGACCAGAGAAATTATCAGCAAAGGAAAAGAAGAAAAGCTTAAAATACACCAACTGAACTTTTTAAAATAAGACAGCTGTACCCTTTCTGTGAATCAACTAAGAAGAATGAATAGTATTACGGATGACCTGTGTAGGCCAATAAGCAAAAACAAGATGATGAAATTCCCTCCCCATCTCTGCTATTGCAATGATGTCACATCAAAGGAAAAGAATCTCATCAACTCTCCTGCAGTCTCAGGGTTTATGACGTCAGCAGAGAGGGCAAGTAATTTATAGCATTGTGTTTACTCTGGAGCCATTTGATATGTATTAATACATGCAGCAGCAGCTGTCTCTTTTACAAGAGAAGTGTGCTCACATGAGCTCTCTCACCCAAACTGAGAACATAAGCACACTCTAATAGCAAAAGAGGCAGCTGCTGTTGCATGAATTAATACATTATAAGTTAGTCTCTCATTTGTTATTCTTTTTTAAATTTTACTATTTTAAAAATAAAAATACTTAAGATTTTAAAAGAAATAACTTCTACAGAGAACTCATATTATGATTAGATATGATGAAGTAAATTACGTCAGTTTTATTATATTTTTTACAGAACAATTCATTTGCATATCAAAATAAAAAATTTAAGTATTTATTATTTTCAGAACTGAGGCATCTGGTGTCTTTGAAATGCTCAAAGCAGTGAAAGAGAATAAAAGGGTTTCCTATTTTAAGTTTTGATACAAGGCTGAGAATGGATTTGTTCAATAACTTATATATAATTCCAGAAATAGAAATTAGCATTAGTATTCTATTTACTCCATTTACCTTGTAAACATAAAAATGTTTTGCAAAAAGAAATGTTAAAAATGGTTTTTAATCCACCCATTGAGTTGCAAATAGTTACATTTGATATCCGTCCCTGGAAATATTTTAAGAATCTAAGTAAGTAATTAAGGAATTCCTGACTAGATATAGCAGGATAACAATATAACAGTCATTCAAACCGCAGGTGCAAAAGAGGAAGAATTGTTGTTTTATTAGCTATCCTTAAACTAATATATAGCTCAGGTACATCTACATACAGATATATGCTGGCATATATGTAGATATGGCTAATATATAGATCTATTTAGCTATTTAAGATAAATAGATATAAATGCAATGAAATCCCAAAATTTCTAATTAATTGAAGTACTTCAGATAATACAAATCTTTGTTTCGTTTGGGGTTGTTTTAGTTTAGTTTATTGTCTGTTCATGTGTTGTTTTAATAAACAGGTTTTTAGAAAGCCAAAAGAGAAATTTCTTTTGAGACAAATGAAGAGTTGGTTCCATTCCCTTGATTCCTTTCAATTTCATTTTATAATTTCCTGTTCTCCTCAGTGCTAAGGTTACATTTCCATTTTGTAAATATTGTACTGTGTAAATCTTATACTTCTAATTTTATGCATTATTTTATCATTGTAAAATATCTGCAAATTAGTTTTCTGTTTATCTAGGACGCTTAAGTATTTAATATCTTTTTTCATGTTATGCTAGTTCTGTTAACAATATGGCTCATTATTTAATTCAGAAAGAATTTAAAAGGTGTGAGGTTTGTAACTGAAAGTGCTATAGTAATTTGCATTGACCTAATTAGTTCATTTACATGTTGACCTTTAAAACCAGTGAAGTTTTGTAAACCCATCTTGTGGCTCCAACTATTTTACAAAACAGACATGGGAGAGGGGACTAAAAAACAAGGTAAGATTGATAAAGAAATATTGATGGTAAACTAAGGGAAAACAAAATTAAAACTGTGTACACCATCTCAATGAATTATGTAAAACAACCTTAGAAGACTGTTTATGTATTTTCTTATCAACTTTTTAGAACAGCAGTCAACTGACTGCACCTTTCTAGTTGCTTATTTTTAAGAAGTAACGGAAAAATAAGTATGTAAACCTCTGCATTGTAGTTGAATTTCATGTCTCTAAAATTACTTTTAAATTTCTGGAATTATAAATAAGCACTCTGAATCCACTATACTATCATAGATTCTGGAATGGATTACACAAAATCAAAATCTTAAAGAGAATTTAAGTATGCATACCTTTTTTTAAAAAGTAGTGCAAGCTTGTATCATTTGGAAAACACAATACCAATTTTGCAGTCGATCTAGCTGAAAAGTTATATGGACAGATCAGTTTGAACAAATTCCCATGTCTGAAGTACCAGGAGTAGTTATATTAGGCCGCCTCTCAAAATGCATGCCCCTTTACTCATTCCTTGTCTACTAATCATTCATTTAAATGCCATATTTATCGTCTCTAATTCAAGCCTGCTGCTCTTGTTGCCCACTCTTTTACTGGAGGTCCCATCCCAAGAAATCTCCCGTACACCTCCAACCACGAGCTTCTTACCAAATGTCCTTGTTCTAGCTCTCCTAGTTTTTGGGGTTCCATGTGGACTCTCGACCTTGCTCCCCTCACGGTCCTCTCAAGTAAGATCTGCCTTTCTCCTGCTCCCCATATTGTAAAGGATTTGAAAGGTGAGGGGTAGCATGGGAAATGATAGTCAGAATTTTTCCTGTTGCCTCCAGCCAAAGGACTTTGTATTAGTCCATTCTCATGCTGCTATGAAGAAATACCCGAGATTGAGTAATTTATAAAGAAAAGAGGTTGCCTGAGGAGCCAAGATGGCCGAATAGGAACAGCTCCGGTCTACAGCTCCCAGCGTGAGCGACGCAGAAGACGGGTGATTTCTGCATTTCCATCTGAGGTACCGGGTTCATCTCACTAGGGAGTGCCAGACAGTGGGCACAGGTCAGTGGGTGCGCGCACCGTGCGCGAGCCAAAGCAGGGTGAGGCATTGCCTCACTCGGGAAGCGCAAGGGGTCAGGGAGTTACCTTTCCTAGTCAAAGAAAGGGGTGACAGACGGCACCCGGAAAATCGGGTCACTCCCACCCGAATACTGCGCTTTTCCAACGGGCTTAAAACACGGTGCACCACAAGATTATATCCCGCACCTGGCTAGGAGGGTCCTACGCCCACGGAGTCTCGCTGATTGCTAGCACAGCAGTCTGAGATCAAACTACAAGGCGGCAGCGAGGCTGGGGGAGGGGCGCCCGCCACTGCCCAGGCTTGATTAGGTAAACAAAGCAGCCTGGAAGCTCGAACTGGGTGGAGCCCACCACAGCTCAAGGAGGCCTGCCTGCCTCTGTAGGCTCCACCTCTGGGGGCAGGGCACAGACAAACAAAAAGACAGCAGTAACCTCTGCAGACTTAAATGTCCCTGTCTGACAGCTTTGAAGAGAGCAGTGGTTCTCCCAGCACGCAGCTTGAGATCTGAGAACGGGCAGACTGCCTCCTCAAGTGGGTCCCTGACCCCTGACCCCCTGAGCAACCTAACTGGGAGGCACCCCCCAGCAGGGGCACACTGACACCTCACACGGCAGGGTATTCCAACAGACCTGCAGCTGAGGGTCCTGTCTGTTAGAAGGAAAACTAGCAAACAGAAAGGACATCCACACCAAAAACCCATCTGTACATCACCATCATCAAAGACCAAAAGTAGATAAAACCACAAAGATCGGGAAAAAACAGAACAGAAAGCTGGAAACTCTAAAAAGCAGAGCGCCTCTCCTCCTCCAAAGGAATGCCGTTCCTCACCAGCAACGGAACAAAGCTGGATGGAGAATGACTTTGACGAGTTGAGAGAAGAAGGCTTCAGACGATCAAATTACTCTGAGCTATGGGAGGACATTCAAACCAAAGGCAAAGAAGTTGAAAACGTTGAAAAAAATTTAGAAGAATGTATAACTAGAATAACCAATACAGAGAAGTGATTAAAGGAGCTGATGGAGCTGAAAACCAAGGCTCGAGAACTACGTGAAGAATGCAGAAGCCTCAGGAGCCGATGCGATCAACTGGAAGAAAGGGTATCAGCAATGGAAGATGAAATGAATGAAATGAAGAGAGAAGGGAAGTTTAGAGAAAAAAGAATAAAAAGAAATGAGCAAAGCCTCCAAGAAATATGGGACTATGTGAAAAGACCAAATCTACGTCTGATTGGTGTACCTGAAAGTGATGGGGAGAATGGAACCAAGTTGGAAAACACTCTGCAGGATATTATCCAGGAGAACTTCCCCAATCTAGCAAGGCAGGCCAATGTTCAGATTCAGGAAATACAGAGAACGCCACAAAGATACTCCTCGAGAAGAGCAACTCCAAGACACATAATTGTTAGATTCACCAAAGTTGAAATGAAGGAAAAAATGTTAAGGGCAGCCAGAGAGAAAGGTCGGGTTACCCTCAAAGGGAAGCCCATCAGACTAACAGCGGATCTCTCATCAGAAACCCTACAAGCCAGAAGAGAGTGGGGGCCAATATTCAACATTCTTAAAGAAAAGAATTTTCAACCCAGAATTTCATATCCAGCCAAACTAAGCTTCATAAGCAAAGGGGAAATAAAATACTTTACAGACAAGCAAATGCTGAGAGATTTTGTCACCACCAGGCCTGCCCTAAAAGAGCTCCTGAAGGAAGCACTAAATATGGAAAGGAACAACTGATACCAGCTGCTGCAAAATCATGCCAAAATGTAAAGACCATCGACGCTAGGAAGAAACTGCATCAACTAACGAGCAAAATAACCAGCTAACATCATAATGACAGGATCAGATTCACACATAACAATATTAACTTTAAATGTAAATGGACTAAATGCTCCAGTTAAAAGACACAGACTGGCAAATTGGATAAAGAGTCAAGACCCATCAGTGTGCTGTATTCAGGAAACCCATCTCACGTGCAGAGACACATATAGGCTCAAAATAAAAGGATGGAGGAAGATCTACCAAGCAAATGGAAAACAAAAGAAGGCAGGGGTTGCAATCCTAGTCTCTGATAAAACAGACTTTAAACCAACAAAGATCAAAAGAGACAAAGAAGGCCATTACATAATGGTAAAGGGATCAATTCAACAAGAAGAGCTAACTATCCTAAATATATATGCACCCAATACAGGAGCACCAAGATTCATAAAGCAAGTCCAGAGTGACCTACAAAGAGACTTAGACTCCCACACATTAATAATGGGAGACTTTAACACCCCACTGTCAACATTAGACAGGTCAATGAGACAGAAAGTCAACAAGGATACCCAGGAATTGAACTCAGCTCTGCACCAAGCAGACCTAATAGACATCTACAGAACTCTCCACCCCAAGTCAACAGAATATACATTTTTTTCAGCACCACACCACACCTATTCCAAAATTGACCACATACTTGGAAGTAAAGCTCTCCTCAGCAAAGGTAAAAGAACAGAAATTATAACAAACTGTCTCTCAGACCACAGTGCAATCAAACTAGAACTCAGGATTAAGAAACTCACTCAAAACCGCTCAACTCCATGGAAACTGAACAACCTGCTCCTGAATGACTACTGGGTACATAACAAAATGAAGGCAGAAATAAAGATGTTCTTTGAAACCAACGAGAACAAAGGCACAACATACCAGAATCTCTGGGACACATTTAAGGCAGTGTGTAGAGGGAAATTTATAGCACTAAATGCCCACAAGAGAAAGCAGGAAAGATCTAAAATTGACACCTTAACATCACAATTAAAAGAACTAGAGAAGCAAGAGCACACATTCAAAAGCTAGCAGAAGGCAAGAAATAACTAAGATCAGAGCAGAACTGAAGGAGATAGAGACACAAAAAACCCTTCAAAAAATTAATGAATCCAGGAGCTGGTTTTTTGAAAGGATCAACAAACTTGATAGTCTGCTAGCAAGACTAATAAAGAAAAAAAGAGAGAGGAATCAAATAGACGCAATAAAAAATGATAAAGGGGATATCACCACCCATCCCACAGAGATACAAACTACCATCAGAGAATACTACAAACACCTCTATGCAAATAAACTAGAAAATCTAGAAGAAATGGATAAATTCCTGGACACATACACCCTCCCAAGACTAAACCAGGAAGAAGTTGAATCCCTGAATAGAACAATAATAGGCCCTGAAATTGAGGCAATAATTAATAGCCTACCAACCAAAAAAAGTCCAGGACCAGAAGGATTCACAGCCGAATTCTAACAGAGGAACAAAGAGGAGCTGGTACCATTCCTTCTGAAACTATTCCAATCAATAGAAAAAGAGGGAATCCTCCCTAACTCATTTTATGAGGCCAGCATCATCCTGAGACCAAAGCCTGGCAGAGTCATAACAAAAAAAGAGAATTTTAGACCAGTGTCTCTGATGAACATCGATGCAAAAATCCTCAATAAAATACTGGCAAAACGAATCCAGCAGCACATCAAAAAGCTTATCCACCATGATCAAGTGGGCTTCATCCCTGGGATGCAAGGCTGGTTCAATATACGCAAATCAATAAATGTAATCCAGCATATAAACAGAGCCAAAGATAAAAACCACATGCTTATCTCAATAGATGCAGAAGAAGCCTTTGACAAAATTCAACAACCCTTCATGCTAAAAACTCTCAAGAAATTAGGTATTGATGGGACATATCTCAAAATAATAAGAGCTATCTATGACAAACCCACAGCCAATATCATACTGAATGGGCAAAAACTGGAAGCATTCCCTTTGAAAACTGGCACAAGACAGGGATGCCCTCTCTCACCACTCCCATTCAACATAGTTTTGGAAGTTCTGGCCAGGGCAATTAGGCGGGAGAAGGAAATAAAGGGTATTCAATTAGGAAAAGAGGAAGTCGAATTGTCCCTGTTTGCAGATGACATGATTGTATATCTAGAAAATCCCACTGTCTCAGCCCAAAATCTCCTCAAGCTGATAAGCAACTTCAGCAAAGTCTCAGGATACAAAATCAATGTACAAAAATCACAAGCATTCTTATACACCAACAACAGACAAACACAGAGCCAAATCATGAGTGAACTCCCATTCACAATTGCTTCAGAGAGAATAAAATACCTAGGAATCCAACTTACAAGGGATGTGAAGGACCTCCTCAAGGAGAACTCCAAACCACTGCTCAAGGAAATAAAAGAGGATACAAACAAATGGAAGAACATTCCATGCTCATGGGTAGGAAGAATCAATATCGTGAAAATGGCCATACTGCCCAAGGTAATTTACAGATTCAATGCCATTCCCATCAAGCTACCAATGCCTTTCTTCACAGAATTGGAAAAAACTACTTTAAAGTTCATATGGAACCAAAAAAGAGCCCGCAGCGCCAAGTCAATCCTAAGCCAAAAGAACAAAGCTGGAGGCATCACGCTACCTGACTTCAAACTATACTACAAGGCTACAGTAACCAAAACAGCATGGTACTGGTACCAAAACAGAGATATAGATCAATGGAACAGAACAGAGCCCTCAGCAATAACGCCGCATATCTACAACTATGTGATCTTTGACAAACCTGAGAAAAACAAGCAATGGGGAAAGGATTCCCTATTTAATAAATGGTGCTGGGAAAACTGGCTAGCCATATGTAGAAAGCTGAAACTGGATCCCTTCCTTACACCTTACACAAAAATCAATTCAAGATGGATTAAAGACTTAAACGTTAGACCTAACACCATAAAAACCCTAGAAGAAAACCTAGGCATTACCATTCAGGACATAGGCATGGGCAAAGACTTCATGTCTAAAACACCAAAAGCAATGGCAACAGAAGACAAAATTGACAAATGGGATCTAATTAAACTAAAGAGCTTCTGCACAGCAAAAGAAACTACCATCAGGGTGAACAGGCAACCTACAAAATGGGAGAAAATTTTCGCAACCTACTCATCTGACAAAGGGCTAATATCCAGAATCTACAATGAACTCAAACAAATTTACAAGAAAAAAACAAACAACCCCATCAAAAAGTGGGCGAAGGACATGAACAGACACTTCTCAAAAGAAGACATTTATGCAGCCAAAAAACACATGAAAAAATGCTCACCATCACTGGCCATCAGAGAAATGCAGATCAAAACCACAATGAGATACCATCTCACACCAGTTAGAATGGCAATCATTAAAAAGTCAGGAAACAACAGGTGCTGGAGAGGATGTGGAGAAATAGGAACACTTTTACACTGTTGGTGGGACTGTAAACTAGTTCAACCACTGTGGAAGTCAGTGTGGCGCTTCCTCAGGGATCCAGAACTAGAAATACCATTTGAGCCAGCCATCCCATTACTGGCTATATACCCAAAGGACTATAAATCATGCTGCTATAAAGACACATGCACACGTATGTTTATTGCGGCATTATTCACAATAGCAAAGACTTGGAACCAACCCAAATGTCCAACAATGATAGACTGGATTAAGAAAATGTGGCACATATACACCATGGAATACTATGCAGCCATAAAAAATGATGAGTTCATGTCCTTTGTAGGGACATGGATGAAATTGGAAATCATCATTCTCAGTAAACTATCGCAAGGACAAAAAACCAAACACTGCATATTCTCACTCATAGGTGGGAATTGAACAATGAGATCACATGGACACAGGAAGGGGAATATCACACTCTGGGGACTGTTGTGGGGTGGGGGGAGGGGGAAGGGATAGCATTGGGAGATATACCTAATGCGAGATGACGAGTTAGTGGGTGCAGCGCACCAGCATGTCACATGTATACATATGTAACTAACCTGCACAATGTGCACATCTACCCTAAAACTTAAATTATAATAATAAGAAATAAATAAATAAATAAATAAAAAGAAAAGAGGTTTAATTGACTCACAGTTCCGCATGGCTGGGGAGGCCTTTGGAAACTTACAATCATTTGATAAGGAATCTCCTTACAGGGCAGCAGGAGAGAGAATGAGTGCCCAGCGAAAGGGGAAGTCCCTTATAAAATCATCAGATCTCGTGAGAACTCACTCACTGTCACGAGAACAGCATGGGGCAAACCACCTCCATGATTTAATTATCTCCCTCTGGTCCCGCCCTTGACACTGTGGGGATTGTTACATTTTGAGGTGAGATTTGGGTGGGGACACAGAGCCAAACCGTACCACATTGGCTCCTTCATTTAAAAAAAAAAAAAAAGTCTGCTTGCTGATCACATGTCTGTGCATATGACACTCTATTCCTCCTTATCACTATCATATGCTGTCGTCCTAGTCACTTTTCAGAGTTCATTGAAGACTTAACAATTAGCTCAGTCTTTCTTTTCAGCTATCTCTCTGGGCAATTTAAGAGTCTACGTAGATTATCCCAAAACCTAAGTTGGATTTTTGACTTTCTCAATTTCAGTGTCTTTTGCCTTACTCTGTTTCAGCCACTCACTCCCATGGCTTTATCCTGGTATACATCAACACCTGGAACTGCTTTTGTCTGAAATCTTAAGTTCTGGTATACAACTACATGATCCACAATCCCTCCAGCTCTTCAAGCTCTTGGTGAACCTGTCCATTCCTTTGGTTTCAACTATAAAATAGGCTTAATTTCTTCCTTCAGTTCTGCTACCTTGGGACATTTTAACCTGAATGCCCCACAAGTACTTCAAATTTGGCAGGACTGCAGTGAAATTCTATGTGACATAGGAGTTCAAAGAATGAATTCTCTCCTGAAGATAGTTCGTCCTTTTGATGTTGACATTTCTATTAATAGTAGAACCTTCTATCAGTTATAAAACTTTATGTACATATTTGATTCATTCCTTCTTCTTTTGAAATGCCTCTTGAACCTGTCCTTATTTTTTCAATGTCATTGTCTTTACCATGATTTCTAAATGTCACCATTGACCTGGAAAGTAACTACTGGAATAAACCTCTTAAACGTTCTCTCTATCTAGGATTATGATTTCCACGGTATTCAACAAATATATTTATGATAAATTTATGTATGCATTAATACCTTACTAGAACTAACAAATGAGACATCTGAGAGTAAAATTGCAATCATATCATTAAAAAACATTGTTATTTTCATTTTCTAAGGGACAAATATGATCTTAGTCGCATATTTTTCACTGGACTAGAACATTTTTTTCCAGATTCCTCTCCTAATACTCTTTTATACATAACTCATTTCCATTCAAAGTCTACCCTAAGTCAGTGGTTCTCAAAGTGTGGTTTCCAGAACAACATTAGCATCACTTAGGAAACTTGTTAGAAATAAAATTTCTGGAAGCCCATCCAGACCTTCTGACTCAGAAATGCTGGATGTGTTTTAACAAGCCCACCAAGTGATTTCAATGCATGCCAACATTTGTGATTATGTTTTCAGCATCACACACATGTTAGTGTCATTCTTACCACTTATAATATACCATCTACTTCTCCTTTTTATAAAAATCATAGTCTATTTCAAAGCTCAAATCAAGTAGTCTCTCTGAAAACATCCTTGCTTTTCTTGTAACTTTTAATTACTAATTCTGCTTACTAGTCTTTTCCCTGAACTCTCCTTTCTCTTTCTGGATAAAAAGTTAATGGCACTAATAACATACTATCAGTAAGTTTATACTAATTGTTACTTATTTCCCTCTCAGTCTTCCAACAACCCACTGTAATTTTGATTCAGCACCACTAACTTATTGAAATGGTTTCTCTAAGGTCACCAGTGATTATTCAATTTCACCAAATCCTATGGACACCATTTTTGAACACCTGACTTCTCTGAAGCATTGTGCATTATTGACTATACCCTTCTTTGTAAAACTCTTTGCTCCCTTGACTTCTATACCAACTGCCTCTCCTGGCTTCCTCCTACTTCAATAGCTACTCCTTTATATTCGTTCACAAAATCTTCTCCATTTTTCTCTGAAATGTGTCTGCTCCCAAGGAACTCATTCTTAGTCTTCTACCTTTATCACTCAGTGTACTCACTCACTTGAACATTCTTAGTTTAAAGACCATTCAAGACTCCCAATTCTGTATCTCCAACTTAGCACTCTTAAATACCTCGTATGGACATTTAACCTAACAATCTACTGGATCTCTCTATCTTTATGCCCCACCTACAGGCATCTTAAATTTAATATATCAAATTCATAGTTGTCTCCCCTCCTATATTCCAGAAATCTTAGATTTATCATAAGCTCTTCCCTTTAACTCACCACTTCTCTCCATTTGAAACATCTTTTAAGCCCAAGAAATGAAAAATGTGTATCTCTATTATCAGTTGCCTTTTCCCAATAATCCAACTTCTATTGTCAGATTCCAGGCTTCAGTTGTTCATCTCCTAAAGGTTCTCTTCTTTTTTTATCACGGGCTGACATCTATGTCCTCCTTCCCATAGTCTTTCTTTCAATAATATAATTTTCCAAAGTGATTTTTAAGAATTACAAATCTGATCATGATGCTTCCTTTCTTAAAACCCATTAGGGGCTTCCAACATCACTCAGGATAGTAATGCCTTAGCTAATCACCTTAGATTCGAAATGGACTCTCTGCCACTGATTTTTCTAGCTCATAATCTGAAAATTTTTGCAAAGATGACATACTTTTTCAAATCTCCACTTGTCTCTTTGTCCTGTTGTTTGTCTAACCAACCCATACTCACTTTAGAAGACCTCCTGCTGTCCCTCCATTGCTGTATTTTATAATCTTTCTATGTTTCTACAACACTTTGGGCATAATTTTATCCTGGCAGTCTATCTACTGTAATGTTCTTCCTCCACTCCTGTTGAAATCTTCTCAGGGCAGGGCAGAGAGTATGTTTCATTAGACATGGCAACTCCAGCTTCCAGCATTCTTCCTGCCTTCTAGAGAATACTCACCAGATGTTTATTGAGTAAATGAAGATGTGAGTGTAACTATACTATCCTAAGGTGCAGATATAAAGTTCATTAAAGAGAATCAACACTGAGTACACTGAATTCACCAAGGTAATTAATTGGTACCCACATCAATGTTAGATCTCTACCTCATTAGACGAACCTGTGATCTCAAACATTTCAAAGTTAAATGTGCCAGTTATCTATATTTTAGATGTGAATAAGAATGAAGATTTCCTCAGATGTGTTTAAGATGGTTAGATTTTATATTTCATCATATTGTTTCAACAAAAGTGCATGACAGAACTTGGTAATAGGTGATTGTTCATATCTAGAAATAGATTATCAACTCTGAGGCCAAAGCTTAAGGTATTGAAGGTAAGGCAAGCTCTAATTTAGAAGAAACCATGATTTTGGTGTTTTTTTTTTTTCAGTCTATGGTAAAGCTGAAATTTTGCAAGTTTCCTCAGAAAACCCAGCTAAGAAAAGATAGCATTAGAGACTCCAGGAAAGCCTGGTGATGGAGTCTGTGGAAGCCTCACAGAGCCCAACCTCCCTCACTCTGCTGCCGAAGAAACAAGTGGTCTGAAGGGCCTTATGGTTAAAGTCTGCCCCCACCCAAATGCCAGAAATCAGTACATTTAAATTTGTCACTTGTACTTGGAACAGGGCTACAGATAAAATAAGTAGAGTTCAGCCAATATGTATAAAGCATATACTATCTGCCAGATACATTTCAGCACCTGGGAATTTAACATGGAACAAAAGTGAGTTAAGAACACATTTTTTATTAAAACAGGAAAAGAAGACTTAATCAACATTTAGGGTTTACATCACATACTTAATTCTTTTCCTAGGGCTTGAATATTTCTGGAACCATTCTTCCATTACCTACTTATACTGCAGGATAATACTTTCACTCATATCAGCCTAGAAGTCATTGAACACGTGAATCTTCAGCCACCTAAATTGTAACAAAATCTTGCTAATTTCCTCTCTTGTAAATATTTTCACACAACTTCTACAATCTGACCAGTACCTAACTTGTGATTGTCTATTTTATTAAAGAAGTGATAAATCAACAGATATTCTTCTACCATTCAGTGTCATTATCTTAATAGATTCAGAGGAGGTAGCAAAGAGCAGTTATCCCAGTACTGAAAAGTAGGAAATGTAGAAAAAGAAAGAGATGCAGTAACACTAATATGCATCCACATTAATCTCTCCTCACTCTGTAAAGTGGAGTGCTTCTGCGACCAATGTGATTCCATGACTTGGGTATGCTTGTTCTTTTGGGCTTGTTGGTCCCAAAATGCACTTGAGTTTAGAGGAGCATCTTGCATAGGTGTCCCATTGCTTTCCAAATGGTAGAAGTCGCAGTATGAGCCACTGTAGAAATTCAAATAAATTTTTTAAGAAGTCAGCCTTTTGCGGGGCTATAGGGGGCACCATGGAAGATTCGGAAGGCACTTTCAAAGATTAATTAATATTGTCTTCTCATGTTCAAGGTCTTAAACACTTCCTCATTGCAATAAATTATGTACTAATATTAAAACCAAGCAAAACAAAATAAATTTTCCAATGCAAGACCTTTTGGATTTGAATCAACTTCATACTCAAGGCTGTAAAATGAATCCAGCCATTGTTTTGTCTCTAACATGGCTAGACCATGAAGACTAAGTAAAAGTAACAAACAAGTGGATGTGAGAACTGTGACATTAATTTAAAATGTATGTTTTTATTAAAAATAAATATTTACATATTGAGAGTGGTACAGCATTTGAACTCTTTCTAATGTCCTTACAATATCGTCTGTTCTAATCACTATAAAAATCACTAATCATTATTGTCACCAATAGTTATAATGACAGCTGAATTCCTCCATGACACATAAAGTCATAAACAATCCTCAAGGAAAATAGATGCTTTGACATGGATTTCACAAACAGAAAGGTCCGGAAGCTTCAGGACTTTAACTGCAGACCTAATACATGGCAATTTGTTCTGAAAGATAGGTCCTAAAAAGGACTGTATACATTGGGGAGATCAGGGAAATACATCCACAAGAATTCATTTACGGACAATCCAGTCAAATTAACTGCAGGAGGCTATAATCAATCTCAGCCATCTTCCTTTTGGCCCACAGAGTCATTTCTTCATTAGGCATCCTTCCACTTATCCACTTTTTTTTCAGAGACATTCCTATTATTCTCTTTTTATTTGGGCACAGCTTCAGAGGGTGTGCAAGAAAAATATTGGAAATGAAATTAAACCCAGTCAGATTTTCAATTCGTTAGCAGCTCTGGATTTCAATTGGGGATGAGGTTAAAATTACTTGCCTTAAAATGAGTCTTGGTAATTAGTTGTAAAATTTAATTGCCCGTGCTTTTCCTATTCCCAATTCCCAGACTAAACAAAAGTTTGTTGTATTTCTTTTTGATTATTCATTTCTTCCTATTGAACGAGAGGGAGAGAAGGGCATATTTGCATTTAAACTTCAAAAAAATTAATAACCGTTTTTAACCGCTATCTGTGTCTTTTTAAAATGTAGCATTCCAACACCTATAATTTCAAAATAAAGTGGGAAAAGCATTTCCCAGAGAAATGCTTCCCCCCAATATCCAGTGTTCTACTTATCATTTTTCATTCATATTTAGTAAATAAGGTTTTTAGTTGTTCTAAACTGCTAAAATTTTAATCTACTAAATTCCTATTTGGCTTATGAAAAAAATTTTATCAGGCACTAATTTTATCTCTGGAAATATTTTATAATTCCTAAAACATCAATTTATTTTTGTGGAAATGTCATTAATTAATACTCATTAACGGAAAATACTCATTTAAGTTCTAAGTAAGTTCTTGACCAATTTTTCTTACATCTGTTCATCTTTACCCTATATTTTATTATTAGTTACATTTGTTTGCTTTTCTTAAGGACTTATTACATAATATCTGTTTAAATAAGGCCAAATAAACACTAAACCATTTATCATCTGGGACTCAAATATGTGCTCCTCTAATGGCATGTAAATGAGATCAAACAAAGAATTACGTTTTCAGTCCTACAAACTGCTACAAGCCAGGTGAACATAACAAGTAGAGAACATTCTTGTTGTTCAAGAAGCTGGTTTGGAAAAGCACTGGAGATCTCAATGATGCTCCTTAATTCAAGTTAATTCCATTTAGTTCAATTCAACACATATTCAGCACTTCCTGTTCCTGTTCATAGGGGCCACCGTGGTAGACCACAGCTGATGTTTAGAAATCCAGATTTAGAGAAGACTTTAGGCATCTACTCATTTTGTTTCAAGCTGTGTTCCAAGGCAGTACCTGAAGAGCCTTGAGGGAGATGACAGGGAGGCTGGACGGAGGCTATGCCCAGTGAGCTTCCTCACTCTTCAGTAGGGGATGCCTTGCTTTCATCTGTTTTCCATATCGGAGTACCAAATAAGACTTCAATTATAAACTGGATTTTGTTACAAAAACATATGAAAATCTCTAATTTGGCCCATTTTCCCAAATTTGCGGATGAGAAAACTAAAACTTACAGAGTTAAGTCACTGGGAAAGTCCTTGTAAATAATTTATAGCAAAATTAGAAGCTCCATTTTAATACAGTCTTCAAGTCACCACAACAGTTTGAGTCATGGAGCCTAGATCATCCCCTTATAAGTGTTAGGAGTCTAATACATGTTATAGTGATGATGCAGAATTTTTTTTGTAATCTCTAGGATATATTCTAATGACGATTTAGGAACATCTTTCTAGTGACACAAGGCCATTAGAGGTGATATGAGAACTATGATGTTAAATACAAGAAAAATTATTAAAAGAAAAATAAATGATAGTTCTAATTCTAGATGTATGTAATTCTACCTTTATAGCACACTACAAGGGTCTCACAGAAAACACTTGATGGAATCTTACTAGACTAACTGTATATATTCCTGAGCACACTCCAAGACCTGGGAGAGGCAGAAAGAAAGAAGAAATGCAAGTCTACAATATGAGATACAAAGTTTGAATTTACTGGGAAAGCAAAGAGAACACATCCGAACAAAATAAGAAGAAGAAATGGTGTGAGTATTGTTGCATTGCGAATGGAATGGAGAACAATGAAATGAGGGCTAGAAGCCAAACCGAGGGTGAAGATGGTCAAAATGAGGAAGATAATTTATCTTTAATCAAAAATATAATAATCACCAGAATAATAATAACCATAAGGTAAGTGGGTAACAGATGTGCACTTATCAGCGTATTACCTAGAAAATTTTGGCCTAATTCAGGAATATTTAGTCAGAAGCTTGATTTGATTCAACACCTATTTAACATCTTCTTTGTTGCCGTCATAGTTTCGTTAGGATCACAAATAAAATGAATAGAAAACTTACCTATATCTCAAATAATTTGTCTTTATATATTACTCTTTCATGTATTTTGTATACAAGGCCTATTTAATGACCCACTGTCTGTAAAACATGTATGTTCTGCTGTTTTTCCGGTGGAAATGAACTTGTGCAGCCTCATCTCTATCTCAACACCTGATTTACTTAGTGATGGGCCCTTGAAATGTATTTGGCCGGATGACAGATGCACTTGGTGTCTGCAGAACAAAGCAAAGCTATCTGACTCATGCAGGGATATTGGACCCAGGACTTTAATCTCATTAGCCTGAGCTAAGTAGCTTTATTTCCCCAAGTAAATAAGTTCTACAGAGAAACTAAAAATTCACCCTAAACTTTTACATGCTTCAAAGAACAAGAACTTCATCATACATATGCATAATTCAAATCAACCTAAAGTAAATTAAATATACTATTCACAGTTAGCAAACCTCAGGTTTCAAAATATCATGAAGCAACAAATAAGAAGATAAATAAATGCAGTTTATTCTCTACCCCTACTTATTTATACCACCCTGGCATCAGCCATAACTTCCGTCTGACCTGGCCTATATCTCTTAGGTAGATGTTAGTGTAATTGCTAATAAAAATAATTATTTTCTGTTCCCCTATCTACTTGCTTTCACCCTTCCTTTCTCACCTTGATGAGGTCTTATTCTGAAATACACAAAGAACAAGGTGGTAACATAACATTAAGAACACTAGAGGTGATGCCAGAACTATGACATAAAATACAATAAAAAGTTTTTCTAGGCCGGGCGCGGTGGCTCACGCCTGTAATCCCAGCACTTTGGGAGGCCGAGGCGGGCGGATCACGAGGTCAGGAGATCGAGACCACGGTGAAACCCCGTCTCTACTAAAAATACAAAAAATTAGCCGGGCGCAGTGGCGGGCACCTGTAGTCCCAGCTACTCGGGAGGCTGAGGCAGGAGAATGGCGTGAACCCGGAAGGCGGAGCTTGCAGTGAGCGGAGATCGCGCCACAGCACTCCCGCCTGGGCGACAGAACGAGACTCCGTCTCAAAAAACAAAAAAAAAAGTTTTTCTAAAAGAAAAAATAAATGATAGCTCTAATTTTAGATTTATGTAATTCAAAATTGTAGAGGAACATTAAAATGAAATGTTACACCTAATGAATATTATGTAGCAATGGGAATTTGAATACACATTGCAATATATTAGTTTACAGAAGAAAAAGCAAAAAAATTATGAGCATCACAAAGGCTCAAAACTCACTTTAAGTAACTGAAAACAATTGATAAAAGTTATTCGTAATTGTTGTAACTCTATTTCTCAGTTGGTGAGCATGCCTTAGTGGCCTATTTTATTTAATGTTAGATTGACATTTAACACTACTGTAGTGACATATCTTAAGACGGAATATAATGAGATTACCCAGAAAGTTCAAATTACAAATCTTTGTTTTTATCTGAGACATTCCATTAAGCTACACAGTCTCTGGAGAATAGCACCATTTAAATACGTGATGTTGTGTCACATCAATGCGATCCTTTATTGTGAAGAAATATGCATTAATTCTATTGGAGAGGAGCTCTTTATGAAAGTATTTGGAATCTCCACACCCATTCTTCACTCAGACTTTAAGTAAGAGTTTCATAAATCTTTTTGGATCAATAAACATTTTTCTATTACCTTTCAGGAAAGTTTAAATTTCCTATATTTTCACAGTTCTCTGGCCAATGACCCAGATAATAAAATACATGTTCATTAAATTCATGGCATCAAGTTGGGTATAATGTTTAATACTCTAAGAAACAGTATTATTATTTCAAATGATCTCAACATCTTGCAGAGGTCAGGAACAGAAGAAGGGTGAAAACAGAGTCAACCTCAAAAGCAAACCTAGTACCACAGAACCAGGGATGGACATGGGGAAAGGTAAGTAGGTAAAATGATTCTGGCAGACCTTTATCTATGGTATTGGAGAATTTAAAATTGAGTGATTCAGATAATGAAGGCAGGAATCATTGAGTAGTTAGTTCTCTTAATGCTCCTTGTCCATGCCAAAGTGGTGTTGGAAAGTTCATCCTCTAGAAGAAGAGAACAAGGTCTAGATAAAGGATAGGCAAACTGCATAGTACAGGCAAAATCCAGCTTGCTGCCTGCTTTTGTAAAGAAATAAAATTTTATTGGAATGCGGCCATGCTCATTCATTTTGGTATTGTCTGCAGCTGCTTTCATGTCAAAAGAGCAGAGTTAAGCAATTGTGTCTAACCGAGTGTCTTGCAAAGCCATTTATTTATGACTAGAAATTCTGCCTACCCACAATCTAGATGATGTGTGCACATCAACATTACTTTTGGAATAACTGGACTGGTCAATCTTCCAAATCATTCTAATGACAAGATGGCTTCTACAGAGGCACTTCATTGTTCACGTTGTTACTATCCTTTGAAGTAAACCTCTTCTATTTTACTTCAAATTTATAGATTTTTCTCTTCCTCCACGTATCACAGAAGTGATATGTCTTATTGAGCCCAGGAGTATTAACATTGTGGTAAATTCTGCTACTCACTAGCTGAATGATCTCCAGTTGGGTTCTCTCTGCTCTAATTCTTGTCATTATCCTCATCAACTTCAGCATTGATGGAGCTGATATATTTCACACTGTAGCCTCAAAATGACCTACCTATCTCCAAAATTCTTACTCACCTTCCTTGAGATGTTTCTTGCTCATTTACAAGATAGAAATATGGCATCTATCACCTAAGATTGTTGTGAGAATCAATAAAATAAAATATAGTGACAACTTTTGTCACATGGTAATTTAAAAGCTTTAAATTTGTGGTAGGATCCAAGGTGCTAGTGTGTAGGACAATATCTCCTCTGGCTCCTCCCACTACTATTCCACCTTATCTTGGCACCCTCACTTAAAGGTGTGATTCCATTTATCTGATATCTGTTTACAATACATACTTTTGACCTTTTTGCTTCAATGAAATCTGGGTTCCTTTCCATCTCCACCCCAGTCCCCTTAGTCTTCAAATTCCTTGCTGATATGGGGCAATCATTCAACCCCTCTTTTGCCATTTCTCCTACCTCCACCCTCACCAAAAAATAAATAAGATAAATATGTACAAGACACAGAAAATTGTATTACAATCTACCACATCTTGTTGCCATTTTCAGGCTTCTACTTTAACACTCCCATTCAAAGTCTCTCCTCTTTAAGTCTAATTCCATCCTGCTATACTATTTTCTACTTTTCTTTCTCCCCATAATCTGCCAATTATAGAGCCACATCCTCAAATCTGGTACTGGCTCACATTCTCTATATCCTATCTTTGAACATTAACCTAGTAGATGTTACTCCTTCAAATCATGCATTCAATAATCTATTATCAAAATTTGGGGAACCTCTTAATACAGATGGCCTGCCTCAGCCACCCCAGTTCAGCCATGCACTTCTACAGTACATTTAGACTTTGTTATCACTCGGATTGTTTTGCTTCTGAAATATTTTACTTTGATATCCTGCACTCTGGTCACAGCCTTATATCTTCACATTTTGTCAGTCCCTTACTTTCACTTCACTTGCTCAAAACTCACTAAGACATAAAATAAACTTGTATTCTCTGTTTTGATCACAGTTTCCTCTCTCTCAAAACCTCTAGTTTCATGTCTTTTCCAGTCTAGCACAGACATCCCTCTCCATCATAATATCTTCATTACCAAATGTCATTTTGCCACATCTACTACAAACCCTCACTCTGGTATCAATCCAAACGTCTACCTTCAAGGAATGGGGACCAAAGACAGTCTTAGTAAGAATGGACCCAGTGGAGGGAGGCAGTGAATTCTGGGAACAAATGATATAGTGGGCATCTTATTTTCTCTTTAGCCAACTAATCCTTCTGTGTCCTCAGTTTGTCAATGGTAGCACCATTCTGCTAATAACATAGAGGGTAAATTTCAAATTCATTGTTGACTTTTTTCATATTCTTGCCTATCACATTAATACACTTGCAAAGTATTGTCAATAATTACTTTGGTCTATTCCTTTGTGTTTTCCCTGTTATCATTGAAATTTAAGTTTTCATTACTAAATACCGAAATCATCGCAAGATATCCCAATTTACTATTTTTCCTCACCTCCTACACAGCATTGACAGTATATTTCATAATACAATACCTAAATCATAAGTCTATAAGAAATAACACTCAAAAGCCTCCAATAGATTCCTTCTGCATTTATAATTAATTTCATAATCCCTAGCCTCACTTTGAGGAGCTCTGTAATCTGCTCAACACTGTCATTCTGGTTTCTAATTACACATCATGCACTTACATATTACCTACACTTTTGTTGTCATAGACTTCTTACCCATTCCACAACACACTACATTTATTTCTCTGACCTGCAAGCCCTTACTCAAGCTTTTCTGCCACCTGAAGTGCTCGCTCCACCTTCTCCTCCTCACTTGTGCCTTGTGAAAGATCTTCCTGTCAATCAAGGACTTATCCAAATATCACTTATTTTATAGGGCATTCTCAACTCCTGAACTCTTTCCTCACTTCTATATTCCTATAGCCTCCTGCTGCTCAAAGTATGGCTTTCAAACCAGCAGCATTAGTTAACATCACCTTGGAGCCTGATAGAATTGCAAGATCTTGGGTTCCACCCCAGATTTACTGAATCAGATTCTAGATTTAAAAAAAAAAAAATATATATATATATATATATATGCTTACACATATATACTTTATATATATGTGTGTGTGTATACATATACACATATGTGTGTATAAGTGTGTATATATGTGTATATATGTGTATGTACCTATATGTGTATATATGTATACATATATATGTATATATGTGTATATGCATGTGTATATATGTATGCACTTAGGTGATTTATATGCACACTACAGTTTGAAATGCACTGCTATAGCACAACTGCTATGAGGCAATGGTGCCTTGCATTACTTTGTGTGCATAATTTCAGTAAAAAGGTGTTAGAGTCCAAAAACACACCCTAGTTCCAGTACTGCCTCCACCTTCCTATGTTATATTTTGGAAGTCTCTTAATTTTACTTAATTTCAGCTTTCTTTGCTACGAAAATGGAGAAAATAATACATAGCTTCAAGGGATATTTGAAGATTAAATGGCATTAGTTTTGTGAAAGTACGTTTCATAGTACCTGGTACATAAGTTTAATAAACATTGATTTTATATTTACCTTCCCTATAGTGAAATTTCTTAGAATGGAGGAATTGTGTCTGATACATTTTTCAGGTTCACCAGTGACTTAGGTCAGTGTAAAGCAGGCTCCAGGAGGCAGGGAGCCCGGCTGTTGGTTCACTGCTCTATTTCCACATAGTATATATTGGCAGGGGGCAGGGAGAATGGAATGTCTTATAGTGAATGACTGATTATTATTTGAGAACGTCATTGCAATATAAAACCTATAAAAAGTGTTTAGAAGTAATAGAGTACTTAGTTTGGAGAAGAAAAGCCTTGGATAACTTTAATAACTGAGTTCTAACATATATTTATTAAACAGAGAAGGACACGTTTGACTTTTTTTTCTATTCTTACTACTTCTCACAAAGTATATGAGAAAACTAGACAAACTTTTTAGACTATCATATCCATAATACCACTACTTGTTTTAGAGACCAAAAGATGTACACAACAATATAGCCACAACATGCTAAAAGTATGACATTGTGTGATTGTCCTGTTTTCAGTTACCCAAATGTAACTGGGAGATAGAGCGGAGCTGGTTACCTCTGAGGTCAAGAGAAAGGAGAGTTTTGTTCCTCTCCAATAAGTACTTTCTTGGGAAAATAACAGGTAACTGCCTACATACTGAGACACCGAGGCCTAACTCAATGAGAGAAAAAAATTTTAAATGTCTCCTAATTTTTGCCAACTAATTTTTCAGGTTAAGGTCAAAATAGTTAACACTGATAAACCCCTTTTGTATGTAAAATTAATTTTTTACTAATAAGGATTATTTTACAAACTGGTCACAGTGAAAAGTTGTAATGTTTTCTTTCCTCGGGATCTTTGTGAACAGGACTGAGTTTGACAGGTTTAAATTTGCTGCTAAGAGTTAAATTATTTCCTCTAGCCTTCAGCCCTAGAATCCTGTCATTCTGCATTTCAGCAAGACTAAGCTATGAACAGCTTAAAACATACAGGTAAATAGTTGGTTTCCTTTGCTTCCATGTCCCTAGTCAACTGACATTGGCAATTAACTTTATTCCTATTCTTTAAGAGTCTACAAGGTTCCATGAGCTGTCAGTGTTCACATCACATCCACTGTCCTAAGTACATCCTTAACCCAAAATCAGTATATTTTTTCTTTAGCCCACTGGGACTTAATATGTCACTTCACACAATGTAATTTCCCATAAACCATAAATGACCTTTAATGCGTCAGTGACTGCATCAAATGTTATGATAAATTTTTTAATGACTGAATAATTTGGAGACCATTGTAGAAAAATGAAATGACAAAAAAAGTCAGGAGGAAAATATGAATCATTTAGTAAAAAGGGTTAAAAGGATTTTTCTCCTTGTGTCTGTGATGCCTATAAAAAAGGTAGATTTATGTGCCTTCCTAGCCTCTATTTTACCTCTTCTTTTCAGCATTTAACATTATATGTAATCTACAAAAAGCTGTCTTGAGGCCTAGACCTGCCCATCATCAACCATACCTCAAACCCCACAAATTCAATTCCAGATGCATGAAGAATAATGTAGACCTTTACTGCAGATTTTCCAGAAGGGAAAAGAACGGTTCACAGAAAGCTTTGAGCAGTGCTGAGCAAAACATGCTTAGCGCTTCACCAGTCTCAACCCCCAGGGATCCCCACATAGACTGTGCAGAAACCACTCTGTCTCTCCTACGCACACCCTCTCCATGTAGCCTCCACACTGCTGTGCCTCTCCTCTTCTTCCACCATAAGCCCTACACATGGTCTCTCCGCCAATACTACCCGCTGCAAAGTGCAGCCACGTTGCACACTCTGACTCTTTCCAGCAAGGCCCAGTCTCCTGAAGATGTGGGGAATAAACTTTTAACTACAATTCAATTTAATTTAAAAGAATTACAAAGTGTATAATCTGTGTTCAAGGCCCATGGCTAAGTGCTATGAAAGTCAGGTGAGGAACAAAGAACATTTGCACAGTTTTGGCCCACTGAGAGCATGCAATGTGGTGAAAGCAAAAAAAAAAAAAAAAAAAAAAAAAAAGGAGAAGTACTAAAGAAATATATAATTTAATGTTGTATATTGTAGAAGTGCTGAGAAAAAAACAACTAGGTTGTAGAGAGGAGATGAGAGAAACAACTAATTTAAGTGGGGAGATTAGGAAATGAATATCAGAGAATGAGCCATTGAAGCTATGAGTATAATTTCAAGAAGCAGAAAATGCATTTCATACTGAAGGAAGATGACAAACATAGGCAGATAAATTTAAAAGTACATTATGTGTTTGGGGAGTATCATTGTCATTAAGATAACTGGAGGATAAGGAGTATACGGAAATGGGAGGTTGGTGAGAGATGAAATTGGAAAGTGAGTTTGAATCCATTCAGTTTTTTAACAGATAATATTCGGATGTCTACAGTGTGCCAAGGATACTGTGTTAGATGCTGTGGTATATGATGAGTAAAGGTGCACACATAATTCCTGCTGTCATCTAATTATATCATAATACATGCCATAAATAAACAAGAATTTAACTTGTGACAAGCCATGAAGAAGAGATTAACAGAGTGAGGGCACAATCCATGGGGGCCTGGCATGAGGGCCTACCCTGCTCTGGGAGTTCAAGGGAGGCTTTCTTCAGGGGGGTTATTAAAGTGGAGATACAAAGGATTATATTTCACCAGGCAAAAAGGTGAGAGGACTAGAACATGATGGAATAGCACATTCAAAACAGCACAATATGAGGATAAAAATTGAGACCTAAATCTGGAGATGTAAAAAGGAAACAATTTATGCGTGGCCTAAAGTCTGTCATCAGAGGATTGAGGAATCACTGAAGGTGATGTGTAGTATTGATCTAAAAAAGAAACTTTTTCCTGGATCAAAAAAGTCTACCAGTCTAAGAACTTGGCATACAAAAGATACATGCATATTCCATTTAGCATAAAGAATGCATTTTTATAAGCAAGAAGGCTGAATCAGCAATAACTGAACCATCCCTACAGAGATGAATGCTCTCAGCATCATCTGGAAAGAGGGATGAAGTCACTCTTTCATACTCTTCCAATCCCCTGAAATCATGGCATACCTACATCCTTCTGTGTTTGCAACTATATTTTGTATAATAGTTGCTCATCTTTAATGGTCCCAGGGCTGATGATGTGGAGTGATGGCAGCTCTGTAACCTAATCTAGAGTAAGCAGTACCTGATATGTAATTTTTAAGTGAAAAGAGGCTACAATGCATTTCTATGTCATCAGCAATCACTCAGGGAGAGGACCACATGCTTTCTCAATAGGTGCAAGTATCCTCCCAGTCGTACCTTTTGAAGATTAAAGAAAAAAAATTGGGTGACGGATAGCATTAGGAGATATACCTAATGTAAATGACGAGTTAATGGGTGCAGCACACCAACATGGCACATGTATACATATGTAACAAACCTGCACATTGTGCACATGTACCCTAGAACTTAAAGTATAATAAAAATATATATAAAATAATAATAATAATATATTATATACTTGAAAATTACTGAGAGATTTTAAGTATCCTCACCACTAAAAATTGTATCTGTGATCATGCATATGTTAATTAACTTGATTTAGCCATCCTACAGTGTGTGCATTTATCAAAACATGTTGTACACCAAAAATATATAGAATGTTTATATGTTAATTTAAAATTTTAAAATAAAGAAAATCAGTGGAAATACAAAAAAAAAAATTAGCCGGGCATGAAAAAAAATTGGTCATTACTTCCATGTTGCGCTGATGTTTTTAATGAACTTTATAATGCCAAAGCCCTAGTCCTTAATTGTCTGCGATCTTTACCCGGCTTTTCTTACCATTTCATTAAGTTTCTTCAACCATTTGCAAAAATTAATTTTTATGCTTGGTAAGATATTCCTTGTTTGTGTTTTTTGGGGGTGGGCAGATTCATTACATTTTCTGGCAGCCATCCTAAGTAAAAAATATTCGCAGGAACATACAATAATGACAAAAGAGAGACTGAAATTGAAAGCATTTGCAGGATGGTACACTGACATTCATTGGCAGAGAGAGTAAGTCTAGCACAAACTGTCACCCTAGCTCGTATTGGCTGAGAGGCTCTGCTAGCACACAAAGCATGGAGAGCTATATCTAGACAGTTTATGGTTGTATTATATTTAAGTATGCATATAGGTTATTCGTGGAAAGAAGATTTGGAGACAAATAGCATCATAGTATGTTAGGGGGGTCTTATAACAAATAGGGACGCCAAATTGAGCTTATCTATTTGGATAGTTTGTAATGATACAATCATTTTTTTAACGCTTGGCAATATTTTTGTGTAATGTTAGCAGAACTATAAAGCTAACTTGGTGCATTTAGGAGAATGTATCTCGGTGCACAAATATATGAAGGCATTAGTGAGGTGAGCCAAAAAAGGAAGATTTTTTTGCAATGACAAAAATGACAGCTCCAAGTTGAGAAAAGACTGCAACTAAAAGGAAATGCACAGGGTCACTCCTGATAACTTCTGTTACAAGATCTGCTCTTCAAGCCAATAACATTATAATGAGCAAACACATATGCAAATGCATAACTAATAATCAGGGCTAAAGTAATGTGTGGTCTTGTGAGATTCACATGGAGAGGAGTTGGGGGTAGTGATATAAAGGATTTAAATAAAGCGAGGACAAAAAGCGAGATTACAAAAAGGGGGATGACTTGAGTGATAAATACAGAGGAATCCAGAAAGCATGGGATCTTGAGAACTTTAATTTTTTTTTGTATGCTGAGCATTACCTTGTTCATTTTCAGTAAATGAACAATGTCTAGGCAAAAAGAAAATGGCATTTATTCACCTGGTGGCTTTTGTTCACTGACTTAGACTATAGCAATTGTGGTCACTTCTCCTTTTGAATGTTCCTCCTACCCCTTGATACCTCCAAAGAACTCTGAGTCAGGCCAGGAGAATTAGAATAAGGAAGTCTAGATAACAGTATTAGGAATATGTGTTTTTGGGAAAAATATCCAGTTTCAGTTTGGAAAAGAGATTTAAAAGGCGCAAGAACAGATTAAGTGAGGCCAGCACAGACATTACAGCAGCAGCCTAACCAAGAAAGGATGGTTTCTTGGACTAGATCGTTTCATGTCATGATAAATAATTCTATGCTTATTTTTCTATCCCTGATCAGCCATATTGAAGTTCCACTGCACAGCAAAGCCTGAACCGTCTCTTATTGACTCAGCTTACATTCAAGAAGAAGCGCTTGCTTTTCTTTCCCCACTCCACGCTATTCCAATCTGTTGCCCTCTGATATTCCCAGCCGTTTGCCGAGTCACATTCTCTACTACCCTTTCACCACACACTCTCACAGCTGCTGGGCAGCTCTCCAAGTCCTCTCCAGTCCTCAACGCTCCAACTTCATCTGCAGCTTTAGCAGTAAGGTGCCAGGGAACAACTACTGATAAAATTGCCTTGCAGGTGCCTGGCATTGTTCATTGCTATTTCACGCATCCTAACCATAATTCTTCAAAGAAAACCTTGTTCCCACTCCCTGGATGCAAGAAAAGGAGCCTTACAGGGAGCAAAATACAATGACCGGACTGATTTGAACCCACGTCTGTCTGACCTCAAAGTCCTGGATCTTCTCACAACATTGTGCTGCCTCCTAGTGGAATGTTTGTCTTTGGCCTACTTTTATAGTGCACAATACCAAAAGAAGTCGTTATAATTTTTAACTGCTTTTAAAATAAAAAGAATGTTGATATCTAGTTCCTGTACGGGGCATGCTGTGGAGCTTAAAAAGGGATTTACTTTCTTCTTAGATTTTCAGCTATCTACTGTTGGTGAGAGAGGGTAGATCAATAAGCTGTCTGCATCAAATCCTATGGTTACTTTTTGTGGGGAATAGAGCATCTTTTTTTTATAATTCTAATATAAGGTATCACATGGAAATCACTGGGCATGGCTTAATAAAATGATCCTAGGATGATAGATATTCAACAAAAACAGGATGGAGGAATGAACAAAAGCTCAAAATAGCAATGTTACTGAAATAACAGTAACAATACCACCTACTCTGTACCAGCAGTGTTCACATTACTTTTCAGATGCTGAGCCCTTTAATCTCCTATGAGGCAAGCATTCCTGTCTATTTTATATGTGAAGAATCTGAGGCTTAGAGAAATCAACTAACCCGTCCAAGGACACAGAACTCATGAGAATAGAAGATGGAATTATAACCCAGGGTTGCATTGCTTCAAAATTCTTGCTTTTTCTACTATGTGATTCTATCTTCCTGCTTAGAAATCTCTATACAATAAATTAAATAAACTTTTAAATGTATTTTGTAAACCACTACAAGAAATACCATGAGGAAAACAAAGATGAATGAGACAAAAATAAATTGCGGTGGCTCCCCTCCAAAAACTCCCCAACCAGAAAAAGACTTCTAAAATATTTAGTAAGCCTTTCTGACATTCTAGTGGCCTAACCATACCTTTAAAAATCCATTTCCCTTATCCCAATGAAGGGTACTTTTCTCATTATATACTTCCCATTTTAACTTAAACAGGAAACCAGTTCAAAATAAAGTCATGGATATTTTTAACTTGACCTTTCTATCTGTATATATACATATAAAGATATAGATATCTTTATGTGTATCTATATGCATAAATATTCATTCTACATATAGATATATGTATTAGACCTAAATTAATTAAAAGGTAATTAATTTTTAAGTCATTCATATACAAATAAAGACAATAATCTTTTTTTAAAACAGTTCATTCTTTATACAAAATGGGAAAGTAATGTAGAGAGCTGCTTTTGCTTTGTATGATCAAATGAATGGACTCAATGTTATTAAAATATATGGCAATTTTATTATTTCTTCCCTGTTCATTCAATTCACTAGTCATAGCATCATCTTTCACTCAGAAATATGTATAAGTCAAATTGACATATTCTATTTTTTAAAACATTAACAAAGTGCCAGAACAGTCTCACACATGGTTCCATCACAGCTAAACTTGATACTTTTTCCAAAATGACTATTGAGAAAACAAAAACAATGACTTCCATGTCCATATTATATTGCAAGTATGGATAGTAATTTTGATGACTACAGTCATATGTCAACTAAATATATATCCAAGACAATTAACACATTTTATTTTGATCATCAAGTATCAATCAAAAGACAATGACCAGCACTCATCAGTGACTAGTTCTGGATTTGAACTGGTGACCTGAAAGTAACAGGCTTTTTACTTTCTGGTCTTCAAACCAGTCCCTAAAGTCATACACTCCCCCAGTCTGATATCCCCAGATTAGTAACTGGACATGTAACAAAGCAACAGATGGCCTCTAGATTTCTAAAGACGTAATGTTGAAATAGTTTGTCTTTTCTTTTTGGTCTTCCTTTGCCTTTCTAGTTTGACAATTAAAAAAAAAACACTTATTTTATAGCATCCTGTTTAGATGCTGCAAGTTGAATTTTTGCACAATCAACCATCAAATATGTTTCAAATGGAGGAGAAATGAATCTTTGCTGGAGAGCCTTTGCAGAGTAATGTGATCCCTAGAGAGTCAGAGCAGCACTCAGAGACAGATGCTCAGTGAACTAACTATCTCCTGACTGCAGGGGTGGCCTACCTCCTGTACAAATGTAAAGCCCCATGAAAGCTAAAAATAAAGGGAACATAGAAAAGTAATGTAATGTGTTCACCATTTTGGGCTTCAGAAGTGCACTGGCAAGATTCCCCTTGGGATCACTCCACTTTGTAGTTTGTTTCTCTGTATGTCCTACATCATTACCTTCTTTCAGACACCTGAACAGTTCATGTTTCCTTAACCGGAGCTATGCCATTAAGAGCAACCCCCAAAATCCTTCATTGCAAAGAAGGTCATTATATAGTAGATGGAAACCTTAAGAGGAAAAATCCTATATCAACTGGTGGTATAATCCCCAAGGGGAAACAGACTTTAGTTGAACAATCAGAAACCTGGCTTGCTTTATGGTGTTTACACTGCTGCTTGCTAATGGATCACCATAAAGGAAGCAAAAGGGCTCTTACACCATTGAGTAGGCTATCATGGGAGTCTTCTGAGTGTGCCTTTTTTATTTGCTGCAGTCAGGTTAATGAGCTCACCAGCCCACTTGATGTTGAGGACTTTGTAACAAAGCAATCTCTCATTAAAAGCTGCCTGGCACCACTCTCTTGAAGCAAAGGGACATTCAGATTATTGAATGCCTTTGTACTCCTCATTCCTACCAGGCTATGGAGTCCAGCAGTGGCATCAGGCCCACACACTTCCTGGCAGGCATCCAGTCATCCGCCTGCCCTCTTCAAACTGCATGGGCATTTGCCAATCTAAGCAGCACTGGTAGGCAAACAAGCATGGCACACGACTCCTTTGGAGGAGAGCCAAATGTGCAGCTGAACAATCTAATTTGTTTCTACTGTAGAGGGAAACATTCTTCCCCATTCTTTCCTATTCAGTTGAATTTACATGTAAAAGTTTTGTTATGGTACAAAGGAATGTGCATTTATCTACATTTCCTTTCTGCTTTTACACCTTTTTAGTCTCAACAGTGTAGGTCATGATTTTGTCTGTGGCTTTATTTTAAGTACCTCCTGGCTGACAGTTTCTTCAATGAAATGACCCCAGAGTGTTATCAGCTAGCTAGCAGGTGTGTCTCTATTCAGAATCTTGTAGACAGAAGTGCATCCTGGGTAAAGAGCAATCTATGCACACAACCAGATCTTTCCAACATTACTCGTGAGATTTAATGGTTGGCTGTCCTAAAGAAAAAAAAAAAAGCTAAAAAAAGATTTTTTTCAAGTTTGGCTTTTTTAGAGTGTTGATAATGCCCTGAGACATACTATGCTAAAATAGGATTACACAATTTTTTAAAAAATGCATTTTGTTATGTTTTAATAAACAATTGTATCTTGTTATTAGGAATTTCTCTTTCCAAGCTATTAAATGCTTATTTTTTAAAACTTGAGAGCACATTGAACAGATGCTCAAAAATTAAGTGTAATTTTAGCCGTGGTATCACATTTGAGCAAAGATGAACATGTAGGGGTATTTTGAGATGAATTAAATAAAGCTATAGCCATAGTTATATACTCTTATTCTATTCAGTTTTCAAATAAAATCTGCACAAAATTCTTCCCACTATTTTAGGATGGCTCCTCAAAAAAATTTTAATTATCATAATCTTAAAAACTCAGAACATTTTAGAAATCTGCACATACTCAGAAAGAGGCTCTCCTATCAAATCTAGTGAAAATAGTCTACCTATATCCTTAAATTTATTAACAGGCTATGGAATGCAAATTCAAAACTGCTCCCTGACAAAGATTCAAATTTCAAACCAAGCCAAATTAAAATGAAATATAAATATGTAGTTTTAATACATATCAAACAGCTGTGAAAAAGAAAGTCATCATAAAACTAGCACAGTTTTCTCTCATGCTTTCCGAATACCAGAATGGGGGAGATAGTGATGTAACAATACTAATTTAATTTTTTTTTGTTTGCATGCTAAATCATGTTTCCATTTATATCATAAGATATGAAGTTTAAGAAATAGCAGCATAGTGGAATATAAGCCTAGAGTTCTGCTCTAGAGATCATTCATACTGCTTATTGTATAGTTTATATCTGCATGTTTACAGTTTGCTTAAGTAATGTTAATTTAAGTACTTCTAAATTTTGAAAAGTATTAGTTGTGTTCATGCAACTTGGTATCAAATCTAATGGTTATTAATTTTTTACATATTAAATTTTATAATAATTTTTCAAAAAACTTTCATTTCAGATCACTGTACTATAGATTACTTTCAGGTCTGGTTCTAGGTATTGTCTGCTGAAATAATAAGGTAAATATTTATTTAAAAACAAATCTAGATTTCAATTCAGTCACTAATTTAACGTCACTTGCAATCATCTTTATGAATTATCAATTAAGGAGAAATACTAAACAGAAAAAGCATGTTAATACTCTAGTATACCTGGTTCATGATTTTAAGAAGAGAGTAGATTTAGATAAAATTTAGGTTGCTCACCATAATCTTTCCTAATGGAGGGGATGCAAGTATTTTAAAAACACAAGCTACTGGCAACAATAACAAAAATACCCGAGATGACAGTAAGAAATTAGCTGGTTTGTAGCACGAGCTTTTCCTACTAGATGGGTGTTCTTTACTGTTCTTAAGGATGCTTCAAACTGATGAAGGTTTATCCTATTTTCCAGGCATACATATTATATTCACATCTTAGGTTAGTCTGGATTTTTGAAGCCTTGGAAACAATGCATTCATGTACTCCTTTAACTACGTTAAGTGAGCTAACCACATATTTTTGTTAAATTGTAGACACAGCCTATAATAGCTTTCAAAGAAGTCTGTCTTGACTATCTGAAGTACTAAACTTCTTCATTACAATGACCTGGGTAACTTGCTATCATCTTTACTGGCACAAAATCTATGGAAAATTGAGAAATGCCTCAATAACAGAACATTGTATTGTTATTAGTCTAATAGAGTCTGCAATTTCAGAGTATATTTAGGGGAATAGATTCATTTTAAATATAAATGCACAACCATCTGAGAAAATTTCATAGTAAATGTTAGAATATGACTGATTACATGTGAAATATGACTAAAGAAAATTCATGTACATTCTTTGTTTATTCTTTTCAAATATTAATACCTTTGTTATTACGTTAGCTGATTTTTTAAAACCTTACAGTATTATAATTTGATAATAGCCATCTTGTCTGACATATTATTATTTATTCACTAAATTTGTGTTGCTAAAGTAATAAATTAGATGATCTCAAGAAATCTATATGTATGTGAACATGTATGATCAGATGTTATGACAGCCTACCCCATTAGATGCTGGCCAATGCCTGTTCAATTTTTTAAAAGGGTTGCACTATAATAAAGTTACATATACATCAGCACATTTTATATGTATACTAAAAAGGATTCTGCTATTAAAATAACAATTTATATTGAAAAACATCAGTAACAACTGAAGATGTTTAAAAACCAGAATCCTAGCCTATCTTAAATGATTCGAATAAGCAGACTGGTTGGCCAAATTCTCTGCAAGTAGTCTTCAATTTTTTATCTAGCTATTTATAGAAAGCTGAAGAAACAGCTGAGCTGACTGAAGTGATGTCACATTTGCTGATGGAATGGTTTGTTCCAGAGCACGCTCAGAGGCTGCATGAGTCTTCTTAAGGTTTGGTACGCAACCCTAAGCAGTGAGAAGGTGTAAACATGGGCATTTTTCAGCCCCACCAATCAATATTGCATTGATGACTTTCTACTGACCTTTAACCCCACGAGGAATACCAATAGCACCATACTGAATCTTCCCTTCTTTGAGGGCTGCCTAGCATAAGCTACCAATTTTACAATCGATCAAAAGTCATCTCTGTGAATAAAGCTTGAGATTTCAGGCAACAGCAAGCAATTTTTGAAAGGTCAGCGCTGGGTTTTTATTTGCTTGACCTGTGCTTTCAACTTGTATCATAGTTCTTTATAACCACTAAAAGTAGTAAGAAAATTTCAGATTTTTTCCCCGTGTATTTTTAGTAAGCCTTTGGGCATTTTCACTGTCCCTAAAAGAATATGGTTGCATGGCAACCTTCACAGTTGCTATGGAGACTCCATGTGTAAGCAGCTGCTGCAATCAGCATTAACTCCGGGCTTGCAGGTTTGTCATTCCAATACATAGAGAGGGGAAACAAATAGGACAGCACATTGCCGTAAAGGGGAAGTCACCTAGATAATGTCACTCACAAACATATGTTCCACAATTATTCTTTCCACTGTTTTATTGCTGCAATTATAGCTAAACTAAGATTACAAAATTATATGGTTTTAATTTGCCTCTATTGACTATGTTTCACTTCCATTAAAATTAAGTCTGAACTCATTTACCTAGAAAACCATTGGCTTTCGAGAAAAATTTTTTTTTGCTTTCTCATTTAATGTCAATAAAAAGAAAAAAAATCAATGCCCATAGAAACCTTTGTATGAAACAAGCAACTTAGCCAAAATATAAATTAACCTAACATGTAAAGTATGGACTCATCCCAAAGTTCCATCTGTATTTCTAATATTTTCCGTTGTTTCAGGCAAGACTACAAAGATGGCTCTGATGACACCGATCCAAGTCTTTAAAATGTAAGCAGAAATGACAGTTAAGCCATCTTAAGCCCCTATCCTTAACTCATCCCATCAAGCTTAAATATTGCAGGATGCGATCCCAATATCAAAGTCCTTAAGAAGAAAACTCAAGCAAAGAGAGGTAGGAAAACTATTGCCGACACTTTTTTCAAACTAATTTTTTTCCAACCCTGGTGAGCCGAAATATTTCAAGAATCCTTGCTATCACAATATCTGATAAATTTATTACATAAAAGGAACTCTTAATGCACAGATACAATATTATTAACTGAGGAATAGCTTGCAATATAGCATTAGGTGCCCACAGTTTTTGCAAATATAGGCTTAACATCCCCAAAATAATAATCACTTACTTTTCTTATTCTAATATTCCAGTTTCTTATTTGGAGATAGGATACTTCTTCATAGAAAGCTAAGATTATCACTAAAAATTAGTACTTTATTTAAGGGCACTGTAACCACTTGCTAATTTACATGATATAAAACTCACTAGCAGGCAAGCAAAAAAGCAGGTTTTATTATATTTAATCAGATTCTAGTGGTATTACAGTAGTTTTGCTCTACCATATAGAATGGTCACCTTTTTATTTGTAGCTTTTGGAGTTTTTAAAATAATTATGAATCCACAAAATGAAACATGTATCAAATTTATTTCTGTACTTATATAAATTGCTGAAATACAGCTGTGTTAACACAGAAATTCGTAAAATTTTAAGAAAGGCATAGGTGGTGTCTAGTGTTTAAATCAGTTATCTGGTTTTAATATTTACGTCAAAACTGATTCTTACTATTTTTATGATATATCACTTAATAGGCTTATGTGCAGATATGTCAGACAAAATATTTCTTGAGTGAAATCCTAGTATATAAAAACTCTCTATGTGTAGATGCATACACGCAGTATTAGTGGCATTATCTTTATATTAGTAGAATAGCACATGTTAATAAAACATAATTGCCCATTCTAAAAAGCCTTAGCTAGACACATTTAAGAAGTGAAATTTAACAATAGCTAAAAGGTAGCACATTAATATGTTCATGATTAAAATAAAACACAAAAATTTCAGAAACTTGTAATTACCATTTTAATGGATCTTTAAGTAGATATCTAATGCACAATTCATAGATCCTTCTTAAAAGAACCAAATGTTAAGTTATCCAATGTTAGGATGATTTTTTAATCTCATGTTTTCGTTTTTCACCTCTTAGCGAATATTAAAGCAAACATTCATTTTTTAATTGCAGTATAATAAAAGAAATATGCATTCTCCTGCAGATCTTGTTCGCTACCATTTGAATGGAAGCATATTTAGGTTTAGAGTATCAAAATACTGTCTAGAAACCCTGAAAACGAAAACTCTGATAGACCCTTAAACATAGCAGCGTTAGCAGGTGCTGCTGTAATACACAAATCCAGATAACATTAAATGACCTATTTATAAAGCCTGTCCAAGAAAAGCGACATCAAGGAATTGAATTCTTTGCCCTTTACTTTAATAGTTCCTTGTCATGCAATCTTCCAATCAGAAAGGGTGATCACCACAAAACAAATTCCCAACCTGATACATACACCAGGGGCATCTTCTGCAATCCTGTAGACTGGTACTTAGGGCCTATTCATTGCAGCTTGTATTTCACTGCAATATAGGGCAGAGAATTCACAATCAAGTAAATGCAAATTTACTTACAGGGATTTAAAATCAGGACTTTTAGGTAATATGAAATGTAAAATCCTACTGGATTACTTAAATATTGATTATTTCTCAATACATTTTATATTAATCTGGAAAATACTACATTTCAATTTGTATAATGAAGATACTTTAACCACAAACATTTTCGTCTGCAGAATTTTAAAGTAAGATTAGTATTTAAATTTGCCATTGCTAAACTAACCAAACCAGTAGAGTTTTTGAGTTCTATAAGAATATGTCCCCATTAATACACCAAAGGATACTCCTATAGTTGGAACTACAAGCTACACTTCAAAATGGTTTTCTGATGAATAAGCCATAAGTGCTATTTTCTGTAAAAGTTACGTGAATCCATAGAGCAATTATTTGGATAATTTGAGCATTAAACCCCGTGACTGTGAATGAAGAGGTTTTATTTGGCTTGGGTAATAGGAATTAGCTGTGTACATTGAGTACAGTATGCCAATTTCAACTAAATCATTTTTATAGCTCACTAATGTAAGGAATAAATGTAACCTTTTTTCAAACTTATTCAAAAAACTTCAAAGCTATAGAAAATTTGAAATAGCATAGCAAACATTCATGCGTCCTTCACTTAATTTGACAGTTGTTAACATTTTTGCCACATTTGTTTTTTTCTCTCTCTGTCCAAAATAATGAATATTGGCAAAATCATGTTTTAACCTAAAACACGTTTTCTTACACTGAACCATTTGAACTTAAGCTGCAAACATCATGACATTTCACCCCTACATACTTTAGCGTGTGCCTCCAAAGAGCCAGGGCATTCTTCTACATAAACTACAATACCATTATCACTCACAATAAATTTAACATGGTTGCAATAGCATTCTCTGTTATAAAGTCCATATGTAAAATTTCTCCAGTTCTCTTGATAATGTCTTTTATAATTTACTTGAGAGGAGATAATCTGAATTCAGTCAAAGGTTATGGACCACACTTTGCATTTAGCTGTATGTCTTTTTATTCACCTTTCATCTAGAACAGTTCCTCAGCATGTGTCTTCTATGCACTGAAATTTTTGAAGAACCCATGTCAGTTGTTTAAATGTCCCACAATTTAAATTTCTTCCAATTGTTTTTCTTAACAACTAAATTTAGGTGAAACATATTTGTCAAGAGCACTACAAAGGTAAAAGATAATGTAATGTCTGGCCATGAAAGATTACCTTCTGATAAAGAACTGTACCCAGACTCTGTCCCCGGAGTGTTCATTTTTCTATTAATAATTTGAATAAATTGCTGGGAAAGCACAGTCATTTGCTACTGTCACTGAAAATATGAAATCTTACAATTCATTTAAAATAATTTGGTTTATTAGACTTTGGACCTGGATCCCTTAGCCATTTCACTTGTGTTACTTATAATGAAAATTTGGGGTATCTGAATACTTTGTGATTAACTTTCCTTCATCCAACCCACCCACCTTCTGACAGCTGATAGAATGACCAGACAAAAACTAAGGAGCTTCATGGCACCTTTGTCTTCAAAAGCTAACACTGATTTTTTTCTCCAAACATTATTAAATATATAGTATATTTATAATACCAACATTGCATCTTTGGAACATCCAGCAAAAAAAAAAAAAAAGCAGAAAATTAAAATTATCTTTTTTTAAAAAAGATCTCCCAGTCCATTCCAGAGAGTGGAAGCTAAACAAAATTGTTTGCATTAAAATTTAAAAATAATTCTATAATTTAATAATAGTATTAAATAAACTAGTATAAATATATTTCATTATTGAAAAAAGTAGGGGGATACGTATTTGATAGAAAATAAACTCCAAAAAGTCTCAAAAACATACACAATCTACGTATTCTCAACCCTCCTGGCAATTTATATGTGCAAATGGAGTTTTGCCATTTTTTTAGAACAAAAAATCAAGAGAGGATCCTTAATATTTCCTTTCTAATCCCATTCGTCATACATTATCCAGTGCTTGGTTCTGATTTGTAAATAGAAGACTACATTTGAAACACTTATGCCCAATAGGCCACTTACATTGAATAAAATATGTGGATTTTGCATCCTGTTTAAAGCCTTTCTATGGAATGTAAAATAATATGCATTTATTCCTTGTCAACGCATCTAGTGTGGAGCTACCCCAAATGCCATTAAATTCATTTGCTTTTTAAGCATTTTAGAAATTTTTTGTTCTATTACAACTCATGAGCTTGGAATCTTTTATGTCATGATGCTTTGTAAAGTTTAAATCTTTATCCAAATGCTGGGATAAAAAGGGTGAGTATATTCAAATGGACATGGGTTAAAAATTCCATCTTACATTTATTGGTTGCATTACCTTTGGCAAATCACTTAACCTCTCTGAGCCTTAATTTCCCTTATAAAATAAAGATGTACATGTTTAGAATTTAGGAGTAAATGTATGAAAAGTACACAACACAGAGAAGGTACTCAGTAAGATGCAACTATTTGTAATCTTTCAAAAATCATGACCACAGCCCTAATTTCATATACTAAGCTACTAATAACAGACTTGTTCAAATAGGTATGTAACATACATATATTGTAACCTTTCTGAAAGGGCCTCCTTAGAAACTTATGGCTAATTTAGACACATATGTACACACAGAATTATACATACTGTGTATCAATAGGAAAATTTGCTTTAACTAAAGTTCTCCAATAATATAAGGAATGCAACTGACCTCAGGGAGAAAAAAAAAAACATACATTTACTTTGTTTTTCAGAATTCTGACATGCCTGTATTTGATGACCTATGAAAGAAATACAGGATGAAAAGCTAGAAAATGGAAGCTCTGCTTATGTCCTACAGCCCTGAATTTTGTCCAAGGTCACATGTACAATTTATCCTCTTATCATGCATATCAAACCCAAAGAGAGGAATTATCTAGAACATGGCAAAAGCCACCATTAATTCTGCATAAGTAATGCAAAGCAGCAATCAATACTAATGTGTAAGAAGACCCTTCTTGAATTCAGTTAATGTGTTTTGTTGTCGCTGTTGTGTATCCTCATTTTTAATTCAATTTTTAGTTTTACCTGCACCATTCAAAATAGTCAGGTTGTATTAAGTTTTTTACTTCTAATCTGGCTTAATATTTTTCTTTTAAAAGGAAGACATAAGATTTTTTTACCATAGAGGAAATAAATGTTTTTAAATGTTTTCAAATGTTTTCCTTTTCCAACAGATCAATGTTATAATGAATAAAAATAGTAGCAGTATAAAAGTAAAAAAATCTTACTTCGTGCAGCCTATATAGTAAATATATATTTCAGAGGAAGGAAGGAAGAAGGGAAGTAAGAAAGGAAGGAGGGAAGGAAGGAAGGAAGGAAGGAATGAAAGAAGGAAGGGTAAATTACAGCAATTTTTGAAATAAAATTGAACCTCTCCATGAGTGTTTAACTGCCATTTCCATACATCCCCTACAGCCAACTCTGAAATACAAATTTATAATAAAATAAAAATGCAGAGTATTCTTACATAGAAAAATTAAAAAATTTATGTCTTTTTACATAATTTTTAAATCAAAAGCTAATTCACTGCAAGAATAAGACTTTGTTCTCTGACTGTAAACTTATGAATCTCACTACTTTAGTTTATATTTGGAAAGAAAATAGCTTAGTTGATAGCCCTCTTTTATTATCTCTAATGTCAAATCTGCTAAACTTCCTACTGAGTGCAATTATATAAATTAAATAATTTTAATATAATTTTTCATGATAGGAAAACATAAACCAATTAAAAATAGCACTAAGTTAACAACAGAACAAAGTTTCTATATTTTGTGGCATAATGCAGAGTATTATATATTAGATTACTAAAACAAAATATTTATAGCTGTGAAGAAGCAAGCCTTTAAAAGCTGCCATTTTTTTCTAAAACAAATGGTAAAATCTTTGCCTATAGTCAATATCACTCTAAAGTCTAAGTTAAAATTATTATGACTCACAGTATATATTCCAACCAAACATTATTATAATGGACTCTGTGAGTGATTATACAAAATACAAATTTATTGTTTAAAAATTACATTAATGGCATTAAAATGCAATAATAATTGCATTTTAAAATACATTTATTTATTCTGATGCCCAACTCAAAGGCCCTAATCACATTCTAGCTTCTTTCTTAATAAGACAAGTAGGTTTGAACTAGAGATAATTCATGTGATTTAAAAAATTTTAAAAACTGAACATCCTAAAGTAAGTACATAAAAGAATTTTCTTAAAATACTTTTTCTCCTCTAACCTCTTTCTCCACTTAATTTTTCCAAGATGGAGAGGAAAAATGTTTACATTATCATCTCCTATAACCATAAAAATTCACCAACTTGTAGCCTTTTGAAATAGCATGGTTTCCTATGATTGTCATTTTTTGTGCTTTTGTGTTTTACAGAAGAAATCCCCTCTGGTCCTAAAGTCTATAATGCCCACACTCATTCGTGGACAATTTCCTCATTACAGAGCCTGGTGCAAATTAAATCATCTGAACAGAGGTGGAATACTGACCCAAACCCATCAAAATTTTCATGAAAAGCAGATAATCAGATTCCAGGCTACTTTTGTGGGGCTTTCATGGAAATTCCTTTTAACAAAAAGTGATATAAAAATGATATTCACACAGCAAGGATAAGAACAGCAACTAAAGGTTTGAAAAGCCCACCAGGAGAGAAAATTCACCTCACTTATAATAAATCAACTGCTATATATTTTTCTATGTTTAGTACCCAAAAAGAAGATGATATGAATCCATTTTCTGTTCAGATTCTTTTTAATTCTACAGATAAAAACTATCCTACTGTTTCCAAATGCTGTTTTATTTTAATGGTAAAAATAGCCACCAAAAAGATGGGGTTTCACTGTGAATCTCTTACCAAGTACACATTATTGCAAAGTATAAAATACATCCATATACTTTTTGAAAGTAACTAATTGCTAACTTAGTTATTTTAAACCTAAAATATATTCGTATCATTAGTTACATTACCAATATTCCCTCAGTATAGTAAAACATCAAGTACCAAAATAGCATCAAAGAATTCCATGATTAAACTGGAATTTATGCACATGACATTTCTAAAGCAATATAGCTCTCATAATGAACACCAACAAACTGAGTTTGTTTGGCCAACTACTAACCTGCCTAATTTCAAGTTCTTACTTCTTAAAAGCATGATACAGATTATTCATACACTCATAAAATACCACAAAGAAAGAGGCTTTTGACAGGCTAATCAAATTGACTCATAATAATCCTTCTATTTGGGAAGATGGGAAAATTATGATAAAAGATCTTAAAACAAGGTTCTGATATTTAATGGTATCTTCTACTTGTATTAATTGCTCTAAACAGAAACTTTAAAAAGAAATGAAGTTATGTCATCCATCCATTATTCCATAACTGTCAAAGTATTAATCTATTTTGTAGCTTGGCTTTTTTCTTGAATATTTAAAAATTCTTATTTAAAACAGTTAACTAACAAAATATATTAATGGTCTTATTTTATTATTTTAGAAAAGAATGACCCATATTGACACTTCAGAAAATTTTTGATAAATATAATATTATAGAAATCTTACAAAATATATTTTTACTTGAGATGTTGACTGTAGTATTGTGAAGTTAGTTCTCTAATATGGGAATTCCTTCTTTTAGCAAGAGTAACAGCCATTTTGGTTTTACTCTCATGCTCACTCACTCACTTCATTCACAAACGTATTTATCATTTCTGAATGGCAAAGGTGTGCTTTCTAATTTTTGCAGACTTGCAATAAAAATTAAAAGCTATTAATATAAAAGTCAAATTCTTACTTTATAATATTTTTAAAGACTTTGTGATAATCTAAACTTACAACTCCTAACATTAACCAGTATTTACCTTTTAATTCTTAACTACTTACAGGCTTTAACCCATTTTTAAAAGTGAAATGATTACATCACTATTTTGGATTATCCCAAATCATAATTATTAATAGCTAGGTTTTACTTTATTCTTATAATATACCTTATCTGCTAGCTGCAGCTGTTTTTCTAAATTGAAAGAAAATACTGATTATTAATTATAGCATTGTATCTCACTCACATATGTGAACTTTCTGACTACTTATCATTCTGTGTTAAAGTAGCTAATGGTTTTCAATATGTTTAAATGTATGTACTCTAAGAGTTACAGTAAAAAAGTTATAAAATTATGGTATTTTAACAATTCCCTAAGTTTAAAGCTAAATCTTCCCTCACAGTTAATCAATGTTTGTAAATCAATTTTTAGTACTCCTAAGGAGCAGGAGGCAACTGGAAAATTGAAAATATGAGACAAAACTTTAAAGTAAGTTAGGTTAAAAAGAATGTGTTGTGTTGTGTTGGATGTCTTGAACCATGTCACTTATTGACCATGAACATTAGGTATCTTTCTTTCCTGGTGTGTCAGCAAAGCCACACACATTCTTTCTTGCTACAAATCTGTAAATCTGGAAAGGAGTAAAGAACATGAATAGAAAATCTCTTTATAGAATAAAAAAGCCTGCGGTGTTATTAAGGAGAACTGTAAGCCCTATTCTATTCATAGTAATTACAGGATCAGATCAGGTTAATGTGGGGACCTCGGTCAATAAAGTACTGTGGGTTCACCGCTTTAATCTCTTTCAGTCCTATAGTCTGCAGTGTTAACTGCTCTGCTTGACTCACCAAATCACTATAGGTAACATGGATGTCATGGGAATTTTTGGCATAGCAGAAATTTATATATTCAGCCAGTCACAAGTTTCAGAAGATGAGAAAAACTAATTTCTCTGAACAATTTGACAAGTTTTTTTCTCTTTCAACTGAAATAATAAAGGTCAAATGTCATTTCCAGGTAACGCCATTTTTAGTCTTTTTTTCACAATAAAACCTGTTTCCTTATTAAATTTTTCATCCACCCATTATTCACAGAAGATATTACACAATCTTGATAAACATATAAATGAGATCTAAAACAGATTAGAATTTGGCCTTGTGCACCTTGAGATAATCCTTTTGGGTTTTTTCCTACAATTTTCTCTAAAATTTCTGTGGAGGATGAATAACCAAAAATTTAAAGCTTGATATCTCATGCATGCTTAGAAATGATTTGGTAGGCTTTTCTTTTGCAAGTGTTTTTCAGGTTACATTTCTCTCCTGAAATTGTAAAAATTTTCTGCCAATAAAGGAATCAAAATCCTTTGTTATAAAGTATTTAAAATTATGATTTGTTAGGGTTATGACATTTTGTGGGTTTTCTTTTTTCATTTTTTAATGGTATTGGGGGTTTGGCACCAAGAACATCTTACTCTTGAAAAAAATTAAAGGACTTTATGCTAAATTTACAGTTCTTTAAATACTTGTCTCATTGCACAGTGATCCATGTAATAATGTACATTTAAAAATTTAAAGACACTAAAAATTTTTAAATGCAGTTACTCCTTTGATTTTAATGTGAATGTAGCTATGAATGAAATATACTCACTCTAGGCCATTAGTCTTTAACGATTCTTTTTCTTCTTCAGCATTTTGGTAACTCCTTTTTCTACTGTTTCCATCTTAAATTATCAGTTAGTATAAAACAGCTTATATTCGAAACTTGAAAGTACTAGACCTTGGGAGTAACCTATATGAAAGGTAAAGTAACCTTGAAAAGTAACCTTTAAAATAACCTTGAAAAGTAAAGGCAAGAGAATAGGTGCACCTGTGATTTTATCAACTCCTGCACTTCAGCTCTTGTGTATGTCACACTTCTCTTCATATCTCCTTTCAACTAGGAAGAGTGTTGATGAACAAAACAGAGAACCACAATGAATGGGGATTTGTCAAAAATACCCCAAGAAGGTATTAAGTTATTGTTGTTAGAATGGAATAGTCCATTCTGGACTCTGGTCACTTATGTTTTCACTACTCAATCACTTCGCTTTTGTACGGATTGTTAGATAACTATGTCCAGTATGTGTATATAAGTACTTATAACACCAATATTAAAACAGACATGCTACTTGTCTTCTTCTCCATGCTAGTAAGCAGCACCTTGAAGGTAGACACTGTGGCCTCTCTTTTTCTTGAAAGTTATTGTGTACTTATTGATTTGAATAATAGTTATTATACTCTATGGATTTCTCCTCAAAATTTGAAGAAGTAAGTATTTTGTGAATTTTAAATATTATCGCTCAATATGAGTAATTTAACTGATGAGCACGAAATAGTATAACGAAAGTATAAATTGCTTTTTCTAAATTTATGAAACTTTTTGGAAGAACTGACCATTTGATATAACAACACCAAGAATAGTGTATTTCAAAGCAGAGATCATCCCAAGAAAGTTTTTAAAGATGGGTAACAAAAAAAAAAAAAAAAAAGAAACCCACAAACCTACCAAATATGCTAGTAATTGAATGATGTGAACTCTGGTAAGCGCCGGTGTGCAATATGGCAAAAACGAATCAATCAGTTCAGCTTAGTTCAGCCTCTGCAACTGGCCATCTGGCACAAAATCAACCGAATGTATCCCTGCATATTCATCTTCATTTTCACAAATGCTCAAGAGAATGTCATTCTAGGGCAAAATAAAATTAAATCACCATAATTTTTAAGACATCTTTCCTTTCATACCCTCTTGAGAATACTGTGTTTATATGTGAATACTTATTGTTATAGAGTTGTTGTATAATTTTTAGTTGAATGTATTCTTTCTTTTCTAAATGTTAAAGGACATTTAATTATGAAATATTCAATTTTTCAAATAAAATTATTTTAGAGAGAGAAACGTCTATAAATAGGTCAGTGTACTTTTAGTTGAGTCAATAGTAGATCAAGAGACCTTAGTTACTTTCACAGACCATAATAATTTCAGAATTGAACTAAAATGAAGTTGGCCTAACATATGATTAGTTAGTGTTCAACATGATCAAAATACATTAGCTCACATGTCAATTTCTATTTGCATAAAATCAGAAACTAAAATTTCATTTGATCAAATAAAATTTTACATAATAATCATATTATTACATAAAATTAATCAACCAAACACTTTATCAAATCCTGAACAGATAAGGCTAAGTGCTACTTACTGCATCATTTTTGTAATAATTTTGTAATTCTATTAAATGTTTGCTTTTCAAATGGAAGCTAGCAAACAGTTTGCATTTGGACTCCTTTGGTAATGTAGAATTAAAATAGCAGAGTAAACCTCATACTCTACTTTTAAGTGTAATACTGAGTAAAGTACTGGATCAAGTTTATTGATGAATTTAGCCATTTAATTTTGTCCTAAAATGTTTTGTTTAAATGAAGTAAATGAATGTTAATTAACACATCAAAACATACTAAACAAGTCAAAGTTTTAAGTAACTTTGTTTCCCAAATCATGTTTGTAAATATAACAGACCTATACAAAACATTTAATTTTGAAAGGGTTGTGTTTAAATTCTACTCACTATAATTTTGTTCGTCAAAATAAAACATTGTGGGAAGTATTTAATTTTCAAAGAATGGGAGGTAATCGATTTCTTCTTTGAGCTTTGCTCTTTTCTACATTATAAAAAAGTTTAAGTTGCAAATAATTCATTCTGTATTTGAGAAGTTTGTTAGCAAATAATATCTAAACTCAATGTATTATTAGATAATGTTTCTTTTGAGAATTATATACTGATCTACATCAGTCATGGTACTTTTTTCAATTTTTTTATCCTACACCCTTTTCCGTTTTAAAGGTACCTTGGCAATGTTTCCTCAAACAATTTCAGAGCAGAGCCAGCTAATGGCTTAGAATTGTTTCTATAGATCTTGGTTTGCATTTCTGTGTGTGTGTGGCCTTTAAGAGATGTTACAGTTTGCTGTTTTGTAAATTGATTCACAGTTTGAAAGCATTCTTTTGTTACTAAAACACACATGCAAAGTGGGGACTCTTTCCAGGCAAAATGCACCATCATATTGAATGGACAAAAACTTGGAACCACAATCACTATTAAGAATCCTGGACTCGTCATCCTCAATCTGCTCACGTTGGAAAAAATCAGAGTCAAGTTTACTGTGGCTCATTTTTCTGTTGCATCATCTATTTAGAAATATTGCCAAGTACATGCAAATATAAAATAAAATTAAATTGGCTATAAAAGATTTTGCATTTATTTATCTAGTTGTGAATCACTGTGCCCATATTAATGGAATCTTTTTAAGATTTGAAACTTTGAGTTCATAAACCTTACAAGTTTTAGTCTCTGAACATTAAGTTTTTATCCTACCAAAATTCAGTAAATATTGATGAATAGCTTACATGTATGTATTTTATTTATATTTCTTTTAAACAATATAAACATTCATTCTCTGACTTAATCTTCACAATAACTTGCAAAAGAGTAAGTGCTTTTCCCCTCATTTAAAAAGCAAAGATATATTCACAGAAGTTACCCAGCTTGTTCAAAGTCATTTTCTAGTTAGTGGGGGAGCTCAATTTACAATGAGCATATCCAGACTGTCAGAATTTCCATTGTACCACACTCCTGACTGTTTCTGTGAGGCCAGCCCCACAGATGAGCTTATTAAGTCCCCATGTCCTTGTTTATCCACCAGCTTTCTATGCACATCTCTGAGCTGGCTGTAGCATGAACGCACTATCATCCAGAGTCCTCTTGCCATTCAATTACCACCACAAGTACTTCCAGCCTTTTATAACCAATGTTTTTGAAAAACTTTAAAGGTACTACTTTCTTTCTCTAATACAGTCACTGCTCACGCCTGTCAATCTGGTATCCGTCTGCAATCTTAGCCTGGTGGAGCCACTCTCCTCCCTGAGCTCTTTTAGCATCATCGGCACACCTTTTTGGGACATATCTGCTGTGTCCCCCACCAGACTGAGCCCTTCAAGATACAGATCCCACCCTCTTAACTTCTGCATAGTGCCTAGCTTAACTTAGCACAGTGCCTAGCCCATCACACACCTTAACAGATATTTGTTGAATAAAGAAATGAGTACGATCATTGCAATAAGCTGAAAACGACATTATTTTAAGGAAGGAACTGCCTTGGTAAAATAGCTCAATAAAGTAAGGTAAAAGTGAGACCTGAATGTGTGGATTACACAGCAAAAGCCAAGGCAACAAGGTTAGAGAATGGCCCAAAATGAGGAGAAACTTGGCTTTTACAAGAGAAACGGAGAAAGAATGAGTAGAGGAAAGGAGCGTAGAAAAGTCAGTGATCGTTGCCACTGACATGGGCCTACTAGAGACCCCTGCCGGTGGCAGGTTCCATTGGAAGCTGTTTGAACTGCTAGAACCTAAAACCCTCCATCTCTCCCACTGAACCCTCCCACCCCTTGTTTCAGTAAACTTTCCCACACTCACCATTATTACATATAAGGCTCTTTGAAATTGCTAAAGGATCTGACTTTCTTATCTGGGCTTACTTGTTGCAGAAAAGAACTAAAAGTCACAAGAACTGGGGATAAAGTACTCATGAGAGCAAAAGCCTACCAGAAATTTAATAGAAATTCCAGCTCAGCTTTAATTTTCTAGTAAAACACACATATGGGTTTAAGTCAATCTTAGATAGATGTTAAGATTAGAAACCCTAGCTGATATACAGATTTCATAATAAATGAATAAACAAAGTCAGTCAATATAAATAGAAAGGGAGGAATTTAATTTACTATTCACACAAACATTCATTCATTCAGTAAACTTTTGATGAAGTTCAGGACCTACTGCCCCAAAATGTGACTCCTTGGCATTTAAGAACATAGCAGAAGCAGAAAGTTCTCTCTGCCCTTTTCCAAGCCCTTCTCCCCTAAAGCAGGACACGATTCTCTGATCTTCCTCTAGAGTTGGTCAAAAAACTTTCGTTTCAGAGGTGCCCACCCTGTACCTGGAGGGAAGGAGCATCCTCATCTCTGAAGAAACAGAGACACACAGAAGCATCTGAACAAGTAGGCCTTGCCAAGTCTCCCCCAGTTTATTACCACTGGGAACAGTTTGTCTTCTAATTATACTTCTGCATGACTGTCCATAAAAGTACACAGTTTTCCCTGTTTCTTTGGGTCTTCATTTCTGAAGACTCCAATGTCAGGTAAAACATATTAAATAAATGTGTATGTTTTTTTCTTGTTAATCTTTCTTTTATTGTCGGTGTCTCAGGCATGAACCTTGCACTGGATGAGAAATCTTTTCTCCCCTACACTTTCAATAAGCATCGGTGTATTCCAGTAGATAGAAATATAGCTGCAAAACAAACATGGCTCACTCCATAAAAGCTGGCAGTATAGGGGAAATATAGATGAGCTCTGCTAGATGCTGAAATGAAAGTACAGGATGTTATGGAAGCATATAAGAATAGCACCTAAATCTGACTCAAGTTATTAGGAAAGACTTTTTTGTAAATGACGTCTAAGCTCAAAACTAAAAGCTCAAGTCAAGGGATTAGTAAGAATATTTCAGGCAGAGGAAACAGCATATGTGAAGTCCCAGAAACGAGAAGGAACCTGGCATATTGAGGCTTCAGAAGTAGGGCTACAGGGCTGGATCCTAGAGAGAGAGCTCAAACTGGTGAGAGATAAAATTGGAGTGATAAGCAAGGGATAAGTGGTGAAGGACTCATAAGCTGTGTTAAAGAGCATGAGCTTTATTTTAAAGGCAATGTGGAGTCACTAAAAAGTTTTAAGTGCGAGTGTACATTATTAGATGGCCGAGAAATATTACTCTGGAGTGTAGAGATAGGATTGGAGGGAGGCAAACTGGAGGTGAATAATTCAGTTGGATTAATTAGTTATCCAAGTGAGAGGGGGAGTGCTGAGTGAAGGAGGGAAGGAATGATGTGCATTGAGAGAATTTGAATGATTTGAGGGATATTTAGAGGCAATATCCATAGCATTGGGTGACTGACTGAATATGTACATGGGAATGGTGAAAGATGCATCCAAAATGATGCACAAGGCTGGAAACTATATGCTGTGCCTCACTGCTAGAAATCTCAGGAAAAGAAGCATATTGGACAGTGGGGGAAAATCATCATTTGTTTGAAGATACATCAAATTTGATGTTTATGTGAGAAATGCAAATGGAGGTCTCCAGAAAACAGTTGGATACAAATGGAAGCTCAGAGGAGAGATCCGGATATAGATTTATATTCAGATATAGATCTGGATATAAATTATATTATAGGCAAAGAGTTATAAGCAGGTAAATAGTGCTTCAAGGCCAAATAGTGAATAAGGTCATTAAGGGAACATGTGACAGGGCCTTGGCCTCATCTCTGAGGAAAACACTTGAGGGAAAGGCAGAGAAAAAGGAGCTAGCAAACCAGTCTGATTTAAAAATCCAAAGGGGTCAGAGGAAAATCAGGAGAGAGAATTGTCCAGGGAGCAAAGAAAAAAGTTTCTTAAGAATAAAGAAGTGATCTACAATTCCAAACGTCACTCGGAGTTCAATAACATTAATCCTGAATGGTATCCATAGGGTTTTTCTACAAAGGAGGTGTTACTGGCTTTTCTGAAAGAGTTTCAATGGCAGAGTTAGTTAGGCTGGAAAACAATTCAGCATATTGAAGAGTGAAAGGAAGATGAAGGTGCGAAAATAACAGGAGTATGTGACATTTAAAGGATGCTTAGCTATGATAAGGAAAGCATAAGCTAGAAGGAATGTGAAGATTTTTAATATATGAGAGATTTGAACCTGTATCAATGCTAATAGGAAGAAGCTAGTAGAGTAGGAAGAAGCTAGTAGAGAAGGAAGACAGAAGAGAGATCATTAATAATATAGAGATCCTCCTACTTAGGTAAGAAAAACACAAAAACAGGGATAAGAGGAACTCAGAAACGGGAAAAGCCTTTATATAGTAACAAAAGCAGAGGGTTGGGGGAAGAGAATGAGGACATTCCTGCCCAAAGATCTCTAATTTTTCTGTGGAACAGGAACCAGTGACCATCTGCTAAGGTGAGGGATGGCAGAGAAGAGGATACAATGGGGATTGGTGGGGTTAAAATTTTAAAGAATGCTGACATGAAGTAACATTTGTGGAGAGAGTAAGCACTGACTAAGAAAGATGGGAGTACTCCACAGTGTCAAAGGTGCAGGTGAGGGTGGAGACCACAAATTTGTGTGTTACTGTACCTAATTCATTTTCTCCAGCAGCATTAAACAGCTTAGAAGTAGGTATCAAAAAGGCAGATACTTAAATTAATTCAGAGTGGAGGGATTATTTGCCTTAAGAATGCAATAGAAGGAAAACAGGGCCAAAAAAATCATGATTTTGCCAAGAAAATAAGGTGATAAGCAATGATGTGTCCGTGAGACAAGATACACAAGCACTTGGCCCTCAAGAGGTTTCAAGGAGAGTAGGAGGGACCAGTGCCAAGATATTCCTGATGCCATACACTCTACCCACTTGGAAACAAATTTAAAATTGTGAAGCTATTTATTTTTGAGGGAAAAAAATGCAATTACCTCTTGGGACACATTATCTGAATAAACGGTATCTCTATGACTGTAAATTTTAATTATATTCATTTAGGAAATGGACAACAAAGAAAACAAGTTATCAATCTTCCCTTAGCCATGTTACCAGTTAATCAAATGCACTTCCATAGGTCTTTAAGAGTGTCACCTGTTTAACACTGTTCAACCTGAAAGGAACTAAAAAACTAGTCTCTGTTATGCAAACAAATGTACACTTTAAAGGCATTTATTAAACCTATCATTAATAATGTCAGTTAATACTGAAAACATTGTAGATGGCTATTTTTACTGGATCCCATAATTCCAATTTTATTTATTCATTTATTGAACAAATGCATTGTACCTTGTTGCCTGACTCCACTTCATTAAAGGGATCAAGGAAGATTTTCACTGCAATTCTAAATTCATTTATAGTTAGGCTTATTTTCAGTTATGCACATAGTTATGGCCACATTACTAAGATGAGTTGAAATCATAATCTGAGAGTCTTACAATAGTAGATACTGACAAATCTAGATCCATAATTCATATATCACAATATTCTATTTTTATGTCTATGATACCATAAATCAATCACCTGAGCTTAACCTAAAATAGGTTTGCAAAAGCTTAACATCACATTTAAAAATCAGGATTAATCCTTCTCTGTTACATTATTGTTTGATTACAGTCAGCCATCTGGTATTTTTGAGTTATAGTCAATCGCAACATTCCTGGGAGAAGCAGAACCCATAGAAAATCTACCCTTGTCAAACACTAAATACTAGAACTGCAAGGTGCTGTACACATGAACAATGCAAACGGCAGAACTAAGAACAATTAAATGGATGTTTTTTTGCAATCTTTATTTGAAAGCTTATGTTCCAATGTTGTAGGTCAAGGAAGGTACTAAATATACAATTCTCTGTCCATAGTTATTTGGTGTTTTTAAGCTCATCTATAACCAGTTTATTAAAAAGTAAAAGGGAGATATGAAATGAGCTGGTAGAGCAAATATTATGTTGGAAAACATTTATTAAATACAACATGTTATCATGATAGTTGAAAATACATTAAGTCAGATTTTCTCAAGTGCCTACACAATTGTAGAAAATTTGATACTAGATGTAGTATATTAACTCTTTTATGGTAACTTTTAGTGAGTTATTTCTTCAGTTCTCGTGCATTAGTAAATACACCTCATAAAACTGCCTTCATCCAGAGAAATTTGAATTCTGTTACCCATTAGTAGATAATACTATTTTGACAGTCAGTTGTACTTTCTTGAAAATAAATAATCTGGTCTCTTAAAATCTTATATTCCCTATTCCTATAACTCAACTTCTAACACTGATGAAAAAATCATGCAGTTGTACAAATTGGTGCAAAAATAAACTCATAGTTTTCAACCTGTTGAGTTCTGAACACTTCCTCATAACAGTTCTATCTGTTTAATTAGCTTTCCTAACCAATTGTCACAATATTCTTTATTATCTACAATTGACATACAATGAACTGTACACAGTTAAAGTGTATGATTTCATAACTTTTGCCATGTAGAAGTATATGTGAAACCATCAACTACAATCAGAATAGTGGACATACCCAGCACCCCCAAAGGTTTCCTTGTACCCCTTGTTATTCCTTTCCTGTTATTCCCTCCATTCCCAAGCAAATTCTGATCTGCTTATCTGTCATTATACACTATTTTACATTTTCAAATTTTATATTAAGAGACTCATACAGTGTGTACACTCTTATGCCTGGCTTCTTTTACTTTACATAATTATTATGAGATTCAGTTATGCTGTACTATCATCAATGGCTCATTCCTTTTTACTGGTGAGTAGCATTTTGTGAATAACCAACAATTTATTTATCTATTAAACTCTTGATAGATGATTGATTTTTTTCATCCTTTTATGGCTATTGGAAACCTAGCTGCTATGAATATTCATGTATAAGTCTTTGTGTAGACATATGCTTTCATTCTCTTGCAAAAATATCCAGTAGTGGAATGTCTGGATCATATGGTAGCTGTATATTTAGCTTTTAAGAAACTGCCAAAATGTTTTCCAAAGTGCTTGTATCATTTAAAATTCTCATCAGCTTTCCTTTGATTAGTGTTAGCATAGTAAATTTCTTTCCATCTTTTTACTTTTAACCTATTTGTGTCTATGTATTTAAAGTGGGTTTCTTGTAGGCAGCACATAGTTGGGTCTTTGTTTTTTTTATCCAGTCTGAGACTCTCTGCCTTTTAGTTGGGGTGTTCAAACTATTTAATTTTTTTGTTATGCAATCAAAGCGAATCTTCTTTTTTTTTTCTTTATATATATATATATTTTATTATGCCTTAAGTTCTAGGGTACATGTGCACAATGTGCAGGTTTGTTACATATGTATACATGTGACATGTTGGTGTGCTGCACCCATTAACTCATCATTTAGCATTAGGTATATCTCCTAATGCTATCCCTCCCCCCTCCCCCACCCCACAACAGGCCCCAGTGTGTGATGTTCCCCCTTCCTGAGTCCAGGTGTTCTCATTGTTCAATTCTCACCTGTGAGTGAGAACATGCAGTGTTTGGTTTTTTGTCCTTGCAATAGTTTGCTGAGAATGATGGTTTCCAGATTCATCCATGTCCCTACAAAGGACATGAACTTATCCTGTTTTATGGCTGCATAGTATTCCATGGTGTATATGTGCCACATTTTCTTAATCCAGTCTATCATTGTTGGACATTTGGGTTGGTTCCAAGTCTTTGCTGTTGTGAGTAGTGCTGCAATAAATGTACGTGTGTATGTGTCTTTATAGCAGCATATTTTATATTCCTCTTGGTATATACCCAGTAATGGGATGGCTGGGTCAAATGGTATTTCTAGTTCTAGATCCCTGAGGAATCACCACACTATCTTCCACAATGGTTGAATTAGTTTACAGTCCACTAACAGTGTAAAAGTGTTCCTATTTCTCCACATCCTCTCCAGCACCTGTTGCTTCCTGACTTTTTAATGATGGCCATTCTAACTGGTGTGAGATGGTATCTCCTTGCGGTTTTGATTTGCATTTCTCTGATGGCCAGTGATGATGAACATTTTTTCATGTGTTTTTTGGCTGCATAAATGTCTTCTTTTGGGAAGTGTCTGTTCATGTCCTTCGCCCACTTTTTGATGGGGTTGTTTGTTTTTTTCTTGTAAATTTGTTTGAGTTCTTTGTAGATTCTGGATATTAGCCCTTTGTCAGATGAGTAGATTGCAAAAATTTTCTCCCATTCTGTAGGTTGCCTGTTCACTCTGATGGTAGTTTCTTTTGCTGTGCAGAAGCTCTTTAGTTTAATTAGAACCCATTTGTCAGTTTTGGCTTTTGTTGCCATTGCTTTTGGTGTTTTAGACATGAAGTGCTTGCCCATGCCTATGTCCTGAATGGTATTGCCTAGGTTTTCTTCTAGTGTTTTTATGGTTTTAGGTCTAACATTTAAGTCTTTAATCCATCTTGAATTAATTTTTGTATAGGGTGTAAGGAAGGGATCCAGTTTCAGCTTTCTACATATGGCTAGCCAGTTTTCCCAGCATCATTTATTAAATAGGGAATCCTCTCCCCATTGCTTGTTTTCGTCAGGTTTGTCAAAGATCAGATGGTTGTAGATATGCGGCATTATTTCTGAGGGCTCTGTTCTGTTCTGTTGGTCTATATCTCTGTTTTGGTACCAGTACCATGCTGTTTTGGTTACTGTAGCCTTGTAGTATAGTTTGAAATTAGGTAGTGTGATGCCTCCAACTTTGTTCTTTTGGCTTAGGATTGACTTGGCAATGTGGGCTCTTTTTTGGTTCCATATGAACTTTAAAGTAGTTTTTTCCAATTCTCTGAAGAAAGTCATTGGTAGCTTGATGAGGATGGCATTGAATCTTTAATGTGATTATTGATATGGTTGTGTTTAAATGTATCATCCTGCTATAGGTTTTCTATCAATCTCATCTGTTTATTGTTCACTTTTTCCTCTTTTTTTGCATTCTTTTGGACTAATACAGTATTTTCTCATTACACTTTGTTCCCTTTGTTGGCTTATTGGCTGTAACTCATTTGTATATGTGTATGTGTGTCTGCGTTGACAATTGCTTTTGGTTTATAGTATGTATCTTTAACTAATCACAGTCTACCTTCACTTGCACTTTGCCCTCACAACCACTGTGTTATTGTTTCACACATATTTTTTCTAAATATTTTATAAACCTCTTATTAATTTGTCATTACTTTTATTTTAAATAATCAGTTATCTCTTAAAGAGATTGTTAAGAAAAGTGTTTTATATTAACTCACATATTTAACATTTCTAATGCTCTTAATTTCTTTGTGTAAATCCAGATTTCCATCTGATATCATTTGCCTTCAAACTGAGGACTTTTAACACTTCTTTCATGCAGGTATGCTGATTAATTTTTTTTTCAGCTTTTATTTGTCTGAAAAAGACTTTATTTCACTTTTATTCTAAAAGATATTTTCAGCAACAGTTTTTCTTTCAGTATTTCAAAGTTTCAGCTTTCCTGACCCCTTGTTTGCATTGTTTCTACCAAGAAGTCTGATGTCATTTTTACCTTTTTTCTTCTGTATCACATATTTACTTTTGCTATGAGTTCTTAAAGATATTTTTCTTTAACATTGATTTTAAAGAATTTTGTTATCATGTCTTAATGAAGTTTTCCTCAAGTATCTTGTGCTTAGATTTGTATTTTCCCTCAATTTTGAAAAATTTCAGCTATTATTTCTTCAAATATTTTTCTGACCCTTCTTTCAGAAATTCCAATTATATATATATATATTTCAGCTTTTCATTGTTCAACTGTTCATTGATTATTTAACTTTAAGTCATTTTGTTTTTCCAGGTACCACCTTGGAAAGTTTATTTGGCTTTATCTTCAAGTTCATTAGTCTTTTTTTCTAACAGTTTTGATCCAGCTATTAACACCATCGAGTATGTTTCTCATCTCAAACAATGTATTTTTTATTTCTATAGATTTGATTTGAGTCATTTTTTTTACATTGTCCATGTCACCACTTAATATGTTCAATCCTTCCTCTACTTTATTTAACATATGGAATATAGTTATAAGTGTTTTAATGTTACCTGGTGAATCTATTATCTGTCATTTTGGGATCTGTCTCTATTTATTGACTTTTCCCTTATGATGTGTCATATTTTCCTGCCTTTTTGCATACCTGGTAATTTTTTATCACATGCCATGTGAATTTTATCTTGTTGAGTACTGGATGTTTTTTAATTCTATAGACATTCTTGGGTGCTGGATATTTTGGATTCCTATAAATAATCTTGAACTTGTTTATGAGTCACAGTTAAGTTAGTTGGAAATAACCTGATCCCTTTGAAGCTTGATTTTATAAGCAAGACTGTATCAGCCTCTAGACCAGGGCAAATTTTGCCTCACCACTATACTAATACACTTTTGGGTACTCTACCTGATGCCCCATCAATTACAAGTTTCTCACTAAGGCAAGTAGAAACAAGTACTTTTCCTGGTCCTGGGTGAGTGACAGTGATTGTTTCCTTAGCCCCTTTTAAGTGGCTCTTTCCCCAGCCTTGGCTACTTTCCTCATGCGTATGCAGAAAAATGGAAGGAATTCTGAAGATCTCCAGAGCACTTCATATCTCTCTTTCCTTCCCTTCCTCTCTCTCTCTCTCTTTCTCTCTTGCTCTCACTCTCGCTCTCACTCTCACTCTGTCTCCCTTCCTCTCTCCCTCCCTCCTCCAGGACTCTAGAAACTCTAGTTACTTCGGCTTCCTCAAAGTTCTAATTTTCTTTCTTCAACTCAGGGATTTTGCTAAGCTCCATGTAGATTCTCCCATTTGAATTATGTCTGGGAACTCTCCAGACAGCAAGCTGGAGCCGTCACAGGGCTCACCTTACTTCCTCCTCTATCTCAGGGAAGGCATTACTGAACTTCCTTACCTGATGTCCAATGTCTGACAATTATATTTATTATATTTTGCCCATGTGTTTAATTATTTAAAGCAAGAAAGTGAATTCAGCCCCTATTACCCCATCATAATCAGAAGTAGACATCTGCAATAGCTATATTAAATCTTCAACATTTTCTTCACTTGTAATTAATGGGGAATCAGGTAGAGTACTCAAAAGGGTGTTAGTATAGTGGTGAGGCAAAATTTGCCCTAGACTAAAGACTGATACAGTCTTGCCTATAAAATCAAGCTTCAAAAGGATCAGAAAGAAAGTTTCCTACCCTACCTCCTTCTTCCCACTGCCTCTCAGATGACAACCTTACTCAAACTTTATGTGTAATTCATTAACTTCTTGTCTCTACATTCTACAATTTATATCAAGTCGTAACACTTTTCAAATTCCTTCCCTTTCTCCCCATAAATCCTCTTTTCAGATTCATCAGTGTCCTCAGTTTCTAGTCAACTCTTTCCTTTGCATCTTCAGTGTCTCCCTCTTTCCTGGTTCTTTTCGCTGGCTGCTCCTTCTCAAGTATAGCTCTTCTTCTGTATGATGTTATCCTCCAGATTTCCGCCTTTGGTTGTCTTTTCTTCTAACCCTAGATTCTTCGTGACTGTGTTAGTCTGCTAGAACTGCCATATCAGAACACCAAAAACTGGGTGGCTTAAATAACAAAAATTTATTTCCTCGCAGGTTTGGAGGCTGGGTGTCTAAGATCAAGGTGCAGGCTGGATGGGTTTCTGGTGAGGCTTTTCTTCCTGGCTTGAAGATGACTACTTTCTTACTTTGCCCTCACATGGCCTTCTCACTGTGCACATGAATCTCTGGTGTCTTTCTCTTCTTGTAAGTACACCAATCATATTGGATTAGGTAGGGTTCCACATTTTTTTAATGTCAGTTAGTCTTAATTACCTCCTTAAAGGTTCTATCTCCCCATATAGTCATATTGGGGTTAGAAGTTGAGTATATTGATTTTGCAGGGACACAGTTAAGTCCTTAACACTGATCTACTTCATTCTCTCTCATTATTTCAATTGCTGACTAGTACCAAATCCAAATATCTACTCCAATCTTTCTCCTGAGCACCAACCAATATGTCTAAATCCCTACTGAACATTTTCATGTGGATATTATACCTATGCTTTATTCAATATGTTTGAAATTAAACCTTATTATCTATTCCCTCCACATCAAGTATCCTGAATTCACTTTCTTATTAATTGTGCCACCCTTCATACAATCTACCTGCCAGAAAATGTGAGAGCCACTTTTTATCCTCATTCCTCTCACTCACTACATTTGTTTACCAACTCTTAGCAAGTCTATCTCCTTAATATCCTCTGAATCTGTTTCTTCTTCTTTATTGCCACTGTTATCACCTTAGTTCAAAAGTTCATACATTCTGATTGAGTTGCAATATATTTTGCCCCCAGGCTCATCTCCTTCTTACCATGTTCTACTCTCCTGTCATAATAATGCCTTTAAAAGACAAATTTGAAAATATTATTTACAAATTAGCATTCTTCAATGATTGAATACTATCTTTAACCTCAGGATAAACCAATCAAAGTCCCTGTCGTGACCTCTAGGGCTCTTTAATAACCTAGTTACTGCATGCCCCATGAAATTTTCTCTGCATTCCCTGTTTTTCTCCCAGCTCTCCGACACCTATTCCTTATATTCTATAATGACTTATTTGTAACTTATCAAATGCATCTTGCTCTAGTAAATCTTTGTGACTTTGCCCTTGTTACTTTATTTCAAGTAATATTTAAGAGAGACTATTTTCTTCCTCAAAATTCAACATAGAGGTTATTACCATCAATAGATAGCTACTGAACTGGACTTCTTTGTATTTCCCAGTCTGGAGTATGTTCTTCCTTACAGGCTTCTATGGCATTCTGTTTCCTCTATGATAGCTCTAATGGTTTTTACCATTTGCCTGCCTTGTCCTCTGATAGACATAACCTTCTGTAAAGTGTATAAAGTCTGTTCCTCATTTATCTATAACCAGCATCCAGTACAGTAGCAATTATAAATAAAAGTTTGTTGAAGGAATGCCTTAATAGAGAGATGTGCTTGATCCCGTTGATTCACAGATGCATTCGATATAACCACAAAAACTCTAAAATACATTGTCATGTGCTGTACAAGAAACTTGTATTTTATATTTCTATATTAGGAAAATAGCCACATTAGAAAATGTATTGCTGAAACAATACCACTTAAGTTTTAGTCAACCAGTATTTACGACTTTACTCTCATGTAATAAATTTCCTTATGCTTTTGTCTTAAGTATAGGTCAGAGAGCTATTCAAGAGTAGATACAAAGACATTCATGTTGACTTGAGGCAGCTTGTCATAATAGTGAAGCATTTGAAAATCTGTTCATCCAGGTTTCATTTTCAAGTCAGCTGGCTGATTACTTGATTCCCAATCCTCAGGAAATACTGTTCTTTGTAAGGCCTCAGGGTTCCTTAGAATCTTAGCTTCAGATTAATATTACAGTGTCATCCAATACCAACTCAGTGATATTTTCCTACCACTTTTTTTAAATCAATCAACTCTTCTTTCCAAAATGCTGCCCAAATGCTTTTCAGACTCAACAGCTTCTTTTCTCCTGCTCCCTAACTTCCCAGATATTCACAGCCAATATGAGCATTTCTCTACCCATCTGTGCTGTTCTTGCCTTTAGTCTCCTCACTCATTTCTAATCCCTTCCTCAGACTACCCTTGTTCTTCACATTATCTTCCAACTTTAAGTGCAAGGTTGCTCCAGTCCAGGTAAAATCATCACTATCACACAGGCTGCCTGGCACAGAAGTCCTGCATAGAACAGAACACTAGCATTCTGAAACCTAAATAATACCATGACTATTCCTGCTCAGGGAAACTATCTCCTCTATGCAAATTTTGCAGAGGAATATTTTCAATACACCCTGCTTTGAGTGTGTGAATCATAATGAAAGTCAGTGCTGATATCACTTATGTTCAGCTCCTCCCCTAGTCACAGGGAGGGCTGTTACTGCTGCAGTCCCATTTTGACAAGTCAAAACTACTTAGAGCCTTATGTTAACTGTGGTCTATCAAGTCTTGCAGCCCTTCAGTTGCCCAAGCAGCTAGGACAAGTTCTATTATTCAGACTGTTCCTGTGAGACCAAATCAGATCTTCAGCTTCAATAGAAAGTTACTTTTGTTACTTCTCTGACCTAGAACCTGGGCCCCACCTCTGATGTTTGAGTTTCTGGTTTGATACTGGAACTCTATCTGACTCACACCTTGCTGTGATAGTTAATTTTATGTTTCAGCTTGACTGAGCCATAGGGTGCCTAGATATTTGATTAAACATTGTTCCTGGGAGTGTCTGTGCAGGTGTTTCTGGAAAAGATGAGCATTTGAATTGATAGACAAAGTAAAGCAGATTGTCCTAATGTGAGTGGGCCTCATCCAATCTGTTGTGGCTTGAACAGAACAAAAAGACAAAAGAAGGAAGAATTCACTCTCTCTCTCTCTCTGAGTGACTGATTGAACTAGGACATTCATCTTTTACTGTCCTCAGACTGGGGCTTACCCATAAACTCTCCTGGTCTCAGGCTTTTGAATTAGGATTGGACCTATGCCACCAACTTTCCTGGTTCCCTAGTTTACCAGCTGAGGATGAAGGGACTTAGTCTCCATATTCACATGAGCCCATTTCTTATAATAAATGTGTGTGTGGGCGCGTGTGTGTGTTTGTGTGTTTGTCATATTGCCTCTCTTTCCAAGGAGAATCCTGACTAATACATTTGCCTAGTCTAAGAGTGTGTTCTGTTTCTCCATAGCTGAGTCCTTATCTTGACAAATACATGTGGCTACTACTCCATACTTAGACCATTTTGCTACTCCATACTGGGACCATACTTGCTCTTGCCAATACCTTCCTTTCACACTGGAACCTTGTTCCCATTTTCATTAGCCATCTACAGTCAGGCTTCTTTAATGCCAAATGACTGCTGACATTACCATATCCCCCTTATTATGCTTCTCTGCTCCCCTTCATGCAACTTCCAGCGAGACCACTTATTGAGAGATCATTCGCCTCCTCCTTTGATATTAAGATGCTGAGATCTGTCCATCAGAATGGATACTCTCCCAGGCCTATACCTATTTCTATTCTGCTAAGACCTAACTCAGTATCTGTTCCCTCTGATCTATAATGAGTATAAAGTGTAATTTGGGAACCAGTCACTACCCAATCCCCAAGAGTTACATAACATATTTTAACAAAATACCATACGGAACTTTTAAAATGAGGATATCTTCAGTAAATTTAAGAGATGTCAGTGCAATTTGGTTCTTGAGAATAAAGTACAAGGTATGATAGTTTGCTGAGTGCAGTCCACAATTCAAAAACTAATCAAAAATTTGACCTTTTCCATTTCTAAACTTATTTAGTTTTCCCTGTATAATTTGTATAATAGAGTGCTAATTACTTAGTGGGTTTTTTTTGTACGTGCAATCAATACAAAATAATGAAAAGGCCCTAAAATGAGAAATAGTTATTCTGTAATGGTAAAAGATTATATTTAAAACAATTTCATTTCAATGAATGTATACATATAAAGTGATTATGTGTATACATACTTAAAACTAATCTAACACCTTTGACACGCTGTTTTCTCTTTCAGTAATATGGATATATATATAATTAGCATTATATTATATATAATTATGATATATTACAATAAATATAATTAACAATGAATTTTGCATTAATATAATATGTTGAACTCTACTAAACACAAATATCCTGATCTATGGAAACAACATAGAATAACATAGTAGAAAAAGTAAATTACATTAATTGCTTTAAAATAAATGTCTTTATGGTGAACAAGGTAAATTATGATATGATGAGACAATGACTAAATACTAGTCTTCTTGACTGCACTTCCTATCCTTAAAGATTTAGGGCTTCCTCTTAGTCCCCAATATCAGAGATGTACAGTTCTCTCTCACTTTGTATGATCTTTCTCAAAAGAACTCATCAATAGCCATAAATTCTAAGGCTGAGTTGTTGTTGTTTTATTTATTTTTTTAGGAGCACTTAACTACAGGAATGAAGAAATAAAGGGAGTGTGCGAATATGGATGAAGGAGAAGAAAGAAAAGTGAAAAGAGACGGGAAAGAATTTCCCTTTATTAAAAGCCTACCTTAGGTCAGGCACTATATTGATTCACAGATATTTTATTTAATCCACAAAACTATCTTAGCACTTATAATCTCCATTTGGTAGTTAAGGAAACTGATGACTAGAGAAATAAACTGCCTTCTCACAAATGGCATGGTAGGTGAGTAACAGAAGCAAGAGAGGAAACCCAGATCGCCGTGATTATCAAGTCTATGCCTTTTCCACAAAAGTGTTTTGTGCATGTCCATACATAATTCTAAGGTACATCCAATACATATATATGTATATCCAATAGACATAAATGAATATTCTTTATTAGAAAATAGATGTGTAGCACTACCCAAAATAATAGAGGAGTCTTGCTAATTGATACATCTCTTTATTCAACACTTATTTACCGAGCAGTTACTATTGTGCTGTGCTAGTGTCCGGAAATACAAAAATGAAGGAAATCCTTCACCTCCGAAAGATTTACAGTCAAGAAGGGCAGAAAGGAAAGCAAATCCACAATTTCAATACAGTGTGATAAGCACTGGGGTTGGGGCACATACAGACTGCCATGGGGAAGTCAACAGCTGACTTGGAGACAGGCATGAAGACAAAAAGAGAGAAAGTTTTCGAAGATTTGGGTGATGTTCAGACTCACAAAGAACAGATTGAAATCCTCCGAATGGAGAATTGCGAGGACATTTGGGATGGGGCACATGTGCAAAGACAGGGAGGAAAGAAGGACCAGACCACTTGGAAAATGCAGGTTTGTTCATATGAGAGATATGAGAGATCAGGTAGATATGAGAGATGGATATGAGAAATCAAGGAGAAGGGCAGGAAGACTCCCATTCTGTTGGTTTGAATAACTGAGTTAATGATGGTGCCATCTTTGGGGGCACAAAATTTTGTCATTCCTCCACTGAAAACTCTTTAATGACTTACGTTGCTATTTGACTAAAGCCTAAATTCCTGAACGTGCCCCATAAAACTTCTGCCATTTTCCCAGCCTCCCCATCAGTGTTGTCCCTCTCTTTACAAAGCACCTGCTTTTTTCCCAGCCCAGGGTCTTCACACCTTCTGATCCTTCCTCTTGCAACAATCTCTCTACACCCCTTCACACACATCCTCTCAGCCTAAATGTTACCTACTCAGGAAGGCTTTCTCTGGCCTCTAGATTCAGACAGATTACCCCCATGATATCTTCTCATAATACCTTCACCTTTACCTTCATAGCTCTTACCACAGTGGAAATTTAAAAATCATTTTGATTAGTATATACTCAATGCCTGTCTGTCAAAATATGTGCCTGTTTTGGTCACTTTTTATCTATAGTGCTTAATCCAAGATGAATTAATTCATAAGGACATTCTAAGTATATGGAGTGGTGGGTTGTGACAGTAATACAGAAGGAGTTTGGCAGTAGGATTCGAATTTTGGGGTAAACATGAGTATAAGATATCTGTGGAGCATCCATGTAGAAATGTTTATAAGGCAATTTATCTTTTTAGAATTTTCCTTTCAGTATTTAGGTGAGACTTCTGGGCAAAGCACAAATTTAAGAGAAATTGGTAAATAGCACTTAAAAGTATGGGAATTTATGAAATCAGCCAAAGAGAAATAGAAGCAGCGGGAAAGCATGATCATTAGGTACAAAAGCATAACAGGGCCAAGTAGAGAAATGAGATCTAACAGGAGTGGCCTGAAAGACAGGAAGAAAACTGGGGATATGGCATTAGGTAGTCAAAGGAGAAAATTTTCTGATATGAAACACATAGTAACACAAAAGACTTTTTCTTTGCACTTGAAAGGAGGCAAGTAACAAGGTCTGAATATATAGTGTTGAGTTTTGCAATTCTGAGAGTCACTGACAACAAAAGGAATACTTTCCAGGGGCTATGGGAGGAAAATCCAGTGCAGTAATTTACATATTCAATCAGTTCACAAGTCTTATTGCCTGTCTATTAAGCACTAGGGCTTGTGCTTCTTGATGGAGATACAACAGTAAACAAAATAGGAAAGCTTCCTATCTTTATAGAGTTCAAGGCACTAAGACCAGGGCATAGATTTAGCTTTGTTTCAATACAAGCAGTTTAATCTTTATTTTCTTATACCCAGCTGCTTCAGACATTTATGTGGCCTGCCTGGCTCTGATGGGCATAGGTTATTGACTCCAGAAAAAAGTGTAAAAAGTGTTATAATCAGTTATAATTGTACATGTAATTGTACATACAACAACTGACCCAGTCATGAAGGTCAAGAAAGTAGTGAGTCAGGAAAATTAGAGATGACAATAATCAAAGAAAGGAAATGGTTGCTATAATCAAATGGCATGATCCTCAAAATCTAATGGGTTTTAACAGGAGTATGCACAAATGAAAACAGCAAAAGGAAAAGTAAGTGAATTTAACACCTACCATACCTCCTGTTTGAGGATGGGAGAAGAAACAGCCTCCACTTAGTGCAACAGCAATATTTATTATAAAGCTCAATATATTTTTTGTACATAGACTGTTTCTCCCTTTTACAGCCTCCATCCACCCCCTTATTCTTAAGGGGAGATCCATCTGAGCCTGTGGAGGATTGGGTGGGCTTTGCAAGGCCACTTGTTCTAGGTATCCATTGAAGGAATCCACACAGCTAAGAGGACCACCATGGTGCTACCCTCTGGCTTTTCCTCTGCTTTTTGAAATTTTTGTTTCTAATTCATATCCTAAACCATTAAAGAAAGTAAATAAATCAACCATATCGCCCTACCAATGCTCTCAAATTTTTGCTAACAGGCCCACCTACACTTCCCGAGACACCATGAAAGCCTAAAACAGCACTTTCTCAAAATTTCCTTTCCAAAATCCATTACTTGGTAATAAACTGGGATGTTTTTAACTTTTTTTATGAGATAAGGAATTCTTGTTGCCTATCTTTTCACTTTATTTCTACATGCTTTATTAATGTTTTTGGAAAAATTATTTTGAGATGTTAGTCTAGAATATTTATTTAGGGAAGAGCATCTGATGCCAAGTTATTTGCCAATAGAAAGGTGATAAACATAGTTATTTGCCAGTTGTAATTCAATAAATTATGATGTGTTTAGTAGCCATTAGTTTGAAAAAGACTACTTTTTATATTATTGTGAAGTTATCTTTTAAATCATTAAAAATGAGATTGCCAAACTTCTGGGCTATTTGCATTCTGTAACTGCCTAGAGTTTGATATGAAGAATGGTAATATTTACATTGAGAACAACAAATATTGTTAAATAGAAGCAAAACAGAAGCCAGTGGGTATGCCTTCTTTTTTTCAGGTGCAAGGTAGCTAGTGAAATACTCCAAACGAAGCATCACAGCATTTTCTTTAAATGTATGTGCTCTTTTATCTGATCTTTTCTTTATTATCTTCCTTCATTCCTCTCCTTGCTTTTCCTTAGTCATCCCCTAAAATCATGCTTTAATCACTCTTAGCATCCTTCCTCTCTTCTGATTTTTCTCCTAATCTTCAAAGTAAGATTAACTGATATATTGAGAAAATTTAAATTGGGGGAAATACACAAAACAATTTATATTAGTATTTTAAATATATCAGTACACATGAAGCTTTCCTGTAGTTTTTTTTTTCTCCTTCCATGTATTGTTAGAGAGCCCTCTTTTCTTATAGTGTTGTTATCTGCAAAGCCAGTGCTACTGCAGATCGCCACACAAATTTAAAAGAACCTTCCCAGGGAAACAGTCAGCTTATGCTTCTCCTAAGGAAAGTCAGAGAGGATTTTTATTAGAACAAAAGTAAAAGTCAAAAGTCTAGAGTAGCTTCCAATAACTATCTCAGCAACAGAGTAAAGACCAGGGAGAATGCTTTATAAGACCATCACAATATCTTCCACACTGAATACTTTCCAGACTAGTTCCCAAGAAATCATGTCTGCATTTTAGGAAGAATTGGCTATAGAGAAAGTGACTGGTAAAAGCTATTATGTGAGCCCTCCACTTCACACACTGAGAGCATGAGGCGGAAGTATGAAGCAGCCTCTTCACAAAGGCCCTCATCAGTGGAAAACAGGCTGTTTCTTTATTTGAATCCAAGACTGAGCCCAAAATGGAAAGAATGGAATAAACCAGGAGCAAGACTCTCCCAGATCTCCCAAGACTGGGAAGGGCAGCAGGCTTCAGCAAGCTCCTAAAGATATCAGGAGCAATGATGGTATTAGTCACAGGAGAAGAAGCTAGGGGAGCTATCACCACAGCAACTCAGAGGAGGTACAGGCAAAAAGCAGTGACCGTGAGGGACAGTTCTTCCAAGCACAAGAACTAACTCGGTGCTGAGTTGGAGGAATTGGGGAAATACACTGTCTTCACAGAGTCAACAAAAGTAGATCCAGAGAAACTAATATCTTTGAGCATGACACTGTCTTTGCCTCTATGGTGATATTGCCATGGCCATAGTTTATATAATTTACTTAAGGTTTGTTATTCTTATATTTTTAATCCTGATGAGGATTAATGATTATGGCAGCCAACATTGATTGAATTCCCTTAGGACACTGTACTAAGTCCATATGCATTACCTTATATGTCCTTTACAACAAACCTAGAGGGTACATATTAATACTATCTGGATTTCATGGATTAAAAAGAAAAAAATTGAGGCTCAGAGAGTTTTAAAAACATGTCCAAGTTTACACAGTTAATATGTGACAGATCCAAAATTCAAATCTGGTCACTGGCCACAGAGTCCAAGCTTTCAACCCCTTTACTGCCTGGCTAGGTTCTAGAAGCTGAGAGCTGAGAGCTGGCAGAATTGCCATGTACTTGGAATCCATTTCAGAACTAGAAGAAACCCAAGACACAGAATGGAAAACAGCAGCTTTACAGAGGAAAGAAAGGTATGTTCACTTCTTGAAGCCTATAACAGAAAAGAGAAATAGGGCATGAGAAGGAAAGCTAGTCATAAAAATGTAACCCGAAACTTCTCAGGAGTTATTAGTCCATTTCCCTACTGCTACAAAGAACTACCCGAGCCTGGGCAATTTATGAAGAAAAATAATGTTTAATTGACTCACAGTTTTGCATGGCTGGGGAAGCCTCAAGAAACTTACAATCATGGCAGAAGGTGAAGGGAAAGCAAGGCACGTCTTACATGGTGGCAGGAGAGAGAGAGAATGAGAGAGGAGTGAACTGCCAAACACTTTTAAGCCATCAGATCTTGTGAGAACTCACTCACTATCATGAGAACAGTATGGGGAAAACCAACCCCATGATCTAATCACTCCCACCAGGTGCCTTCTTTGACATGTGGGGATTACAATTGGGTGGGGACACAGAGCCAAATCATATCAGTAGGTAAGCCCCTCATTGTTCCTTAGTGGCTCCTATAGGGATACCACTAATTCCCTTTTTTTTTAAGGATGTGAAACACAAATTACAATACCTAAATATGATAATTCAACAAAGACACAAGTCCCTGCATCATCAAGTACTCATTGAGAATGTGTCCTATTCTCAGTCTATTACATCCAAGCCTGGCATGTCCACTGATGTGCAAGTTTCCGCATGGGAAGCTCCCTGAGGGCAAGGGCAGAACTCTTGAGTTCAGCATGCAAGGCTTTCACAAGCTGTTTTTAGTCTATGTGTCCACTTCATTTCATGCAAGGCTTTCACAAGCTGTTTTTAGTCTATGTGTCCACTTCATTTCTTGTCATTTCTCCCTTTTGTCCTGAATATCATGTTCTCTCTTCTCCCTAGAAAGCATTTTTCCCATTTCTACTTGGCAAAGTTCCCATCTCACTTTGAAAACCCAGCATAGATGTTGTTTTTGAGCAGTGGCAATGCCATGAGTACTTAGGCTCCAACAAGTAGAATCAGCTTCCCTCTCAAACACAGTATCAGTTCAAGATCATGGACCCTCCGCTATCTCCAGCCAGCCTGCAAGCCCTCAGCCCCTCACATGTATGAATACTAGAATAATCACTGTTTCCAGGCACCCTTGCTCTGTCCTCTAGGATGACTGTCTCTTTCTCTCTGTTCCCACAGTTTTTAAGTATACCTCCATTACACCACTCATCATAACATATTTTAATTGTTTTTGGCATATTGATTTTTCTATCTGAGAGCAGAAATTAATACTATACAGATTAAGTAGAGTGCTTAGAACACAATAGCATTCAATAAATGCAGTTGACTTGCTGGTTCAAGACATTCTATCTATTCTAGCCTGACATACAGCACTTAGAAATTTTCACATAATTATTAATACATTTGCTCAATAGAGCATGCATAAAACACTTAAACAAGAAAAAATAACCACTATTAACCAACAACTTGTTCCAAGTGTGCCTTTTCTACATTTGTTTATGATCTTTCGGTTTACATATTTCCAATCTTCTCACTTTTTTTAGCAAATGATAACCAGTTGTTCAAGCCAAAAATCAAGTAATCATCCTCACTTCTCCATTTCTCATATCCTCTACAGCCAATCATCAAATTCTATTGTTTCTACTTCAAAAATATATCTTAAATCTATTCATTGTTCTTCATCGCTAGTCTTAGTCCCATCCACCGTTTCTTGGGTGGATAACTGAAATAGGCTCCTAATGTATTTCCTGGTTTCTCCTCCTGCCTTTATAATTTAATCTTCATACAGCAGACAGAGCTATCTTCTTTATAGTCTAATAAGACACATTACCCTTCTGAAAAAGTTTCAACAACTTCCTACTGCCTTTAAAATAAAATCCAACCTGGCCTCCGTGATCTGACTTTTGCTTCCTAAACCAACTTCATCTCCTACTTCTCTCTCATTCTTTGACGAAGCACCAATCACAATGACAAGATCAAGCTTGTTCCTACTCTGGGCCATTGTGCTTGCTTTTCCCTCTGCCATGGTGGCTGTTTCCTTGTGAGCTCCTTTCCATCCTTCAGAACTCAGATGAAATGTCACTTCCACTGAGAACCCTTCCCTGCTCACTCCTCTAACATATTCTCTGCCTATCTATCACATCCTCTTGTTTATTTTCTCCATAGCACTTACCATAATCTGTAATTATCTTGTTTATTGGATTTCTTGTGAAATTCAACAAAATGAAGTCCCCAACAAAATGAAAGAACTGTCAGGGAAGAACTTTGTCTTTTCTTACACACTGACTCTCCAGGGTCTATAAAATATTAGGCACCCTCTATGAATTTCTTGAAAGAACTGATGAATACATATTTAATGTTTATTGTATAACTTTACATTTATATAGTAAGCTCTTTGCAGGCAAAGACCATGTCTTATTTGGAAAGAATTTGATACAGCACCCTGAAAAGTACTATGTGATGACAGATACAATAAATGTTATCATAGATTTTGAAAAGTCTATCGGGATAACATTTAAAGTGATTCCAATCTCAGTTTTCATGGTAGAATATCAAGCCAAAGAAGCAGTAACACAAACTTCTGACATATATATATATATATATATATATATATATATGAATGAATAGGAATCTACATATATATGGCCTTAAATAATATTAATAAGAGGTGAGAGTCTGAGAATGCTTTGAAAAATCTGAAAAATATGAATGCTTTTTGCAAGAGCAGGTCTCTGCTGTGCTTATCTCCCTGTGTGCTCTAAGCACCCGTGGATTACCGCAGTTCTCTTTTTAAGAGGCGGTTGATGCCTAGAGGATCACGTGATCAAGATAATTGAGTTTAGTAATTCCACAAGAAGAAAGTCCAACTGAGGTAATGTATCTGAATTTAGTAGCTAAATTAAAAGTTTGAGCCTCAGCTTTCCCAGAAGTAATTTCTTCTCTCATCAGGGAATGTATATGCTATAAATAAGATTATGTAGCTCAAAAGCTAATTGTTTGAGAACTCCTAATTAAAAGTAATAGCTAATGAAAGGATCACATTAGTGACTTAATGTTAGTGGTCACATTCGAATCTTACATTTTATACAAACCTGGTTTATTTTTTCTTACATAGCTGGCATTAGTGGATAAGTAAATTATTCTTGGATAGCTGCAGCAGCTAATACATGCTGGACCTGGATCAAAGGGACATTAAGGAACATAACAAAGAAAGCTCCACTCCTAACTCAGAGATTCTTAGAATTAGGGTGTAATTCTGTCTGAACTAAAACAAATAAAGGGTCTCTGAAAGCATCCAACAAACATTAGGAGCAAATAGTAGAGTTCTTTGTTTTAAACTGAATGTGTAAGGAAATGTGGACAAATAAGGAAGCAAAAAACAAATTATATGCTACCCTCTCCCACAGTCTCTGCATTATACTGATGTGTTCCACACAGGGTGGAATTCGGGTTTAAAAACGAGAAAGTGTTTCTTCCATCAACAAACCTGGCCTTGGATAGAGGCATACAAAACAGATTCACACATCACTGTCTGACAAGATGTTCACTGATAATTTTAGCAATGCTGAAGAACTTATTGATACACTTTTCCCTCTTAGAAAAGCATCTTAAACTCATGGGAAAAAAGTAATAAAGTACAAAAAGCAAATAGAGAATTTGAAACTTTGCAAGACAGTGGGTGTCTGAAGTAGGACATCTTGCAAAAGGTCAGGCAATATGGTGGTGCTTATAAACAATTGCCTTATTTTCAGCAAATTTTTACTGAAATCTTTTGGACATAAAAATGGTTCTGTAAAAATAAGCTATTTGCAATATGTTAAAAACAGGTTGACCTTTAGTTAAAAATTAAAGAACAAAGTGACAAATGATATAGCTTTAGATATATAAACACATAAGGCTTTCTCACCAAAGGCATTCCTACACCCTTTACAATGACTATTCGATGGAAAAGGAAGCCATCAGTGATCGTTCAGTCTGGATGTACTGCATTATTCATAAAAAGCAGTTTCCATTATTTGTTAAATATATTTACTAGTAAATATGCTAATGAAATAATAGACCGCTATCTAATTATTCTGAGTTTTGGGGTTTGATTATCTGGGAAAAAAATCCTATTACTATAAGAATTTTAAATATATCTTAATATGGTTGATTTATTCACTAATCCACTCATTTGTTTAACAAATATTTATGGAAGGCAGTTATGCGGAGGGGCAGGAGATACCCACAAAGGATGATTGGAAACATTCCATTGAAAACAGCTTAAGGGTATTATATCCCTATTGTATTATATTCTCTCTGTGTAATATTTCAAATTTTATTTTCTCACCCAAAAGGAAGTTAAGTACTATCTCTTTATATTTATTTTTGCAGAAAAAGAAGCAGCTAGATCAAACAAATGAAAAGGAAATATAATGCAACAATAGAATTAAACCTATTAATTAGGAAAGTGAAGCTGGGGGACAAGATGGACAGAAACCCATGATGCCTTTGATAAGCAAAAAATCTGAAACACTAACCACCACACTTAGGGCAACAAAATTATTTCCAGATCCCACTTACTTGTGGTGATAAGACTTCTAATTTATCATCAGAGATCTTTAGGACTCTGGAGAGAATGGGCTTAAGAGCAAAATTTCTCAATGGTGAAGACAGCTAAATGAGGCCAAGTAAATTAGAGACATAGACAAAAGTTATTCTTAGACCACTGATGTATGTGCACTGGAAAGCCAACCCTATTCCCATGTAAAAGCTACTAGTCATATCCATTATCACCTTGGCAATATTCATTTAAAAACCTGAAAGTCATAATGTTTAGGAAATTGTGAGGGATAAAACGGATTCTTCCCTTTCACATCTGAAAAATTATAAGCAAAGTATATAAATGCCTGCCTCTAACTACATCACAAAGACTTTTTTAACCTTTAAATATTTATACTGAACTGCTCTTGTCTAAGCAGGGAAGTCGTGCTGTCTAGATATTTTGAAAAATATTTAAAAATTGTATACGCTATAATATGATTTCATTGATTCGCCTGACTGTGTAAATTACAGTGGTGCTTAAGTTTGTACTTTTATACTCAATTATGACAATATAGCACAGATAAATTTAAGAATATTTATGTGTTAAGATGATATTATTGTCATAAAGTATAATTTTTAAAAATTAAATAAATGTCCTGGTTTGTGTCAAAATGCATGCATGATTTTAAATGAAATACTGAAAGCTACCAATATTTGATGTACAAAAAAAAGAACAGCTTATAAACAACCCCACTATCAAAGCTCTAAAGACAATTTAAAAAAATCTATGCTACATATTCCAAGAGAAGAGGACTGATAAGTAAGTATAGACCCTAAAGCTGTCATTAAATACTCTATGTTCTCAAATGCCAATCCTCAAATGGGGAGACAATTAGCTCTCCATCATGTAGGCCACTAATACTAAGAGAACACCAAATCCCAAGATCTTGCGCAGAGATATCCTTTTAAAAAAAATTAAGAAAATGCAGACCTACATTCCAGTGAAGTGGATGATTAATAAAAACCACGCACCTAAGATAATGTAAAACTAAAAGGTAAAGCATGACTATTTGGGTCAGCTGTTTTTTGATCTGCTTCAGAATTGAAATCAGGTAACATTAACATAGTTATTTCATACTAAAGCAGACCAGTCCCTTTATTGTCAACCAAATTTAAAACCGTTACATAATGTTGATATATGCCATTATACAAAATATTATTTTCGCCACATTACTGATATATTTTACTAAACCAGGTTAATTTTGAAAAAATATTTAACATTTTGATTTCAAATGAACTGCCACAGACCATATAATGCCACCAATAAGAGTGTAGTGTATTTACCCTACATGTACAGAAGTGAAGAGCAATAGCAAACATAGCTAAATATCTAGAATTTAATGTCACATTTTTTCTTGTGAACATAATGAATTCAATTCTCCTTACTATGCTTGAAGAAGATTCTACAGGAACACATAAACACAACCTACTCTAATGTATGGGCCTTTGGTACTACCATGCTTAGTGTCTCTCTACGTTATGATTTCAGAGCACATGTCTTGATACTGTCTATATTCATGCTTTCATTCAAGAAATGTTTGTTACTTCCCTCTTTCAGGCCAGGTACTGCTCTAGAGGCTAAGAAATATAGGAGTACAATCCACAGGTTTCCTTTCCTTGTAGAGCTTACATGGCTTGAGGGAATGGGGAATATTACACATGGAAAAAATGTTTTAAAGATAATCATAGATTGTGATAAACTCTATGAAAGAAAGGAAGAAAGAACTAATATGATAGTTCAGTTAAATAGTGTAATCAACAAAGGCCTCTTTAAAAAGACAAAAAATGAGAAGGAGGCAGTTTGTAGAGGGTCACAAGAAGACTCTCCTAAGTAGAAAGAACAAGTACAAAGCCTTTAAGGCAAAGAGCAACTTGATTTTTTTTAAGAACCAAAAAACACAAAGGCCAGAATAGTTAAAGAAAAAGTCTGCTCCTGATTTGTGCTTTCAGCAAAGCTACCTGCTTTCCCATGGTAAACAACTAAAAACTGGTCAAAATCTAGGAAGAAAATTGTTTTCAGACTTGAAAACAGGCAGTGCAAAACTGTGATCCCTAAGTGAAGGGAAATAAGTGAGATGATTCCATTGCCTCTACTCTCTTCTGGAAGTTACAGACCATGTTTGGAGGAAGGAGAAATAGGAACTGAGCACAAGGGGGTTGAGATAGCTTCACTTGGCATGAAAGAGTACTAGAGAGGAGAGAGAAATATATTTTAAAAGCTCCAGATCTGAATAAGAGTCTCTTGCCTCTTTGAATACAAAACTGCATATGTGTAAGGTAAAACTTAAAAATTTCAAACAAAGAGTAACACTCCAAGGGCTGAACAACTTCCAGAGCTCACATAGAGCAGGAAGACATTTGTTTTCCCATAAGCCAAGCAGAGACAGTTTGTTCAATATCTAGGGCATTCTGCAGAACTATTCAGTAGGGAAGGATTCTACATTAGAAATAAGGCTAAATTAGTTCTAGAGTAAAGACTCTTTAGATCCACAAAAGGATGAAGTTGCTCTGCAAGTAAGTGAACTGCCTGCCAATACAAGATAATTGTTAAAGAAAAATAACAAACTCCAGACACTCTTGCCCAAAAACAAGCAATGAAGAAAGGACACCCTATTCAATAAATGGTGCTGAGACAACTGGCTACTCATACGCAAAAAGAAAAAAAAAAAAAAACACTTAAATGTGAGACCTGAAACTATGAAAATCCTTGAAGAAAACAGGAAAGCCTCTTCTGGATATTGGCCTAGGCAAAGAATTTATGCAAAAGACCTCAATAGCACAAGCACAAAACCAAAAAACAGGCAAATGGGATTTCATTAAACTAACTAAAGAGTTTCTGCACAGCAAAAGAAGTAATCAACAGGTTAAACAGGCAACCTACAGATGGGAGAAATTACATGCAAACTATGTATCCCACAGAAGACAAATATCCAGAATCTGCAAGGATATCAAACAAATCTACAAAAAAAAATTCCATTAAAAAGAGGGCAAAGGACATGAACTGACATTTCTCAAAAGAAGCCAACAAACATGAAAAATTGCTCAACATCACTAATCATCAGAGAAATGCAGATTAAAGCCACAATGAGAAACCGCAGAATGGCTACTATTAAAAAACCAAAAATTGTAGATGTTGGCAAGGATGCAGTGAAAGGAAAACACTTACACACTCTTGGTGGGAATGTAAATTTGTTGAATCCCTATGGAAAACAGTATGGAGATTTTGCAAAGAACAAAACATAGAACTACCATTTGACTCAGCAATCCCACTACTGGATATCTACCCAAAGGTAAATAAATTGTATCAAGAAGACAAATATACTGGTATGTTTATGCAGCACAATTTACAATAGCAAAGTTATGGTATCAAGCTAAGTATCCATCAACAGATGATTAGATAAGGAAAATATAGTATATGTAAATCATAGAATACATGCAGCCTTAAACAAGAATGAAACCATATCCTTTACAGTAACATGCGTGAAGCTGGAGGCCATTATTCTAAGTGAAATAATTAAGAAACAGAAAGTCAAATACCAGATGTTCTCACATATAACTGGGAGCTAAGTAATGGGTACACATGGACATAAAGATGGAAATAATAGACACTGGGAACTTCAAAAGGAGAGGAGGCTGAAAGGGGAGTGAGGGTTGAAAAATTACCTATTGGATACAATGTTCACTATTTGGATGACAGGTTCACTAGAAGCTCAAACCTCACCATTATACAATACATCCATGTAACAAATCTGCACATGTAGCCCCAGATCTAAAATTTTAAAAAAGAAGTAATATCAGTCAATAGAACCATGTCCATAAATGACAGAAGTGATGAACTGAGCAATGATGATCTTCAAAACAGCTATTATAAATATGCTTAAAATCTTCAAGAACTGTGTGAGTATAATGAAGAGAGGAATAAAAACTATTAAGAAAAAACAAATGAAACTTGTACAGCTGAAAAACACAATATATGAAGTAAAAATTCAGTAGATTGGTAGATTAGACATTTCAGAAGAAAAAGATCAGTGAATTTGAAAGCATAACCTTAGGAATTTTCTAATCTGAAGCACACAGAAATAAAAGGCTAAGAAATAAGAAAAAAAAAGAGCCTCAGTGACCTGTATGGCAATATTAATGTGTTAGCGTGTCTAAAATGCATTCAGTTGGGGACACAGAAAGAAGGGACCAGAAATAATATCCCAAGAAATTTGCTAAAATTTTTGCAAATTTGATGAAAAATTAAATCTGCAAATGCAATGAGCTCACCAAATCCCAAACAAATACAGAGTAAACCAGGAGCAGCAGCGTCATAAATTATGAAAATCTACTGATAAAGTCAAAATCTTAAAACCAAGCAGAAAAAGAGCAAACATTACATAGAGGAAAACAAAGATAAGAATACCTGCCATCTTCCTGTTTTAAACTTTAAGTTCAGAGGTACAAGTTCATGTTTGTTACATAGGTAAACTTGTGTCATGAGGGTTTGTTGAACAGATTATTTCATCACCCAGGAATTAAGCCTAGTATTCATTAGTTATTTTTTCTGATCCTCTCCCTCTTACCAACTTTCACCCACTGATAGGCCCCACTGTGTGTTTTTCCCTCTATGTGTCCACGTGTTCTCATCATTTAACTCCCACTTACAAGTGAAAACATGTGGTATTTTGTTTTCCGTTCCAGTGTTAGTTTGCTAAGGATAATGGCCTCCAGCTCCATCCATGTTCCTAATCACAATAGCAAAGACATGGAATTAACGTAAATGCCCATCAATAATAAACTGGTTATAGAAAATGTAGTACATACACACCATGCAATACTATTCAGCCATAAAAAAGAATGAAGTACTTGCCAATTGCTAACAAAAAAAATTGCAAGAAGACAATGGAGATAAATCTTAATGTACTGAAAGAAAAAAATATAAAACTATAGTTTTATATTCAACCAAACCATCTTGCACACACACACACACAAAAGAAATAAAGGCATTTTAAGCCAAAAAAAATGCTGAGAGAATGAAACCAGCAAACCTGCACTAAAAATAATAACAAAGAAAATTATCTGAGTTGAAGGAAAATAATGACAAATGGAAATTGGGATCTACACAAATGAGTAGAGTGCAAGGGAGGGTAATATATGGATATACAAAAATTTAGTATTGTGTATTTAAAAAATTAAGACACTTGACTATTTGAAGCCACAACAATGTATTTTCAGGCTTATAACATATGTAGAGATAAAGTTTATGAAAAAATATATAAAATCAAGATGGGGCAAATGGAAGTATTTTGTTGTAAAGTTCTTGTGTTATATATGTAGTATAATAAGAGATGAATGTAGAATATGACAAATTAAAGACACATACTATAAACCATAGAACAACCACTGAAAGAATAAAGGATTAAGCCGGTCAAGGTGGCTCATGCCTGTAATCCCAACAATTAGGGAGGCCAAGACAGACAGATCACTTGAGGCCAGAAGTTTAAGACCAGCCTAGGCAACATGGTGAAACCCCATCTTTACTAAAAATACAAAAATTAGCCAGGTGTGGTGGCACATGCCTGAAATCTTAGCTACTTGGGAGGCTGAGGCAGGAGAATCGCTTGAATACGGGAGGTGGAGACTGTAATGAGCCAAGATTGTGCCGCTGCACTCCAGCCTGGGTAATAGAGCAAGTCTCAAAAGAGAAAAAAAAAGGATATACAGTAAGCCAATAATAGAGATAAGATAGAATACTAAAATTTATTCACTTAATTACAAAGCATAGAAGAAAAGAAGAAAGAACAGATGAAACACATAGAAAATAAATAGCAAGATAGCAGTCTTAAAACTAACATATCAATAACTACATTATTCAATAGTGGAAATATCCAATTAAAAGGTAGATTGTCAGACTATAAAAAAACAAGACGCAACTATATGCTGATGAAAATAAAGCTACTTTATAGAGACAGATGGACTAAAAGCCAAAGGTTGGAAAAAAAATATGCCATGCAAACTCTAAATGTGACAAAGTAGGAATGACTTTATTAGATAAAGACTGATATCATACTTCAAAAAATGATATTACTATAGATAAAGAAGGATGTTTCATAATGATAAAAGGAACAATTCATCACAAATACATAACAAGACTGTTTGTCTATGTGGCTAATGACAAATCATTAAAATGCATAAAGCTAAAACTGAGAAAACTGAAGAGACATATAGCCACAGTTTCAGGTAAAGATTCCAATGTTTCCCTCTCAGTAACTGAAAAAAAAAAAAAAGGTATGCAGTAAGTAAGAAAGAAGGAAGGTTTAAATTTCCACTTAGGAAAGCTAAAAGGCAAGAGCAAATTAAACCGATAGTGTGTAGAAAGAAGAAAATAATAAAATAAGACTGGGAATAAATGAAGTAAGCAACAGAAACAATACAGAAAATCCAAAAAATCAAAGTTGAATCTTTGAAAATGAATAAATAAATAAAACTGTTAAACCTCTAATTAAACTGGCCAAAAGGAGAGAAAACATAAATTACCAATATCAGGAACCAAAGTGAATCTATCATTACAAATTCTAAAAATATTAAAAGAGTAAGAGAACATTATGAATAATTTTATGCTAATTAATTCGACAATATAGATAAAATGAGAAAATTCCTTGAAAGGTACAGATTATACAATGGGCAAAAAAATCTAGGAAGTCTGAATGGATGGAGGTAGTGAATACAGGAGAGAATAGTACAAAATTTAGTCCAAGAAGAAAATAAGAATCAGATTATGTAGAGTTTCATAGAAAAAGATGAGGAGTTTGGATTTAATTCTCAGTGTAAGAAGCCACTGAGAGAGTTTAAAGAGCGGTGCAGTCTAATTTCAGAGTTTAAAGATTACTGGCTACTGCGAAAAGAACGAATTCTTGAGACACAAGATTGAAAGACAGAAGATTGAAAAGAAGGAAGTTAGGAAATTATTTCAGACAAGAGATAATGGTGGCTTAGACTAAAGCAACATCAGCAGAGAGGGAGAGAAGTGGGCAGAATCGATATATCTCCAGCTTAGCTCAGTTATCACAGAACTAATATATATGTATATACACACAGACATATATTTCTTTTTCAACATAATACTTGTTTTCCAGGAAAAAAACATTGAAGTAGATTTTATTTTCCCATTGATTTCTTGAGATGTTTCTTCTCTGAGAAAAATTATTTCCATGTATGTAATAAAATTACTATCAAAAGTAAAGCTATTAAAATGTGCATTTTTATCATTGGAAAAAAGTTGGAAATACAAAAAAACACTAATAGTGACTATCTCAGGGATATGGTCTTAATGCTGATTTTGTTCATTCTCACATTATGCTTAAAAATCATAAGCATAAAATATTAGAGTTATTTTTTAAAGACTAGAACAATGTTTTTGGCCATATATTATAAAATACTGGAGTTAATAGAGTCTAAAATACAATAGTAAACTACTAAAACATTAACAATAGTGCTTTGTTGCATCTAAAATGAGCTACAAAATCATACTAAAATAGTCCTAAGGAAATTCTCAGCTGCCTGGGGCATAATTTCCACTGAAGATGTGATTAATCATAATGCTTTATCACTTGACTATTTTTAATCAGCACGCCACAAATTGCATGCCATTTTATAACTGTATCATCCTTGAACATCTTGGCCTCTGTATAACAAGAGGTTTTACTGAAGAAATACCTATGTTGTTTAGTTTAGAATCCTTGGATGAATTGAGAGATACCTAGAAATAAAGACTGAAATAGTCAGCTGTTACTTTCCCATTCTGTAGCACTGAATGGCCAAGGAAAGGCCACCCTTCTCCTAACACAAATAAGAAAACCACTTTAAAAGTCTTTCTTGGGAGAGAGTAACTGAGGAGATATAGGTCATGGGATTCAAAAGAGCAGATATGTAGGAAGAACAGGTCTAGAGATATGATGTTAAAAATGAGGACTAAATTTAATAAAATTATATTGTATTTGGGATTTTGCTATGTATGTGTATCCTATAACATCATGCATAAGACTTAAATATGCACCATAAAATTTATTTTTAAAAAAGAATATCTGAAGGCAGCCTAAAGAACTGCAACATCAACAACCTTTATAGGTTGAGTTCTTATCAGACACAGAATACTGTGGTGGATAATATGTGGGGTCATAAAAAGGTTTAAGTAAAGCTTTGGGAAACCTGGCAATGAACCTCAACATTCAGAATGGCTCCAGAAGCAAAAATGACCTTCTAGAAAGTTTGAGAACCTGGTTTTAAATAAGATCTGATATCTCAGTTCATTGCAAACCTAATATTCTTTCTTCTCTTCTTCCAGCTCAAACATGCATATTCTTAGACTTAGAGTGCCTAGAATCAACCTGGAATTGAACCAGCCACTAGGAATAGGGTGCATTTCAACTTCCACAAATTACTATGAATATGCACAAACTGAAGGTGATAAAATCTTTTATCTCTATTTTGTGCATGGTAAAAATGTATGCATTTTTTATATATGGTTAACAAATGAATTTTGGAGTAAGAAAATCCGGAGTTTGAATTTTGGCTCTACCACTTACTTTCAAACTGTATAATTTTAAGAAAGTTTTAATAACATATAAATTGTTACATGTAAATTATTGCCAGGAGCAATGCCATACCTGATACATAATTTCAATTACTATTTTTATTATGCATAACCATCCAAAGAAATTTAGATACTTTTGTATTAGTTTAGCCAAATGAAAATGCATAATCCTTTGAAAATGAACATACACACACTTTAGATTGACATACATGTTACATCTGGGTTTATAAACACAATCAGAATACATTTTAGTTTTGAATTGACTCTGTTCCCGCTATAACCATTAGGTTAACTCCCCTGACATACTGTAAGGCACTGTGAATTTGCTGATTGCATTATAAAGCTATTATGTTATAAAGATAGACTAAATTGTGATATATTGTCACCCATCTGAATAATTTAAAGTTTTTGCCACTTTGGGAGCCAGAGAGACCTGACTCATTCAGGTTACCCTCCTATGAACTGGACAATGTGGGGAAAGTTTGTTAATTCCAACTCTTTTTTTTTCTTTTTATTTTATTATTATTATACTTTAAGTTTTAGGGTACATGTGCACAACGTGCAGGTTTGTTACATATGTATACATGTGCCATGTTGGTGTGCTGCACCCATTAACTCGTCATTTAGCATTGGGTATATCTCCTAATGCTATCCCTCCCCCCTTCCCCCACCCCACAACAGTCCCCACTCTGTGATGTTCCCCTTCCTGTGTCCATGTGTTCTCACTGTTCAATTCCTACCTATGAGTGAGAACATGCAGTGTTTGGTATTTTGTCCTTGAGATAGTTTGCTGAGAATGGTGGTTTCCAGATTCATCCATGTCCCTACAAAAGACATGAACTCATCATTTTTTATGGCTGCATAGTATTCCATGGTGTATATGAGCCACATTTTCTTAATTCAGTCTATTGTTTTTGGACATTTACATTGGTTCCAAGTCATTGCTATTGTGAATAGTGCTTCTATAAACCTATGTGTGCATGTGTCTTTACAGCAGCATGATTTATAATCCTTTGGGTATATACCCAGTACTGGGATGGCTGGGTCAAATGGTATTTCTAGTTCTAGATCCCTGAGGGATTGCCTCACTGACTTCCACAATGGTTGAAGTAGTTTATAGTCCCACCAACAGTGTAAAAGTGTTCCTGTTTCTCCACATCCTCTCCAGCACCTGTTGTTTCCTGACTTTTTAATGATCACCATTCTAACTGGTGTGAGCTGGTATCTCATTGTGTTTTTGATTTGCATTTCTCTGACGGCCAGTGATAGTGAGCATTTTTTCATGTGTTTTTTGGCTGCATAAATGTCTTCTTTTGAGAAGTGTCTGTTCATGTCCTTCGCCCACTTTTTGATGGGGTTGTTTGATTTTTTTCTTCTAAATTTGTTTGAGTTCATTGAAGATTCTGGATATTAGCCCTTTGTCAGATGAGTAGATTGCAAAAATTTTCTCCCATTCTGTAGGTTGCCTGTTCACTCTGATGGTAGTTTCTTTTGCTGTGCAGAAGCTCTTTAGTTTAATTAGAACCCATTTGTCAATTTTGGCTTTTGTTGCCATTGCTTTTGGTGTTTTAGACATGAAGTCCTTGCCCATGCCTATGTCCTGAATGGTATTACCTAGGTTTTCTTCTAGCGTTTTTATGGTTTTAGGTCTAACATTTAAGTCTTTAATCCATCTTGAATTAATTTTTGTATAGGGTGTAAGGAAGGGATCCAGTTTCAGCTTTCTACATATGGCTAGGCAGTTTTCCCAGCACCATTTATTAAATAGGGAATCCTTTCCCCATTGCTTGTTCTTGTCAGGTTTGTCAAAGATCAGATAGTTGTAGATATGTGGCATTATTTCTGAGGGCTCTGTTCCATTCCATTGGTCTATATCTCTGTTTTGGTACCAGTACCATGCTATTTTGGTTACTGTAGCCTTGAAGTATAGTTTGAAGTCAGGTAGTGTGATGCCTCCGGCTTTGTTCTTTTGGCTTAGGATTGACTTGGCAATGCAGGTTCTTTTTTGGTTCCATATGAACTTTAAAGTAGTTTTTTCCAATTCTCTGAAGAAAGTCATTGGTAGCTTGATGGGGATGGCATTGAATTTATAAATTACCTTGGGCAGTATGGCCATTTTCACGATATTGATTCTTCCTACCCATGAGCATGGAATGTTCTTCCATTTCTTTGTATCCTCTTTTATTTCACTGAACAGTGGTTTATAGTTCTCCTTGAAGAGGTCCTTCACATCCCTTGTAAGTTGGATTCCTAGGTATTTTATTCTCTTTGTAGCAATTGTGAATGGGAGTTCACTCATGATTTGGCTCTCTGTTTGTTTGTTATTGGTGTATAAGAATGCTTGTGATTTTTGTACATTGATTTTGTATCCTGAGACTTTGCTGAAGTTGCTTATCAGCTTGAGGAGATTTTGGGCTGAGACAATGGGGTTTTCTAGATATACAATCATGTCATCTGCAAGCAGGGACAATTTGACTTCCTCTTTTCCTAATTGAGTACCGTTTATTTCCTTCTCCTGCCTGATTGCCCTGGCCAGAACTTCCAACACTATGTTGAATAGGAGTGGTGAGAGAGGGCATCCCTGTCTTGTGCCAGTTTTCAAAGGGAATGCTTCCAGTTTTTGCCCATTCAGTATGATATTGGCTGTGGGTTTGTCATAGATAGCTCTTATTATTTTGAGATACATCCCATCAATACCTAATTTATTGAGAGTTTTTAGCATGAAGGTTGTTCAATTTTGTCAAAGGCCTTCTCTGCATCTATTGAGAAAATCATGTGGTTTTTGTCTTTGGTTCTGTTTATATGCTGGATTACATTTATTGATTTGCATATGTTGAACCAGCCTTGCATCCCAGGGATGAAGCCCACTTGATTATGGTGGATAAGCTTTTTGATGTGCTGCTGTATTCGGTTTGCCAGTATTTTATTGAGGATTTTTGCATCAATGTTCATCAAGGATATTGGTCTAAAATTCTCTTTTTTGGTTGTATCTCTGCCAGGCTTTTGTATCAGGATGATGCTGGCCTCATAAAATGAGTTATGGAGGATTCCCTCTTTTTCTATTGATTGGAATAGTTTCAGAAGGAATGGTACCAGCTTCTCCTTTCACCTCTGGTAGAATTCGGCTGTGAATCCATCTGGTCCTGGACTTTTTTTGGTTGGTAAGCTATTGATTATTGCCTCAATTTCAGATCCTGTTATTGGTCTATTCTGAGATTCAACTTCTTCCTGCTTTAGTCTTGGGAGGATGTATGTGTCGAGGAATTTATCCATTTCTTCTAGATTTTCTAGTTTATTTGTGTAGAGATGTTTATAGTATTCTCTGATGGTAGTTTGTATTTCTGTGGGATCAGTGGTGATATCCCCTTTATCATTTTTTATTGTGTCTATTTGATTCTTCTCTCTTTTCTTCTTTATTAGTCTTGCTAGTGGTCTATCGATTTTGTTGATCTCTTCAGAAAATCAGCTCCTGGATTCATTAATTTTTTGAAGGGTTTTTTGTGTCTCTATTTCCTTCAGTTCTGCTCTGATTTTAGTTATTTCTTGCCTTCTGCTAGCTTTTGAATGTGTTTGCTCTTGCTTTTCTAGTTCTTTTAATTGTGATGTTAGGGTGTCAATTTTAGATCTTTCCTGCTTTCTCTTGTGGGCATTTAGTGCTATAAATTTCCCTCTACATACTGCTTTGAATGTGTCCCAGAGATTCTGGTATGTTGCGTCTTTGTTCTCGTTGGTTTCAAAGAACATCTTTATTTCTGCCTTCATTTCTTTACTTACCCAGTAGTCATTCAGGAGCAGGTTGTTCAGTTTCCATGTAGTTGAGCGGTTTTGAGTGAGTTTCTTAATCCTGAGTTCCATTTTGATTGCACTGTGGTCTGAGAGGCAGTTTGTTGTAATTTCTGTTCTTTTACATCTGCTGAGGAGTGCTTTACTTCCAACTATGTGGTCAATTTTGGATAGGTGTGGAGAGGTGCTGAAAAGAATGTATATTCTGTTAATTTGGGGTGGAGAGTTCTGTAGATGTCTATTAGGTCCGCTTGGTGCAGAGCTGAGTTCAGTTCCTGGGTATCCTTGTTAACTTTCTGTCTCGTTGATCTGTCTAATGTTGACAGTGGGGTGTTAAAGTCTCCCATTACTATTGTGTGGGAGTCTAAGTCTCTTTGTATGTCACTAAGGACTTGCTTTATGAATCTGGGTGCTCCTGTATTGGGTGCATATACATTTAGGATAGTTAGCTCTTCTTGCTGAATTAATCCCTTTACCATTATGTAATGGCCTTCTTTGTCTCTTTTGATCTTTGTTGGTTTAAAGTCTGTTTTATCAGAGACTAGGATTGCAACCCCTGCCTTCTTTTGTTTTCCATTTGCTTGGTAGATCTTCCTCCATCCCTTTATTTTGAGCCTATATGTGTCTCTGCATGTGAGATGGGTTTCCTGAATACAGCACACTGATGGGTCTTGACTCTTTATCCAATTTGCCAGTCTGTGTCTTTTAATTGGAGCATTTAGCCCACTTACATTTAAAGTTAATATTGTTATGTGTGAATCTGATGTTGTCATTATGATGTTAGCTGGTTATTTTGCTCGTTAGTTGATGCAGTTTCTTCCTAGCCTTGATGGTCTTTACAATTTGGCATATTTTTGCAGTGGCTGGTACCAGTTGTTCCTTTCCATGTTTAGTGCTTCCTTCAGGAGCTCCTTTAGGGCAGGCCTGGTGGTGACAAAATCTCTCAGCATTTGCTTGTCTGTAAAGGATTTTATTGCTCCTTAACTTATGAAGCTTAGTTTGGCTGCATATGAAATTCTGGGTTGAAAATTCTTCTCTTTAAGATTGTTGAATATTGGTCCCCACTCTCTTCTGGCTTGTAGAGTTTCTGCCGAGAGATCCACTGTTAGTCTGATGGGCTTCCCTTTGTGGGTAACCTGACCTTTCTCTCTGGCTGCCCTTAACATTTTTTTCCTTCATTTCAACTTTGGTGAATCTGACAATTATGTGTCTTGGAGTTGCTCTTCTCGAGGAGTATCTTTGTGGCGTTCTCTGTATTTCCTGAATCTGAATGTTGGCCTGCCTTGCTAGATTGGGGAAGTTCTCCTGGATAATATCCTGCAGAGTGTTTTCCAACTTGGCTCCATTCTCCCCGTCACTTTCAGGTACAACAATCAGACGTAGATTTGGTCTTTTCACATAGTCCCATATTTCTTGGAGGCTTTGTTCATTTCTTTTTATTCTTTTTTCTCTATACTTCTCTTCTCACTTCAGTTCATTCATTTCGTCTTCCATCACTGGTACCCTTTCTTCCAGTTGATCGCATCGGCTACTGAGGCTTCTGCATTCGTCATGTCCTCTCGTGCCTTGGTTTTCAGCTCCATCAGGTCCTTCAAGGACTTCTCTGCATTGATTATTCTAGTTATCCATTCGTCTAATTTTTTTTCAAAGCTTTTAACTTCTTTGCCATTGGTTTGAATTTCCTCCTGTAGCTCAGAGTAGTTTGATCTTCTGAACCCTTCTTCTCTCAACTCGTCAAAGTCATTCTCTGTCCAGCTTTGTTCCATTGCTGGTGAGGAGCTGCGTTCCTTTGGAGGAGGAAAGGCGCTCGGATTTTTAGAGTTTCCAGTTTTTCTGCTCTGTTTATTTCCCATCTTTGTGGTTTTACCTACCTTTGCTCTTTGATGATGGTGACGTACAGAAGGGTTTTTGGTGTGGCTGTCCTTTCTGTTTGTTAGTTTTCCTTCTAACAGACAGGACCCTCAGCTGCAGGTCTGTTGGAGTTTGCTAGAGGTCCACTCCAGACCCTGTTTGCCTGGGTATCAGCAGTGGTGGCTGCAGAACAGTGGATATTGGTGAACCGCAAATGCTGCTGCCTGATGGTTCCTCTGGAAGTTTTGTCTCAGAGGAGTACCTGGCCGTGTGAGGTGGCAGTCCGCCCCTACTGGGGGGTGACTCCCAGTTAGGCTACTCGGGGGTCAGGGACCCATTTGATGAGGCAGTCTGCCCATTCTCAGATCTCAAGCTGCGTGCTGGGAGAACCACTACTCTCTTCAAAGCTGTCAGACAGGGACATTTAAGTCTGCAGAGGTTACTGCTGTCTTTTTGTTTGTCTGTGCCCTGCCCCCAGAGGTGGAGCCTACAGAGGCAGGCAGGCCTCCTTGATCTGTGGTGGGCTCCACCCAGTTGGAGCTTCCTGGCCGCTTTGTTTACCTAATCAAACAACTAACTCAGCAACGGCGGGCGCCCCTCCCCCAGCCTCGCTGCCACCTTAAAGTTTGATCTCGGACTGCTGTGCTAGCAATGAGTGAGACTCCATGGGCATAGGACCCTCTGAGCCATATGCGGGATATAATCTCCTGGTGTGCCATTTTCTAAGCCTGTTGGAAAAGCGCAGTATTAGGGTGGGAGTGACCCGATTTTCCAGGTGCCGTCTGTCACCCCTTTCTTTGACTAGGAAAGAATTCCCACTCTTTAAAAAAATATATTATCTGAAGCTTTGTTATAAGGAAAAAATAATATAATGTATTTGGAGTTACAAAAATAATGTGAATAGGCAATAAATATTAGTGCCCTTCTCCCTATTATCATTTCCTCTTTCCCCCATATAATGAAATAATTATAATACGAATATGTAAAAATATTTTTTTCTTAAACTTAAGCCCAATACATCCAATCAAATACAAATATACCTGAGAAATATAAATGTTACCTTGAAGGGCTGAAGGTACCTAACAGAATGGGAAGAAGTGTCAGAGTCAGATAAAATGTTCTCTGTGAGCAGACCACCTCCACATGCTAAACAATAGGAGCATGCAGTAAACAAAATCATGTTCAAAGGATAACCAGGTTTGCAGGACAGAGTATCAATCAATGCAAATGCAATAGTTTGGGATGCAGTAGAAGTCAGAAAAACAGGAGAAAAAACATAACAACAAAAGGAGAAAAAATGATAGACTGGTTGTTTTTAAAAACTCTGGGAGAGAAAATTTTAGGGTAGAGACCATATTAAAATGAAACTACACACTCCCCATGTTTCTTTAATTCATATTAGTCTTGGAGGACTAACCAGCCCACAATCTCTTCATCTGTGATAACTGAGAAATTACTGTGAGATCTAAGAATGTTCGCAGTAAAAAAACATATGTATTTGGAGTTACATATGTATTTAGAGTTTTAATGTATACCTAATCTAAATAAATATACTGTAATTACTAGTATTTATCCTAAGGTCTCTTCCCCAGTGTGTGAAAAACAACTTGTTTGTGTTTATCCTTTTGAATCTGACATTGTCCACATCTCTTCCCTTGCTGGCCACATATAAACTTATTCCATCCAGTAAGTTGTAATCCTGCTCCTGGCAGGGGTTGTCTGCTTCAGTATCATTTCTTTGGCTTTCTGCTCTAGTTACAGTGAATGTCTTGTAGCACAGTACATCTCCGTCAGGCCAAAATCTATCCCAAGGGATTATAAAAGTTATGTGAAGTTAATAAATTTGCAGATTTATATTGCTTTACTGTACATTCATAGGATATACTCTTCTATAGCATAGGCTCAAATTATCCCCTCTCATACACAAATGCTTACAACATCAGGCCTTTCTGAAGTTCACCTGAATCACTGGTTTGCAATTTATACTTGATCAGTACATCCCCTAAGAGAACCCTAATTTGGGTCTTCAGTGCATTGTGCATGGGAAAACAAAATCTAATAAGCATGTCACCAAGATTAGAGACTGTACTTAACCTGATAAAAAAAAATACTGTGACATTTTTCATAAATACACTTATTTTTGCATTAGACAAATAATGTCAAGAAATCATAATTTTGCTCATGCAGCATTCCCAAATACAACTTAATGTTCCTGTATCTTCAATTTTGACTCCTCTTAATTTTTCCTTAATCATTTCCCACTGATAGCTCAAGAAAGAGATTTAACATATGAAAACTTAATAGATTTACCTGCTCATGTGTTATAGAAAGTTTTGACAGTCTCAACCAGAAAAAATAATGCCACTTTTGTTTTCAACTGAAGAAATTAAACTTGTTTTCCTCTGAAACATTCATGAAATCAACTTGTAAAGATGACAATCTAACTTTAGATTATTTATTGCCTTGTGTTGCAACTCATGTAAAAAAAAAGAAGCAAGTTTTATAACTGAAAAATTATACTTAATAATGAAGCATTATATATTACAGTAATTTTATTGCTAGAAACTATTTGAATTTTTCTTCTCAAAGAAATGTAACATTAGTTGTTAAATAATAAAATTACTTGATTTAATAAAATGATTGTAAAAATGAATAACCTAAGTAAGATTACTCTAATTGTCCTCTAAATCCTTACTACTCAAAGTATGGTCCATATATCTGTATCACTGGGGAGTTTATTAGAACCTCAAGTTCCCAATCCAAACATACAGAATCACAATCTTCAGTTTAACAAGATCCCCAAGTAATTCGTATGTATATTAAAGCAGAAAAACATTATATAAAAGAAAATTCAAAGTTGTAATTATCTTACCAACTCAAACTATCAGAACACAAATATGACCAAGTTTCACAAAATGTTACAATTTTATTTTAATCTGCTAATATTTTAATTTCTTAATATCAAAAAACATCAAGTTTTGATTAAGACCAAATAAACTCATGCTTTATTTATTGGATTAAGTCATCAGCAATCTACAATTTCTGTAGTTTTGAAAACTTCTTATATTTTTAGATTCCAATCTGTTCCATTTTACATTATGAATTTTCTATTTCCTGTTTCGTTAAGGAAAAATATAACAATAATAAACAAAATTAGAAAGAGTTTACAGTATATCCCATTTATCATTAGTAAGTTTTTTAGTTAAAAATCTAAACTTGGGACCTATCTTTATAACACAAGCAAATATCTATACTGGGTTTTTTGCTTTATTGCTTATGCCACAAAAACTAAATATTAAGAACCTTAAAATATGGTTATATTCTAGAATGTTCATGGGAGGCTGCCTTTCTCTCTGATCCTAAAATGGGATGATGGCTTAAATTGAATCAAGTCAAGGCAAGAGCAGTCAGCCAAACCTTGCTGTGTCATGAAGGGTTCTTTAAATAAGTACAGTTCATTTTGAAAGGGACTGGAACCGAGGAGCTAGATGATGGTGTTTCTTACCCTAAATTCTTGCCTGACTTACAAATGTGGAGATAGGCAGATAAAGACTATCTGAATTAGGGGCAGTCATGACTGCTTCACTTGGGATTGTCACCTAAATTGTTATTATGGAATTCTTTACATGGATATATAACATTACTATAACCATACCAATCCCCAGACAACATGCAAGGGGTCAAGTCATAGGCATGTTAGCTGTAAAAATGTATATTTTCAAGTGGCCTTTTAAAATAAGTAATATATTAAGCAACAAAATAAATACACTGGTTGGTGGAAACTTTTCAGCATGTCACTAAAAATGTCAGAGGCGTACTACCAACTGAGTATATATTTAGGTAGATATAAAGATGCACACACACATATATATACACTCACATATATACACTTACATATATATACTTACACAAATATATTTCATAATGTCTGATAATCAAATATGTATTGTATATTATAGAATTTAATGCAGTAATACTCTAAAATTAAGGAGGTCAAGATTCAAATGACCATTTTGCTTTAAAAACCATCACGAAAAATGACCTTGCAGGATTTGAGGCTAACTAGCTCTGTAGAGTCCAGACATAAACTTTTTCTTACCTTTGCCAGCAGAAGTGACCATACCTCTCTGTTTTATAATTTTATTTATTTTCTGTTATTCAACATCCAAAAGTAATCAGCATACTTCTTGGCTTAGTAAACCATTTACATATACATATACATGTGCATATTCACATACAAATGGCATTTAATAAAAATAACCATACCCTGTTAAGTATAGTTTCATAATGGGAACTATCATTTTAGATACAGATGTTTTTATACTTCCACATAAAACATCCTGCCAAATGTGCCTCCTCTCTCTAAACTTTATTTGCATTCTTATTTATTCTTGTGACTTCTATTTTTATTTTGTACATAAACTCCAAATATATATAATTGCCCTAAAATCCCCTCCTAATATCCTGTTGGAAAGTCCCATACATTTATGCCATGGCTATATCTAACTCACTGTCCAAAACCAAAGTCACCCATTTGTTTATTCTTCCATTCCATAATATTTATTGAGCAGTTACTCTGTTCCAAGAACTCTTTTAGACACTAGTGAATAAAACATAAAATTCTCTGCTCATGGAGCTTCCATTACAGAGGGAAAGGAAAGTAATACAGACAATAAATAATCACAATACATACTCTGTGAGATGGTGACAAACAATATGGAGAAAACAATGAATAATTGGATGAGAATAAAGAATGCCAAGGAAAGTGAAATTTTAAAGAGGTTGTTAAAGAAGGACTCACTGAGAAAGTAATATTGGAGCAAAAATCTGAGTCAAGAAGATGGGATGGAATCTAGTATACAAGTGGAAGAGTGGGAACAGATTGTTCATTTATAGTAACTAGAAGCTCAGTATATGAGCACAGCTCATAGGTAGGTGGCAAGATGGGTGGTGGGAGCTTGTGGACACTCTCTTCTGTTGTGGATACTCTCTTCTGTTGTGGATACTCTCTTCGGTTTGCTGCTGTTTTCTCAGTGTATTAGAAAGCTTCCTGCTAAGAGTGAGAATGATGAAGGATGTCTTGGAGGTATGGGGATAAAGGGAAGAAAAAATTGTCTTTAAGAAACGCAGAAAGAAATTGTATCAGGATTGTTAGGCAGTAGGACTAGTATCACATTTGATGCTAGTGGTCATGAATTTTAAATGAGGCCAATTATCCTGGTTGTGTATTCTTATCCAGCTAATTTAACTATGGAGATACAGGCATGAGGTAGATGAATATTAGGCTTTAACCATGGTTGGGGTTTGGTCAGGTGAGTATACAAAATGGGAGCGGAGCAAGGGAGTTTAGGGAATTTGCAAGGGAGTGATTGTAGTAATTGATATCGGAAGTTGCTATGGGCAAGAAAGAAAGTGAAGAGTTGAGAAGAGGGAGATGCTGTGGGGAAAAGTGATTGAAGGATCAATGGGTTATAGGTCCCCAGTGACCAAAAAATTGTTGGAGCTGGGTATGAGAGGAAGTAAGCTAGAAAGATAAGAACTGAGACTTGAAGAGTAGACTTCTTGACACTGAGATTATGGAGAGGTGCTAGATGTTGATAATTGGAAGGTATAGGGCATAGCCCTGTGAACAATTGGCCCAGAAGGAGAGCAGGACAAAATCATTGGTGAAAAGAAGGAACTGAAAATCCAGGGCATTAGAAGGAACATTACAAGGATAATGAAATCACCAAGAATTATGCAAGAAGTAGAATTGGGACCAGTGACAATAAGCCAGGAGTTTATAAGCCAATAAACTCTTCAGGGAATGAGGAGTGCCTGGAGGGTTTGCAGAAGATAGCAGCAAGAAGGAGATGCGGGTGGTTTGATGGCACGAGATTCAAAACTGGGAAAGTTTGAGAAAGGGGAAGGGAGAATGGGCTGTTGGAGCAAGGAGAAAGCTCTCCCTGCCTCCATCCCTGGTGGTGAAATGTTGTGGGAGAAAAATAACTAAAGCTTGAGAGGGTTCATAAAGAAACATGTCCCCAGGGAAAATCAGGTTCAGTCGAAGCAAGAAGGTAAAAGAAAGAGGTTCCTAATAACTATGAGTTCCAGTGGAAGGGTTTCAGAAATGAGGCGGGTGAGAGATGAGGTCAGAAAAGAGGTTGCAGAGAGACGTGGGGAACTGAGAGTCTATGGAAGGAGAGATGACTTCAGAGTCCAGATTGTCCTAGAGAGACTAAGCAGAATTAAATTCCATAGTGAAATTTGTTCTGATCCTCTCAGGGTGGTGCAATTTGGTGGACCAGAATGGTGGGGGCAGGAAAAAGAGGAGAAAAACAACAAGGGAAGACTCTCGTTTATTTCTTGTGTAATTTTTTGCTTTATTTTATTTTTAATTGACAAATAATTGTATATAGTTATGGGGCTCAGTGTGATGTTTTGTTACATGTGCACATTGTGGAAAGATCAAATCAGGCTAAGTAACATATCACATCACCTCAAATATTTATAATTTCTTCGTGGTGAGAACATCAAAAATCCTCTTTTTTAGCTATTTTGAAATGTACAAGACATTATTATTATTAGCTATAGTCATCATGCTGTGCAATAGATCACCAGAACTTATTCCTCCTGTCTAACCAAAACTTTTTACTCTGATTAACATTTCCACTCTCACCATCTCCACACCCCCATCCTCTGGTAACCACGATTCTACTCTCTACTTCTGTGAGTTCAACTTTTTTAGATTCCACATATAAGTGAGATCATATGGCATTTGTCTCTCTGTGCCTGGATTATTTCACATAACATAATGTTCTTTAGGTTCAACTATGCTGTCTCAAGTGACCAAATTTCCTGCTTTTTAAAGGCTGAATAGTATTTCATTGTGTATATATACCACATTTTTAACCCATTTGTCCATTGACAGACACTTAGGTTGTTTCCATATCTTGGCTATTGTGAATAATGCTACAATAAACATGGGAGTGCAGACATCTCTTCCACATACTGATTTCAACTATTTTAGATATATACCCAGAAGTGTACTGTATCATATAGTAATTATATTTTTAGTTTTTGAGGAACTTCCATACTGTTTTCCAGAGTGGTTGTGCTAATTTACATTATCACCAACAATGTACAAGGGTTTCCTATTTTCCACATCCTTGCCAACACTTATCTTTCATCTTTTTGATAATAGCAAATTTAACAGGTATGAGATAAAATCTCACTATGGTTTTAATTTGCATTTCTCTGATGATTAGAGATGCTGAGCATTTTTACATCTACCTGTTGGCCATTTGTATATCTTCTTTTCAGAAATGTCTGTTCAAGTCCTTTGCCCATTTTTCATAGATTTATTTGTTTTCTTGTTATTGAGTAGTTCCAGTTCCCTATATGTTTTGGATATTAGCCTATCTGATATATGATTTGCAAATATGTTTTCTCAATCTCTTGGTTGTCTCTTTACTCTCTTGTTTCCATTGCTGTGTAGAAGATTTTAGTTTGATGCAGTCCCATTTGTCTATTTTTGCTTTTGTTGCCTGTTTATTTGGGATCTTCTCCAAGAAATCACTGTCCAGACCAATGTCATAGAGCTTTTCAGCAGGGTAAGACTCTTGAGAGGACCAAGCATATATCCAACATTCTATTTGGTCTTGACAATAGAGGTTGGGAAGCCAGGGCAGGAGCTATCTTATAGACATAAATATAGAACTCAAGCTCTAACTGCTTATTGCTTCCAGAGCTTGAGAGCTCAGGAACTCCTGTTCACTCTACCTATAAAAGTGAGGATGTGTGACAGCTAGAAAAGGGTTGTCTTGGAGCACCTGAAGCTCATCAATATTCGACATCTCATATCTGCTCTTTTGCCTGTATTTTCTGTTAACAGTGGCTCCATTTTCCATTTTGACCAGGTTGGAAGATAAGAGTTCCAGACATTGCCAACTCTTGATTCTATGCCTCTAGTAACTCTTGCCCTTCTCATTATTGTGTTATGATGAGTGCCATGTGTATACCCTGATGGAAAAATTATTTCAGCTAGAAATAGCCAATTTTGAACATTAGCGCTACCATTTACTAGCTCTGAAAACTTGGGCAAATTATTTGATCCCTCTGTGTCTCAGTTTTTTTTAAATAATAATGTCATTCTCACACATTTCTACAGAGCATCATTAAATAACAAATATAAATCCTAACACATGTGGCCATTTTGTTCCATTGTGGTAATGTTTATAATGATAAAAGATAAGCAGCAATCTAAATGCTTATCATTGGGAATTAAGCTAAAAATTGTGATATATCCAAGCAATTGGAAACTATGTAAATGTTCAAAAAATGCAACAGTTCTTTAATATACTGATTTAGAACAGCCTCCAAGAAATATTAAGTGAAAAAAGCAAATGGCATAAAAATGTGTGTATGTGTTTATATGTACATGTGTATATTTGCAGATATATAAATTTGTGCTTGTATATTCATAGATTTTTCTCAGTGTGATATGATACAGTGAAGCCAGACTACTTTGGTTTAAATCTCAGCCCACCACTCCCTAGCCGTGTTACATAGGAAAAGTCATCTAGCCTCTCTGTACCTTAGTTTCCTCAGTTGTAAAAGAGTAAAAATAATATTAATTATTATTAATTATTCATGATAATATTACCTATGGATGTTGTGAGCATTAAATGAGATAAAAATTTTAAAACACTTAAGAATCTTGACAAGCATTAGTAAGGTATTTATACACGTTAGCTATTATTATTTCTATTACACAAGAAATGAGTAATATTAGTTGCCCCTGAGGAAAAAATTTGGAGATGAAGAGAGAAATAAGAAGGAGGCTTATTTTGCATTGAATATTGTTTATTGCCTTCTAAATTTTGTATTTTATAAAATGTATTATCTATTTTTTACCAAGTAATTTAGCACATTTTTTAAAGTATCTTACACATAATAGGTCCTTCATAAATGTTAATTACCTCCCTTTTAAATTCATTTTCCTGTAAATAATTGAATCTATCTTTTACTTACCTTAAAAAACATTTGTTAAACTTGACTTACATTTAGGTATTCATCTTTTAAGGTATATTTAGCAGTCATGGAGCATTGGTGATATAAAGTGAAAGTATTATATTTATTTATAATTTAAGAGGAAGAAGTCTGTCTATTACTAAGAAATGGCATGATGCCTTGTAATCTGAGGTTTCTTAGTAAATGTAACTTAAGTAGACAATGATGATGATGACCCACAAATGGTCACATTCTTCCACCTCCTAAGTCACCCCCTGTTTGTTAGTAAGTAGGTTAGTGTGGGGAAAATCTCATTATGCTGATACTATTTCCTTTCTGTATCATACAATTCAAAGAAATGTTGGTCCTCAAGCCAATTAAGCACCTTATTGTCTTTCATAAAAGTACAGATCAGTACAAATCTATCAAATTCAAAGTTCTTTTTTTGTCTCTTTTGTTTCCATTTTTAAAGGTTTTGATGAACTAAATAATGCTCCAGTTTTTAAAGATTTTGATAAACTAAATAAAATCCAGTTATTTGGATGCTGCCTTTGGTCAGCTAAGGTGGTAGTATACTCTTGCTAAGTGACTTGAAGTCTCCACAGTCTGTGAAGACTTGCTTAAAATGGCATAACTTTTAGGAACCACAGAATCTCATAATAGTAGCACTGGAATTCTATGTCCAACTTCACTCAATTAAAAGATTGTGGACATTGATGGTGAAAGACACTGAGTTACAAAAATAAGGAGTGCCTTGAGAAAGTTCAGTCTTCCAAATCTTATATCATAGAATCTATATTTACAGTTTAAAAGTATTCTAGAGATCATGAAGGCCCACCTCTTATTAGAAAAATGACAATGCCAAGAGGGAAGAGGAACTTTAATATGATCAAAAAGTTGATTAAAGGCAGCTGACACTAGAACTCTGAGGGCTTCATCTCTGGTCAAATGTTCTTTGTTTAAAACCATACAATTATGATTTTAAAAGGTTCCAATTTTAACAATGAAAGTGATGAAGATATTTTGAATATTTAAAAATGTTTAACGAAGGACATTGGTTTTGAGGTTGACATACTTATCAAGAACAGTAACTACCATGGCTTCCCATACTTTGACAAAACCTCAGACGTGTGGCCTTCTGGTCAAGGGTCTGTGATTTCATATTGTTAGAACATTCATTATATCCCTGAGAGTTGCAGCTCTCTATAAGTTTGCTGTGGCTGAACCAAGAAAGAAGAAATATACAGATTTCTACAGAAATTATGATTCTGTGAAAGATTTTGAGGAGGTGAAGGAGGCTGGTACCTTTCAGAGTGCAAAGTGATTTCAGAATATAAAGAATCTATTCAGGTTGAAATACCTAGAAGGTTGTCACTGACCTGTGTTCCTGAATTATGAAACATGAATATGTGGGCCAAGAAATAGTTTCTCTTGATAAATAAACAATTAACAATTTTTTAAAGTTTATGTAGTATAAAGAATGAGTTTATCTCTCAACTGATAATATTATATATTTAGTAAGTATTTATTAAATGCTTACTATCTTCCAGTACTATGCTAAATTTCTGCATATGTTTTTTCTTTGATTGTCACAACACATGAAAGTAGGCATATAGTTATCCTTCTATTACAGGTAAGGAAAACAAGTCACGAACCCAGACTGTTTTTGCCTGCCTAAATTTGTTCCTTTCTCTCTGATTTTGTAGACCTGCTCGGAATTAAATCCTTACCATGTGGATGTTTTGTTTGATTGTTTGATTGTTTCTTACCTCTCGGAAGTCTTCTGCACTAAATAAATCTGCATGATACTTATGGTCTCCTTTCCTAATCACCCATCTCAGTTGGTTCCTTCTGTGCTCCTACACCTGTCTGCTTGATTGGCAGTATCTGGTGGACTCCTGTATAGCCAGAGATCTGATTCTGATCCTTTTGGAAGGCCAAGCCAAGGCCTATAGATGCATTTTAAAATGCTTACAGGAAATAGCCCATACAAACTCCTTGTTATTTGTTCAAAAACAATTAATTGTCTTTCTTGTACAATGAGTTATTCCTTTTCCTATTTCTGTTTCTCTCACCACCATTCTCCCAGAGCTATAAAAAGGGAAACCTTCAGAGTCATCTTTTATTTCTTTCTTTCCATTCCTTTCTCCCCTCCCTCCTGCACTAAATCAGTTTCAAAGTTATAGGCATGCTATCCTACATCCATCTCTTCCTCTCCATTCCAAACTCTGTAACATATTCAGGCCTTCACTGTCCACTGACTAAACTTTTGTAAGAGGATACTAATTGATCTCCTTACCTCCTACTATTCTACATTTTTAAAGAGCCCTATTAGTTCTGCTGTCAATTAACTATCCTAAAGCTCTGATCCAAACATGGCACCTCCCAATTCTAAAACCTTCAAATCTTTTATTGCAAAAAAAAGTTTTTATAATATGTTTTCTGTCTTCCTTTCTAAGTATTCACATTTCTCCTATGCACCAGCAAAAGTGAACTGTTTCCAGAACAGACTTAATGCTTTCCTTCATGTCTTTGCTTTCATAGTCCACATCACTTGGAACACTCCCCTCTCTCAATCTCTCTGATAAAATTTTATCCATTCACTGAATCTATCTTAATTGTCACTTTCTCTTGATTTCCTAAACTGATTTGAAAACCCACTGAAGCTCCTCAAGAAGCACTATCTCTTTGCTACAATTATGGCATTTCTTTTGTGCTTTACATTACAGTTTGTTGTTGTTCATGAGCTGGCTTCAAATATTTGAAAGCCTGTCATGAGAAACAAGGATTAAACTTGTTCCATAAATCTCCAGAGTAGAACCAAGACTAATGACTAAACTATACAAAAGACAGCTTTTAGGTCAATGCAGCAAAGAATTTTCTGACATCCAGAATTGCCCAAATATTGGGCTGCTTCTGAAGGGACTACATTCTTGTCATTGCAATATTCAAACATAGGCTCAAAACACTACTTTTAGGGGATGTGGTAGAAAAAAATAGATAAAGTGGACCAGATGGTCAATAATAGTACCTTCAAGCCAGGGATTGTTTTGAAGTTTACATTCCTAAAGGCACTTTAGAAACCCAACTAAATATAACCTTGTTATTGATTAGTATTTGAATCTGCTAAGAAAATCAAGCCTGATTTTTAAAATCTACTAACTCTCAACTCCCCAACATCAGAATAAAAATAATTTATCCAGAAAACAAAATTAGAAAAGTTTGGAGTGCAACTATGAGGGGAGAGATAGATTTTAATTTTAGAAAAGGTTAACTGTATTCTGTTGCATAAGTAGTATCTTATCCCTTAAATACGTATAACACAAATATATAGAAGAGCAAATTTTTGAATATCCATGTCAAAAAATAACTTCTTAAATGGTTTATAAAATCTGTGAAGCATGTTTTCTTCTATTATATTGTTGTTTATTATAACATGTAAATAGGGTGCTGAGGACTCCAATAACAAATAGAAAGTAGTTTTGCCTTACTTGGCTTTTCATATATTGCATACTGAGGACCTTTAAATACAGTGCCTATGCATACTTTGACATGTAAAGGAATTCTGTAGCATCTCTTTTTACGTAACAGTTGACTTGACAACATTCACAGAAGATTATGATAGTCTTGGAACTTAATGGTGAATTCCCTACCAGAAATGTAAGTTTTCTTTTAAAATAGAAACATAAAAAGCATTTATACCATTGTAGAAAACATTTGCTAAAAACTGACTATTTTAAGATCTTAATAGATAAATGAACAAAGGCTAAAAACAGTCAATTCACACAAGAAAAAACCTGACATGTAAACAAACACAGAAAAATGTTCAACTACGCTAATAATCAACTAAATGCAAGTTAAAACAATGAGATACCATTTCACACCTATTAAATTGGCAAACAATATTTTTAACAAACAATACTCAGTACTGGTGTGGCTACAGTGAATCTGATGCACAGTGTTGGTGGTACTGTAAATTAGCATAGTATTTTTAGGTTGCTTTTTGGCAGTACATATTAAGATTCATTAAATGCTCTCATTCTTTGACCTAGGAATTATAAATTTCAGAATGTATCCTAATGAAATAAGAAAGAAAAGGCTATTTGCATTTATGTTCATTGTAGTATAAGTAACAACTAATATTTCCAATTGTAGCCAAATGCTTTTACATAATATTTTTATCCAATTAAATATTCTGTAGCCTTTAAAATTATACTTTAAAAGATTATATAACAATATGGAGAAAAATGATAGGCATGTGATTAAGAGTAAAAAGCAGGATTTAGAGCTATACCTATATTATTGCTACAACTCTGTAAAACCTGCCATATGGACAATAACTAGAAAGAAAATTTGACATCTTGCAGGAATGGTATTAAAAGAAACTATGCGCCTTGTGTTTGCTGCATTACCATGCTATTTCTGCATTAAAGTAAGAGCAAGGTAATGCTTGGTTTTACTATGTGGAAGGAAGCAGTGCAGAGTAGGTGCTTAAGCTAGGCATATCAAACTCTTTGGTGTCAGGTTTTTTGGTGTGCATTATAAAGCTTTGAAGACAGGTTCCCTTCAAGTTCTTTCTAACTTTATTGCTCCATGATTCCAAATGATCTGAAGGAAAGATTATATTCAGAAGCCTCTGAATTAGTTAAGGAAACTCAGTTTTTCCTATTCTTCAATTAATCTCTGAGGATAATTGTAAGATCTCAAAAGCACAGTAAAGTGGTAGGTAAACTTTATTTGGGCTCACAAAAATACCTACCATATGTTGGGTGTTTTCAATTTACCAAACACTAAACTTGTATCTTGGACCTTTTTTATGGCTTCATTACAAAAAAAAAAGCAATCTCCTAAGAGTTTATTTCTTTTCATTTTCCAAATGTGTAAGTTGATGCTCAAGAGAGAATGAGAAATGTACTTAAGGTCACACAGATCTTACTGGCAGGTCCAAAATCGGAAGTCAGATCTACCTCCTCTCCTGTTCATATTCTTTGCATCATAATAGGCTTCCTCTCAGAATGGTATTATTTTAGGGGAAATATTCCAACTTCAAAGGAAAGATTTTAAAGTCACTCAGTGCATCAAGTAACCAAGTGCAACACAACAAAGGTATCTGGAGTCACTGTAGCCTATTTGCTGAGCACTGTGATAACATGCTGTTAAGGCCAACATTTCTGCAGTCTGGAAGTAATAGATCATGGTCTCCTGTCCTTTAGCATCTACTGAAGGAAACACTTCATAAATTTATAGTTCTTCTAGCTAGGCACAGATATAAAATTTGAGGAAGTTTGTTTCCTCTGCACCCAATCCATTCATTCTGTATGCTCCTCCCCGAGGAGTCAAATTTAACAGTGGTCAAACAATAAAGTTGAAGGAATAAGTATTTAACAGTGAAATCTAAGATAGCAGTTAGTTAATTGGCAAGGTGCTAGAGAGAAATAAACCTTGTTGGAATTCCTGAGCTCACATAATTTAGATAGCTTCATACTCTTCCCTAGAATTATGTGTGATATCAGGTCTTTCTTTCAAGAGATGAGAAAATAACTAGAATGCTGTGATCCTGGAGAAAATATAAATTAAGATACAGATACTTTGTTTTATTTTTTTAATTAGGGAGCATTTGAACAAAGTGAGAATAAGGTAATTTTGCAGAACACCAGAAAAGGGGTTACCCCTGGGAACATTTTAAGGAGATAGTTTAAAGTCATAAAGCTATTACAGCAAGTGTTAAGTATTTGAAACTTATTACGTATTGGGAGAAGTATCAAATATAAATAGGCTCAAGAAGATCTCTGATAAGATAGTAGTTAATTATATATCAGGTTAAAGGAACAGTAGACATTATGATGAATGCTAAATCAAGCAATACAGAAAGAAACATAACATGTTAATTTAAACATTTATAGGTTATAAGCAAATTTATATAAGCAAAACATTTATAGGTTTATAAGCCATAAACCTTCATCTCCTCTTTGGAAGCCTACATACAGATCTAATTAATAAACTTTATATTTAAACTAGTTTTAGATTTACATAAGATTGAACAGAAAGTGCAGAGAGTTCCCACTATCCCCTCACACCTCAGCCCCTGGCCTGTAACACACACACAAAATTCCACTGTTAATATCTTTAACTGGTGTGGCATATTTGTTGCAATTGATAAGCCAATATTGTTACATTATTATTAACTAAAATTCATAGTTTAAATTAGATTCATTCTGTGTTATATATTTCATGAGTTTTGACAAATGTATAATGACATGTATCCACCATTACAGTATCATGCAGAATAGTTTTACTTTCCTAAAAATTCCTGAAGCCTACATATCTTAATAGAGCAATCTGTCTGTTAGCTGGATGTTGGCTTATCATGACTGGTGATGTTGCTTCCAAGCAGATAACATGTTGAACTTTTACAAAGTAATGGAGAAAAGTCAATAGAGCTCCATATATTGGAAAGGTCAATACCTAGGACCAACTCTTGCTGGGTAAACTGCTAAGCACATATTAATATCATATTTGGCCTATTCAAGAAGGAAAATTTGATGACTGCATTTAAGATTTCTGAGTATCTAACTGTTTGAATCAGACAGAGGTTTTGCCTACTATAGTTAAGCATGACACCAAGAACCAAATAGATATTCATTTGATAGATTCCAAAGTTTTAAAACCTGGCTAGCAGCACTCAATATATAACATCATGTTGTCCAAGTGACCTTTATTGTTCAATAACAGTCTTATGAAGGACAAATAATTTTCAATGACATATTGCAACATTATAGCAATATATAAAGAAAAGGCCATCAGGGAAGACAATAGTGATATAAAAAGTGAATAGGCAATGTCCCCTATATCTAGGCAGCCATTAACACTTAAAGATTCATTAGTGAATTTATTTTGATAAAAATATTTATATTAAGAAATTCTTGGCTGGGTGTGGTGGCTCACACCTGTAATCCCAGAATTTTGGGAGGCCGAGGCAGGTGGATCATCTGAGGTCAGGAGTTTGAGACCAGTCTGGCCAACATGGTGAAACCCCTCTCTACTGAAAAAAAAAAACAAAAATTAGCCGGGTGTGGTGTCATGCGCCTGTAATCCCAGCTACTAGGGAGGCTGAGACAGGAGAATCCCTTGAACCAGGGAGGCAGAGGTTGCATTGAGCCGATATTGTGCCACTGCACTCCAGCCTGGGTGACAGAGCAAGACTCCATCTCAAAGAAGAAAGAAAAAAAGAAACAAAAATTCTTGCACGAAAGGATTACATGATCAATTGTTGTACCTCATCATGGTTTGTACCCACTCAAAAAAGAATGCTGCTGAGTTGGTACATGACAAACTCAGGTGAGATTAAGGAAAAAAAGGAAAGCCCCTTTTGTTTGGAGGAAAGTTGTTCTAACCTGAAAGATTGAAATTCTAGTGGACAAGGCTTTCAATTTTATCATTTTCTGTTTCCACCCCAACATACTTAATGCTACTAGAAAAAGCCATAGAACCATGCTATTGGACCTACTACAAATTATTAATAGACTATCTAACATCAACCAAACCTTCCACACTGCACAGGCATTATTTTAATTGTTATTTGTCTCCCTATTTCATATTACATTCCAGCTGCATTAAACTCTTTTCAATCGTCTCAAGCCTCCAACCACAACTACCACACTGGGCTGGTGACATTTTCACTTTATAAAAAGATGAAGACTCTCCAATTAAAGGTTCTCTACATGCTCATCATCCACTCCACCAAAGCCCCCATACCAGGGAAATATATGGTAATTCTTCACCCCAGTACCCTCTATCCTTATCTATCTTTCCTTCCTTGAGACTTGTTTCATTTGCCATCTCCCCTTTATTGTATTTTCATGCTCTCCAACGCTATGTATTTTTTATGCTATGCCTATACATTTAATCAAGTTTCTTTTGGCCAAAAATTTATTTTTTCATATTTCAGCTTTCATTGTAGGGTCATCTATACTGAATCTTTTAAAAAGTCCATAAGTAGATGGTCAGGCTAACTACATACTGTAAATTATATATTATTTATTGTGCATTATATATTAACTTAATTTAGAAGCTGCCTGGAATCAGGCTGAAAATTCTCTTGCCAAACAGAGGAGGAGATGGATAAAGGTAGAGAACCCTGAAGATGGTCATGCTTTTAAATACTAGGAGTCAACTAAATTGAAATGAGACTTTCAATTATTTCTCAAGATATCCTAGAGAATACGCATAACTCCCAAAAAAATTCTCCAGTACCTTAGAACTAAAAATCCCATATCCAGTTTTGACCTTACCCCTCCTAGTGACAGTCTTTAAAATCTGTTTCAGGTCTCTAGAACCAATGAGTGAGGCTAATCAAGGATAATGCCTTTTACCTACTCTAGTAAATTTAATATACATAGAAATTGGTCATAGTATAAGTAAGGTCTCCCACTCCAAATGTACCTAAGTATTTTTCCAAGACAAGTATACTAGCCTACCAGATCCTAGAGGAGAGACTGGGAGCTGAGATTACTGCCCACAGACTGATATTAAAAAAACAACAAATGTACAAATGCTCTATTTCCTTCAATCCCACTTTGAATTCTTCTGCCACTTTTATTACTCACAGAGAGTAACTCATTGGCTGTAAGCCCCACAAAGCAGAAAGCTGTAAATCAGAGTAATTCTCATCAGCACCACACAGTAAGTTTTCATCCCAGAGAAGATGAAATACATAGATGCAATTTGTCCTTAGTATTTATACTGGATGCTCACGGTTAGTTTTATTGTCTTTGGAAAACTGAACTAAAAGCAACAACATTATAAAACATTGTTATAAACCAGGTTCTTTACATGCATTATCCCATTTAATCCTCACAACAACCCTACAACATGAATATTTTAATCCTCATTTTATACACGAAAATGTGAAGGTCACTGGGTAGTTTTACTTGCGTAAGACAATAAGTGGCATCATGAGGATTCAAATGCAGCCACCTCATGTCATATTTGGGCATGCTAAAGTCCAAACATTTTCAGAAACATTGTTCTCATACTTCATAAAAATGATAAGGATTAATGATTATTGAGGATTTATTCTGTAACAGACTGCTAAATTTCATTTAATCTTCACTGGGACCCAATGGGCAGTTACTATTTTTGTTTCCAGTTATAGTTAAGTAACTGGCTTAAAGTCTGTATTAGAAGCAAAGCTGTCTGATTCCAGAACCCACAATACATAACTACTGTTGAAAGATTATAAAGGTATTACCCTTCCCAAGGTAAGAGCATGTTTGACATGGTTTCCTGAGTATCTAATACAAACACAGGAAAACAAAAAATCCATCATGGCAAAAAGTTTTTCCCTCCCAAAATCCATGTGTTCCCACAGAACACTAGACATAGCTTGGAACAGGTCTCATAATATGGACATCTTCCCTGTCTTGCTCCTGAATGAGCTCCACCTTAACCACCATTTCCTACTTCATAAAAAAAAATTTAAAAAAAAAAAAAGCTAATTTGGTAAAGAGAGGTCCTAAATCATATGTGAATCTATTAATGCCTTTGCCCCTATGTCTTGGATTTCTTATTTTCCCTCACTAGAGCTAAATTCTGCCTTTGATTTATCCAAAACCCAATTTAAGCCACAGTTTCACGTGTGTGTCAACCCAAATCCCAGGATCCTCCTCTATGCTATTGACACTTTGTTGCAAGGCCCTAGAACACTTCACAGTTAAACCTGGTAGTATCATTCACCAAATATTAATGAATGAATTTAATGGGTTTTTAAAGTGCATTTACAGTGTTCAATTGCTATCTTTCCCCAGTGTTTCTAATCAATTTAAATAAGATTTGAGATACTTCCAATCACAATTCAACATGATTCTGCAACTTATCTTATTTATTATCCCAAACCTACAGATTTCTATGGAAGGTTTTTCTCTGTTCTTCTTGGGTCTCCTGTCATATCTTCATTTAAATGTATGGTTCCACAGTAGTGCTAGGGCCTCATATACTCTAGAAAAACTTCAGTATTGGCCAGGCACAGTGGCTCACGCCTGTAATCCCAGCACTTTGGGAGGCTGAGGCAGGCAGATCACGAGGTCAGGAGTTCGAGACCAGCCTAACCGACACGGTGGAACCACGTCTCTACTAAAAGTACAAAAACTAGCCGGTCGTGCTGGCGCGCACCTGCAATCCCAGCTACTCAGGAGGCTGAGGCAGTAGAATCGCTTGAACCAGGGAGACGAAGGTTGCAGTGAGCCGAGATGGGACCACTGCACTCCAGCCTGGGTGACAGAGTGAGACTCTGTCTCAAAAAAAAAAAGAAAAAAAAAAAAAACAGAAAAACTTCAGTATTGAAAGATGTTGGGAATGTAAGAAATGTCTATAATCCCGATGGTCCCAATTGCATGTGATCTCTGCTTTTGTCCATGCTGCAGTGGAAACCAGTGGGTATGAGTACATCTAGTAGAGGAAGCCATTTTTGCAACTCACATTATAGGCAAATTTCTTGCCAAAGTCCTCTGTAAGTAACCATTCTGCGATGTCATCACATAATACACCTTGGCTCCTTTCTATTGAGAATCCTCCAGAATTATATCAGAATATAATCTAAGGCAATAGCCATAGGTTGCAGTTAAAGAAATATTAAGAAAATATAAGAACTACAACCACAATTTATCATGATATGGTGGCTGGCAGATATTAAAGTGTTTAGTTCAAGAAGTGAGTTTTTGAAGAACATAAGGATACTCCATAAATAATACAGTTGCTTATGATGAATAAAAATAGTCCTATGAGCGTCTTGTTTCTTCTTGCCAATGGAATAAAACACCACAGTATAAAAACAAATAGTTCAAGTTAGTGTAGGCAGCCACACTTTGAGGTGTGTAAACAGTCCTGAAAAATCAGTTGAAAATATGCGTTAGGTCCTTTGCAACTCTTTCAATTCAGAAGGGTACTGGGGGGTTTATTTATTTGTTTATTAAGCAAACACTCAATGTATGTTTACTATGTGCCATGCAGGTTTTAAATGTTTACAAAGATTAACTTATTTAATCCTTATGCCAACCATGTGAGGCATGTACTATCTTTAATATTATTTCCAATTAACAGATGCAGAAACTGAGGCACAGAGAGGTTAAATAACTTGCTCAAGATCATACAACTGGCAAATGTTGGAGCAGGCATTCAAATACAGGCTTGCAGGCTCACAGTCCATGCTCCTTCCCGCTGTACCATGCCCTTCCCTATTCTGCAGGCTTCTTGTGGTTTAAAATGATGAATGCTTGCGGTCTCTTACTTCAAGTGTCTTTTCTGTGTGGTTTTTTTTTTTCTGACACAGAAAAAGAATAAACATCATTTTTGTCCGTCATCAAATATTTATTCCATGATTGTAATATGAAAGGCACTGTACTAGACATTGGGCATACCATGGAAAATAAGATAAATAAGGTCTTTACCTTTAGGAATCTCATATTCTAGGGGGAAATATAAGCCAACTGAGATACATATAAAGTGTCATAACACAGGTAGAACAGCATGCTGGGGCCTACAAAAGGGCACCCAAATTAAAGCCAGTGTGGGAGGCTTTCTGTAAGCAATCTAATCTAAGTGGAAAGATCAAAAATTGAGTAAGTAAAAGTGGTAAGAAAAGGAGGAGTCAGCGTATTCTAAGAAATGGAGGTAACTTTTTAAGTGGAAAAGTTCAGCCTGGCTGGACTGTAGAATGTGCAGTGGTGCATGAAGGGAAATAAGACTGGCTAGGCATAGAGGAACCAAATAAAGCAAGGCTTCTTAGGTCTTGTGGAGAAATAGCATTTTTTTTTTATCCTAAGAGCAATGGAGTGACTTTAAAATGTTTAAAGCCAGAGAACAAACATAACCAGCTTTGCAGTTAGAAAAATTCTTTGGATGCAGTGAAGAGATAAAAATTACATCTGGCCAGGCGCTGTGCCTCACGTCCGTAATCTCATCATTTTGGGAGGTGAAGGTGGGAGGATCATTTGAGGCCAGGAGTTCAAGACCAGCCTGGACAACATAGCAGGACCCTATCTCTAACAAAAATTTCAGAAAACAGCTGCTCATGGTGGAGCATGCCTGTAGTCTCAGCTACTTGAGAGGCTAAGGTGGGAGGATCACTTGAGCCCAGGAGTTCAAGGTTGCAGTGAGCTATAATCATGCCACTGCACTCCAGCCTGGGTGGCAGAGTAAGACCCTGTCGCTATTAAGAAAAAAAAATTACAGCAACCCTGAAAACTAGGACCAATGGTCTGGCCATTAACACAGCAACAAATAAAACAATATTTAGAAGCCCCTGTGCTCACCAAACCACGCTGGACCACTATAAAAGAGCATAGGAGGATGACTTCCTCACAACCCACTGCCTGCTTCTGCTCACAAAGCAGGACAACGGTGCAAGCAATCTCTGTTGCATGGCTGCCAGCCTTTGCAGCAGCCAGAGTGGTATCTGCCCCATTCCCTGATCATCATCAGCACTTTTGCACTTATATCCATGAAGGGAGTACATCTCTTAGGAAGCAAATGACAAGAAGTAAAGGACGGACTAAGAATTTAGAATCTTCACTACTAAAGAACTAAAGTGCTGAAACAAGGGAATCATTAAAAAACAGTTTCTAGGCTCCTTAGGTATTCAGCAAGTCAGAAAATTCAGTAGTGGGCATAAGACAAAAACTCCTCTTAGTCCAGCTAAGTTATACTTTTTCATATTACAATCATAGATTGAAATACTATGCAGATATTTAAAAGCGGGATACAGGCCATACACACACATATTTCCTTACACATACGGATGTGTAAAGAAATATAATTCAAGATATATAATTGGAGTACAGTGCTTTGAGCACAATCTCTTAGGACAGAAATGTTAATGAGAACAGGAAAAAGTTTATAAAACAGAATTAAACCAACCAACCAAACAAACAAAAAAGGCATTACATAAAAATAAAGAGATAATCTGTACCAAAAAATAGCTTATTTATAAAACAAATATTATATGAGTGTCCACTTTGTGCCAGACACTATTCTAGGTGCTAGGAATGTAACAGTGAACAAAACAGATAAATTACACAAGAATCTTTAACTTCTAGGGGCTCACATTCTATTGGGAGAAGGCAAACAAGAAACAGAACAAATAAATTACATAGTATGTTAGAATATGATAAACACTATAAATGAAAATAAGGCAGGCTGGGCACGGTGGCTCACACCTGTTATCCCAGCACTTTGGGAGGCCAAGGCAGGCGGGTCACAAGGTCAGGAGTTCGAGACCAGCCTGACCAACATGGTGAAACCCCATCTGTACTAAAAATACAAAAATTAGTCAGGCATGCTGGCATGCGCCTGTAAACCCAGCTACTCAGGAGGCTGAGGCAGGAGAATTGCTTGAACTTGGGAGGCGGAGGTTGCAGTGAGCCGAGATCATGCCACTGCACTGCAGATCTGTAAAGAGATCTGGGCGACAGAACAAGACTCCGTCTCAAAAGAAAACACACACACACACAACACACACACACACAGGGTATGGAGGAACTGAATTTGGGGGTCGTGATTATAAATGTGTGGTTAGGGTAGGTCTTATTGAGAAGTTAACAATTGAGGAGGCCCGTAGATCTAACTCCTCCACCCCCACCCTTCAATGAAAAGCTTAAAAGGTAGTCATTCTTTAAAAAAAAAAAAAAAAAAATAGGTAATTTATGGGTGATTGTTAAGGTTTCAATCCCCTTCTTTATTTTCCACAAAGAAGAGATACTACATTTACTTTACAAATGTAAAGAAACAAAACAAAACTAAACAAAATACTATGATCTACAGGATTGACTGTGAAATTTGAAGCTCTGCTCCAGGTCTCAGTTATTATATAGGCAAGTTTTGCCAACACTTCAGAGAAAAAAAAATTATCCCAAATGCATATACACTTCCAGAAAATGGAGGGGAAAAGGGAATGCTTCCCAAATCATTCTTCAAAGCAAGTAAATCTTGATTCTAGCATCAGAAAAGAACTTCCAGAATTATAGGCTCATTTATTCGTAAGAACAGATGTAAAAATCCCAGCTAAAATTTAAGCAAACCAAAAGTATATATAAAAAGGTAATATACCTTGACCATGAGTAGATCCCAGGAACCTAAACATGATTAGATCTTTTAAAATCTGTAAATATAGCTCATAGTATTAACAGATTAAAGGGAAAAATACGATAATTATAAAAAATGCAGAATAATTGGAGTGGAAAGTGGAAGGCATGTAATGCCTGAAATGGGAGGGGAGCAATGAAGGGGATGGTCTGGCTCTAGAGTGCAGGAGAAGGTTGAGTGCCAGGAGAAGATCTCCATGCCTTTCTCCTACCCTCCTCTGCCCTCCAGTCATCTGTCTAGTCCAGAGGGATTCTGCTATCTATTGGAAACAAATAGAAGAATCGAAAAAAAAAAATCGATATTAATATCCCTTTCTAAATTTAGCCCTTAATATTTGTCAGTTTTAAAACCCCAAACTATGTCTAGTACAATGAAATATTTTACTGCATATGATAAAATGTAGTCTTCTTCATTTTATGTTTCTTCAACTAATAAATTAGTCAGATACATAGATTATTCATAAATGTACTAATATAAATGTGGTTGTAGCATTGACATTATACATTAGGCTCAACAATGTGTTTTATTTATAAACTGTAGACTGGTTTATTTCTTCCCCAAACTCAAATACAGAAATAAAAGTAAACTCCAGATATTGGATCTTACTTAAATGATCAGACTGGTATGCTTCAAAAATCTTTTCTTGGCCGGGTGCAGTGGCTCACACTTGTAATCCCAGCAATTTGGGAGGCCGAAGCAGGCAGATCACAAGGTCCGGAGTTTGAGACCAGCCTGACCAATATGGTGAAACCCCATCTCTACTAAAAATACAAAAAGTAGCCTGCCATGGTGGCACGTGCCTGTAATCCCAGCTACTCGGGAGGCTGAGGCAGAAGAATCACTTGAACCCAGGAGGCAGAGGTTGCAGTGAACTGATATTGCACCACTACACTCCAGCCCGGGCAACAGAGTGAGATTCTGTCTCAAATAAAAAAAATTAAAAAAAAAGAAAGAAAAAGAAAAATCTTTTCTTGAGAGAAAAAAAGAATGTAGAGATGGGGAAAGAATAATGTTTGGCTAATAAAATCAGAAATATACTACTCTAAACAGAAGTGTCTCAAATTATTCCAAAAAGTGAGTGGATATGTCATGTCCATATAGCAGGAAAAAAAATGTGATCTCAGGTGAACAGAAAAAGGAGAAAAGGAAATTTTCCTCTCAGTGTCATATTTTTTAAAAGACCTAGCCTTTGGGAAAAGTTGATAAAATGCTTTAACCTGACATCTCAATAGTAATAATGGTAACAACAAGTAATATCCTAACATTAAAAGGTGGTGATGGGGAAGGGAAAATCAATCCAGCACCTAAATTGACTCCTCTAGGGACTGGTAGGCATTTTGTGTGGTTGGCTTCATAGTGGATGCCACTTTGGAGAAGAGGCTGGAAAGGCATGTTGGGGCCCTGAGGTTTGCCATGCTAAGGAGATTTTACTGTATCCTCACCCAAACCTGTGTCAGTTTACAGGAAGGCAAACAATTTCCTGTTGCTGTTTATAAACAACCAGTGCTTCGGCAATAGGTTGACACATGTGTCTCTCCACAGCTGTTAAAAGTCAACGTCTCACACCTAAGATAGTTTTAAGCATAGCTGATTCTCTTAAATTATCTCATTCAGGAGACCATGCATAAACATGGACAGATATGTCTTTTTTGAATTCACAACTTCTTAGCACTTTAGTGGTTTTTGAACTTGCTTATATTTTTCCTCTTAGACTTTTATATTCTCTTTTCTCTAATCATTCAAAATCAAAAGAACATTTTAAAAGGAGTGAGATCCTGTTGACCACCTCGATGAAAAAGAACTAGGTTTCCATGGGTCACTGGCTGCTTATCTGTGTGCATAGCTGAACAAAAGCGATATCAGGTTAACTTTCAAATTATCTGAACCCACTGCAGCTTTGTTTTCCCAGTGCTTAGGTTCATTACCAATAACACCTTAAGAAGTTAGTGTGGGGGAGAAAAATAAATCAGGAATCAGAATATCTCAATTTAAGCCCCACCTTTACCTCTAATTAGCTAGGTGATATTGGGAAATTTAGTTGTCTAATTTGAAGCATCTATAAAATAGGGATAAAGATAATAGTTGACTTATGGACCTTGTGGTGTTTTACATGAAGATCAGAGCAAACAATGTGGTATATAAAAGCACACTGTAACATGCATGCTGTTATTATAATTATTAGATATTATAAATGAATTACCTCTTATCTATGATGAGGATCCTGAAGAAAAACATACACTTTGAGATCTTTTCCTGGTGGCAGTGTTTTGCTTTGTTTGTTAAATAATTTCAACTTTTATTTCAGATTCAGGGGCACATGTTGCAGTTTTGTTACATGGGTTAATTGTGTGATGCTGAGATTTGGGGCACGAATGATCTCATCAGCAGGTAATGAGCTTAGTATCCAATACTTAGTTTTTTAATCCTGCCTCTCTCTCCCTGCACTAGTTAGTAGTCTCCAGTGTCTACTGCTGCCATCTTTATGTCCATGAGTATCTGGTGACAGTATTGTTTTCATCAGAGTCACTTACATTGTCTAGACTCCCTTATGGCTGGCCACAGTTAGAGGTGTGATCAACAGTGTGGACCAGTCTCCCTGGGAAGCCATATAGCCCAGAGGGAGATCTACATAGTAGTAGCTTCAGCAAGATGATCCCCAGGCATTGACACCTCGAGGACCTTCTGGTACTGAGAAGCACAGTGCTTCAGGCTATCCCAATCTAACAGGAGATGCCAATGGTGTTGTTACCCCAGCTCAGTCAGGTTTGATAAGATGATAAACTTCGCATATATGTAGCACAGACCAGTTTTCAGCAACTTTAACGTCTCATTTGGATCTCAAAACAATTCTGTGAAGAAATCAACCTATTATTATTATTCCCACTTTATACATTTAAAAACTGAGACTAAAATTAGATATGTGACTTGCCCGAATTTGTACAGCTTGTTAAGTAGGAGAGCTAATAACCATACCTAGATTCTGATTCCAGGTCCCTGCTTCTATATTTTAGGAATTTCCACAACTCCCTAAGAAAAAGGGAAGATGGCACTGAATCTATAAATTACCTTGGGCAGTATGGCCATTTTCACGATATTGATTCTTCCTACCCATGAGCATGGAATGTTTTTCCATTTGCTTGTGCCCTCTCCTATTTCCTTGAGCAGTGGTTTGTAGAAATACCTTATTTCTTCCACATGAAACAGTAATAATATGCATTCGAAAAGCAATAGGGGCCTTGTTAGCATATTATAATGCCAAAGCTTCACAACTTGCCTCGCAATATGGAATCCAGGGTCTCTAAAAGTAACTGGAAAATGACTTCCTGGTTATAACCACTCTCAACTCTGCAGGAGTGTCTGCAACAGATTGCTCTTATTGGAAAAAAATAAAATTAATTCTTATTAAGCACTGGTCATTGCCACACACCTTATTTATGTGATACCCACAATAAGAAAATGTAAGCGCACAGAGATAAATAATTTGCCTAGAGTCACTCTTCTGGTAAGAGGCATACCCAGAATTCAAAACCAAGCCTTTCAGACTCCAGATTCTTTGATTTTTCTACTATAGCTTTCTCCCAAACTCATGAAGCAGCAATTTAGACATTACCTCTGGGAGCTTTCTTGAGACGCTTCTCAATTATAGATTCATTATGAACCTGGTGATTAGGTATATGAGTCATAAAAATGAGTGTTCTTTATTGATTATCAAATACTCTTATGTATGGTTTCTAACCCCTTCAACAATTCTCTATATTAGATGTTACTATCAACCCATTTTTTGTGTGTGGAAAAACCAAGGGTCAGAAGTCATATATTTCACCATACCACAACTTCATGCCCACAGCTTTAACCCTAATCCTCCACAATCTATTTGAATGTCTCTTTCTTTCTTCCCACTTGCTTGTTATTCATATCAAAAACAAACTAAAAGGAATAATTTTATAGTATTAAAATATGGTATTCTTAATAGATTCCATTTTTAGTTCAGCTAATACTTTTGATTTTTAGCTAATAGAATGTTTTACTTTTGCACTGTGGTTTGAGGCAATTTTATAGAAAAAAAATGCTTTTATAAAATGAAAATAAGTTAATACATATTTAAGACCATGTTTTTGACAAAATAAAAATCTAAGGGTTGACCGTAAGCCTTATGAGAAAAAGAGTAACAGCTTAGCTCATCAATAGTTCAGTCAATAAAAGGTTGGACTTCCCAAAGAAAAAAAAATGTAATTAGGTACACTTTTTTTTGTATGTGTTCCTGCTTAAACAAATCATCTTTTTACAAAAACCTAAATAATTAAATAAATTTATTAGTTTCTCATTGATCTATTTAGATTTGTAAATTATGTTCAGGTTGACTTTTGCTTTGCTTTGTTTTATTGGGGTAGAGGGAGGTGGTTTATTTTAAGCAAACTGTAAATCCTGAATGAAGAAGGCCTGAAGAGATAGATACTTAGATTATGCCTAAATCTCCTCATACAAGACCAAACTTTTTAGTAACTTGAGTGCTTTACAAATGAAAGAGGCTTCACAAGTACACTCCATCCCCCAGAGATATCCAGATAGAGGGTAGATGGTCACTTGGATATCCTAATGGATAATCAAGCATCTGATAGAGGAGTGAGGTCCCATTCCAATCTAACAATCCATAAAATTCTATGAAATAAGTATAATTTCAACTGGTAAAAATATGTCTCCCAAAATTTTACTAACGTTATTAAATAAATTGTCTATCTTTAGACTAACTCTTTGATTTTAAATAACTACACTGAGGACCTCACAGCTGTGGCCACATATGGGACCAGCACAGGATGTGGAGTAGCTGTGAATTATAGGCTTATTATATTTTGAGAGGATCAATTTGATCCTAGGTTGCATACATGTACAACTATCCTATAAAGCATCATATTTATAAACACTGAACCTTTCTGGGGGCATGCCTCAATAGCTCCTTTTGCTTTATTTTTCCCCTTTACTTGTCAACACATTCACTGCTGCCAGCTTTGAGACAATTTAGCAGCAGGTTCAATACTGCAGCATTTGTGACAGTGAACGTTGGTCAATATTGGAAGAGAGACCAGAAAAGGTGATGGAATTTTCTCATCTAGAAAGGTCATCTGCGTAGAGTATGATGTGGCCTAAACTTACAGAAATGGCCTGAACGTCCTCCCCTGACCATCCTCTCTCCTAGGGCTCTGTGATATTCTCTATTTTTAACAAGCAAAAGCAGCTAATCCTAGAGAAAACCGTATACAGGCATTACTCATTCTTTTCAAAAAGGCAATGCATTCCACGTGAAAGAAGAAAAGGCAAAAAGAAGAGAGAAAAGTAGGCAGAAAGGAGTGAAAAGTGAGGAGAAAAGAGAATGAGTGGAAAGAGAAACATTGGTGTATCACCTAATGGGCAAAAATTATTGATTCTGACTACCAGAGCAGTACCAGAGACCTGCACTCCCCCAATTTCATTTAATTTTTGCCTGAGTATACTTATGTGAGCCCTGTTGAGATGTCAGGGTCTGCTACTCAGCATACATGGCACACTAAAAGTATTTGGCATGAAGATGATGAATTTTCAAACTAGTTCAAGAGTAATTGAAAACGGAATTCTGCGAAAAGCTAACGTGTATCCTTATCTCCACGTAAACACATCAATACTCATTTTAAGCCTGCCAGCTATCTATCCGCTAGGAAACACTCAATACCGCTCCTTGTACATTGAGCAGATCATTGAGTTTTCTCTCAAAACTAATAGTACAATCATTTGCAACAAGAAATTCTTCTTTGTCTGATGAAATAGTACCAGCCCTGAGCCGCTCACTTATATTTCAGGAGATATGGGAGCTCAGTCTATGAATTTCGTACTATAAGAGGAGCTCAGACTCAGGGCCAGAAAATCACAGATTCCTGAAGCTGCAAAAGAGATCATCCAGTCAAACCCCGTTATTTTGTAGGTCAAACAGATGAGCTCTTAAAAGTCATGTTAATACTCAAGTTGCCAGTCACTTTTATTTTCAAAATTTACTGCTCTCATCTTTCTTAGCAAATGAGGCTCCACAGTTGTCTGGGGGAAAAATCTCCCTGGGATGGCAGCATATCTCCTGTTCTACCCTGATTGCTTTAGTCATAAATATGTTTACACCTTTTGTAGTTAGAATATGATGCTTGGTGTGATTCTGGTCCTAGTTAGGGCAAAGGTTGATGATTTGGGAAGAAAAATACAGTTCTGCTTCAAATTGCTAAGACCTGTCACCACAAATAAGCAGTTAGAAAGATATATGAGAATCCACTATCTCATTTGATCCTTCAGAAATCAAATGAGATGGATAATATTTTCCTGTTTTACAGATGAGAAAACAGAGTCTGAAAGTTCAAAAACCTACTCAAAAATCACACAACCAACAAGTGGTAGGTCTGGGAACTTAAAGTCACAAGAAACAAACAGATACCAGAAGGAATCAGGTGGCCATAAGATCAATCACAAGCTGCTGGAATTAATCATGGAAAAAAGAGATAGCAGTGAAGAGGATAATGGGTGGAAGTACAAGAGATTTTCTGAATTGAAGAGAAAGAAGTTGACAGGATTATTGCCACAGATGTTCTCAGTAAATCAGGAAAGCTTATCTGTTAAGTGTAAAAGAAGTAAGAACAAGGCAGAGGACAGAAGGAGTAGGGAAATGAATTGGAACTGCTGCATCCAAATGTGATGTAAAGTCACAGAGAACGGGAAAGGTCTAGCTAAGGACAGATTGCATATATTTCTATAGGACTCAATTAGTATGCTTTTATGACCTCCTACAACTGGCAGGACAAGAGCTGGGAACTCAGACAATCAGGCTTCATTAGATGCCAGGACTGGCACACCAGATCCACTGCAAGATCAAGAAGATGCAAGATTATTGCACTCTCAAAATGTCAGAGTTTAATTGCTGATCATGGGGCCCAGAGGAGGCAGGAATTCAAAAGAATTCAAAGGTAAATAGATAGTGCTGGGGAGAAAGAGTTTTAAAATTAAAACTAGAATACCAGTTTATTTGGTGTGAGAGAATGTTAAAGGTTCAATGTATAAAAATGGATGAGGAAAAAAGCACTGAAAATAATACTACTTGATGATGATGATGATGGTGGTGGTGGTGGTGGTGGTGTTATTATAACATCTTAAGATACAGAAGATAAACCATTCTAGATAAGGATGAGATTCCACAGGAATAATTATATATTAGCAAAGTGAAGGTGAAGACATGGGGAGGTTAAAAAAATATCCAGTATCTAAAAATCAAGTCAAAATTTTTATGTATGTTTGTAGGTGTTAAAGAAGAAAGGCAAACTACAAGCTAAGTGCTGAAACTATCAAGATGGACAAAAGTGTGTCATAGAACTGGGTCAATGAATAATGCAGGATAGAAAGAAGATGATGAAATGGATAAGAAGGTGTTCAAAATATAGGAAAAGGTGATTTATATATAAATCGTATGACAAGGCAAGTCTCATGGCAGCATCTTTTTCTATTCCAACACATATGCAAGGAAAACAGATGTAGTCTTTTTTAGAAAGAGAACTTGATGGTGTCAGGAAAAAAACAGATCGTGATTAAGCCTGGAGAGAGGGACAGAGGCACTCAAGCACAGGGTATTCCACAACTTTCCAGATCCACAAGATAGGTGTGCCAGGCTCTCAGGGCACAATAGAGGCAGCTTCTACAACCCTTTCATATTATTTTGCTCCTTCATTAATTGAACATATATGCCAGGAATATATGGGAAGAAACCAAGGATTGTATACAGATATGCAGTTCTCAATAGAATAAAGTCTGCTGTGGAAATCTGTAAAAATCTAGATAATCTTCATAACATCACATTTAAGGATAAACTAATCGGTCTCTCATTTACAAATTAGGAAACTAAGATACAACCAATTAGTCTCAGAGCCATAGCTAGAGGCCAGGTTTCAGGGTTACTAGTCCAGCACTTTTAGACTAAATTATGCCGTATCACTCTAGCACCACACCAGGCTTAAAGGGCATGCCAAAACAAACAAACAAACAAACAAACAGTATGTGTGTTGTTTTCCCAATTCTAAGACACCTTCTTTACAATCATTGCTTTACTCTCTCCTGCCAGCTCTGCTTTTCCCCACAAGCCATTTCACTTGGAAAAGGCCAAAGAGTGAACTGACTTGAGATTTACCTATTATTTCCTTCAATTATTATCCTATAATGAATTACCACTTAATGGGTGGTAAAAATAGAAGCTAGGAAGAACAAGTTAAGAACCTGACAAATTCCAGACATCCTTTTCATTCCTTTATAGCGTCTAATATAGTGTTTTTTTGAAGAGTAAGTAACTAATAAGAATTGACTTTTTTAAGTCATAAGTGTCTCTTTAGTAAGAATCTGTAAGTTAAAAATTAAATGCCTAAAATTTAGTCCATAAAAAATTACAGTAATATATATTTAACTTTTTCATTAATGAATTGTTTTCATGACTTTTAGCTTTCATAAATATTTAAGGCCCATATGGCATATATGTAATATGTGTTTCTGAATCAATACTATTGGAATTAATATATCAGCATACCACATGCTGACATTTCTATAGTTTCGGGTACTTACTGTGCCTGGCTTTTTCACCATAGGGCAGCTGTTAAAAAGCAATGGTATACCACCTAGAAATGTTCTGTATTATCTCTTAGATCACAGAAGAGAATTTGAAGGCTAAAGATTTATCTCTGGAAGCAACTGTCTCATTTAATTTTATATATATATATAATTATATAGATATATATTTAATTATATATATAATTATATAGATATCTAATTATAATTATATAGATATATATAATTATATATAAAATTTAATATACATTAAATTTATATTTCATATATATATATATATATATATATATATATATATATATATCCCAGATTATCTTCCCATACAATGTTGTCTTTTCTTGGTGAGGTGGATCTGGCAAAGGCCAGATCCCTGCTAAAAGCCAGGACAGCACAGTCTTTCTACAGAGACCTGAACAGAAACTGATAAAAGAAGTCCAAAGACAGGTAGAAGGAGTCACAGCCTCTTCCCAGGATCCTGGAATTGCTCCATGTCTACCTCCTATACCTCCCCCTATGCAGACACACACATTCACACACACCACATTTGACCCTCTCATCTACCAGAGACACACAGAGTTCTCTCCAACAATCACTGCAAAAGTTAGAGCTCCAAGAGTTTCCTCTATGCTTTGTCTGTAGACACAGATACTCATAACAAAATGCACTTCTACAACAAGGAAACCCATCGTTATAAACTTAAGTGTCACAGGAGCTGGGCAATTGCTTACATCAGATCATTTTAATGATAATTGAAGGAGATGATTGAGTATACAGTTTGAGTGCTTCTTCCTGGTTGGACAGATTACAGTTCTATTCCTAGAACTTTTCTGCAAAGGAACAAAGGTACAGAATTCTCATTCTTGTTCTTGGTACTTAATAATACTCTGCCTTAAACAAAGCTCATCCTTCAAGGTCTCTCAAATATTCCATCTTCAATGCAGTTTTCCTTAAAGCCATCAGAAAGAATTAATTATTCTGTGCTAATGTTACATAGCACATTACTTGTTATACCAAAACACAATTTCATATATGGTTTTGGTGTATTTCTATTCAAAGTTAGTCAAGATTCCTATTTTACTTCCAAAGTGCCTCCTATGTATATGTATGTATTATATATAATTCACTATACTATCTGTAATTTATCTGCTTACACATCTGTCTCTTTCCCTACCTTCCCTATCTCCCTTCTCAACGTGGTCTTTTTGAGAAAAGGACAGGGATTGCAGCCAATTTGTCTTGGAGTCTGCTATTTGGCCAGCAAGGCTTCCTGGAGATTAAATGTTGTCACTGCCAGTAGGTTGAAAAACCTGTCAATAGCACCTGACTTCCGCTAACTAGTCCTAGATCAAGCTTCAGTATTTATTGCCATTTCTCTGCTAGGGTCTTTGAAGAAAAATGCCTTATGGAGCAGAATCTATAACCACTTTGTAAGTATCACCCTTCATATCTCCTTAAGAATCTTGATTGACATATGTTCTCTGACTTGAGCCACACTCTACCAATCAAAGCAACCTGTGTATTTTGTTGCCTCTCTGTCTTGTTTCCTTGTTCCCTTGACTGCTCCACCAGGGTCAGTTTCCAAGCTTGGTTTTAGGATCTGCCCCCTATAATATGCTCTGTTTTGTTTACTGTCTTCTCCTATTTTATTAGTCAACCATGGGACTCAAGGGATCTTCAGTACACCCTCATTTCTTTCCTTTCAACTTCTATCTCTATTAATCTTACAAGCTTTTACAGCTTTAAGAGTCAATAACATTTTCACAATTTTATCCCATTTTATCCTCTCACTGGAGCACCTTCCCTCACCTCCAAGCAAACTTTCTATCTTCATTATAGCCTCACTCATACATTTATAATGTAAATTTGCATGTTAGAGAAAAAATATCTCACTGCTATTTGAAAACGTTTTAAAACACTTTAGATCCTACATTGACATTTCCACCATTCTACCTAAGGCCTTCTTGTGGTAGGAGCAGGGACTTTGGAGTCAAAGAAATCCAGCTGGAACACCAGTTTTATGATTTGGGTTATTTAACATTGCTACATCTTAATTTACTCCTCAGTAAAGTGGGAGCAAACACATCCAACTATTGAGTTGTTCTATAGGCTCAAGATTATATGATTATAAGCACTCAATAAATGGTAGCTATTTTTGGTAAAAAAAAAAAAAAAAGAGAGAGAGAGCAAATCTCTACCTCTTGGATAGGCTCATTCAGTATGTAGTAGCCATAGCAAATCCAACTGAAGAGACAATGACAGTCATTTTCATCATTATGGCTTCTAAATCCAACACCTTGTATATTATTAGATGAAATGTGATCTGCTTTATTATTCGCTTTTATAAAAACCATCCGCATATAAAGAGATGAGCAGGAACATTTTATAAAATATTAGGAAGTCTAGAATGAACTATTTTCTGGAACTATCTGCTTTTCCCATCCCTGCACATTGCTGTGTCTCTGCAGATAGCGGTCTTGCCATCACTTCTGCCCAGAGCAAAGATTTAACTACTCTATAAAGATTGCAGAGCCAAATAAAAGGCATTTCATTAATTCAGATAATAGATTAATTTCAGCACATCTCCACCATCCTGATGAGAGACTGAGCATGAAAAGATATCTACAAATCTACTGTAAGCTCAAAGTGCTTGCTCCCCAACTCTGGGCACAGAGAAAACACAATTGATTGTATAAATCAATAAAATGAACACTGTGAATCAATAAAATTAGAATGATGAAAAAAGGTCATATTCTGGTTCTCTAACTTTTTGTTTGATTCCACTATGTTCAAGAACTCACACTCAATAGTTCCCATCAGTAGCACTAAGGGGAAGATGACTGAAGAGATCCCCTACTGAAAGAAGGGCTTTGGCAATCTTAAATCTTATTGGGTATACTCCAAGACAAAGGATTTCCATAATATTACCCCATAAAGAGCACCTATTTGAAGTGATATATATATTGGAGACAGAGTCTCACACTGCTACCCAGGCTGGAGTGCAGTGGTGCAATCTCAGCTCACTGCATCCTCCGCCTCCCAGGTTCAAGCAATTCTCCTGCCTCAGCCTCCAGAGAAACTGGGATTACAGGCACGCACCACCATGCCCAGCTAATTTTTGTATTTTTAGTAGAGACAGGTTTTTTCCATGTTGGCCAGGCTGTTCTCAAACTCCTGACCTCAGGTGATCTGCCCACCTTGGCCTCCCAAAGTGCTGGGATTACAGGCATGAGCCACCATGCCTAGCCCAGAGTGTTTTATATTTTACACCTACTGCCTGCACACCTCTCATAAAACATTTATGATAGAACATAAACCTTGAACAGAGACTTTCAAAAACCCTCCCCCAGCAAGAATTTTTCATCCATTCATTTATTCACTCATTTATCAATATTCATTAAGCGGTTTCTCTGGGCCAGATACTAAACTAATTACATGGATATAGTAAAGAATAAGAAAGACATGTCCCTGCTCTTCAATAGGGGCAACAACATCACTTTGCACTAGAGGACTCACCTTGTGCTATGAGGTTAGAGGTCTCATAGATGAAATATCTGGGAAGTCCTCCTAATGTTTCCACTGAGGATATGAAGAATGAACAGAAGGTAATCATGCAAACAGGGAGTGTTAAGAGATTAAGCAAGAGATAAGCAGAAACCAGAGTTTTTTAAACTCATGTTAAGATGTTTAAACTTTACAATAGCTGGAAGATTTAGTGCGGGGTGGGGGATTTGATAAGAATATTGTTCTACTTTTCAATTGTCTATATTTTCTGATTTTATGGTCATAAACATGTATATTGATCTTACAATAAAAAGACAATAAGGTTTATATTTTAGTTTTAATTAAGAAAAGTAGGAGAGAGAAAGTAATAGCAGAAAAGGAAAGCTGAGCCAGAAGTAACAATGGTAATTTTTAAAAATATATATTATTATAAGCTTACTAGAGATAGACCAGAAATTTAGCTCTAAACTTACTAGAAACCAATTTAACAAGGGAAACTGCAATAGTTTCATAATATACAAAGTCTGTGAACAAGAAAGCCAGAGTGGCTGAATAGGATGAGTGGGTAAGAAAAGGAAGGAAAGCAACTGGAAGGGGTAGGTGGTAGGTAGATCATGTAAGGCTTCGAGTGTCATTGCAAGGACTCTGGATTTTATTCTGAGTGTGACAGAAACCTTTGTACATTTTTGAGCAGTGGAGTGATGTGATTTGATTTACATTTTAATAGCTCACTCTGTCAGCTCTGTAGAGGAGGAGCAGGAGAGTCAAGAGTAGAAATAAGGAGACCAATTTAAAGACTGTTGCAATAGATCAAGAGAGAAATGATGGTGGTTCCATCCAAGACAAATAGTGGTGAAAATAGAAAAAGGTGATCAGATTTAGGAAATTATTTGAAGGTAAAGCTGATAGGGTTTGCTGAAGGATGAATAGAGGGTGAGGAGAAAAAGCAATCAAGTGCATCTTTTGATGTTTTTCATGCTAAGCCATTATTCTGCAGTTCTGAGAAGGTTCTGCAGGACCTCCAAGGAGGTTCCTTCTCTTCCCACTCCTCCACTTATCTTCTCCTGGGTCATTCTAAGAATGTTTTCTCTACCTTACTTACTGCAGCCTTCTTGTACCAGGCTTAGGTTCAGCCCTGGAAACATTTTCTTTCTGGAGTAGGGGGTTAGCTGTGACTCTCAGGGTAACCTTGGTCTTAAGACTTTAGTTCCTCCTATCAGAAAGAAGGATCAGACCTTTGAGAAGTAGTCCTGAAACAGTTATCTCTGAGTCCTAGCCTGCTGTCACCTAGCCAAGTAAGTTGCCTATCAGAAATTCTGAGACAATAAATCAAGCCCTTTTCATAGATTATAATTATAGGGTTGGGGTTTATGAGAATTAAATAAGAAAATGGATTAGAAAAACAATTGTAATGAACTGTGATGCTCTTCATTGCAGCAGGGCATTAAATGCTACTAATAATGATAATAATGATGGTAATAGCTACTATTATGAGAGTACTTAATGCCAGGCACTACATGAGGTGCTTTACGTGTCATAATACTGAATGCTCAGAACAGCTCTATAACCTGGGAATTATCCCCATTGTATACAAAAGAAAATTAAGGTTACACTGGCTAAGATGTTCACTCAAACTCACACAACTAGTAGATAATGGAATCATCTTTAGAAGCTAGATTTTCTTGACTCTATTCTCTATGCTTGGAAATTCTAAATCTGTTTTTATCAACCTGGTTAGCTATATCCTGCTCTCAATATACCAGCTAGAGAAAGGTATGCACTGGCTTACAAGTTAACAAAGGCACAATGCTCTGAGATGCCATTAGGTTGGTGCAAAAGTAATTGCAGTTTTTGCCATTAAAAGTAATGCCACTACCCAGAATTCCATTACTGCAATTACTTTTGCAACAACCTAATAGAATTCTCCTAAGACAGAGCTACAGAACTTATTTAACAATATAGGATCGGTCCTTCATCACAGAGAATTATTCTTGGGCCAGAAGAAATGAAAGGTTGGAAATAAAAATTCTATCTAGCCTTTTTTTGTTGGCCAAGATGGCTACTACAGAAAGAAAAAGGAGTCTTTATGTTTCCTCTCTTGAAACCAGGAAATAGCTCAGGCTTCCCAAAGTCTTTATTCCTTCAGCAATCCTTAACAATGTGGCGTCACTGATATGATTCAAAGGTGTTATATTATGTGAAGCTCACAAACCAATAGAAGCGACATGCATAAAATATATTTGCTAAAAGAGGTATATATCAAAGTGCACAGATACCTAAAGAATGGGGCAGCTCCCTCTGTGTGGGAACTAGGTAGCAAAGAGGCAATACTCCCTGTAGGATGTCAAGGGGACCTATTGAGGAATTTTAAACACAATCAGCTTGAGGGTTAGGAAATCCACTCTGGCAGCAAGAAAAGAGAAAATATTAGAAAAGGATGAAAAGAAAGACCACTGAGGAGGCTATTACAACATTCCACAAGAGAGATAATAAATGTCTGAACTAAGACAATTATGCCAGGGACAGGGAGGACAAGATGCATTATTGAGGTATTTCATGGCAGAATTACAAAAAGAAAGAAAAGAAAAACTACTTCATGCCCATTTAAATATTCAGATAAGGGGAGGAACCATGGATGATGAGGAAGAAGATTCTCCCACGAACATGATCTTGCCCATAGCTTTTTAAGATACAATTTGTACATTCAGTGCATTAGCTTGAGGTTTGGGTGGATAGTTAACCCTGTTTTCTTCCAATGCAAACCTATTTGCATTTATTGAGTTTCTTCAAGTTACATCATAAGGGAGGCTCCAAACAAGGCCAGCAGAAAAGACTTCCTGAGAAGAATGGCCAATAATACCACAATGTCAAAACTCTCCAGGGGGATTTAGATGTGTTTCCTAGATGGTTGCTTAAGTGAGATATCATATGTAAACTGCAAATAGAGTGCCTGTCACATTAGAGGTACTCAATAAATTTTAACTATTTTAATATTAAGGTTCAGTCATCCACATTGATCACAGGATTTCTCTAGATGGCTAATTAATCATGAAGCATTTCAAGCAACATTTATTGAATATGTGCACAGCTCTCTGCAGGCAATACTCCCTGGCATGTAGTTCGCCCAGAGTTGACTCCTGCAGAAGCATTCGAAAACGGCAGGGTAAAACAATAGGGAGAGCGTGAGCCTGGAAATTTAGAGATTTGGGTTATAGTACTAGGGACACAAAATGTTAATCCAGTGCACTCTTCCTATAGTTGAGGAAACTGTCACTTTTCATTGCCTCACTCAATTTATCAGAGGTGAAGCCAGGCCTAGAAACAGGGGCTCCTGACTCCTGGCCCTGCACCTTTTCCATGATAGCACATACATGTGAGGCCCATCCGCTCTGGAAGGCCACACATGATCTAACTTACATTCTTGTGCAGATGACACTATCATGACAAATTAATTCCCAAAAACCTGAAACAATTCCTTAAATTTAGGTTAAGCAGATCATGCCGCTAATGCCTAGGCAGATGTTACCATGCCTTGAGGCACTGCATACAAACTAGAAACTGAAGACAAGCACTAGTTTGGATTTATGGTGATTAAGAGGTTTATTTTGCTAAATATATTTCTCTACATTTCTACCTAAAATGCAAAAGAAACTGTGTATATAAGCATGTTCACACACACACACACACACACACACACACACACACACACACATCTTAAGCCTCAGAGATGAAACCAGTAAAATTCAGTGTTTTCTATCAAAAGTTACATTCTGAGCTGAGTAGTTTAAAACCACTATTAAGCTCTCCAGGAAATGTATCTGTGACTCATCTGAGTCTGCTAGGTATGCATTTGAACAACCCAAACATTGGGATACATTATGTATTAACAGACAGCTTCCATATTGTAAGCATGTCTGTGTTTGTAGCCTTAAAACATGAATTAAGAAAACGGAATGCATCAGCAGGCTCAGACCCATTAATTAATCAGTATTCACTATCCTTTTGCAAGTAAGCAATTTTATCTCCATTTTGGGATTAAGAAACTAAGTCAAAGACGAAGAGCTATAATGGCTCACCAGAGGTTTGGCTTTTAATAAATCTCAGATTATTGGTCTCATATTTTGGTCACTAATATTACAGTACTTTTCTGAAAGATTTAAAATGAGTCTATGCCCTTATTGTTTCCTTTCTTTTGTTCTCCATATTAACACTATATCACACTGCTCCAAATCAGCCCTCAGTGCCTTATTTGGAACAGTGCTACAAACAGTAACTTATACCCAAAAACATAAGTTCCAAGGTTATTTGTGTTTTTGAAATAAATACTTAGTGTGCTCTCCAATGTTAATTCCCATCCAAAAATTGCTATATTAAATTTTAATATTCTCTTTCATTATTTACAAAATTATTTTAATCACCAACATACTGTACTTTTAAGTTTCAATTTTTTAACCCTAGATTACCTCTGAGTTTTTAGCTCAATAGAAGGAATATTTAGATTCCCTACAGTACGGTGATTAGTTTTCTAGAAATAGACATATATAAGTAACAGTCATTTAAAGATTTTAGTATAAGAATCTTAAATAAATATTTCAATGGAAATTATAAGAAGGAAAATAGAAACATTCATTTAATGTTTAGAACTAAATAGTAAATATAATTTTGAATTTAAATGTTTTCTAATCTAGCATTTATATTTTGATTTTTCTACTTTATATTATTTATCATTCTCAAGATGTTCTGCCAGTATTAATAAACTTTCACAATTTTCCTTTAAGTGAGGATTACTACTCTCATAAGAAAACTAAAACATAATTATATTCAATATACTAGATGTATACCCATATTTAGAAAACTTCATAGAATATGTTAGATGTTATTAACATGCTCTCATTTTTCCTTTCTTTGAGAATTAGCACTAAGTATCAAGCATTCAATAAGTAGAATATAGTGAGTTAAGAGCTTTAAAGAGTTAATTATGCTACTAAATGATGCTTAACCTCAGTAAAGAACTAGCTCAAGGCCTCGAAGTTTCAGACTCATGATTTAATTGGCTAGATTATGTGTTCGGAAGTGAAATAGGGTAGCAAAAAAGCTTTCTTAAAATAAATATTGAAAAACTGGAAAAAGAAGAAAAAATAATCATTACATCCCAAAATTAAATCTCTGAAAAGTAAAATTGCTACTGCCTTTGCCCAATTTCCCTGTTTCACAGTTTAATGTAACATAAAATTCCAATTCATGTGTATATATATATGCTTGGCTTCAAGCCCATGAGCTCATACACCCATGTCAATAAAAGGCAACCCAAGTCAATGTCCTGGTGAAGGCACTGCAGGCAAACTGAACAGTTTGAGCCAAAGAAGAGAGAGAGTTTTTGGATAGGAGTGTTTGAAAAAGCATAAGGCATCTGTCCAATGACAGAAGTAGAAAATAACTGTAGAGAGGAGAGTATGGAGAAAAATGAGTCTGGGAAGATACGTGGTGATTAAATACCTACTTCTGTCATGAGTGATTATGAGAAAAATAAATCATGTGAGATATTTCTGGTTGAAGAAAAAATACAGATTTTGGAGAAAAACTTATTTAAATTCTAGTCTTAATTCCAAAATGTGTTAGCTGTGTGACCCTGGCCAGGTTATATAACCCTTCAAAGCTTCAGCATTCTCATTTGTAAAATAAAGAAAAATTAATACCTATGTTAAAGGGCTGAGGTGAGAATATATGAAATAATGTGTCTGTGATAGAGCCTGGTAGAGCATTTCACATAGAGTACACCCAACCAAATGCCAGTTCTTTTTTCTTCCCGTCATCCCTTGGTCTTATTTAAAGATCAGTGAACACACCAGACAACTTTCCTTGCAACCCAGCAATTCTACTATCTCCCAGGCAATTCAGACTTTTTTTTCCCCCTAAACCCTTGATCCATCCATAGAAGTAAATTTTCAAACAAAAGGCATTGTAAAACTGCATGATTATTTGTCCTAATCAGTTTGACTTGTTTTAATGTTCTGAAAAGTCCTTGATAACCATTTTTAGAGTTATGTTTGCACTCCAACACTAAATTAGGGCCATTCTGTTATATCAACAACTATACTCACCATCATCTGTTCTACCTTTCTCTCTCTCTCTCCATACACACTCACACACACAAACACACACACACACACACACACACACACCACACACTAGAAGGGGATGAGGACATAACTAACGTAGAATTATCCAGAAAGAGCAACCCCATTGTCTATCTTCCAGACCCAGAACTTCTAAAATCAGGAGAGCTCTTCCTAAATCTTTGAGATTGTTGTTCCTGGGCAGTCCCAGAGATATGTCTCAGATCACTAACCCTTAGGTTACTCTAAGCCTACCCTAGAAGAAAATCACACCTACAATGTGGTCTTCTCCATGCCTCTGGCCAGATCGCCAAACTCCACAAAGTGAGTCTTATACTCAACAAGTACACTAGTCTTAAAAAAAAAAAAAAACTTCAAGCCCTCACCTGACTAGTTTTAAAGCATAACTTACAAAGCAAGCAAATCAATAGCAAAGTGCATCTGCCCATGGGGCTGATTCATTGCCACTGCAGTCTGAGAAGAGAAGGAAGAGAAGAGAAGGAGAAGAGAAGGAAAAAAGAGAAGAAAGAAGAAGAGAGAACGATGAGGAGGTACAGGAGGGAATGGGAAAGCTTGATCATGAAGCTTATATTCTTCACAGCTGGAATTATTAGGGTTGATGCTAGCAAACCCAGGATTGCACCAAAGCATGAAATTGGCATTACTCTACCACTTTGGAGAAACTGTGGTTCTGCTTCTAAGGGCAAGGGCTTTCACAAAGGCCCCAGGAACCTGTCATGTCAAGCTTAGCAGCCTTTCTGATCAGGCCCCACAGCCCAAATCTCAACTCTTCCCAGGTGGCGCTGGAATGACTTGCCCTGGCTGGGCTCTGTGGTGATGTACATGTACAAACAAATCTGTTTATCTTTAGGTCTCAGAAGACCAATAAATAACCTTGGGATAAAAAGTAGTTGAGATAGTATGGGGTCTCAGATGGTTGGTTTTACAAAAGCTGCCTTTCATAAGAAACTGGAGTATCCAGAAAAACTCTTAGGATATTCATAAACTTAAGTTATAAATAGTTATGAATAAGTTACTTAAACTTCAGTTAACTGTGGTCTTCAGAAAACTGGAATTTGATTAAAGCTAGCTGCAATGCAATGTAATTATATATTTTCATGGCTAAGTATTTTTTTTCTTTTCCCATAGCTAAGACCTTTTCCCCTCTAAAGTCTTTTTCTTACAAAATATGTTCAAGTGAACGTTGCTGTTTTTAGGGTTTTAATTTTAAATATGGTCTTCATGCATCTGCAATGTACGTGTAACTACTGGGAAATAAAACATCGTGCACATCCATAAAACATAACATTATGTTGCTGCAGACTAGCATGAACTCCAAAGTGCCAGTCCTGATGTGAAACCGGAGTCATTCTCCTGCCTCTTAATACCTTTTTCATCAGGTACAGAACAAATGATTTTTACCAGAGCTTAATTTTCATGGGATCTCTTAGGCACCTTGAGTGGAGAGGCAGAAGAATTATAGAGAAAGAAAAGCTTGGCAAATGAACCCTTTCCCGGCACAAGGAGACTGGTTCAATATTATGAGCATTTCCACCCAAACCCTACTTGATCCATAGACTCTATTGCCTAACGCCCTCCTCTCCAAAACCCCTGCTCCCATTGGTATTTCCCAAAAAGCAATAAAACACATAAGGAGCACTAGAAGAGTTCAAGGACATTGAGCTACATTTTAATCCATAAAAACACAGGAAAAAAATAAACAAAAATACCTTAATTCTTTGCCATAATCTCAACACAGCTAGTTCCTTGCAGTATTTCTAAACAGCTTCCTTAAGTGAAAGAGAAGCTTGTGTCAACCTAAAACACTCAATCACTAATTACCAAGATTAAAAATCCAAATACAGATGTGTTTTATTGTGTATATGTTATGTTTTAGGCATTTCTAAAACTTAACCTTCATTTAAAAAAAAAAACTACCACACTGGCAGTGCTGAATACTTCCTTTTCAACATATAACAAACATCCATGAACCTCTGGGATTTAAATAGTTTAACACACACACTCATCTTTGGAGCTTTTGTGAAATTCTCTAGAATACTCTGCTTTGTCACAAGTGGTTATATAAGCAGATAGGCTTTCTGGGTGAAAAATTGATGTCTAAGCCAAAATGGATTTCACAACATATGTACCAAAATGCAATTAGTTAAAGGAAATATTGAACTAAGAACTACAGGAAATAATTTTAAGGGAAAAGTTTCATTCAGAAGTTTGATTTTCTTTTGTTTCCAAAAAATGAGATGTTTTATTACGGTATATATAGAAATACATTAGGGGCATTTAAATGCAATATATGTTAAACCTAATGAAAATTTTTGATTAAAAATTACTTTTGGTATACTCATGAAGTATTTAAATGAAAGAATCAAATAAACGTATATCATGTGAGGTTCTAATTTTCTAAATATAACTTTGAGTCTCTAGTGAGCTGAAAGTTTATAAATAAATAAGTGCTAGGCTGAGTCGCTCCACATAAGTCTTAGATCTATACAAGTAACCAGAATTCTCTGGCAACAGGCAGATCATGGGGGGCAAGTCAAATTTCTATCAGTTTCTTTTTACCTTCATTCCATCATGAAAAACAACACTAGTTTACTTTTAGATAAGACAGAAAGTAGTATGTATTAAGGCAACATTCAGCAGAGTTTACATTTAAACTTCATAATAACCTATTTCTACTGTATTTTGTCAGATCGTGTTCATATAAATTCAAACTGAATTTGACAAATTCTGTCAAGAGGGAAAAAAGGTCTGAATTATATGTATCTGCCAGGAAGAAACATAAATGCAAAAACTGAAATGTTTCCAGATAAATTCCCCAGACTGTATATACTTTTCATTTTGTAATCATATGTTTTGTAATCTCAACTTCATTTGGATAAAGATGCACAAATTTTAGCAAGATATTTGTTACCTTCTGTAGTGGAGATTTATTAAAATGTATCTTTTTTTTGAAAAAAGAATAAATCTGTCCAGGTGGCTTTTTTAAGGTAAAAAAAAAATTCCAGAATATACATGATTTGCATACCTATGAAGTAATTTTTGTGATGTGCTAAATCTGTCGTAAAATTTTTAGGTTTCTGTTAGAGATGTAAATATTTTCTTTAAAAATACAAGTATGTATGTATTGTCCCAGAAAAAAAGTACTTGGGAATAACAATGATTTCATAAAGATTTAACAAATTTAACCAAATTTAACAAATATTGCTTCCATGGTAAATAATATCAACAAATAACATTTCTCTATTTTAAACATTTGCTGAATATAATGTTTATGTATTATTCTTTCTCCTTTGAATAATGTGGAAGGTATTCCAATTTCCATACAAATTCACTGGAATATTTAAGGAAATGTTATTGCAATGCTATTTACTTAGTTTCTTAGCAAAAGAAAAAGAGAGAGAGAGAGAAGCAGAAGAGGAGGAGGAGGAAGAAGAAAAAGAAAGAAAGTATTTAGAGTCTTTAAGTGTGCTGAAATGGTGTGCTGTGCAATGATATATGTACACATTCAATGTATTACATATTATTTTAAAGCTTTTATCTATTTATTTGATAAAACTTAATCAGAGATATTCTGTGAAAGACAAGTCCCATTTAGTAGGTACCTTTAGTTTACAAATAAACATGTATATACAAATGGAATATTGCCTCCTTTAAGCAAATTAGGAAGTCAACCAAAATAGCAAAAGGAAAAACATGACATAAAATTGTCATGTCCCCCAAATGAATTTGTTGAATGAATACATTGTGTGTATCCACACTCTAAATGCTTTTCTGAAACAGTAGAGCTCTCCATAGCAAATATGTTTTTTAAAGCATAATCTTGTGAAAACAGTGCATGTTAGGTGACACACTGGTATGTAGTAAACAGATAACTACTTGTTTTCTGAATAATCTTACTTGCTCATTTGGGAAACAATTCATAGAAGAAATATTCATTGTTCTTATGCATAAACTTTAAAAATAATTTACCACAATTGGCCAAATTATTTTCAAAGTATAAACAGATAGACAAGAATACTAAACTTTCCCCTGCCTACATTTGAGAGTTTGTCAGCAGTCAACTCCAAGGCCTTTAATCCCAGGCTTTAAATAATTCAGATAACACTTGATTACTCCATTGCAAGAACCCTTGAGCTCTGCAAAATCTGAGTAACACAATATTTTCCACATTAAAAAAAGGCCAATCTTAAATAGTAGGCATCAGACCAAAGTATGCAACTCATTTTTGCATTTACTACATAAACTCTGGTAAATATCAGTGTAGTTTGCTACCAAGTAATTCTGCATTCTTGCTTTCATTACCAAGCCCTCTAGTTCTACAGCTTAATTTGCTCAACTCAGAATCCCCCATCCATACTTGTTCTGGTTTTAAAGGCTTCTTTGAATCATAACAAGTAAAATGGTTAGTTATGTTACTCAGAAACTCAAAAGTGTACACAAACGAAAATTTAAACTTAAAAGAATACTGTTTTGACATTCATTTCTATTTCTTTAGGAAAATCATTGTTTTATATCTTTTGACAACCAAGATTCAATAACTGCTGCCTCCGTTACTTGTAAACATCAGCCATTACAAAAGAGCTTTGCTCACTTGGCTAAATTACAACCTGAGTAATGTGAAACAGACAGAATAACCAAGAAATATTGGCTTCCAACCCCAAATCAAAAAGCAACAAAATTTTGCCATCAAAAATGTCTAGCTGAGTTCTAAATGGATTAAACTCATCCATAAAACTGACGTAGGTAGCACTTCACTTTGATGTATAGTAGGGTCCATATATGTCTGAGCATGTGTTCATAATTATCATGTAACCAGATAAATAAAAGACACAAAATTAGGTTACAAACATCAAATAAGCTCTGTAAAAATTATCAAAGTTGAGCAAAGAACCCACTGACTTTAGTGGTATGGAACATTTTTAATCAATTTCTTCTCTCAAAGTAAACTCATCATATCCTTTCCCCTCAATCCTTGTCTGAGCATAGGAATAATCAATTTCTCTTCACTCTAGCAAGCAAGTTTAGTTTTTTCATATATCTGGCCTGAAACAACATGAAGTAGAAAATCTACAGATTGCATTCAGTATCACCAATAAGTACCGCATTTGACTACTGCTCATACCATTTGGAAACCAGTCCTCACATGACGACTGGCCTGACACCTCATCCATCAGCAGGGTGCCCAGAGCAGAGTTGGACAGTCTTCCTTGCTCCATCTCCAGAGGGGAGGCCCAGTTGGGAAACAGGATTCTCTTCCAATAGCAATTAGATCTTTAAGATCAGGCCTCAGCAACATGACCTAAAGCCATCCTTTCTTGCAACAAAGTCTCCAGCATCTTCAGAGGAAGAGACCGGGAGTGAGGCAAATGAGGAGAAATCCAGGTCTCCGTGGCCTGATTAGAAACTTTGTTGTGTCAAATAAACTTTGGCCACTGGAGGAAAGTACCCCATGGTTGCTCTGGCTTTAGAAAGATCTGTCCAGGGCTTCTCAATCTTCTTTTCACCCCTCTCTCTCTCACTCCCTCTCTCTCTCCCCTCTTCTCTTGTTTCAAAAGGGGCCTCTGGTCAGCGCTGATTAATAAGTGTTTTTTGTTGTGAAGTGTTGAATAATAGAGGATGGCCGGTGACCCAGTAAGGACTAAACCTTGCGCTGGTTTATTGTGGCAAGCTGAGAAAGGGGCTTTAGGCCCGGGACCCCAGGCACTGACCCGCACACATCCCGCGGATCGCCTATTCATTCGCACAGCCCTCCAGTCGCCCAGGCTCCCATTGTTTGCTGAGCAACAATGGAGATTTCGCAGGGAAAGTAAAGCTCTTTTCAGATTCCTCTCTGATGTTTTGCATTTAGGGAAACACCGACCTCCACTTTTTCCCCCGACATTTTCCCTCCTGGCATTTAAAGCTGTTCGTTTTCGGGGAAACTTCTGTGAGTTTCGCGCTTGTTCGACCAACACCAGTGTTAGGAGGAGGCGAGACCGGTGGAAAAAGGAGAGCCCCAGAGATTTCCCGTGTGTGTGTGTGTGTGTGTGTGTGTGTGTGTGTGTGTGTGTGTGTGTAATGCATTTAGAGGACGGGAGCTGCCTCTAGGGAGAAAGGGGAGGGGGGAGGGGAGAAGAAAAAGGAAAGAGCGCGTTTCCTCGCCGGGGTTACCGGGGTGGCGCGGGCTTCGCGGCCGAGGGGCTGCCGGCCCGGCCCGCAGCTCCTCGCGGCCGGCTGGGAAGTGGCGGGTCCGGCTAGTCCGCGGGCGGGCGGAGCGCGCCGTCGCTGCCAGTGTCCCCCTTTAACATTCCTTCCCCGAGCCTTTCCCTGCTCCTCCGCTCTCCGAGCCCGGGGCGGCCCCGCAGACACCAGCGCCTCTATCCTGCGCTCCTTGGCGTACGCAGCCGGGCGAGGTCGCGGCGGGAATGGGCGCCGAGGCCCTGCCCGCCAGGGCCGCATCTGCGGCCCGAGACTTACTTCTGCTTTGCTTTCCTGCACCTGGCCCGGGGCAGGCTTTCTAGTTTCTGCCTCGGCCAGAGGAGCCGACTTCCGCAGGACGGGCTTGGGGCAGGGGGTGCCGGTGGGGGCAGCGGGGCGAGGCGAGGTCGCAGGGAGACGACCAGGCCTGCTTGGGCCTGGGCCGCTCCAGCCGCCTCGCCTCTTCAGGGACCTCGCCCCGGGACCACCCGAGCGGACCCACAGCTTCTGAGGAAACAGCTGCCTCGGGCCTAAGGGTCTTTGCTTTCCCCCAACGCATGCAAGCGTGGGTCGCCAGCCCAGCATGTCTGGCGTGGAGGCCGGAGGAGGGTGGGGAGCTGGCGGTGCCCTATGGCCAGACGAGTAAAAGTCGGTTAGTGTTTTATGCGCCTGGGGGAGGCGAAGGGCGCGGGCTTGCGGGGCCCGGGCTGCGAGTATTGGGAGGGGGCGCCTCGTGAGGCCGTGCGAGGCCGCCCTCCCCGGCAGGCCTCGTCCACGCCCTTGTGGCCTCCCAGACCCGCTGCGCTTTGGCTAGGCGTCCCTACGCGCCTCCACCTTCTCCAGGTGCACGCCTGGGCGCGGAGCTAGGCTGAGCCCCCAGCGAGGGGCGTGGGGCGAGGGGCGAGGGGCGAGGGCGTGGGCGCCACGCAGGCCGCGGAGCCTGGTGGGCGGCGTGAAGCGTGCACTGCGCCTGCCTGCCCGGTCCCAGCCTGCCGCCCAGAGCTCCCCGACCAAGCCTTGACAGCTCTCGGAGCAGCGAGAAGAAGAAGAGGAGGAAGGACACAAAGAGGAGGAGGCGGCGGCGGGCGGCGAACTGAGGGCAGCTCAGGGGGAGGAGGACTCATTGTCCGGTCCCCCCAGTCCAATTGATATGCTAATCTCTTTTCTGATGCCACAACAAAGAACACCTTTGCACTTTTAAAAGACTTTTGTGCCCTGGCTACAGAAGTTTATTATCCACTAATTAGCAACAACTTCTGGCAACGAGTTGGGTTACATTTTCATAAGTTCCAGGCCTGAGCGACGAGGTGCGCAGGGCAGGAGGAGGTTTGAGAGCAGGGCAAACCCGAAACCTGGCGCTAGAAAGGAATCACCCGCTCACTTTCCTAGGCATAGGGCGCCAGGCGGGGATCGAAAGCGAAAAGTGTCCGGAAAAAGGTTCTTAAGGCTGGGGATGGGGTGAGGTGGGGTGGAGTTGATCGATTTGGGCCCAGGGTGGCTGATGACCTTATTGGACCCGATTCTGTGATCCCCATCCCGAGAGCTGCACGGAGGCGGAGACTGTGGCTGCCGTGCAGGTGTCCCGGCCCAGCCATCTGTATGGGGTGGGGGTGGGGTGAAAGTCTTGGACTAATGGTGGGGTGCTTGCCTGTGATCTCTCTCACGTTTTCCTTTGAGGCCTCCACTCGGAATAAGCCGCCGGCGAGGGAGCGGCCCATTCGTGGGAAACGCGCCCACCGCTTGGGTTCTTTCCTAAGGCCTCCCCACCAACAAGGCTGAAATTCCAAGGCCCTGGAAGATGAGGCAAAGCTAGCATTGCCAGAGTCGGGGGAGAGGGGAGGATGCTGGGTAAAGTGCCCACCCGGGGTGGTCTAAAGTCGTCACCCCACAGAGCAGATTCTGCTGCTAACCAGAGCAGAGAGCCGCACCTTCCCAGCGGCGGGCCCCAGTGCGCACAGCGTGACTTTGCCTCCCCCAGGCTCAGCAAGTCGTTGACGATCTTTAGCAGTCCCGCATCCCAGGTCAATAAACTGGAAACGGATAGAATGAGAATCATGGATGAGAGATAAAGGGCAGCGGGGTGATGCGCATTTCTTGTAGTGCCTCCAAAAAACCGTGGTCTCTCGCCGCTAATAAAACACCCTTGTGGTGAGGCCTTTGGTCTGGTCTCAACTGCAGAGATGTTTTGTCTTAGGTAATTCGAGCCCCCAAATCCAGCACCTTGGGATTATATTATACACACACTTATATTCTTTCTGTATTTTTTAAAATTCTTCTTTCATTTTTGGTTTGCTGCTTTTTGCAAACGACCCGGTTGGAGATATTGTTGGATATTTCAAGCAGATGTCAGGTGGGTGTTGGCGGCCTGTGAGTCCTCCTGCAGTAGCAGCAGCAGCCAAGTACGGTTTGATAAATGCTCAAGGTGAAATGTGGCCTTACTCAAAACCCCAGGGTGATTTAGGGTAGAAGAGCGAATATTCAGAGGCGGGAAGTGGTGAGTTATATTGTTACATTCCCTTTCGATGGAACTAAATGCGGTTATCTGCGGTCCTAACCTCTCTCGCATCGGAGTGCAATGTTTCTGAACAAGCTCTGTTAGAACTGGAAAATGGGAGGGGGTGAGGGAGCCCACTGACGACTTAACGGAATCTTACTGAAGAAAATACAAAGATAACCGAGATATTCATGATATTACATCTCATGATCTTCCAGACAAGCGTCTCTCCGGAACAAGAAAATATTCCCAAATTTCTCCCTAGCAGTGGCCTTGGGTGGAGTGAGGGAGGAGGTGGGTGGTGAGTGTAGAGAAGAGAAGGTCTCTCTCTGTTGTCACCCTCAGCCCCCTTCATTGAGGAGGAACAATGGCCAGGCCTGGAGTTCTTCCTGAAAGAGAAACTGCAGGAAGGCAGAGTTGCTCTTTGTACCCCAGCCCCTTTAGAGGAGGGGGAGTCATACACAGGATCCCCCTGACCACTGGGCGGTGTCCGGGAGATCAGAACCCCTCAGATACTCTGGGAGCTAAAAAGGCGCCGCCCTGTCCTCCCAGAAGTCCCACGCAGTCGCTGGAAGAAACCCAAGCAAAACCCAGCGACCTCAAAATTCGCCAGGGGGATAAGCGGGGAGAGGAAAACCACTCACTCTCACATGCCCTGTCAGTCCCCCCACGCCACCATCCCAATGTCTGATCAGGCTTGATTCTGCTGACGTGTGTATTTCAGATTAAGGATGTATTTATTTATTTATTTATTTATTTAATCCTTCAGATCTTCCCACCCCATAAAAGAGACTTAATTCCTTTCCAGGGCGACGGGTTGATAAAAGGCTCCATTTTAAAGCAATGGGGGAATCATATGACTGTGACCTTGACATGTGAAAGGGGGGAGGGGCAGGTAGTTTGGGGCCCAGACCTTAGGCCTCTGCAATTCTGGGGCGTTCTAGGCCCTTGATAAGAACATCAACAAGAGGGATTTATTTTCAAAGGTTACCATTAGCAGTTCATTCACTAAAGTTGAGAATTCGGTATTTTTATATTACGTGAAATACATGATTTAATTATACTCCAAAAACAAATTAAGGACAGGCCTTCTACACAAATTGGAGGCAGCTAAATGCTCTTTTGTGCCTGCAGCCCTCGGGTTGTTAAAGAGGCTGCTGATGCATGAGAAGTAAGTGACTGATTTAACTCATTGGGATGCAGGAAGCGACCTGCCCTCTTTTGAAAAAAAGCGAGAGAGAGAGAGAGAGAGAAAGAGAGAGAGAGACTTCGAGCTTGAGAGAGGGAGGGGAGAGGAGAGGAGGGAGAAGGAAATGACAGAGAGAGAGAGAGAAAGGAGAGAGAGAACGCAGAGGGAGGGAGGCAGGGAGGGAGACCAAACCCCCGCTTTACTGCGTTGAAAGCTTCTGAATTTCAAGCAGAAAGTAGAAGGAGCTCCAAAGGCAGTGAGCGTCTTTCCTTGGGCTGCGTGTGCCGAGCGTAGACAATGAAAATCTTCATCCCCCTCCCCCATTCTACTAGGCTACAAGATTCTTGTTTTCGTTCCTTCTCACCGGTGGAAGATGTGTAAAATCAAAGATGTAGAGGTGTGTAGTGATTTTTTTAAAAGCCAACTAACCACCGCACGGACTGCGACGCGGATTACCCGAGCGCACGCCGGCTGTAAGTACCATCCTTTCCTGCGGTAGCCGGGCTCTGCGTCCCCGGCTGGGCTGGGAGTGTTCGCTTTGTGAATCGGGTTGTTGCTTGTGTTTTGGTGTTTTGGTTCACAGGGGCTTCTTCGAAGCTTACACTTTTCGCACGTGAGCGGGAGAAGCGTTTCGCCGGTTGTGGGCGTGCAGAACACGATCCTGGTTGACTTTGATGCGGTGACTTGGGGTGGCGGGCGGGGGGCGGCGGGAGGCGCGGAGTCGAGGAGTTCCCGCGTCGCGAGCATGCTTGAGAGCCGCCGGCTCAGCTCCGGGCTGTAAGGTTGGTTCCTGGCAATGGATGGAAATCAGGTCACAGAGATCCCTAAGCTTGCCAGGCTCTCAGACACGCTTGGGAGACAGAATGGAATTGGAAGGAGGGATCTGAAGAGGAGGGAGGGGATCCGTGTTCCCCCACCCCGGGCCTAGAATGGAGCCCCGGCCAGCCGCGGGCCGGGCCCCTTGGTTTTCAGGACTTATTCTTGCCGGGGTTGGCTCGCACGCCAGCATCGCGCCTTCGGTGCGTCTTTTATCTCCATCTCAAATATGGGATCTTCTTGGGACGAGGACTGAATGAGGGTGGGAGAGAGGGTGTGTCTCACGGCGCCCAGGAGGGAGAAATTGTGGTTCTGAGAAGGTATTTTTTGGCCTCTTGAAAATGTGCAAGAATTCCGCGGGCCCAGGCTTTCTTTGTGTGGCGGGCAGCGCCAAGCGCTTTGTGCTTCACAAGGAGAAAATGGCGAGTCCTATTGTGTTTAGGCCATTTTCTTCCGGTACTAGGATTTTCCCAAGTTCGAAATACTTCTTGAGAAAGTAGCCTTCTCGTGCCCAAGAAAGTGTGAATCGCTGAGGCTCGGCCCCATGGCCTGGCGTGGGTGCTGACCTCAGTTTAAAACCAAGGGCCTGTTTTCTTACCGTTGGGGTACTTGTATCAAAGCACAGATATGACCGGTTTGTGCGGATCGGTGTCCTCCAAAGATCAACAGCGGCTCTTGGGGTTTGGAAAAATAAGTGTCTATTTATATATGCATATATACATATATATAAAAAACATATTTTTCCTGACAATGTGAAGGAGAAAATAAAAAACGAAGGACAATTACGTTTTTGAAAGAGGGAATATTTCTTTCCCTTTCTCCTTTCTCACGCTCGAGGAAACCCCAGGAGATGTTAAATGTTACTCTGCCGGGTCAGTCTCTTATTTTTTAAACTGAAGATGAAATGCTATTTTGGCTAGAAGAATTATTCCGCATCTTAGCCACTGGAACATATGCTTTGCTACAAAAAAAGTGTAAGGTGTTAGAGATGGATTTAGTTTAATGCTCTTAGCGTGTGTGTGTGTGTGTGTGTGTGTGCTATCTATATGCCTCTATATAGTGATGTAAATATGGAGAGAGAGATGATTGAAAAGGTTGTTTAGCTTTTGCCCCTGAATTTGTCATTTTTGTAATTTTTCTGCACTTGTTAAACCATATGTAAAAGTGGACAAGGATTCCTGTACAACAATGTCTATGTCTCTTTTGAAAACCGCCAAAAAAGTATTGCAGGTTGAAAGATATTATTTCCTGTTTACTACAATTATTTGGATCTTTAAATGGAGTGGTGGTTTTGTGAGCTCAAAAATAATGAAATGCAAACTATCTGCTTCCTGTACATTCAATTTGGTGGCAAATATAGAAAAATGAGAACAACTGGGATGAGGAAGAGAACCTAAAGCCTATAGCATTTCCCCCTTTTGCTATCATTTTAAATGCTAGGGAGTCTAATTTGTGCAGAAGCATTGTGACTTTCATTTTTCAAAAGGTAACACTAGCATGTCCTTTCATGTGGATCAAGACCATGGACAGCGAACTAATATTAAATCACTGAGCAAAAAAGGACTCTAATAAAATTTTGAGACCTGAGTGAAAGTTTACATTCAAAGCATGTTAGAAGTCAAAAATAATCTTTATGGTCTTTAAAAGGAATTAGACTGGTAAAATGTGGCATTTCAAACTTATTCTACCAAGTTTCAAAGAAACAATGATTATGTGTTCAGTTTTTACCCTGCCTCAAATAGTATATATTACTTATCCAATTAAAATAAGATAAAGCCCACCTTTTGGTACTGGTAAATATAAAATTTAAAACTATCAGTTTTAGATGTAGAACGTTTTTTATAAGGCCTTGAAACAGAATGGGGATGGAGAAATTTTACTATTTTAGACTGGCATTGGCTGAATGACACTACAGAAAATTAAATTGATTTTTATCAGTGAATGAATTTCTAAATGCATAAAATTGGGAAAATTAAATGCCACTTTGATAGACAGGAATAATATGAATGGAGATATAATCCGGCTATTCCTTCTACTCCCGTGTAGGCATTGTACTCTATAACTGACAGTGCAATGTTGTGAGCAAGCATTTATTTTTTTTCCAAGAAAGTCACAGATTTTTTCATATATACTGATTAGATTTGGGACACAGGATTGGTTCAGTGTGGGTCTGTGCTGGAGATCAGCTTATTTTGTTTTATACATTGTTTGAATAGTCTTTACTCCTTTACAGAATTAAAATTCATTTAAAACCATTTCATTTGTGGATTACATAACTTATTCAAAATTGCTCATTTAAATTTCCAGTTTGATGTGTCTTTTAGCTTATTTCATAACCTGACTTTAGTGTGACCTGTAAAGGCCTGGAAAATCATATAAAGCAAAAACAATATGCAGGTTAGAAGAATTAAAATAGTTCATAATTAAAATTAAGTTAAAATTACATCATTTAAAAGGACCTTGGAGTTTATAAATAAATTAATTTTTGATCTTTATTCATCAGATTTGGCTATAAAATGAAACTGCAGTTCTTTGAATGTGCAGGTTGCTGGAATTAGATGCTACATATATTTTGAACACACATACTTATTTTAATATTTTAGTTTTAGACAACGTATTCAAAGTACTTGAGAAGAATATGCAATGACATTTTTTCCGTGTCCTAATCAGGACCATGGTGAGGTCCCCGTGGTTCACCGAGTGGTGGTCCAGGGCTCTGGTTGGGACGCTGAGTTAGGTTGGCAAAGCGTCATTGTTTTGAAAGGCACATTCGTCCGGAATGGCATTCGTGATAAGATTAAACATAAACCTAAACCTTGGCCTCGGGGGAAGGCAGGCTGCGGGGTTGAGAAGAGGAGATGCAGATTAGCTCTGCTTTTGCTGCTTGCGCACATAATTAAGAGGCGGTCCCTCAGCTGGAGCGTGGGCTGTGTCCGGCCTAAGGTGCTTATTTTCCTGTTACTTGGCCAACCGAGTGTGAGTGAACAGGAGCCCGAGAGCTTAAATGTGGGATCTAGATAAGGTGTCGACTGGGTTGTGGGCGTTTGTCTCCATGTTAGGGAGAGGCAACTGAGAACGGTGACTTTGGCTTGTTTTGAGAGAGCCTGGGTTTTGACAGCAGGACGGCGAAGGGAGCGCTTGGAGAGGCTGGAAGCTCGACGTCTTAGGGAGCTGCCTGCGGGCACTGGGTTGACGCCAAGAGGTTGTCGGCAAGGGCAGGGCTCTTGCCCTCTGCTGTACCTAGGCTCTGCAACTGGGGGCTGCGAGCCTTCTGCGGCTCTTTGGTTTCAAGGACACAGCGAGCTGCTCAGGACTTTGGGAGCCAACATCTGTCTGACTGGTGACGTCAGCAGCCCGTGTAATCCTCTTGTGCTGAAGGCAGATGCCTTATTTGTTTGGCTGGAGCGAGCCATTAATCCCTAATTCTGGATCAGCAAGCGAGGGGGAAAGACCGGACCGCTCCGACCCACCCCCTCCCTACCCCCACCTCCCACCTTAAAGCACCTTATACCACGGAAGGCTCTCAGCCTCTTCTTTCCTCTGCGAACGCGCTGAGCAGCGATTGAAAACGTTTTGGTCCTCTGCAGGTTTGAACAGGGCTAGCAGGTCTCTCTCCGGATTTCTAGGGCTATGGGTATATGTAATTCTTTCTCTCATCGATCGTTTCGATTCTCTTGCCGGTCTTGCAGTTTGCAGGGTCCTAAACGAAGAGGGGTGGAGATTCGAGAGTGCGGGTCTGGCGTGTGGTCCAAGGGAGGGGGTGAGGCTGGGAAAGGGGGTGCAGAATGCGGGAACGGCTGGGACTGCACAGAAGGACCATCTGCGGACTCGTTTTCACTGCTCCAGCTCCCGAAATCGTTTCTCTGGACGCGGCAGTATCCGCAGCGCATGCACCCTCCTCTGGACTTCCGCAGCCCAGACCTGCGCTTACAGTCATCGCGCCACCCCCTCCCCCCGGGCTGCGGGCCCCGCGCTCCGTGGGCTCAGGGTCCCCTCCGCGTCCCCCTGAAGCCTGGGGACGGAGGTCGCGACCGGCCGACTGGGGTCCTGTCCTCTTGTCACCTTGTATCCCTCGCATGCTCCCTCCCGCCTCGTGTCCCTCTCCCCACCCTCCCCCTCCTCTCTCCCGCCTCCCTAACACTGCGCTTTGATTCTGTTTTTCAGGGGCGCATTCTGGGGTCTCTGCGCAAGACCAGCTCTCAGCTCTCTCTCCTTTCCTCGGACTCTGGAGCGGGAGCGGGCCTTTCCCTCGGGTCGACCACGCCGTAGGGGACGCCGTGAAAAGAGCCGTCGCGCCCGCTGCCTCCTGCCCGCTGCGCAGAGGGCTCCGCCCGTAGAGGTCAACTTCCCTCACCCTTTTCTCTCTCCTGCTTGCCCTCCCTCCGCCCGGCCCAGGCGCTTCCAGCCCCAGACTGTGGCCACTGGCTGAGGAGTGCGAGTCGGCTGCGCTGCCCTGAGCCTAATCCCTCTTCCGGGCCCAGACCCGAGGTCCGCGCTCCTGGGCAGTGGGGAAGCTTTAGTGAGCAGGCTTTTCTCTCCGCAGCAAACTTGTAGCCAGACCAGATGGGCCGCCCAGCTCTCTCGGGACTAGGCAGGTGCGGATGAGTTAATTTTTCCGCATTACAAAGAAAGATGACCCAGCCCGCCCTTGGACTCTCTTTTCCCAAAATCTCCCAACCAAACCCGCGGTAACGTTATCAAAGGACACAGAGCCCAGGCATATCTGTGTGTTTATCTTACAGGCACACACGCATGGTTTTCTCTTTTATATGCTAGATTTCATCCCTGACAGCAGAAAATGATTGGCAATGGTTATGACGGAGAACATGCAATAGCGTGGTCCTTAAAAACCTGCCATTCCTTACAAGTGCCTTAGAAAGGATTCAGGGCGAACCAACTGGGTTAATTGCATTCAGTAAAATAACACGATTACAAAATTAGATCTGTACCAGAGGGGTAATTAACTTGGATCCACGCCGTCATTTGAAAACTAGATTTATAGGCTTATGTATGTTTTTAGGCGTGTGCTGTAAATGGCATGGAGATATATGCATATGTATACGCAGGCACACGCACCGTCTACACTTCCACGGAACAGACTAATTAACAGCGGCTCTGGCAGATGTGTCAGAGATGAGCAGAGACAGGAGCTGGGCTTATGAGTTATGACTCTAGGGGTAGAGACTCAGAGCGGAGAGAGGGGGATGGGCAGGGAGAGAAGAGTGGTAATCGCAGTGGGTCTTATACTTTCCGGATCAAGATTAGAGGCTCTGCTCTCCGTGTTCACAGCGGACCTTGATTTAATGTCATACAATTAAGGCACGCGGTGAATGCCAAGAGCGGAGCCTACGGCTGCACTTGAAGGACACCAAAGCATCTCAGGGTCAGAAAGGGGAAAAAGCAATTGCAGGGAATTTAGGGGGTAGTAAAAGGAACCCATCTCTTGCCGCATAAATGCCCCCCACCCCCACCCAGGACTGATTCTGGAAGCAACCTAGTGTTCGAAAGGGAAAGGCTCCTACTTTTCCATTACAGCCGCGGAAATCCGCAGGCAAATCTCCGAGGAGAATTTTAGGGAAGCTTCATTGACAGCTGTCTGGAGAGCAGTAGTTCCCGCCTGTGCAAATATTCCAGAGAGTTAAATCATTTAGAAAGCACTAGTTCTTTCAAGAACAGGTAGTGTGATTGTCTGCAGTCCTGGGCCAAGCTGGGAAAACAAAACAGCAGAGAGAGGTGTAACATTAAATAGCGTCCTGACCACACTGCGCAAGAAACAGCAAATGAAACGTCCAAACTTTGGAAAGATCTGAAGAACACTTGCCGCCCGCATTTCCCCTTGACTTCTCCCTTTTTCTTCCCAATCTCGAGGCGTTCATGCCTGGCTTTAAGACGCCAAGATAACTCTCTTGTTTTGGCATTGTCGCAATGTCCAAATCGGTCAAAGGAGTGGGATAAGGTGAAAGGACCAGGTCAGAAACTTTAGAAGGACTCGGTAAATTAATTTGTTTGGAAGCCAGTGAGGTGGACTATGTTGAGGTAGCAGTTCCGCACCACGACTTTGGAGCCAAAGAAAAACCCAGGCCGAAAAAGCGAGCCTTGATGTCTTTGTTCTGCCTTGGCCTGCAGGGGTTGGGAACAAAGGAGAGGAGCTAAGAGGATGCACCAAAGTAGCCGCGCCCTCCCTGCCTGGCGCTGTCCGCGGTGCTGACCGTGGCCCTTTTCTCTCTCCGTAATCAAACTGGAAAAGCAATAGGACCGTCCCGTCCCTACTCAAAAGAAGAGTAGGATATTAGGTAATTTGAAAAATAACATTTAAAAAGAGAAAAAGGTCACATACAGCAAAACAATATTTTACTGAAATCGTTCCCTCAAGCTGGTTGCTACCCTTGCCTGACACTTTTTGGTCTTCACGTAGGAATGCACACATACATACATTGTAAGTGTATGGGGAAACCATTTCCACTTTATTTAGGCTGAAACCTAAATCGCAGGATTGCAAGAAGGAAATTGAGGAGAATGAAGGCTTTATTATTATCCTTTTCTTTCTTAAATCATCTTCCTTAAAACAGAAACATAAGGTCCTCAGCCGCGGATTTTAGTGCTTACTTGGTCACCAAAGGGACGTGCAATGGACTCAAGTGTGGGCCTCGAGGCTTAACTAGGAAGGGGTGGGTCGGGGACCCACCAGGTGAAACAGGGCAGGAGCCCATGCAGCTTGCCACCTTCGGCCAGGCCTTGCAGCCCGGCAGCCTTAGTAGACGGGTACAGAGGGCTGAGCTCTGCAGACCGCTCTGCTGCGCAGGAGCCTGCTCGGCGCATCCCAGCCGGCGGGAGGCACTGGAGGGCCAGGAGGCCTGAAACCCGCACTGCGGAAAAACCGACCTCAGCCACATCCTCATAGCTCACGCGACGGAAAGAGGCAGGGCGGTTTACTAAATCTTATGCAGTGAAAATTCGCCTTAGAAATCGAAGGTTGGATGAGTCAGTATTGATATATTCAAAAATCTAAATTTCTTAGCATATTTCATCGTTCTTAGATGTTGAAAGTATTAAATGTAAACAATACAAATTTAAATTCCCTAAGTAATGAATCAAAATGGCAAGGGAGAGAGAGAGAGAGAGAGACGGAAAATCAACCAATTCGTAGCCACCCTGGCTGGCTATTTCTCAAAAGAAATTTCTATGCATTTGCTTGAGTTTGTCTATAAATTCACAAACATAAAGGGTGTTAAAATTAGTAACAGACAAAATAATTCAGGTTGGACAATAGAGACAGCAACACCGATTTTGATCCAGGTATAACAATGGGCCATGCATTGACAATGACCTAAAAGACATGTGTTCATTAAGTTATTTTTTTTACACGGGATGTAGATGTATCATAAAATTCATGAAATAAAGCGGCCAGGTGCAATATCCTCAGAGAGCTGCCTTCTCACCCCCTGCCTCAGGGCGGATTTTATCTGTCCTCGAATTTTAGAACTCTGCAAGTCGGGTCTTTCACATTCATCGATTACTTTGGTTTATATTTAATTTTATCCAATTTCGGAGTGGGTGGGTAAAGCACACTGGAAAATAGGGGCTGCTCGAATTACAAAATTTAAGGATTGGGAATATTCCTCTTGTGCCAATTAAAAGCAGTCGTTGGAAGCAGAAATGAATTTAAAGCATTACACGTTATCATGGCGGCCTTGCTTTTTCCTTCCAGTATTCATCCAATTGCGCTGATCTCCTGCATCCACATCTTGCGTAATCCACAAAGCAGCTATGGTCCAGGGCTGCAAAATCGTCCTGCCTGATTCCTTTAGAATTCATACTACCTCAGAGGAGCAAACCTAATCCCCTCAGCCTAATCCTACCTGTTTAGGATCATCTAAACTTGTCCTTCAGAAAGCTTGATCAGTTTAAAATTGCTTTCTAAATAGAAATGAAATACGTGATATGAGAGAGGTTAAAATACTGCTTAAAAAGGGAAACACTCAATTTAGTAATTCGGTTGCCTAGATGAAATCGAGTGGCTATTGATCCGTGATGTTTCTAGATTTTTAAGACTATGTACTTCCTATTTCTTTGGAAAATAATCATCCAGTTTGATGCCCATTACAAATTTTCCTGCTATGAAAGAAATTCTATGCGCGGCAGTTTTGCAATAAAACAACCCGGGCTTCGCAATGGGAGAACTTCGGTGCGGCGTGCCGTGAGAGTCCTTTGACAATCTCAGCTTTCATCTAGGTCTGAAATTAAAGCTTCTCGGAATAATTTAGGAACAGCTTGACCCGTTGAGATACTCAAGGACAACCCTCCAGGGAAATAGTATGTTTCCTTCCTGGGAACAAGATGCTAGCGCGGTGCACCGGGAGGTATCTGGTGTCAACAATGCCAGAGCGCCCTCTGCTGCCTCAAAGAGGCAGGACACCAGTTACAAAAGCCAGATGGCACAGTGGCAATAAGCGGAGGAAACATTAAGCTCTTAGAAACGTTTAATCTGTGAAATTTAAAAGCTCTCATCATATTCTACTTTTGAAAGGGCCACCTGATTTTGATTTTGAGCACTCCTTGGATGTTATCTTCTATTCTGGAGGATAATGAAAAGTCCGTGTTTTGAAGTTTTCAGATTATTTCTGTAGTTATATTTCTCCACTCTTTCTCGAATTTTATATGGAAATACGAAATTGCAAATCTAAGTGAAAAACCTTTGTGTAAAACAGGTGAGTGGAGAAGACGTCCTGGTTTCTCCAAATAACTAAGATCTAATAAAGAAACAAATCTTAATTAAAATAAAGATACCGAGCACATGTTGTTGTGTTAGTTTAAAACGATAATAAAAAGAAAGAAATTAAGTCTCGATGTAAATCATTGTTTTGTTGTTTTGTTTCAGTGATTAACCCAAATTTTGACCAGACTTGAAGTTTTGAAATAAGAAAGTGAATTATTTTAAAGAAGAAGAAAAATTTGCTTCTTATTAATATGTACAATATTTTTGCCCTTAAAACCTTTGCAATACATTTATACACACACACTCAGCTTGCAAAGCCTTCTTTAGAAAATAACCCACTCTGAGTAGAAGTAATGAGATATGGTAGCAGCATGGGCAAAGCCATAAGAAACGTTATTTGCATTAAAAATGAGTTTTTCAGTATGGAAAATCAATTACCAAATGAAATAGAGATTTTTTTTAAAGGTTCAAACCTTTTCAAATTTTTATGTTATAGGGTTTATATTGATTAAAATAAATGTACGTTTGTAGTTATTCAACATTATGAATTTCAAGATGGCCACCTATTTTGAAACGCACACCTTTGCCATGAAGTCTGTTGTTGCATATATTAGTGCTGATGTAATAAAATGCTTCTATTAACTATGTGGTTGTTAATAAATCTTGTAAAAATAAAGTTCTGTTTATTTTATGGTGTCAGAACAAAATAGCTGTTTAAAATCACTTATTTTAGTCTTAGCTTTTAAATCAAAATGCCTATAAGAATATTAAGTTCTAAGATTGTTGAGAATACTAAGATAAAATTAAAAATTGTATGATTTTACAATTTGCTATAATTTAAAAATCTTGTATTGATTAAATGTTAAATCAGGTTAAATATTTGACCAATTGTGTCAAGTTCCGTATAAATATGGGTACATTTGTCTTCTGAAAGCTATTTCTCCAAAGAATGCACTTACGAATGTATGGCATAATAAGTGAAAAAATGGTAGAACTTTTATGTTTTTATTTTAAGTATCCTTTTAAAAATTAAAAATATTTTTTTTCTTTTACTTAATTTAAATTTCTTCCTAAATAAGTGCATATTTTACCCAGGAGAAAATAAACAGAGTGACATAAATTTGCTATACTTCTTATAGTTACTATAATCAGTTAAAAAACAACTTCTAGGCAAATAAAATATATAATAAAATGTAAATTAAAATGTAAATAAAATGCAACAAATTCGTGGGTGGAAGACATGAACATGACTTTTTTCTATTTTAAAAACCATTTGATGTATTCTAAAAAAAGAAAAAGAAAAGAAAAACAGAAGAGAACCAACTAAAAGAGCTTCCCAGATGTCCAATAGATGCTGCCCGAAGTAAAACGCATACTCTAATATTTGTTATTCAAATTTGCATGTAAGGGTTTTTAACCTCCCTTTATTTTATACTTGTACAGGGTAACGTATTGTAACTGAAACACTCCTCCTAATTTATTCTGGCTGTGAAAAGCCTATGGAAACATTCACTTCCATAGGAGTAATATGTATCTAAACAGTATATTTAGGGAAAGCACTAATAGAACACAAACAACTAATTACTGATGCTTTTAAGGAGGAACCGCAACAATAATTGTGCACTGTCTTAGATAAAATTAATATAGAATTTAATATTTGTAGACCACAAAAAAGCCCTAATCGTGGACCGCAGATTAGAAAGAACAGGCTTTAGCACACTGTGTATCTTTGTAGTATTCAGACTCAGCTGCCACTGCGATTTCCATCAGCTGCTGTTAAGTAAATAATATACTATGGAAATATGACTGAGTAGGAATTGAAAATAAAATGCTTTAAGAAGGAATAAAATTGGGATGTCAAGAAATCAAAGTTGATTGTCTTTAAGATAGAAGGTTAGTAGTTACAAACTGCAGCGAAAATATATACATTGATGAGCAAATCTCCACGAAGTAAAAAGTTCAGATGTTGGATACTACCAAGGCAAAATAGAGTGAAATAGGAAGAAATTAAGTCTTTGAGACACATGTAGAAAGAACAAAGAAGCCTCTTGACTTCAATTTTGTTTTTAAAATTCCAGTAGAAGATGTTTATGCAGAGAAACCTTAAGGAATTCTTCATTGTCATGTCACAATTTTGATCTTGTTGAATTAAGAAAGACAGGGAAAAGTTGAAAAACAAATAAGCAAAATGTGAATTTACTATTGAACTCTTATGGGTTTGTAATGCAGAATTGTGTTTTTCCTTTCCTACTTGTTGGTCAGGTTCTTTTTAATCATAAGAAGGAAAATATTTAAAATATAATTTTATACATGGTACAATTGTCTCCCCTTAGCCTTGGCTCGCTTTCTGTGGTTTTAGTTACCCGCGGTCAACTGTGGTCTGAAAATATTAAATGGAAAATTCCAGAAATAGACTATTCATAAGTTTTAAAGTTTGTGCTGCTTTGAGCAGCATAATAAAATCTTGCACCACCCCACTTCATCCCACCCAGGATGTGAATCATCCTTTGTCCAGCATCTCCATGCTATATGTAGCTACCCCTTAGTCACTTAGTAACCATCTTGATGATCACATCTACTGTTGCAGTAATATCACACAGCATCACTTATGTTCAAGCAACACTTGTTTTGCTTAAAATGACTGCAGAGTTCAAAAGTAGTGATGTTGGGAATTCAGATATGCCAAAGACAAGCCATAGGTACATCCTTTAAGAGAAAAGGCGAAAGTTCTCAAATTAATAAGGAAAGAAAAAATATTGCATACTGAGGTTGCTAAGATCTAGTGTAAGAATGGATCATCTATTAATGAATTTGAAAAGAATGAAAGGTAAATTTAGGCTAGTTTTGTTGTCACACTTCAAACTGTAAAAGTTACAGCCACGGTGCATAAGTGCTACTTAAAATGCAAAAGGCACTAAATTTGCTGTTGGAAGACATGAACAGAAACGTGTTCCGATTGACGACAATCAGATTCAGTGTTATCTGCAGTTTCAGGCATCCACTAGGGCTCATGGAATGCATCCTCTGCAGAGAAGTGGGGACTACTGTCTTAATAATAGAATGAATATAACATAGCTTATGCTGGGCAAAATATCTTTCTTCTGTTAATTTGTTTGAACAAAAAACAGTGACAAATGAAACAGAAACTTGGTTTAGGAGAGTGTTTCTTACTGATTTGAATGTTCTAAGTAGTAGTGACAATGTACTTACATTGGCAGGATTCTTAACTTGAACTCAGTCACAATGCTTCTCAGGAATTCCCTATACTCGTGTTAACTGTGAAGAGTGGGAGTTCCAGGCCAAAACGATAAGGACTATGTACCTCAGGCAAGGTCAATTTAAAGGTTACAAAGTTTGGGTTGCTATGAAAACATTAAATAGAGAAAGGTGTTCCCTTGCCGAGAGCTATGTAGTGCCAGTTTTCCAAATCAGAGGAACTTCTCTCTTCCCTGGACATCCTTGACCTGACTCTACTCTCTCGATTCCCAGAATTCGGGTATAGTAGTTATGTTGTTTTCATTGTCCTGATGATATCAGATAAGTAGATTGGTTACAAGAACTCCAAGGATGCATTCTTCAATATGTGATTTTACAACCTGGTATATTTAAAGAAAGGGGCTTTGATTCAATGACAGGGTTATTTTTACCTAGCTTTTCAACTCAGAAAGCACAGATACTTATAAATGCCCACTAAGCATCAGGAAGTTGTGTTAGTTGGATGAGAGAATGAGGGGTGTGGTGTATGTGTATATAAATACATGTATATGGAAAGGAATATCTATATTAGACATCACAGTTAACATTTAAAACATGGTTGTGAAAAAAAATAAAACCAACAGTAGCTATGGCTTGGACTTACCTCTTTTGCAGTTATCTTCCTATTATTAGATAATCTACTTGGTAAAATTGCATGGTACAAGAGGATTATTAATAAATAATCATTAAAAATGGCTAGTTCATTCAGACTATTCTCCATACTCCTGCTGTTGTTATTGCAATAACTTTCCAAATTTTCTAAATCCATGAATACCCTTTCAATGAATATAATTTTTCTACATTATCTTCCTACCTCTCTCTCTCTCTGCTTTTATCTTAATTGATAATGAAACCCAGTAAGGTAAGTGATTATTTAGACCAATAACATTGAACAAATCAATCATTCCTAAATGTAGGACCCAAACTTATATCACAGAATTGTGTGTGTGTGTGTGTGTGTGTGTGTGTGTGTATGGACTTGAATTGATTTTTATTTTAACCTCCACTTCTTTTCGTAGTAAACAACTTCTCTCAGATTTCCAAAGATAAAAACATAGATTCATTCATTCATTTATTCACTGTTTGAGTGCTTAGTAGGTGCCAGGCTCTGTTCTTTGTGTTAAATATTCAAAGGTGAATGAAATTCATGCGATTTCTATTCTTATGGAGCTTATGCTTTCTCAGTGTTAAATTTTCTATTCTCCTGAACTTACTTTCTATAATTCATGTCTTTTTATCTTTAAGTGCTTCCATGTCACTAATGAGAGTTTTCCTCATGAGAAGAACAGATTTGTATTTTGCTATTCTGGGATAAACAAGACCAATATATTTACATTTTTCTTACAGATGCACATCCTTATCTATTTGGAAACAATGAATGCTTTTTGCTATTCTCTTTCAAATTTAAAGATCAATTGAGTAAAATATTAATATATGCTGATGTAATGTTGACTGTAAAGTATTAGCTCCTGTCTCAATTGTGGTTTATTAGTCATGCTTGAATTTTGTGTTTATTGATTATAAATATTTACTTTTATTTTGTCATAGATTTTGATTTCAAATGTAATTTTTGCAACATAAATGCCCATTCAAACTCTGTAATTTGGTCCTTATCCTTAATTTATACATTCTAATAAGCCGTAGCTTTGTCCCTGTGATTTTTTTTCTGTTTGTTTACTTTCTTTTATTTTAATGAGTGATTTTTTCCAATTATCAAGATTCTTTTCAACTTACCATCATATTTTTCTATAGGACCTGAAATTTTCTTTTCAATTTACCATTGTATTTCTCTATAGGACCTGAAATTTAACTAACTTAGATCAATGAAATCATCAACTGGTTTTATTGGATTGATTAGTTGTACACAACAAATCTAATTTAGTTATTAAACTGGTCCTAATAACTAGACTCACTTCTTCATAACCTCATTATTTCAAATGTTTAAAATAAGCATCAAATCAACTGAACACTCAAAAGCCTATCCCAAAATATGCCCACAGATATAATTTCAAGTACTTTTTAAATTCATTTCATTAGCTGTGAAGGTTTTAGAGATTTCTGTCTTTACCAAAAACACAGTTTTAAATATCGCCCTCATTTATTGCTCATGACTGTTGGTCACCATCTTAGCCAAGTCTTTGAAAGTGGCTAGATGTCTCTGTCAGGCTTTTTTAGGCAATGGCAAGTGTCGTGTATAACAAAGAAGTTAAATATCTTTCCTGTAAGTTTTGATTACTTTACTTATCAAAAGCTCTGAGGATGAGGACTTCTCTAGCTTTGCAATGTAATTGGTGTAATATACAAATAATGTACTAACATTAGAGGCTGGAGATGTATAGACTGAACTTTGACTGAGTAATTTGGATTACTTTATTCCTTTCACTAGATTTTAGTTCTATGTGAGATCAATTAGTGATTCTCCATAATGTGCATTAAGCATCACCTGAGGGGGCTAGTTTATAAATTTAGGTTTTCAGGTCCTATCCTGGAAAATTCAGTTTCAGCAGGTCTCAAAACATTTAAACAAGCACCCCAGCTGGTTCGGATGCAACTGATATACATTTGGAGAAACTTGGACCAACTCTCTAAGCATTTTCTAGCTCTAAACATTTTGGCTTTAAAGTAAAGAAAATTAATAATTCAAAGATAGTGAATCTGCCATAGGCAGACCCATAAAGAACTGGTATTTTGGAGAAGTGTTAGTTATAACATACAGAATGTGTAAGTCCATATTCTCAAAGAGGCCAGTGCCAAGATAAGGTTAAGCATACATTCAGTTTATTAGGAAAAATGCCTATGTGAGAAAAGATGGGATGGAGCAGAATAATCTGGGAGAGTTGTCAGACTGCAATGCAGAGTCTGATCTCTAATGAAAGAGACAGGCATGGAAGGTGCAGTCTCAGGAAGGTTTGTCAAGGTCATCAGGAAGTTCTTGAGCCTGAGTTGGCTGTCAGAGGAGTCCTAGGTCTTCCAAGAACATTCCTGCTCTAGTATCTCTACCATAGTTAGTCACAGGTTAGAAGCAGTTCATAAGAAACATTTCCTTTGAACAAATATAAAGATGGATTTTTAGGGAGCAGGGGTTAAGGCCCTTGGTTAATTACATGTCTTCTATTTACAGATCTATGAGGTGTGTTCTCACAGCTTCCACAGAGAGGCAAATCATTTTTAATATCAGCATCAGTTGCTGGGAAATTTAACAGATATTTAGACACTATCACATAAAAAATCCAGATTTTATCTTCACAAGATCAACAATCAATAAAAGATGAGAGTGATTCAAGAATAAAATAATTACCTTGCTCCCAAAATGTATTAGTTGTAATGGGCTGTTATCCTATGACATGAACAACTGATATGATAGGATAACAGCTATTATCCTATAATATCCTATGAACAGCCCCCAAATCTCACTCGTTTAAAACAACAAAGCCAGTATCTTGATCATACTACATCCTCTGTACAGATTGGAAGGGAGGCTCTGTTTTGGTGTTTGAAGAAGTCCAGCGGAGTGAGGCTTCACCTAGTTATAGATGCCATAATTATATAATATCCAATAATATGTTAGAGAAAGAGAAGACTAAAGATTCAAGTATAAATTTTTGACCCAGAAGTTATAGCTATAGCTTCCATTCACATTTTATTCCCTAGAATTAGTTACACGGTTATGCAGAAAATTGGAATCTTCATGTATCTAGAAGTTAAAGAGAATAGACACCGGTGAATAGTGATGCTTACCAAAATATGGCTTCTTGCCAACACTATCACTGGTATACAGTGGCTGACTACATCATCCCTAAGAGTCCTGGAACTCAGAAATCAAATGTGGCTAAAATAAAACCTTGGTCCAATGCTTTTTGTATTGTTTTGAAAGCAGTGAAGCATGGAGGACAGGGCTTAAACAGAAAGTCAAGAAATCTTTTAGAATAAAAATAGACTCTCTGAATTGCTGTGTGATTTTAGAATATATCTTTTATTTCTGAGCCCAACTTTTCTCATTTGAATAATGAAAGGATGGAATTGACTATCCAAAAATATATTCCAAAATTCAGTTATTTCTGATAATAAAAGTAACATTAATAGCAATAGAAATACAACATCGTCTAGCATATGTAGAGTAAGCTGCTGAGGAAAGCTCTTCATTTCCACTCCACATGGAGAGTATTGGTTCTAACACTGAATTCTGGGGATCATCAATTTCTCTCAAGGTATTCATGATATTTTGTGAATAAAGGACTCTTTGGGATGCCTAGGGGAGCATGCCCAGCATGCCTAAGACACATGCACATGATCCTCGTCCTTTGAATAGATAATAATGAGACACATTCTGCCCAGCTTCTCACAGAGTTCCAGCAGGATCAAGCTTAAAACATCACCAATTCACAAAACACCCTTGGATTTTCTCTACCCATCCCTGCCCTCACTCCAGTTTCCCTGGAACCACTCCCAAAATAAATTGCCTCCCTTCAAAAGTCCTTGCCTTGGTCAGTCATCCAAAGGGGAAACCCAGGCTAAGACAGCAGAGTAATCTCAGTCGAATTAGAGAATAGAGCATCAAAGATGGCAAGGGTCTTAAATGTTTTTAGGTACAACCATTATCCAGTGTATGGTTTCTCTGTCAATTCAGTTTCTACTTCTTGAAAGAACTCTTTATAGGGATATCTGGTCCTTCTATAGTGACTGCATATGTTGAACTAAGAAGCTGGTTTCATGAGAATATGGAGAGTTTAGCATAGTCAGGGAGTCTCCACTTAAGAACTGAGAAACTCCAAAGTTTTGAACTGATCCAGTTTTCTCTAGCTGTGGTGAAGGGACGTTGAAAAAAAGTACTAAAAGGGATCCAGATTACTGCAATTCTGCAATGCAGTTCTGTACTCTTCATGTGCTAATTTGATAACTAATAATGTACATTAATTAGAAAAAGAATAATGTGCATCAGAAAAATAATAAGAACGAAAAGAATAAGATATTCCTAAAATATAGATGCCTCTATATTTAGTAAATAGAGAAATGTATACTAAATATATGCTACACGGTTTTTGTAAATATGTAAATAAATAATAGCTCCAATGTATAGCATACATGTACTTCATAGTGCTTCCTGAACAAGCAAGGACACTGTCAAACACAGAAGCTCTGACTTTCTTCTTCCCTGTTCTCTCTGACCAATTGTCCTGAGACATATACTGGTTATCGGCTGCTGCTGGGCCAATACTTCAGGACAGCCTAACTGTTCTATCTTGAGTGCATCCAAGCTATGCTGAAGAACAGTAAGGAAAACTGATGAACATTCAGGTGGGTCACAAAGAGACATATCACCTGCAAAAGGCCGAGAAAGTGTAGGAAATCCGGCCCTGACTCCAAATGCATTAGCCCCTATTTAGATAGATGTGCATGAAATTTAATAAATGATTTTTGATCTATCTGGGGAGGCATTCTTTAACAATGCATTTATTTAATGAAGTGTGAATATGTTCTTAACAAATCAGACTATAATCAGCAGATTTAAAATTAATTGGATCTTGTTAGATGGTATATATCCTTCTTTAGCATCTGATTATAAAGCAAGGTATAAATGCTATATAATTCAATGCATAGTAAAATCTCTACATGAAACAAAGTTTCAAAATATGGTTCTAGCTTCAGGAGAAGATTGTATTAGCCTTTGTTATAGAGGGCTAGTATGCAGTGACTTCTTATTGAAATAGGTGTATTTCATTTAAAATATTGAGCAATTTTCCAGAGTTAGTTAAAACAGCACGCAATATCTGGACTGAAAAGAAGCTGTGGATTCCTCCAAATAAAGTTAAAGTTGTTTAAGGTTTATCACATGTGAATTTGTCATGATACTGTCACATATAATAGCAACAATAATAACCCATACCCAAATAATATTTTGTTTCTTAAAATGATCTTTCCTGCTATTTACCTTCCTACTTTCATTAAGATATGAGAATACTGAAGGGAAATGTGATTCAAATTCATTTACATTTTTAACTCAATGATACATGCTAATTAATTCAATAACTAGGAAGCCAGCTTCTATGTGGCTGATAAATGCACATTTTTATGCATTTCTGCCTGACAACTCACACTGGTGCTTTTATGACCCGTTATCTCGGAGTAGTCCCCACATCTAAACAATGTAGATGTGAGCATAACATTAATTCTCAGACTGAAAGTAATTCATACTAGTAAATAAAATATACTTCAAAGTCAATTAATAATGATATAATTATCCATACACAGTGTCCTCTAACAAGCATAGTTCTAAAACTCTATAACGTAGTAAAATCCACGAACAGTTTCAACCCTGCTGTTTTTGATATTCAGCCCTCAACAATTTGTCCATCAGAGAGAGGTGAAAGGTGCCAGAAATTCTACAGATGCAGGATTGCCTTAAGTGTTAATTTAGGCACAGTTCACTTGAGTCCCTTTTAATTGCAATAGCATTAAACTTCAAGTGTCTAGTACTTCATAGTTTTACTTCATACTCCATAGCTTTCACAGCCTTTCCACACATGAGAGTTATAAGCCCCGCAACTGTGCTGTGAAGTATTACTCTCTCATTATGCAAAGTAAGAAACAGTGGCTCAGAGAAGTGGTCAGAATCTCTGGGACAGAACAATGGCAGAGTCAGAACTGGAGCTCATGGTTCTAATGCAAAATCCACTTCTCTTTCCTCTTCCCATCCCATGCCAACTTAGAGCTTCTCACTGGCTTGAGTTCAGGCTTCACAACAACCTCTTCTTGCCAAGAGACAAACCATGTAGCATATTCGTAACTGTCCTTGCATCTTGGCTTTTGTGTTTGTGAAGCAAGGTATCACCCTTACTTCTGATCAGGTACTGAATGCTATGTTTCTTATGAAAAGTAATCTCCATAAGAACTCAAAAATATAATTGAGTTCCCGTGGAGCATAATTATATTGTAGAAGCTTCTCTGAATATTTATCCCAAAGGAATATTAATGAGTAGCATAAGAATGTCTTTCAGCCATAGGCATAGTTTTCCATTGCTCCTTTGTGGATCAGTTTAGTGCTGAAAAGAACTGAAATGGAGTGAAAGGGAGATTCACAGACATGCAGGGAGTAAGTACTTGGACTTTTCATTTAATTTCATTGTGCAGTCATCAGACAGTAGCAAAATAAACACCTCCATCATTGTTTTCCAATAGTCACAATCTTTGGTTTATAATTGATAATCTAGAGATCAGTCTTGCTTGCAGGAAACTCACAGCTTGACCTATGACTAACTATCCTTTGCTTCAAAGAAGTACATTTTTCATAAGCAGCAAATTTTAAAATTGCATCTGCTAGATTCACCATCACAAAGTCATACACACTCAGAGAATAAATAGTGAAAGTTGCTATGTCTGGGAGTAGGTACATTTTTAAACATAAGTTATGACACATAGCCATCGTTCCCATGTGATTCCAAGCTAGCCTCCTCAAAGCATGAAGAAGGTCTGCACCACTGACTTTGGTATTGTTTGTTTGTTTTTTTTTTTTTTCACTGTCTACCTGGAATGCCTTTCTTCTCACCTCTCTGCCTATCTATATCCTACCATTCCATCAACACCCTGATTAAATTTTATTTCTTCAATGCTACACTTCCAAGACTACATATTTAACCTTATTTTCAAAATTACATAATTTAAGGCTACTGAAATGCATTCTGGCACCTATGTATATTGTAAGCTTGTGTACTTAGAACAGTGCCTAGCACTCTTCTATGCATATCGTAGGCACTCAATGAACACTCATTGAATTCTTTCAGATTCACAAAGAATTAATGAGCATGTGTAATTCTCAGTGTCTCTTTTGCTTGTGGTTAAATCTGAAGTAATAATAACTATTTGTTATTATTGCTTGACTAAGAGAAAACAAATACTTTGGGACCCAAGAGTTTTATAAAATATTTCTGCCAACAACAGGGAAACATTATTACAGAATATCTATGTGTAAGTTACTTTCCCCACCTCGAAAATATCCGTTTACTTTTCAAAGAGACCTCCCTAAGTCCTTGCTAAGGGAGTCCTCATGCCACTACTTAGCCCCTCCCCATCTCACATAGTACACACCCATGGACTCTTCCTCTTTGCAGAATGTAAAAGAATAAGGATGTTTTAATTGAAAACCTGGGGTTACTTCCTAGTCCCATCACCTGCTAGCTACATGAGCTTGAACAGCTTACTTGATAACTGATTCTCGATTTCATCACCTGTTAACTGGGGATAACAGAACCTCCTCTAATAGTCTTTGAGAATGAAATGAGATTGTGTATGTAAAGCATCTGGCCCAGTATCAGGCAAAGAGCAAATTTTAAAAGAATGTTGATATCTTGTTCCACTCTCACTTCTTCTCCCTTTACCTCTCACACCTTCTTTCCTGGGCTTTCTCTTCTTTTTATACAATTTAGATTATTCTTGCTTTCTCTTCCGTCATGCAATGTCCCATTCAGGTATGGTATGTCCAGGAAGGGGAGAGGACAGGAAAGGTTAGAGAAAGCTCGCATAGGAGCACTGCCAGTGGCTGTTTTGCTCACATGCCAGCCTGGTCCAGGTTTCGTAAAAGCACAAAGAATGCTTTGCAAAAAGCCTACTGCTGGCAACAGCCACAAGGTTGAGGCTCTCAAGACTACTACATGAAAAAGAAATAATCTATATTTATCTCCTCCATCCTCCTAATAGTGGAATTCAAAAGCAATGAAGCCATTGTGAAGATATTAACTTTTTAGAACAGTTAGACACAAAGCTTCAACAATGATATCTAAAGGAAAAGAGAGAAAATACCCTTCCCAGAGGCAGAATGAGATATAAAAGACTCAGAAAGTAGAGCAGAGATGAAAGCATCTATGATGCACAGTGGACAAATGTTCTGACATTCTATAAAAGGAACAAAATTAGAAGTTTAATGTGGCTTGAGATCTGATTCAGATATGCAGCTGAAGTCAAAATCTTAAATAGACACAGAAATCCAAGAAATCTAAAAGTGACTGAAACTCGTGATTTTGTATATAATCATTTGTTTCTAGATTATTTGGGGGACATTAAGAAATACAGAAATAAATCACGAAATTGACATTAGGGATGAAGGGAAACTTCACACTACTCCATTTAATGTTTCTGAGTGACCCTAGAATTATTAATATATATTTTTTAATATTCACTGCATTTCAAGTGAATTATTTAAGCACTTTATATCTATTAATGTATGTATTCATAACAATAGCCTTAAGAAGCATATACTCTTATTTTTTTCTTATTTTATTGGTTAGGAAACTGAAGCTTAGAGAGTATACTTAACTTTCCCAGGGTCACACATGCAGTAAATGGTGAGGCTGAAATTTAAACTCAGACATGTAATTGGATACAAAATATTAGAACTCATAAACAAATTCAGCTTTTATTTTGTTCTTGACTCTTCTTCATCTTCCATTTGAGCATGGGTTGAAATCCTGTTATGTATCAGTCAATATTTTGCTTTTCTATTTCTTTGTCTATCTGGGATTTTTTAAAAAACATATTATTTATCTCCTTTGTAAAGATCTGTGGCATTGTATTATTCATTTGTGTGTCTGTCTGTACCATGAGGTTGGGAACACCATCGGTAGCTTATATGTATTTTGCTCTAAAATGCTTATTGAGTGAATGTATGATCACACTAACTAGATGATATTTCTACATGACTAATCCTATTTAAAATGAAAGTTACACTCACATTTAAAGTTGCCATAGTTGCAGCAATTATTTTAAAAAACCCTATTTATATCTAGTCTCAGTCTTTCAAAGACAAGATCTAAGTCGAAGCCCTAGCACACGTCTGCATCTTTCTAATCCCTGCTAGGAATGGGCAGGTGATTTGCGTAGTGTAGGTTGAAAGAAAGCAATAGCAACACTTAGAGTGTCCCTGACATATATCGCCTGGGGGTCTGACATCATTGGCAGTGTTCTGGAGAGAACATACATCCACCTCCTACCACTCTTCAAAAGTTTGAGGGTTAGGGACTTGAGCATGGAGACAGAGTTGAAAAGATGACAGAAATGTTATGTTACACAATTTGGTTCCTCTAGGGACCAATCTTAAGCTGTGTCAAAGAAATATTGATAAGGTTAGAGAATGTGTGTGGTGAATTACAAATACTCCAAAATTATCATCACTTGAAGATCCTCGCACGACACAGTCCATGCTTCTGAAAATCACTATATGCACAGTGAGAAACTATTGCTTACCCATCAGATTGGTGAACATTACAAAGACTTACATAAAAATGTTGTCAAGGATGTTGATGGAGAAAGAACTTTCAATTCACAATTTAGGAATATAAATTGCTACAACTACTATAGAGAATGCTTTGTCAATTTCTAATGCTCATTAAGACGTACACATTGGTGGAAAGATTTGGGTGTATACCCAACTGTTTTTCATGTGCTTGAGGAAACATGTACAAGAATGTTCACATGACATTGTGCTAGAAAAAAGTAGGAAACAAAATGTCTATCAACAGGAATATGGGCAAATAAATTATGGAATACTCACACAATATTGAAAATAAATAAAATATAGGTACACATATCAATACTCATTAATCTCAAAAACATAATGCATTAACAAGCAAGTTGCAAAAGACTACTGGCAGTGTTTATATGAATGCTGAAGGCTTGTGAAACTATATTATATTGTTTATGAATACATTCCCATGTAGGAAAAGTATAAATGAATGCATGGGTGTGACAGAAAGCAATTCTGGAGGGTGGTTGTCTTGGGGAGAGGAGAAAAGGGAGATAAACCAGAAAGAGCACAAACACACTGTATTAATTATGCTTTTTATTTAAGCCAAATGAAAGGTACATCAGTGTCCATTGTATTAATTTTTGTATCCTTTCGGATGCTTTAAATAAACATTTCTTTTCTTTTCTTTTTCTTTTTCTTTTTTCTTTTCTTTTTTTTTTTTTTTGAGGTGGAGTCTCACTCTGTCGCCAGACTAGAGTGCAGTAGTGTGATCTCGGTTCACTGCAACCTCCAACTCCTGGGTTCAAATGATTCTCCTGCCTCAGTCTCCTGAGTAGCTGGGACCAGAGGCGTGCGTCACCACACCCAGCTCACTTTTGTATTTTTAGCAGAGACAGGGTTTTACCATATTGGCCAGGAAGGTCTTGATCTCTTGACCTCGTGATCCGCCCACCTCAGCCTTCCAAAGTGCTGGGATTACAGGCATGAGTCGCTGCACCCGGCTTTAAATAAACATTTCTAAAAGTAAAATACACAATTGCCAATAGAGTTGTCAGTATTGAGACTAGAAACCAAAGATACTGTCTCAGTTTTTAAAGCAAACATAATGGCATAGTATATCATAGAGGGGAAAAAAAACTCAATAAAAGAAAATAAAAGAATAAATATTGCAACAAACCCATTTTCCTTTACATTCAAATATTTTCAACCAGAAGCTGAATTTTACGTTTGAGTCCAGAAAATGTCCTTGACAGTATTGTGAAAAAATTGTAGGACACATGCATGCAATTGAGATAGCCATTTCTTTGACTCTAGAAGTTCTGACATAATAACTTAAAATTTGAGAGGAGCTCACAAAAAGAAGTGTGAAACCAAATTGTCTAGAGAAGCATAAAAGCACTCCTCCTCTGCTTGAAAATTAGCTGGAGCTAATTTTGGTCTGCTCAATGCCAGTGTGTACAGTGGCAAGAAAATTAGCTCCATAGTTTTACTTTGCTTTTTGTTTTGTTTTTATTGTCTTTTCAAAATAAGTCTTTGGCCCCAGGTTAATAGGAAAAGCATTTTTCTAATTTAGGTGCAAGGAGGAGCTTAGCTGTTGGTACTCCTAAGTGAAAGTCAGCATTGAGTAAGAGCTCACACTCTGCTAGAAATTTAAGGCCTATTATATTTTAGCATTGATTTAAATACTTGTCACCTTTCTGATGAGTTGTAATTATAGAAATTTTATGAAGGACTTGAGATGAAATTTCAAATAATTATATTATTTAATGTCTTAACAATGTATTTTTAAGCAAGAAATCCACAATGAACAGTTACATGAGAATAGAATGTTCTCATATTACATGGTCTTTAGCTCTCTATAACTCAGATTGGGAAGTAGAGATAACATGTTGTTAGACACTTTTCATGAAAGGCTTATCTCTTTAGGTTGAGTGGTAAAGCATTTTAATCAAAATATAAATTTGCAAATATATTTATAGTCCCTAGCCTTAGAATATTATTAAAATCCTATAATAAATATATTTTTAAAGTTGAATAAGAATGGAACTTGAATGAATCCAGTAACCAGGCAAATAAATCCTTATTTTTCTCATCAGGGATGTGGAACTACATTTTCTCACACTTCTACAGGCTATATTAACCATTCAATATTCAACCTAATCATTTAATAATATCTTACATGTTTCAGCTATTTCACTTGTTATCAGTTTAATTGAGGTTCTCCAATGACATCAAAGTCTCTTCTCTTTCAATTTCCACTGTGTAGGGAAGTGGGAACAGTGAAATATTAGATATATTTCTAAATCTAACCAACCAATAAAGATTTTTTGGGAAAAAAAGTGATTGGGAGTTAAAAATTGAGGTTTTGTCATCTGAAACTTTAAAAAAATGTAGCTTGATCAATTAATATAAAATTACTCTGTAGCTTCTTTATAGTCACAAAATGCCAGACAGCCTCTGAAAAAAAGCAAAGGTATTCTTGAGCTTTTATTATTTTAAATCAGTTATACATTCCTTGCAACTTTGAAATGTCACAAGTCAATATATTTGAGGACAAAATGTCTGAAACCTGATTTGTAGAGATCCTGCTAGTCAAGGATTCAACATCTATAGAAACCCACTGGCTATACAGAAAAATGAGAAGCAGAGTTTAATATTTTCATCTCCATTCTTAAAGCATAACACATTTGCCATGGGATACATGGTTAATTGTGAAATGTATCATACATATGAGTGTATAAGTACAATTTAAATAATATATAAACTACTGCTGCATACTTCCCATCCAGGTTAACTAATAGAACATCACTGGTAACAAAATGCCTCCTGCATATTCCTCCTTGATATGTTCTTCCTTCCCTTCACACTTAGCCACCATCCTGACTTTGTGTTAATCATTCCCCTATTTTCCTTTATAATCCTACCACTTATATATGTATCCATAAGCATTAAACTGTTTATTTTTGAAATAGTGAGTAGCAAGCTCAAATCTAACTGTGTAAGAAAAAGATAATATGGTCACTGTCATATCAGAAGGAAGCTTCAAGAACAAAAGGAAACTGTCCTGAGATTGTGAGTCTGGTTTCTGTTTCTCCAACAATTTACAGAAAACCATTTTGAGGAAGTCAGTGAGCAGTGAGCAAGGTCCCAAATGAATCCTAGAAACTCAGGGCTCACCTCAGTGGGAATCCGGCAGGGCTCAAGTATGGGCCAGGTTTGAGACATCAGGAAGGAATCTGTTTGGGGAGAACAAGCTGCTCTGTATTTTCTGTTTCTAAGCTCACCAGGGCCTATCTCTTAGGACAAGTTTAAATCACATTTCTGTGCAGTGATGTGAATGCCCAGCAGGTGGGGCAGCAAGACAAGGAGGGAAGAGTGGAAACTTCATAAAGACACGGTCAAAGGAAGCCCAGGATAGAGGAATCTTGGCTAGTCTCACCGGGCATTCTGCCTCAGGTTAAGAAGAAAGAACACAGAGGTGCTTTGTCTTGGTGATATGGGACCCTTCTGGTCCTCCATGTCCCATGTACACTTGGGATCCTGGGATCTCTCTTCCCCATAGCCCTGGGAATTATTTTTCCACTAAGTTTTGTATTGGGTATCCTGTTTTCCGTGTCATTTATATTCCTTTTTCTTGGTTTCTCTCTTAGTGGCACATACCCTTCATTAGTTTCTAGAGAAATTGTTGATAGGAACTTTTAATCAGATCTTGCATGTCTGAAAACTCCGAAGGCAACCTTCTTTTTTATTATTATTATACTTTAAGTTCTAGGCTACATGTGCACAATGTGCGGGTTTGTTACATATGTATACATGTGCCATGTTGATTTGCTGCACCCATTAACTTGTCATTTACATTAGGTATTTCTCCTAATGCTATCCCTCCCCCATACCCCCACCCCATGACCATTTTCACACACAGACCCTGGTGTGTAATGTTCCCTGCCCTGTGTCCAAGTGCTCTTCTAATTGTTCAATTCCCACCTATGAATGAGAACATGTGGTGTTTGCTTTTCCGTCCTTGTGATAGTTTGCTCAGAATTATACTTTCCAGCTTCATCCATGTCCCTACAAAGGGCATGAACTCATCCTTTTTTATGGCTGCATAGTATTCCATGGTGTATATGTGCCACATTTTCTTAATCCTGTCTATCACTGATGGATATTTGAGATGGTTCCAAGTCTTTGGTATTGTGAATAGTGCTGCAGTAAACATATGTCTGCATGTGTCTTTATAATAGCATGATTTATAATCTTTCGGGTATACACCCAGTAATGGGATCTCTGGGACAAATGGTATTTCTAGTTCTAGATCCTTGAGGAATTGCCACACTGTCTTCCACAATGGTTGAACTAGTTTACACTCCCACCAACAGTGTAAAAGTGTTCCTATTTTTCCACATCCTCTCCAGCACCTGTTGTTTCCTGACTTTTTAATGATCACCATTCTAACAGGTGTGACATGGCATCTCATTGTGGTTTTGACTTGCATTTCTCTGATGACCAGTGATGATGAGCATTTTTTCATGTATCTGCTGGCTGCATAAGTGTCTTCTTTTGAGAAGTGTCTGTTCATATCCTTTGCCCACTTTTTGGTGGGGTTGTTTTTTTCTTGTAAATTTGTTTAAGTTCTTTGTAGATGCTGGATATTAGCCCTTTGTCAGACGGGTAAATTGCAAAAGTTTTCTCCCATTCTGTAGGTTGCCTGTTCACTCTGATGGTAGTTTCTTTTGCTGTGCAGAAGCTCTTTAGTTTAATTACATCCCATTTGCCTATGTTGGCTTTTGTTGCCATTGCTTTTGATGTTTCAGTCATGAAGTCCTTGCCCATGCCTATGTTCTGAATGGTATTACCTAGGTTTTCTTCTAGGGTTTTTATGGTTTTAGGTGTAACATTTAAGTCTTTAATCCATCGTGAAATAATTTTTGTATAAATTGTAAGGAAGGGATCCAGTTTCAGCTTTCTACATATGGCTAGCCAGTTTTCCCAGCACCATTTATTACATAGGGAATCCTTTCCCCATTTCTTGTTTTTCTCAGGTTTGTGAAAGATCAGATGGTTGTAGATGTGTGGTGTTATTTCTGAGGCCTCCATTCTGTTCCATTCGTCTATATCTCTGTTTTGGTACCAGTACCATGCTGTTTTGGTTACTGTAGCCTTGTAGTATAGTTTGAAGTCAGGTAGCATGATGCCTCCAGCTTTGTTCTTTTTGCTTAGGATTGTCTTGGCAAGGTGGGCTTTTTTTTTTTTTTTTTTGGCTCCATATGAACTTTAAAGTAGTTTTTTCCAATTCTGTGGAGAAAGTCATTGGTAGCTTGATGGGGATGGCATTGAATCTGTAAATTACCTTGGGCAGTATAGCCATTTTCACGATATTGATTCTTCCTATCCATGAGCATGGAATGTTCTTCCATTTGTTCGTGTCCTCTTTTATTTCGTTGAGCAGTGGTTTGTAGTTCTCCTTGAAGAGGTCCTTTAAATACCTTGTAATTTGGATTCCTAGGTATTTTACTCTCTTTGTAGCAATTGTGAATGGGAGTTCACTCATGATTTGGCTCTCTGTCTGTTATTGGTATATAGGAATGCTTGTGATTTTTGTACATTGATTCTGTATCTTGAGACTTTGCTGAAGTTGCTTATCAGTTTAAGGAGATTTTGGGCTGAGATGATGGGGTTTTCTAAATATATAATCACGTCATCTGCAAACAGGGACAATTTGACTTCCTCTTTTCCTAACTGAATACCCTTTATTTCTTTCTCTTGCCTGATTGCCCTGGCCAGAACTTCCAACACTATGTTAAATAGGAGTGGTGAGAGAGGGCAACCCTGCCTTTTGCCGGTTTTCATAGGCAATACTTCCAGTTTTTACTCATTCAGTATGATATTGGCTGTGGGTTTGTCATAAATAGCTCTTATTATTTTGAGATACGTCCCATTAATACCTAGTTTTTTGAGAGTTTTTAGCATGAAGGGCTGTTGAATTTCGTCGAAGACCTTTTCTGCATCTATTGAGATAATCATGTGGTTTTTGTCTTTGGTCCTGTTTATGTGATGGATTACATTTACCAATTTGCGTATGTTGAACCAGGCTTGCATCCTAGGGATGAAGCCAACTTGATCATGTTGGATAAGCTTTCTGATGTGCTGCTGGATTCGGTTTGCCAGTATTTTATTGATGATTTTAGTATCGATGTTCATCAGGGATATTGGTCTAAAATTCTCATTTTTGTTGTTATTGTGTCTCTGCCAGGCTTTGGTATCAGGATGATGCTGGCCTCATAAAATGAGTTAGGGAGGATTCCCTCTTTTTCTATTGATTGGACTAGTTTCAGAAGGAATGGTACCAGCTCCTCTTTGTACCTCTGGTAGAATTCAGCTATGAATCTTTCTGGTCCTGGACTTTTTTTGTTTGGTAGGCTATTAATAATTGCCTCAATTTCAGAGCCTGTTATTGGTCTATTCAGGGATTCAGCTCCTTCCTGGTTTAGTCTTGGGAGGGTGTATGTGTCCAGGAATTTATCCATTTCTTCTAGATTTTCTAGTTTATTTGCATAGAGGTGTTTATAGTATTCTCCGATGGTAGTTTGTATTTCTGTGTGATTGATGGTGATATGCCCTTTATCATTTTTTTGCATCTATCTGATTCTTCTCTCGTTTCTTCTTTATTTGTCTTGCTAGCAATCTATCAATTTTGTTGATCTTTTCAAAAAACCAGCTCCCGGATTCATTGATTTTTTGAAGGGATTTTTCTGTCTCTATCTCCTTCAGGTCTGCTCTGATCTTAGTTATTTCTTGCCTTCCGCTAGCTTTTGAATGTGTTTGCTGTGGCTTCTCTAGTTCTTTTCATTGTGATGATAGGGTGTGGATTTTAGATCTTTCCTCCTTTCTCTTGTAGGCATTTAGTGCTATAAATTTCCCTCTACACACTGCTTTAAATGTGTCCCAGAGATTCTGGTATGTTGTGTCTTTGTTCTCATTGGTTTCAAAGAACAACTTTATTTCTGCCTTCATTTTGTTATTTACTCAGCAGTCATTCAAGAGCAGATTGCTCAGTTTCCATGTAGTTGTGCAGTTTTGAGTGAGTTTCTTAATCCTGATTTCTAATTTGATTGCACTGTGGTCTGAGAGACAGTTTGTTGTGACTTCTGTCCTTTTACATTTCCTGAGGAGTGCTTTACTTCCAACTATGTGGTTAATTTTGGAGTAAGTGAGATGTAGTGCTGAGAAGAATGTGCATTCTCTTGATTTGGGGTGGAGAGTTCTGTAGATGTCTATTAGGTCTGCTTGGTGCAGAGCTGAGTTCAAGTCCTGGATATCCTTGTTAACCTTCTGTCTCGTTGATCTGTCTAATATTGACAGTGGGGTGTTAAAGTCTCCCATTATTATTGTGTGGGAGTCTAAGTCTCTTTGTAGGTCTCTAAGGACTTGCTTCATGAATCTGGGTGCTCCTGTATTGGGTGCATATATATTTAGGATAGTTAGCTCTTCTTACTGAATTGATCCCTTTTCCATTATGTAATGGCCTTCTTTGTCTCTTTTGATCTTTGTTGGTTTAAAGTCTGTTTTATCAGAGACTAGGATTGCAACCCTGGCTTTTTTTTTTTTTTTTTTTTTTTTGCTTTCCATTTTCTTGGTAGATCATCCTCCATCCCTTTATTTTGAGCCAATGTGTGTCTCTGCAAATGAGATGGGTCTCCTGAAGACAGCACACTGATGGGTTTTGACTCTTTATCCAATTTGCCAGTCTGTGTCTTTTAATTGGAGCATTTAGCCCATTTACATTTAAGGTTAATATTGTTATGTGTGAATTTGATCCTGTCAGTATGATGTTAGCTGGTTATTTTGCCCGTTAGCTGATGCAGTTTCTTCCTAGCCTTGATGGTCTTTACAATTTGGCATGTTTTTGCAGTGGCTGGTACCAGTTGTTCCTTTCCATGTTTAGTGCTTCCTTTAGGAGCTTTTGGAAGGCAGGCCTGGTGGTGACAAAATCTCTCAGCATTTGCTTCTCTGTAAAGTATTTTATTTCTCCTTCACTTATGAAGCTTAGTTTGGCTGGATATGAAATTCTGGATTGAAAATTCTTTTCTTTAAGAATGTTGAATATTGGCCCCCACTCTCTTCTGGCTTGTAGAGTTTCTGCTGAGGGATTCGCTGTTAGTCTGATGGGCTTCCCTTTGTGGGTAACCCAACCTTTCTCTCTGGCTGCCCTTAACATTTTTTCCTTCATTTCAACCTTGGTGAATCTGACAATTATGTGTCTTGGTGTTGCTCTTCTCGAGGAGTATCTTTGTGGTGTTCTCTGTATTTCCTGAATTTGAATGTTGGCCTGCCTTGCTAGGCTGGGGAAGTTCTCCTGGATAATATCCTGCAGAGTGTTTTCCAGCTTGATTCCATTATCCCCGTCACTTTCAGGTACACCAATCAAACATAGATTTGGTCTTTTCACATAGTCCCATATTTCTTGGAGGCTTTGTTCAATTCTTTTTTTTCTCTAAACTTCTCTTCTCGCCTAATTTCATTAATTTGATCTTCAATCACTGATACCCTTTCTTCCACTTTGATCGAATCAGCCACTGAGGCTTGCGCATGCATCATGTAGTTCTCATGCCATGATTTTCAGCTCCATCAGGTCATTTAAGGTCTTCTCTACAATGTTTATTCTATTTACTCATTTGTCTAATTTTTTTCAAGGTTTTTAGCTTCCTTGCAATGGGTTCAAACATCCTCCGTTAGCTTGGAGAAGTTTGTTATTACCAAACTTCTGAAGCCTACTTCTGTCAACTCATCAACGTCATTCTCCATCCAGCTTTGTTCCATTGCTGGTGAGGAGCTGAGATCCTTTGGAGGAGAAGAGGTGCTCTGGTTTTTAGAATTTTCAGCTTTTTTGCTTTGGTTTCTCCCCATTTTTGTGGTTTTATCTACCTTTAGTCTTTGATGTTGGTGACCTACAGATGGGGTTTTGGTGTGGATGTCTTTTTTGTTGATGTTGGTGCTATTCCTTTCTGTTTGTTAGTTTTCCTTCTAACAGTCAGGTCCCTCAGGTGCAGGTCTGTTGGAATTTGCTGGAGGTCCACTCCAGACTCCGTTTGCCTAGGTATCACCAGCAGAGGCTGCAGAACAGAAAATATTGCAGAACAGCAAATATTGCTGCCTGATCCTTCCTCTGGAAGCTTTGTCTCAGAGGGGCACCCAGCTGTATGAAATGTCAGTCAGCCCCTACTTGGACGTGTCTCCCAGTTAGGCCAAACGGGGGTCAGGGACCCACTTGAGGAGGCAGTCTGTCCGTTCTCAGAGCTCAAACACCATGCTTGGAGAACCACTGCTCTCTTCAGAGCTGTCAGACAGGGACGTTTAAGTCTGCAGAAGTTTCTGCTGCCTTTTGTTCAGCTATGCCCTGCCCCCAGAGGTGGAGTCTACAGAGGCAGGCAGGCCTCGTTGACCTGCAATGAGCTCCACCCAGTTTGAGCTTCCTGGCTACTTTGTTTACCTACTCAAGCCTCAGCAACAGAGGACGCCCCTCCCCAGCCAGGCTGCTGCCTCGCAGTTTGATCTTGGACTGCCACGCTAGCACTGAGCAAGGCTCTGTGGGCATGGGACCCACTGAGCTAGGTGTGGGATATAATCTCCTGGTGTGCCATTTGCTAAGACCTTTGGAAAAGCACAGTATTTGGGTGGCAGTGACCCAATTTTCCCAGTACAGTCTGTCACGGCTTCCCTTGTCTAGGAAAGGGAAATCCCCTGACCCCTGTGCTTCCTGGATGAGGCGATGCCCCAACATGCTTTGGCACCCTCCATGGGCTGCACCCACTTTCTGACCAGTCCCAACTAGAGGAACCAGGTACCTCAATTGGAAATGCAGAAATCACCTGTCTTCTGCATCGATCACGCTGGGAGCTGCAGACCGGAGCTGTTCCTATTTGGCCACCTTGGAACGGACCCCACAACTTTCATACTGATTGTTAAGATGGGTATAGAATCTGGATTAGAAATAACGTCTTTACAAAATTTTGAGTGTATTATTCCATTGTTTTCTTGCTTCCACTGTTGTTGAGAAATCCAAAATAGTTTTTACCCCAGATCCTTTGTTTTTGATATTTTTTCTCTTTCTCTAGAAACTTATAGGATCTTGCTTTCTCTTCACAATTCTGAAATTTCAAAATGATGGCCTTTGTTGTAGGTCAATTTTTATTCAAAGTTTTCAAATTTTATTGTGTTGGGCACTTGGTAGACACTTTCAAACTGTCAATTTATGTCTTTCAGGTCTAGGATGTTTTTGTGAATTATTTTATTGATGATTTGTTTCTCTTTATTTTCTATATTGTCTTTTTCTGGAATTTCTGTTATTGGGATACTAGAATTTCTAAAAAGTTTCTTTAATTGTCTATATTTTTCTGTTTCATTATTTCTTGCTTTACTTTCTGGGAGATTTTATCAACTTTTTATTTTTGCATTTTGACTTTTTAATTTCAAAGCATTCTTTGTTTTCTGAATCATCCCTTTTATGTGGCATCTTATTCTTGTTTCATGGACTCAATAACTTCTCTTATCTTTTTAGGATGTTAGTCATTAACAAAAAGATTAAAAAATAAACTTTATTGAAGTATAATTTACAAACAATAAAATGCATCCATTTAAAATATATCATTAAATGAGTTTTCACAAATGTATACCATAGGGTAACCACCTCCATAATCAAGATATAGAACATTTCCATCATCTTCCAGTCAACTTCTCCACCTATATCCTGGTCTCAGGCAATGACTGATTTGCTTTCTGTCAGTATAGGTTAGATTTATATTTATGTAGTTAATGATAGAATTTTAATTTTTCCCCTAAAATAATTTATTTATTCCAAACTGTTTTTAGTTTGTTTTCTTTTTCTTCAGTGAGTATGCCTTGTTCTCTTTCATGTAGAGGTGTTCCAGAAATGTCTGGACATCCTTGCTGGTCTACTCACTATCAAAAGTAGGAAATTAAAAAGGTGACTGGAAGATCTGAGCACCTGGGAATATTAACTTTGAGATTAACTACAGTATGATCAGTGTGGGCTGCTCTTGGAAAACCTTCTGATGTTAGCTCCTTAGACAGTTTCCTTGTGCTGGTCACTAGAGAGGAAATTTTCGATATTTCACATAAATAAAAGGCTGGTAGTGTTTGGGGAACTGAATAGAGCAAAAGGTTGAGATGGGAGGTCTTCAGTATTTTTATTCAGCTTACATATAGTCATTTTCTTTATTTTTCATAGGGCACCCAGCTCTAAAGTCCCACATACAGAGACCTCACCACACCCACACTTTACTATCTCCATAGAATCAACTAGCAAACTTATGCTGATATACACATGCAGTTTCTCAGTGGCTTGGAGTAGGCACGACACTAACTGCTCTTTTACCCAATCTTATTTAAGACTTTCTTTTCATCATCTCTTTTCATCGTTTCTAGATACCTAAGTCTCTCTTTTCATCATCTCTAGATACCTAGAACTGACAGTTATCAGAGACTGTATTAGTCAAGGTTCTCCAGAGAAACAGAACCAATAGGATATATACAGATATAGAAAAATAAATTTATTATGGGACTTTGCTCATGTGATTATGAAAACTCAGAAACCCCATGATCCACCATCTGCAAACTGGAGTCCCAGGGAAGTTGGTGATAAAATTCAGTCTGAGCCCAAAGACCTGAGAACCAGGAGGAAAGTCTGCCGGTGCAAGCCCAGAGAACAAAGGCCTGAGAACCTGCAGCTTGAATGTCTGAAGACAGAAGAGGGATATCCAGCTCCAAAAGAGAGAGCAAATTAACCTTTCCCCCACCTTTTTGTTCTATCTAGGCCCTCAAGGGGAGGTAATGTCCACCTGCATTTGTAAGAGGAATCTTCTTGACTGAGTCCCCCTGAGTACCTCAAGGGGAGGTAATGTCCACCTGCATTTGTAAGAGGAATCTTCTTGACTGAGTCCCCCTGAGTACCTCAAGGGGAGGTAATGTCCACCTGCATTTGTGAGAGGAATCTTCTTGACTGAGTCCCGCGATTCAAATGCTAATCTCTTCCAGACACACCCAGAAAAAATATTGTACCAGCTATTTGGGCATCCCATAGTTCAGTCTAATTGACACATACAATTAACCATCACTGAGGCTTTTGAGAATTCTCTGATATAAATTAGGTTGGTGTTTAATTTTCTCCACTCTCCGTTTCCTAGGCTCTGCTGAGTCAGTTACCACTTGACTTTCTGTTTTCCAGCTCCCAGTATTTTGTTTTTGCTCTCTATCCTATTTTCCTCATCCTTGGGGGTTTATGCCTGTGTTAAAAAACCCCTAACTTTATTGCTAAAGATGTTTAGAGAGAGTAGAATTAGATGCATGTGCTCAACCTATTATCTTGACCCCCAAACTTCCCACTATTAGACATTTCTTACTTTAACATATGCAATAGAAGAATTAGTGTGTAAATTAATCAAATATATAAATGTTTATGGAATAAAGGATGCCCTTTATTTCAATTGTTAATTTCACCAATAGAACATTTTCATAATATTTTACATTATTTCTATGCTACCTTTTTACTATAGAGTCATTCACTAGGCACCATTTTTGGGAATTTTATATTCAACATGCTGCTAATCCACTATTACAATCAAAGGGAGAATTTTAAAACAACATCAAGCAATGAATTAGGCAAGCCCTCCTACTTAGGATTTTGACATAATGAATTAAGTCCTCTGATGTTATTACTTGTAAATAAAATATCACTACTCTATTTAGAATTTACATTTAGTTATAGTAATAAATGTAATAATTTCAGACTTAGAGCATTAGTTTCATTAAATTAAAACGTGGATGCAGATATCTAAGAACGCAACAGAAGGGAGTTATATCGGATTCTGCTTCTATGCAGAATGACTTGTATACTTGGGCTGAAAGCTTTTTAAACACCAGGGACAAAAATCCTGTGGGCCATTTGAGTGTAAAGGCTATGTCCTAACTCATTAACATTGTACCTAATGGGTGTGTGCTCCTCCAGAAAGGCAGGTTGAAAATATTCACTCAGGACAAAAACAGGCCGTTTCAAGTCCAGCTGAGGTGTTGGGTAGGCTTGCCATATAAAATGCAGGCTGCCCAGTTACATTTGAATTTCAGATCAACTAGAAACATTTTTCTTTTTTTTTTTTAGTGAAGTACATCCCATTCAATATTTGGGACATACTTATACCAAAAAAAAAAAAAATCAATGTTTACCTAAAATTCAAATTTAATGGGGGATCCAGTATTTTATTTGTTGAATCTGGTTACTGAAGTCAAGGCCCTTAATCTGGAATTAGAATCTCTAGTAAAGTTTGAGTCAAATAAATAAACATTTTAAAAGCTCTAGGAAAGAAAACTTAGAGCTCAAGGCTGCCAATGCAGTGATCAGGGAACAGCGTATTAGGAATTAAAGAGAAAATAATACATTCCATACAGCATGGGCATAGAGCATCATGGTTTTCAGGAGGACAAAGGAGACTCCCCAATGTCTTCTTAATCAGATGGAAGGAATTTAATACAATGAGCATTCTGGGCATTACTGTACCTTTGTTTGGCAATGGCTTTGTTGTCCTCCCTGGGCCAGTGAGACCTGGAGACCTGAGGTAACTCTACTATAACAAGCACAGAAAACTGTTTATACTAGGGAGCTCTGAGTTTAGAGAAGGTGGTGGAAGATATTTGCAAAAAGAGCATTAGGTTAAAATTAAATTATAATATTTCAAATCATACCTTTTCTGATAGGAGCAGACCTTTCCTAAGCACCTCTATTTGCCCCTAACTCCATGAGCTACCATCTATTAGTATCTATAAATAAGAATTTAATATGGACTTTCAGAATAGGCTTTTTATTTGTTTTTTGTTTGTTTGTTTTAAAGACTGTCTTCAATGTTTCCCTTTAGGAGCACACTTGATCAGAGCTTGCAATCTCTTGAGGATTCTTCCCCATGCTCTTCATTTTCTTCCAAGAACCCACACCATTGAAAAAAACAGAGAATTTTCTAAATTAGCTGAGGGAGTCCCCAAATTATCCAACCCATTTCCCTTCCTTTAGGCAGCCTCCCATTCACATAATGCTAGAGAGCTGTTCATCCACCCTGTGTTAAAAGACTTGCGGGGAAATGATATAACATACCTCTGTGGGAGATTCTTTTTCATTTCTTTCTTGCTGTTATTTTCAGACATCTGTTGACCTGAGATTGAAACTTTGATTTCAATTTATCCAAAAACAGCAATTCTTTTAAAAAAGAAGCAATTAATAGGATAAAAACATGGCCTTCACCTTCCATACCTGAGTGGTGAAGTGTCCAGCTCTCCAAGCTGTGACTGGTAGCAGTTACTCATCAGACAGAGATGTCTAAGGTCCTCAGTTTCCCTCCTTCTACCACAAGTTCTGCATAACTGCTCCTTTCTTGTTGGACATTTGGCAAAGAGGATTGTCTGAATCTATAATGGAGAAAAGGAAAATAAAGGCGTAATCATTTTATCTATTGTTAACTTTTTAAGTTAAAATTTTCTGCACATAAAATATTTTATATATACATATATATCTGCATTTAAAAATAAATATAGCAGATTTCTTTCTAAGATTTTCTAAATCTTTTTATTGCATATTTTATTTAAAGACTACGGTCTCTCCAATCTTGAGCTAAATAGCCCCATCTTTGGGATGATTATCCATTACAGTTACGAGATATAATATTATGTAGGAACTGACACTCTGTAATAAAAAGTTCCCTAGGGAATCTATTTTTCTTGTTAAGGTAAAGTTTTAAAGTAGAGGTGAAGCTGTGAGCTGAATTGGTGGTGGGCAATAAAGGGAAGTGTTGCTGCATAACCTCAAGTCTGGAGAGTGTAGTACAGCCAGCCGCCAGTGCCCCCAGAAGAACAAATTGGAAGAACTGCTTCTGTGAAAACTGTACAGAATTAGCTAGAACACAGCTTGAAGGAGAGTCTACTATGTAGACTCAACAAACATACCTGGGGCTCAGCAATGGTTAGGCTTTTGTCTTTTAGGCTCCAGTTCTGCCCTTGGTCTAAGAGCAGGCTGCTCACTCTCTCTCCACTTTCTATGTAAGAACAAATTCCTAATTACATAAACAGTCTCTAAGATGTGCTTTGCTGCTTAGTCCTCACCATGCCTCTGAGACTTTTTCTTTTATTAAAAATAAGGACAAAGAAGAACTTCCTTTTGACCACTGTCCCCATTTTATTTGTCTGTGTCACTCAGCACATGGCCCACAAGTCATGTACATTCCCAGTGCTACTTCAATAAACCAGTGGTTCAGAACCAGGAGCTATTTTACCCTCCAGAAGACATTTGGTAATGTCTGGAAACACTTTTGATTGTCATGAATTGGGGGAGGGGTACTACTTCTGAATTTAATAAATGGAGGCCAGAGATATTGCTAAATATCCTACAGTGCATGGGACAAACCCCGTCTTCCCCAGCAGCAAAGCATTATCCAGTCCAGAATGTCAACAGGGCCATTCTTGCGAAGTTCGGAATCAAACCAAGGGAAGAGGACAATTTGGCTTCTTTCCCTCATCTTTTTCAGGTGAATTCTCTTTTCCTCACTATTTCCCTGTTTCTTCCCCAAACTCAGAATGGCAAGTCTTCAGTTTCTCTAGCTGTAGTAAACTTTGAGCACCTAGTACATCTCCCAGCTCAGGGGCAGATGCTCCGGAAATGATGATCTCTTGTCAGTCCTTTGCCAACTGACCTCATTTAAGGCAAGTCCAGTCTGATGTGTACAGCCCACCAAAAAAGATGACATCTGGCCTGTTGGCATCCTTTCTTAGAATCCTTTCCATTGCCATAACAGGAAGCCTGTGGGAAGAGTTTGGGGATTTATTTTATGACTTGAAAAATAATCAACAAGCTTAGAAGAGCAGAAAAGAAAAGCTACATGAGGCAGTCCCTCCTGAACACTGTTCAGGGTGCTCCCTCATATGCCAGATACCATATTCCTTGTGCTGTTGTCATCCTAAACATGTTGGATAGAAGCTGGCAGTTAATTTTATCTTGCTAGTATTCTTATTTTCCTTTGGTACATAATATTATAAGGGTACTGTTTATACACTTAGAGCAACATTCAATTTAAATTACAGAATACCAAGAGAGACCATGCACGGAGACACCTCTCTCAGTGAAGCTGTTCTCAGTTAAGCGGGAATCAGGCTGTGCTCTCCGGGAAAGAGGGATTTCCTGGAGCTTTTTAAGGGAAAGGACACAGAACTGCAGCAAACAACATATTGAGGTGATCTGGCCAGTTCCGTTTCTTCTTTTTAAAGCATGACTTAACTCACAACTTCACAAAACAGACTATAAGTTTACTTGGACATTATAAATAATGATAATAATAATAGCTAATATTTATGGAACTCTCGGTATTTAGCAATCACAATGCCAACTGCTTTATAGCATTTTTTCATTTATTAGAATCCATTCCATCCAACACTTTCCAAACAATTATAATGTGTTAGGTATGGCAATGGGTTATGAAAGTTTGCAGTCATGTAAAATTATTAACAGTTAAATTAAACACAATTATATGTTTCAAATAATAAATGATGAGATTGCAGTTCTGGTATTAACTGGATTACCAATGAAACTTTTGGCCAAGGGAGCCTTGTGTACTTTTCTTATTGTGGTCTAGATGTTTGTTCTCTAATAAACCACTATTAGCCATATAAACTATTTACATTTAAATCTAAATTTATTAAAATAAAAAATTTAAATTTAGTTTCATGGTCACACTAGCCACCTTTAAATTACTCCATAATGACATGTAGCTGGTGCCAATTGTGTTGGACAGCACGATATGGAATATTTCTGTCTTTCTAGACAGTTCTATTGGACCACACTGAGTCTAGCATCCTCATAGTCAGACTTTCTTCTTCTTAAGTCATTCACTTTTATACCCCACATTGGTCCTTTTTTGCATTCTAGTTACACAAGACCAATCAATTCCTGATATCTAAATTAGCCTACAAGTTGCATAAAGTTCTGGATCGATTGACAATATTCTCATAACTTGATCTTTACTGAGTTTTCTTCCTCAACCATAAAGAATCCATTAACTGAAAATGCTGCAGTTATTGCTGTTGTTTTATATCATACAAATCTATACCACATAGGAAATGCTGGGGTATGGCTCTATTCCAATGGAAGAGCATTCTATAATGTGTCTGTAAACTCTGTTGGATAAAATGCCCACTATGAATGCCTTCTGTCATCAGAATGGAACCGTTTATATAAATCTCCTTGGCTTTGAGCTGGAAACTAACATGTTATAAGCTGAACATTACCTCAAAACTCCTCACGTTGTTCAAAACACCTTTCTCTTTATGTCATTTCATATCTCCCACTAACTCTAAAACATCTGTCAAATCCGTACTCTCCCTCTCCAGCTCCTTAGCTCAGGTTAGCATTATCTAACATGGACTGTTGCTGGAGCCTCTTAGCTAGCCTCTGCCTTGCTTCCAATCATCTTTTTAGACAGGATCATCTTTTCCAATGTTCATCTAATGATGCACCATCAGCCCCTCCCTTCTCCCTGCTTATAACCTTTCAATTCTTTGATCCCACTCCCAGAACCCTGGATGTCCTAGCTGCCTCCTCACTGTTCAGTCTCACCGCGGACCACACCCCCTTCCTCATGTGTCTACAGTGGCTTTCTTTTCCTCCCATGTCTATAGCCTCTTCTCAGTATTGTTCTCTCTGCCAACGATTCTTTCTCTCTCCTCCTCCCTTTCATCAGTTAATACTGATTAGCCCATCAGTGACTAGTCAACTGAAAGTCACTTTTTCAGGGAAGCCTTTACCAAAGCTCAAACTGAATCCAGTTCTCCTGTTGGAGGCTTTGAGAGCACAATGTGCTTTTCTTTCATACCAATAACCACATTGTGCCCTTATATTTATTGGAGAGATTATTATGATGATGTTGGCTTCTCTCACTATATTATATGATGATAAGAAGGCAGTGCTTTATTTGTTCAGGATGACCATCTGATCCCTAGAGATAAGAGCAGAGCAGGCTCTCAATGAGTACCTGTTGAATGAATGAGATGAAATGGTGAATTGGTCTGAGAATTGGGGTGAAATTTCACAGTTAAATTCAGGGGCTGCTGGGTAGAAGAAACACTTACTCTACAGAAACGGTGGTAGTTTTCATTCCAGGCCTAGGTAACAAGTGTTTGCTGAGTTGACAGGCAACACTCAGAACTAAGAGTGCATGAGATAGTGATTACAAGTGCAGCATCTGGAACCAGACTATCTGCATTCAAATCCCGGCTCCCTAATTATCAGCTGTGGAAATTCGTGCTGCTATAGCTACTCATCTGTTTCTATCCTTCCTTTTTTCTTTCTCTTTTAGTGGAAGAGGGATCCTTGCTCTTTAGTAAAAGCAATCTTCCTTCTGTATTCTGGGTGCCATCTCCCCAGGGACCTCCCTTGATCAATAATTACCCTTCTCCCTCTGTCTCCCAATCTTTCTCTCTCTCTTGGCCTCTTCTCAAGTGTTTATATTTGATAAAGTATCTCTCCTCGTTAAAAAGCCTTATCCTGGCCAGGCATGGTGGCTCATGCTTGTAATCCTAGCGCTTTGGGAAACCGAAGAGGGAGGATCACTTGAGGCCAGGAGTTTGAAATCAGCCCGGGCAACAGAGCAAGAAACCCATTTCTACAAAAATAAATAAATAAATGAAATTAGCCAGGTGTGGTGTTGCGTGCCTGTAGCCCTAGTTACTAAGGAGGCTGAGGAGAAAGAATTGCTTGAGCCCAGGAGTTTGAGGCTACAGTGAGCTATGATTGCACCACTGCCCTCCAGCCTGGGTGACAGAGGGATATACCCTGTCTCAAAATTGAAAACAAAACAAAATAAAATAAACCCTATCTTGATCCACTCTCCTTTCATCTCCTGCCCTTTCTCTCCTCCACATCTAGATGTCTTCAGAGAATTGCCCCTGCTCTCTGTATTACTCTCATCACATGTCACAACTGCTCCACTGTAATGTCTTTGACCAAAGCAAAATATGAGAATGATTTGCAAAACCCTGTTGGAAATTTGTAGTGTTAATCTCTTTTCTAACCTCCCTGCAGCACTTGACACCATTGAGGGCCACCCCCCGCCCCCCACCTTCCTGATTACCTTGGTGTTTCCTTCCCATCTCCCTGATGGCCCTGTCTCAATGTTCTCTATTAGATGAGCCTTTTCTACTAATCTTTTTTTTTTTTTTTTGACAGAACCTCGTTCTGTTGCCCATGCTGGAGGGCAGTGGTACAATCTTGGCTCACTGCAACCTCTGCCTCCCAGGTTCAAGCAATTCTCCTGCCTCAGCCTCCCAAGTAGCTGGGCTTACAGGTGCCCACCACAACACCTGGCTAATTTTTGTATTTTTAGTTAGTTGGATATTCTAACTAACTAAATTTTCACCATATTGGGCAGGCTGGTCTCAAATTGCTGACCTCAGGTGATTTGCCCTCATTGGCCTCCCAAAGTGCTGGGATTACAGGTGTGAGCCACCATGCCCAGCCTTATCTTTTAATTCTGGTATTCCTCAAAGCTCTGTCCTCACCTTTCAGATTCTCTCCCTCTTTTGAGCTTCTAGTGAACAGTGGGAACCATTTTCCAAGAATAAACATTCACAGACACACGCAGGCACGTAACAATTTGCATGCAATTTCAGGGGGGCTATAGACATCCTAAAATACTCCGTGTTATATCTTATATGCTGATAATTCCCAATTATGTACCTTCATTCCAGACTTCTCTGGGATTCATCTCAGTAGATCCAACTTGTTACTAGGTTATCTCTATGTGGATGTTTCCTAGGCATTTCTAAATTATCAAGAGCAAAACTAAACTAATCATCTTTCACCCTCAAACCTACTTCCCTAGCCATGTTTCTATTTAAGTAAATGAAAACACAATTCATCCAGTCCTAGACTAGCAAAAATTTTAAGGTCAGTTGTGAGGCCTTTTCCCTCACCATCATACTCAAGCAGTCACCATACCCTATTTCTTCCCCCTCTTCAGTGTATCTATGTATCCTCACTCCTTAGCATCTCCACTGCCCAAGTATTAATGCAGACCACCATCACCTTCTGCATGGACCACTGCAATAACCTGCCTATTGGTCTTCTTATCACTTATTTGCCTGCAATTCATTCATTGTACTTCAAGACAGAGGTTTCCTTCAAATCAGCAACCATGCCAATCCCAAGGCATCCTACCATGCTTGGGATGAACTCTAAATTAGCCCTATTCTTTTTGTTCCCAACCAACCCCCATGAGAAACCCAATATGCTATACCCATACTGATACCTTTTCAATTACTTGGTATGCCATGGTCTGTATTTCCCTAAGCCATTCCACATATTGTTTCCTCTTCCTGGAACTTTTTTCCTTTGCTATCCCAACTCACATCTGTCTACCTTTTACTCTTCCTTTAAATCTCTGCTTAGTATATACCTTTCCCAGAGAGGCATTTTATAAACTTCCAGCTAGATTAGCCATAACAGCCTCAACTTCCCCCATTATACCCTTTGTGTAAATTACCCTTCTAGGATCTGTTTTCCTGTGAGACCCTAAGCCCTGTGAGGAAGGGACTATGCTCTCTTGTTCACCGCTCTGTCCTCATCACTCAGCACAGCACCTAGAGATAATAAATAGGTGCTTGTAATATACATGCTGAATTTTTAACCATTGTGCTAGGTTGTGTAATTTAATACAAAATCTAAGTCCTTTGAAAATGAAGACAACATAAAATACCAGATGAGGGAGATGTGACAGGTTTCAAGGAGATGGATCTTAAAGCAATATCTGTGTTTGTGTTGGTGGAGAGAAGAGACAAGGAGTCCAGGCAAAGGCAAAGAGGAAAGATTGGGTATGGCATTTTTAGAATATCTAACTAACTGAATTAAAGTATTCAAGATGGACACTAGTGGGAAATAATGTTGAGTGAGATGTAGTTTCTGAGTATGAATGGGGCAAGTGATGAAACTCACCTGTGGACATAGTTCCCTAAGATAAGGCAGAATACCTTGGATATCAATTACAGAAACTCTCAGGGAAATGGAAAGTAACTTATGAATACATAAAGGTTTGGCCCTATATAGATTTCTAGAAATAATTAATTCCAGCCTAAGGCTCTTGCATTAGTTTCTTAAATGAATCAGATCCTTTTCATCCACAGCAAACATAGGTAGCATGGAAATAGAAGGGTTGCAGTGTATACACATTGCACTTCCGTCTAAATGTACACATCGACATAGCCTGCCATATCCCACCATCACTCAGAGGACTGGAGAGAAGGTAAAATCCAAATAGTCTCCAGGATTAAGAAGCCACTTCAGGAGGAAGGAGAAGACTGAGTTATCTGACAAATTCAGTATATTAAGTGTGCTTTTTGGCTAGAATTATTTTGACAATTTGTATCTACTAATTTCTCAATGACTATTGGGCCTTTTAAAGCTGGAGATTGTTAGTCATTTTTCTAATTGCCTGAAAGAAATAGAGACTATGTACATATAATGAATATTAAAACTGGGCAACATTTTGCTTAAATATATATGCCTATAACTGCAACAAATTCAGAGAGCAAAATTATCTTTCTAACTTTATTGGCTTTTCATGAAAATAAACGCTTCCAAGTCATGATAATGACAACCCTTGCCAAATGTTGGCAGTTTAGATTTTAACAAAGATTTTTTTTTGTTCACCAGCTTAGCTGCTGGTGCCATCTAGTGACCAGTTCAATTGATAAACAAAGATGGGTTCAGAAAATGTACTTAGAAGAATTTGATAGTCTTTTATTTAATATTGCAAAGAATGATACCCAAAAAAAGTAACCAGATAGCTGTAATATTTAAGCTATAATTTAAAAGTTATAAAAGGGCAGAAATTTTAAAGATGACAAACTGGTTTTTTAAACACACTTAAAGGTAAAAGTACGCTTTTTTAAAATATGCTTACAGGTAAAAGAGATTAAATAACAATTTATAAAACTTATAGTAAGCAACAATTCTGGAATCATCCTTTTTATATTAAAGATTACACATAACAATAATGAAAATTTGTTAAAAGTTCTCATTCCTCTGAGAAAATTATATAAAGTAAAATATTAATGTATTTTTTAAGTTGACAAGTTGGGTGAGGTGGAACCCAAGCATTATCTGGAAGTCAAAATTATTTCACCATCATCATCAGGAACTAGAATGGTTAAATTTCCAAATTTGAAAACCCATGACTTTCTTCTTCAGAGACATTTCCCCTCCTAGTCTTTAGAATGAAAACACAAGTCTATATTTACGTAAACATTTATCTGCAGAAGTTTTTTCATCCATAGTTTGCTACCTTGTATTAGTGTTGACCCCAAATCAGCACAGTCTGCTTGGTTAGCCGTAAGTGCTACAAAAAAATGAAGGTAAAATAAAAACGGTTTCAATTTAAACCGTCTTTAAGTTTCTGCAAGGAAACAAATGCGATAGTTTAAAATGGTTCTGGGAGACCCTCAGGCTTCATTAGAGGGTTTAGCTTCTGCTGAGGGCTCTCAGCTTAAGATGCTTACTAACCTCTAGCCCATTACAAGGGAACTCAAGGTTCTTGATGCTTCATTTTTAAGGCACTAGATTGGTTTTTGATGTTGTTGCTGTTGTTATTGTTAGGAGAGTGATTAGGATGTATATTAACATAGTCCAATAAAGAACCCTGTCAAGTTTTGATGACCTTCCTCTAAAATGAGAATATTATACTCTGGACAAGTTTTCAGTAAAACAAAATATGGAACTGTTTCTCTGGGTATAGTGAGGAGTTTGTCCTCAATCATCAACATTTTTGTCCTGTTCCTCTTATGTGCCATGGATTTCCCAAACGTCCAATTAAATGATGACCAGAGCCATCCAAGAAAAGTAAGGAGTCCCCATCACACTGCATCCCCCCTACATTGTTTTTTATAAAGGGCATTAGTAGTTAAAGTCACTTGTGTATTTGTTCACCTATTTAGTCAGTGATTAGTTGCTTAAACATCTATCAAACAATTATTGAACAGAGACCATTAAGCACAAGATGAGGAAGTCATAGTTTTCATTCTCAAGGAACTGTGAGTGAGAGAAAGACATTTCCTAGTGACAGAACAACATTTATCAATAGAAGTCTAAGTACTAGAAATATTTATAAGAATTCTAAGATTTTAGAAGCAAAATGAATCCCAGCAAGTTAGGAGCTCAGGAAAGGTATAAAAACATTTTAAAGCACTGCCATGTAACCTAGGCATTGAAAAATAAATAATGTTTCAGTGAAGAGAAGTGACAGGTAAGTGCAATTTTATCATGAAATTGTAAATATGGTAGACTGATAAGTAACCAGTTATGTGAAACATGAGTAAGTGTTGGTACCATGAGATATTGGGCTGAAAAAGTTGTTTGAAGGGTGGAAGTACTAATACTTTATTTGGTAGTCAATGGGTTGAATGAAAATTTGTAAATAAGAAGGTGAATTTATTAGAGTAGTGTTTTAGGAAAGTTAGCAGAGGGCTGACATATATCCATGTGGCAAATAAGATGAAGAACAAACAAGAGAGCCTCGAAGTGGGGTGACCAGTAGGGAGATTGTATTCCTTCAAGACTGAACTAGGATTGGAAAAGAGGAACAAACAGATACGGCAGAGATGGAATTGATAGAATGTAGTAACCAATTTGATTTGGGGAAAGAAGAAAAAGATGGCGAAGGAGTTAAAGGCAACTCACTTTTTAAGCCTGGGTGACTGGATATGTGAAAAATTAACAAATAGATGAAAGGTAGGAGAGAGAGCTAGCTTGTAAGAGAAATACTGGACTGAAAAACATAAAATACAAACCCAGTTGACATTATCAAAAGAGCAAGTTGTACTTAAAGTCAGCAAATCTGAGATCTTGGAGAGATCTCTGAGTAACGAAGCTCTATTACATACATGGGAAACCCATGGTATGGCATCCCTAATAGTGACATGATATGTCCATGGATGAAGAGCTCTGTATACTACCAAGTCAATTATTCCATTTTAGTATCCTATTTATTATAAACGGTTTTATTATAATTAACTAAATCCTAGTTCTTGTCATTTCTCACTTGTTCATTTTCATCTTATGTAGAGAATAACAGAACACTCTCCTTTATAAGATGGCTTTTTCTATTATTTCACAAGTTATGTTTCTGTTTTATTCCCCATAGTAACAATTATCAGTTCCCCTACGTTTTTGTCATGCAAAGTTATTTACACATGCCTTGCTATTCTGATGACCTTTGTCTGGAAGATCTCCAAAATATGTATATCTCTCAAAAATATAGAATCTACAATTGAGAAAATCATCAAGATACATCTTGTGTCTTCCTTGCTGCAAAGCCACATACTTAACCAACCAACAGACCTCCTCCTTAATTATACAATTACGGATTGAAGCCTTTTCTTTAAGAAAGGCCAAAACTATAGGTATGAAAATATGCTACTTAATTTGAGGTCGACACTTAATTTAAGAGGGGCTTTCCTTAGCTTTATAGCAATATTTTTTAGCCAATTCCTATGGCAAGTCTCTGAGTTTACATACAGTTAGAAAAAACCCTCTTTAGAGGCCATCCAGGAGCATCCTCTTGTTAATGAGAGGAAACATTACTCAAGGTCAGAAACTTCAGGTGGAGCTTTAGCCCTACCACTACTTAAGTGTGAGCTTTTTGAGTTTCTGTTTCTTTTTTTCTAAAATGGGGATAAATATCCTCATGTCTCATGACTACGTAAGTGTCAAAATCAAAACAGAACAATGTATGACAAATGTCCTGCATGTCTTCCACAACTGTATGAAAGTAATAGTGCAGGTGAGTGAACTAAGGCAAAGAAGTGAGTGCCTTACATTGCCTTACACCCCCAGATTAGAGGGGAGTCTTCATGCCCTGTTAGAACCACACATCTGTGCTGGAGTAATGTAGAAGAGTCTCACCCAGTCACAGCAATGAAGAGAGTGGGAGCAAACTGGAATCCATATTCACTCTAACCCCTAACATTGCCAGTTGCCAAAGCCAACTGCTTCTTGCTTTCCCCAGGATCCTTCTCCGCTTCTCCCTTACAATTGCCATCATATTTCTCTCCAACTTCTGTCCTCTGTGCAGTTCTCACTGAATCACTAAACACATGGAGTGCCTACCACACCCAAAGCACAATGTTCACCACTGGAAATGTGAAGTTGAGTAAAATTTGATTCCAATTTTCCTGGAGTTTACATCATATCTGAAAAGGGCAGTCTTCACATGCACTGGGATGTCTAGGCTCAAAAAGTCGGATATACAAGTGTTGGTAAAGATGTGGAGAAATATAGAAGCCTCATACACAGCTAGTGGGAATGTAAAATGGCATCACCACCTTGGAAAGCAGCCTAGTAATTCCCCACATAATTAAATACAGAGTTACCATATGACCCAATAATTTCTCTCCCAGGTATATACACATGAGACTTAAACACACATGTCCACACAAAAACTTGTATATAAATGTTTATGACAGGAGTATTTATAACAGCCAAAAGTGGAAATAATCCGAATATCCATCAATGGATGAATGGCCAAACAAATGTAGCATATTTATCCAATGGAATATTATTCAGCCATTAAAAGGACTGAAGTACTAATACATGCTACAACTTGGATAAACTTTGAAAATATTATACTAAGTGAAAGAAGCCAGCAATTAAAATTCACATATTATACAATTCCATTCCTATGAAGGTCCAGAATAGGGAAATCAACAGAGACAGAAAGTCCATTAGGGGTTACCAGGGCTGAGAGTATAGGTGAAGAGGGAGTTAGAAAGTGGTGATAGCTAAAGGATATGGGGGTTTTTTGGAGGTGATGAAATTTTTGGTCTCAGGATTCCTACACCCTCTCAAAAATGTTCTAAAATTGACTGGTAAAGTTTGCACCTATCTGTGAATATACTAGAAACCACTGAATCTTACACTTTAAAAGTATGACTTGTGTGGTGTATGAATTACATCTCAATAAAGCTGTTTTTTCAAAAAAGGCAAAGCCAGATGAGTGCTGTAAAGGATTTGAATTGCCATGGTAAAAAGTAGAGTTCATCGGTGACAGCAAGGAGGGAGTTCAACCCGGACATCAGGAAAGACTTTACAGAAGAGTGATGCTAAGGCTGAGGCTTGAAATATGAGTGGGTGTTTATTGTCTCCAGGGATCCTTCTCCAATCCATTAGACACGCTGCTACCACAGTGATCTTTTAACAATTAAAATCTGATCGTGCTACAGAGAGGCACATAGGCATCTTCTAAGGCCCTGCTCATGTCCTGTTTCTTTCTGTGGGTTGAGGATACATGAGTGTTACTTTCTCTGTGTATACAAATTACAGTATATACATTTGTTGAAATAGATGATACTTTGCAAAATAAAAAATAATTTTATTATATGACTATCCTGCCTAAAATTACTCAATAGATTCACATCACTAACATGGTAGAGATTTCGCTGTTGGGTATGACGTGGCTTTGTTTACCGTTACATCCTCAGCTACTTGCACGGTGCCTACACATGGGAGACCTACAGTTTTAGATTGTCTCTGAGACTGAGACAATGACTTGGGAGTAGGCAGTTTATTCAGGCGGTGATCCCAGGAAGTGAGAGTGAGGGAGAGGCAAGTTAGGAGGAAAAGCCTGTAGAACAGTGCATCATCAAGGTTGCCACTGTAGGCGATGGGGCTTTGTTCCCTCCAGCACCTCTGAGGAGCAATGGTATGCCTCCTAAAATGGTCTATTGGACCAACAGGAGACTGGAGCATACCTGCTCCTGCACTCCATGGTCCTTAACTTATGGGTCGTCAGAGCAGGCTCCTAGGGGCCAAAGAAGGCCTAGAAGCAGAAAGCGGAGAGTAGGGAAATGTACCGCGCGTTTGAGGTGGGGGCTGCCAGCCCTGGAGGAGTCTGAGCTTGAGCAGAGCTGCCCACTGCTGCTGTGGCAGAAATTAGAAGTGCACCCAAGGGGATGTGCCATGGGACACCAGAGGCTTCTGCTATATACTTTTTCTAAATGAATGCAATTCCCGCATTGCCTGTACACATGTATTTTGCTCCAATTAGACAACTACTTGCAGTTACCTGAAACTGAAAGTGCTCTGTCCCCACCACCACACCTCTGCTTTTAAAGATTCTATTTCAAGGCCATGATAGCTCATGCCTGTAATCCTAGAATTTTGGGAGGCCGAGGGGGGAGAATCTTTTGAGCCTGGGAGTTTGAAACCAGCCTCTAAAAAAGTGAGACCCCATCTAAAAAAAAAAAAAGATTCTATTTCAGAATTTTTTTCCATCTTCCTGTTGAACTCATACTCATACAAAGAACCCTGTTTGAATGTCTTCTTATCCATGACACCTTCTCTCTTGGCTTTCCTTGCACCAGAACACATTTGTATTAGTTCATTCTTGGGCTGTTTTAAATAAATACCTGAGACTGGGTAATTTATAAAGAAAAGAGGTATAATTGGCTCATGGTTCTGCAGGCTGTACAGAAAGCAAGATGCTGGCATCTGCTTGGCTTCTGGGAGGCCTCAGGAAAATTTACAGTCATGGCAGAAGACAAAGGGGGAGCAGCACGTCACATGGCTGGAGTAGGAAGAAAGTTCGGGAGGAGTGTTTAAAAGCCACTCACTTTTAAATGACCAGATCTCACGAGAACTCACTCACTAGAGCAACCAAGGGTAAAGGTGTTAAGCCATTCATAAGAAATCTCCCCCGTGATCCAGTCACTTCCCACCAGACCCCACCTCCAGCACTGAGGATTACATTTCAACATGGGTCTTGGGTGGGCACACAGATCCAAACCATATCAACATCTCTTCACTCTATTCCTTTCTAATTATTTTCATGTGTTTCTCCTCTTAGGCTAGTAAAATACTTAGAAGATAGTAAGAACTCAGTACATGTTAAAAGAAGGGCTGAATGGATTTCATAACTTTAAGATTTCAGGTTTTGATAGACAAGTGGAGCTGTAACTCTCAAATGTTTTGGTCTCAGCACCTTTATATCCTCTTAAAAATTATTGTGGGTTCCATAGAGCTTTTGTTTCTGTGAATTATATCTGTCAAAATCTAACATAGAAGAAACTGAAGGGATGATACATTAAAAATGCATCATAAAACATTACATGTTAGCACAAATAACTTTTTAATAAAAAATAGCTATGTTTAGTGACCATTTTGGCATTGTTCTATATTTTTGGCAAATGTCTTTCATGTCTGACCTAATAGGAGTCAGCTGGCATCTCACATCTGCTTCCACATCTATCTGTTGTGATATGTTGTTGTGGCTGAAAGTCCACCCTTACACAGATGTGTAATTAGAAAAGAAAGATATATTTTAATAGCTTTTTAAGGTAATTTGAATATTCTTTGAAACCATACCAAACTCATTGTAAAGTAGTTTCTTAAAGGTTGGTCCCAATGGCAAATCTGAAACCCTTTTCATCATTACACTTCGGTCATTTGGAAAGTATTGGTTCACTGAGTTATGTAAATTTTACAAATGTTCAAAGATTTAATTATACAACATCAAAAAGTCATATTTATTAATATCACCACCTATCTCATCAGAAAAGTCTCTAAGTAGTGGGAAGCTGTCATGCTCACAGTGGTAGAGTCTAGTTTTCAAAATTTTAAATTTTCATTGGAAAGTTCAAATTTTAGCAGTGGAAACAAATACTATGAGTTGTTTTCCTTATAGCAAGAGGTTTATTTTGTTCAGCTTTTAAAAAATTCTCTGCCAAATGTCCAAGTCTGAATATCCATAGTCAGTCTGTTGTTCTTTCAAGTAAAAATGCTGTCCCATGTCCTCAAAGGTCTAGATTTAATAAAACTAATACTTTTTACATCTTCGTTAAGGGCATCTTTCAGTAAAACTGGCATTTTCTTTTTCATTGCCAGTGTGTGGTACTGAAGAAGAAAATGGCAAAAAAGATACTACTCTCTTGAGTAGTATCAGATATCAGAGAGTAGTCAGATACTACTCTCTTGATTCATGTACTTTTACCCACCACTGCTTTTGCACCATTAGTGCAAATGTCAACCCAGTGAAATAGACCCCATAACAACTTGGTATTATTATGACAATTGTTTTGGCCTCAGGGAACCCAGAGTCTTAAGAACCCCCACAAATCCATAAACCATGCTTTTGGAACTTCTCAAGTAGAAGACCGATGTCCCATAAATTTTTGCATCTTTGAAAAGAATTTCAAGAGTTTATTAAGTTGTATCCAAAAAATTATGAGCTGACACAACCTAATTCCTTATCTCATCCTAGCAATGCTTCCTTATCAACCCTGGCCCACTTTGCTGCACCCCAGACCCTTAAGCTAGGAGCTCCGCTTTTTATCTGACATATACAGCGTCGGTCAAGAGGGTACCAAAACAACAAATGAAAACAGTCAAGAAGGAAAAACAGAGGAACTTTTGACATTTTGAAGTAAAGAAACTTCATTGTAATGGGTTCAAGAGTCATTGGATTGCAGTCAGGTTCTCCTTGAACAATAGTTCAGCCTCTTTTGGGTGTCCAAAGGGAAACTAAGGAAAAGGGATTTTGGCCACATTTAGATTTGAATTCTAACCCATTCCTATGGGCCAGATAGAAACGCAGGCAGCAGGAATGGGAAAGACTCTAGAGAAAGGGAAAGGTCAAAAGCCAGAGTGGAACTTTATCCTTCCAGTGCTTTCCTTGGCGCGGTCTATGTTTTAAGGAAGAAAGATCAGACCTTTTACCAAGGACACCATGAGAGGAAAATACTGGCTGGCAGTTCGAGGGGAAAATACTCAAGGATTTTAGTTAACCAGGGCCTGGGTTGATTTTCACAAGTGAATAGGTCATATGCTTGGGAAAGCCATCTGCTGTGTGCCCTGATTTCCCTTCTGACTCATCTCTTACTGGACCATGACTGAACTGAGAGCTGCATCTCTAAGGCAAATGCTAATAATGTTTGGATTTTACATTTGAGTAGAGCGTCATAATTTACAAATATTACCCCAACATTTGTTAATCACCTAAGCAATACTAGGCACATGTATACTTATTAGTTCATTGAGTGATAGTAATAATTTATTGAGCATTTACTAGGCATTAGTTCCATGCTAAACACTTTATATATATAAAATCTTTCTAAAATACTTCCAACAACCTTACAGGTAGTGTTTGCATTTAATGATGAGAGAACTGGCCTCAGGGAAGTTAAGTTATTTGCTCAATGTCATGCAATTAAAAAAGGATAGAACTCAGATTCATCTGAATGAAGCTGAGGCTCTTAACCACTATACTACTCTAGGTAGAAAGTACCCAGGAAGAGCTGGTTAAGTTGTTTGAAGTGTGCAAGCCTTTGGGAAAGAAAAAAAATTATTAAGTCACAAGCAAAAGTATTTTTCTTCTTTACTAGGTCTCTTTTTTTGATGGTTATTGTCCTAATAACTGAACAGAAGAAAAACATGCCTCCTCTTATCAGGCTCTGTGACAAGTTAGATACCTAGAGGAGAGGCACTAACTCTCTGGGCCCCTCCCTCAGTTCATTACTGACATGTGCATGCTGCTGCTGAGAACAAAGTGGGGTCAGCTAATGGGTTTTAGGTTGTGGAGACTTTGTCACTATAAAGTAATGCCTCTAGGTATGTCACCCACTCATTGCTGGCTCTAAATGAATGGTGACAATATTGCTTGCTGCTCCGTGAATACCATAGCTCTTGGATGACTATAGTAGCTCACAGATCTTCTCTGGCAGGTGAACAGGGTCCCTGAGGAGGTCACCGTCAGGTTTTTCAGACCAGGAGGGAATTGTTTCACTCACTGCCGCATGAATGCTGGAAGGCCCAGTTGGCTCAGTTACTCACAGACCTGTGCTAATGAGCCTGGAGTCAGGTTTTAATACTTGCAGGAATCAATTGGCTTTGCATGGAGAAAAGTCTGCACCACTGATTTTATGTTTCCATGATCAGAGCCACTGCCGCAGGATCACACCACGGCAGTCTTTTCCGGGTATCAGGTGCTGCTCAAACTGAAGGCAGGGGGATGGCTGTGGAGGCAAAGCAGGTTTCAGCAGTAGCTGGTTCCAAAAATGACTTGAGGTCTTTATTTATTATTCAGGAATTTATTATGGCTTAATTTATGTTTATTAAGTGAATGAATGAATTTTCTGTTTTCTCCTAAAGATCTTTGTGACCAAGATCTCTGCTTCAGGTAAAATAAAAGAGGGAAATGCCTCAAAATGAAAAAAGCATCATATTCTTCACAGATGCTCAGGCAGGACGGAGAGTAAAACAGGATCTATTTTAAAGGAGTTAGCAATAAAAGAGTCCAAAAACTGTATTTTATAAGCAATCTGATTCTTAGATTTCTTATGTGTCTTCTTCTGGGTTTCTTGTCTTTGTTTGGTTTCGCTATCAGATGATCAAATTCTCCTTAAAGACTTCACCCTGTTTTACATACCATAAGAGAAACTAAAGAAAGGGAGGCTTGGTTGTGCTTCAATTAAGAGTGTTAAGTTTGGTCTCATTCACTTTTGGGGACCAGGTTTGGCATGGCCAGTATGAATGGAGAATGACTCCAAGGACAAGCCAGAAATCAGAAACAGAGGGGAAAGCTCTTCTTCCTACTCTCTACCACATGGGTGATCTATGTCCTCTTTTAAGGAGAAAGAAACACGCAAGGCCAAAGGACAGGAAAGTGTTTGATTGCCGTTTTAGTGAAAGACAACTTAGAGTTTGGGGTTAACAAGTTCAATTCAGCTCACAATGTGATCTAGCTACTAATATTCTCAGGCTGCATCCAAAAAAATGTAAGATCCCAATTACAAATTACAAAAAGTAATAGTCTTGCTACTCTCCCTGCTGGTCACCAAACACGGTGGGAGCTTAGCCTGGCTCTGCCTTTTATTAACTGCACGTCCTTATACAAGTTACTTTACTTCTTTCAACTTTACCTTTATTATCTGTAAAATGGGGCTTATGATAATAACTCAAAGGATAATTATGATGATTAAATAAAAAGCAACTGATACACATTTAGCCTAGTTCATAGCCTGTAGTCACAGCGATAAACGGCAGCTCTTAAAACCACTGTTTTGCTGTCAATCTTGTCGGGGCAGCTCAAGGCAGCCTTGTACACTCTGGCTCTTAATATACAAGTTTGGGCACTTAGGTTGCAAAAAAAAAAAAATCTGCTATATATATATTAGAGATTTTATTTAAAATATGTGGGAGCCCTTAAAAACCTAATGGGAAAACTGGAGTCAGGCTCAACACATGAGAACTAACCAGCAACTCTGTTGGTGGAAGAAGCAGGAGCCATTTTGGCAGTCGTGTCCATAAAATTTCACCCTTCTCAGTCTCATGGTGACTCTGTTTAAGATCAAAATTCCAACTTGGATTGCACTCCTAGTGTACAGCCATCGGGGAAAAGTAATTCCCCAAAAGGAAATCTGATAGCATTAAAGAAGGATGGCTAGATAGAAATTCTAATGTTCTGTAAGATACTCTCCTCTTCACATTTAAATAAAATAATTTATCTTATAATTGGCACTTACTTCTGTGGGGAACTAGTTAAAGGCATTCTTTTGCCGTCCAGGCTAGGGTGCAGTGGCGGGATCTCGGCTCACTGCAACCTCCTCCTCCCGGGTTCAAGCGATTCTCCTGCCTGAGCCTCCCAAGAAGCTGGGACTACAGGCGCCCGCCACCACGCCCCACTAATTTTTTGTATTTTTAGTAGAAACGGGGTTTCAACCTGTTAGCCAGGATGGTCTCGATCTCCTGACCTCGTGATCCGCCCGCCTCGGCCTCCCAAAGTGCTGGGATTACAGGCGTGAGCCACCGCGCCCTGCCAAAAGCACGTTCTTAAACCGCATTTTTTCTAAGTATTTGTGATGGCTTTAAGAAGCCCAGGTAAAGGAATCAGAATCATGTAATTACTATAGTGGCCACTAGATGGCAATCCCAAAAGTGAGGCATCATTTAAAAAATAAGTCAACAGTAAAATTTCTTAAAGTTTTCAGCACTTTAACATTTATTATCTGATTCACTTCACACAGTAGCTTTGTGATCTTGAAATTATTATGCCAAAAGTTTGCGTCTGAGAAAATTGATTCTCAGAGACGTTCACTGACTTGCCCTATCCCCAGAGTTTAATAATTTGTTTTGTCTACGTTCTTGCTTTTTCTACTAACCCTACTAAATTCTTTATAGTTACAGATCTTCAGACACTCTAAATTTTCCAAGCTTGGAAATTAAGAGGCACTCTTTAAATCATCTAATATATTCTGTTCATTTTCCAGATGAGGAAACAGAGTCCTAGGTAATGTAAGTAATTTGCTCAAGGTCACACAGTTGATTTGTAGACAAGTCTGGTTTGAACTCTGAATCCTGCCTAGACCAGGAGTCCTTGTAGCAAAATAGACTTATTTCTCATATACTATTGGACTACAAGTACACTTCCTTACCAAACTTCACTTAATAAGATACTATCTGTAGATTTGAACCAAAGTCTTTAGTAAAACATTTTCTGCTAAACATGGGTTTACACTTCACAAAAGTTTTCATCCTAAGGATGACCATGAACCCCTTACCCCTCTCCAAGAATAATGAAAACCAGAGCCTGTCTGTGTCAGAATATGTTTAGCATTGCAGTTCACCTCTTCTGGCTGTAAGATAGCTGTTGTAATGAAGTGTGTGTTTGTGACCTGCCCATTAAATGTTATGCTCTCACAGAGTGAATTAGGTAGTATGTTGTGTAAGATGACTTAAATAAATAAAAGAAATATCTATGCTGTCAAAGAGGAGGTAAGATCAACAGCATCTATGGAAGATCTACGGTCACCCCAGGAGCGATAGGCAATATTGTCACCATTCATTATGGAAATGGCCTTGAGATAATGGCCAACCCAGAGGATATTGTTCACATTGATAAAGGGCTCCACCCCTGCTGTTCTCTTTACCCCCCACCCCACCCCTCTCCAACACATACAAACCCTGAGAATTACAACCCACTCATCTTGGTTTTTTTTTTTCGGTTCAATGCATAACGAAACTTTTCAATATTCCTAAGTGCCATTCTTCTATGTGTACTGGTTCTATGTTAAAAGCATTCTTTATAAGCTTATAATATCATGCCACAAAACCTTCACCAAAGAAAACATTCAGCAATCATCTGGAAATTTTTTGTTCTTATAAAAGACAGCATGATGTAGTAGAAAGAGCTCATATGCAGAAAAGCTTGGTGTGTTACTAGCTTGATTACTGATCAATAGAGAGTTTTTGTTTGATTTTGCCTGTTTTTTTTTTGTAATGTCACCTAATTTTTCTGAGGCTCAATGCTCTTATGCAGAAAAATGATGTAAGTAACATCTGCCCTACATTGTGGTGGTTGGGACTATTTGTTTGAGAGTAATATGAGCCACCTTGAAGCCGTCTTAAGCAATACTTAGCAAAAATTAAGAGTTTGTTAGGGAAACAGGGATGTATTAAAACCCAACAAAGTCTGGGCGTGGTGGCTCATGCCTATAATCCCAGCACTTTTGGAGGCCGAGGCGGGCGGATCATGAGGTTGGGAGATTGAGACCATCCTGGCCAACATGGTGAAACCCCGTCTCTACTAAAATACAAAAAAAAGAAAAAAGAAAAAATTGGCCAGGCACAGTGTCTCATGCCTATAATTCCAGCACTTTGGGAGCCCAAGGTGGGCAGATCACCTGAAGTCAGGAGTTCGAGACCAGTTTCACCAGCGTGGTGAAACTCCATCTCTACTAAAAATACAAAATTAGCCAAGTGTGGTGGCACATGCCTGTAATCCCCACTACTTGGGAGGCTGAGGCAGGAGAATTGCCTGAACCTGGGAGGTGGAGGTGGCAGTGAGCCAAGATCACGCCATCGCTCTGGGCAACAACAGCGAAACTCTGTCTCAAAAAATAAAATAAATAAAATAAAATAAAATAAAATAAAATAAAATAGCCAGGCATGGTGGCACGTGCCCATAGTCCCAGCTACTCTGGAAGCTGAGGCAGGAGAATCACTTGAACCCAGGAGGCAGAGTTTGCAGTGAGCCGAGATCGCACCACTGCACTCTAGCCTGGGCTACAGAACGAGAGACTCCATCTCAAAAAAAAAAAAAAAAAAGTTTTAATTATAGCTTGAGCCTCTGGATGGTAATGCCTATAGAATGTTAAAGTCAATATTTGAACATCATAAGCACGGTGGGACTTTCTCTTTGAATCTCAGTCTTACAGTGATTCTAAATGTCCCTTCTTAGCAACAGGAAGTTATCTTATTTCTTTCACAACAGCAATAGCAACAAAAATGATGCAACTACAGCCAGTTATTCAAATAGCTCAAAGAAAAGCTACATGATAGTTATTTATTCATTCATCCATTCCATTGTTTATTCAGTGAACCTTTCCATCCAGCACCTACTATGTCCACACACTAGCTGGGGTCTACCTATACAAGGTAAAAGTGGCAGATACGGTCACTTGTACCCTATTGCTGGTGATATCCAGTTTGCTTTTTTTTTTTTTCTTAAAGTCACTACTTGCATGCCCATGGAGGAAAATAGTTGCAAATAGCCAGGGTCAGTGTGTGATTTCTTACAGGGAGCTCTCTGGCCATTTGGTCAATGGATTCTAAAGTTGTTATGGCTCTACTTCAGCAATAACATCGAGCTACAGAACTAAACTATGTGACTGCATCTTACATGCCTGCCGTCTGGCTCACCCCTGAAAATCTGGTCTCCAAAGCCTGCTTGCTGGCAAAGGGAACCATGTAGAAAGGATTTTTGGCCTAATTGTGTCTGTTTGTTGCAATGCAATGCCCTTAACCTCCCAAGGGCTGTGTCCCAGACCCTTGCCTATAAAGCCAACTCCATTTGGCAAGCAATGTCTCTGACAAAGCAGTAAGCTTGGCCCCATTAATGTGCTTGCCTCACATTCTATAGTGTTTCACACCACATGCCTCAAATTCTTTGGTTTTCCAGGGCTTAGAGTACTCGGGGTAGCAGAGGGAGTTAAGAGACCTGAACACGCCTGTCATAAATGAACACACAGCTCCAAAGGGCTTGCAGTAAACATGGACACTATTCTTTTTTTTTTTTTTTTAATACTTTAAGTTTTAGGGTACATGTGCACAACATGCAGGTTTGTTACATATGTATACATGTGCCATGTTGGTGTGCTGCACCCATTAACTCGTCATTTAGCATTAGGTATATCTCCTAATGCTATCCCTTCTCCCTCCCCCTACCCCACAACAGGTCCCGGTGTGTGATGTTCCCCTTCCTGTGTTCATGTGTTCTCATTGTTCAATTCCCACCTACGAGTGAGAACATGCGGTGTTTGGTTTTTTGTCCTTGTGATAGTTTGCTGAGAATGATAGTTTCCAGCTTCATCCATGTCCCTACAAAGGACATGAACTCATCATTTTTTATGGCTGCATAGTGTTCCATGGCGTATATGTGCCACATTTTCTTAATCGAGTCTATCATTGTTGGACATTTGGGTTGGTTCCAAGTCTTTGCTATTGTGAATAGTGCCACAATAAACATACGAACATGGACACTATTCTTTACCAGATATCATTTTCCCTATCTATAAAGTGAGGAGATTGTCTACAACAGTGGCTTCAAAGTTTGTACTAGCAGCAGAATTATTTGTATCAAAGAAAGCTTATATAACAGTCCAGTGTGATTTGTGGTCCAGTAAAACTTACTATCTATAGTTCCCTAAACATTGTCATGACTTTTGTGCATGCTAGTTTTTGGCAAGAAATGTCCCCCCATAATAATCCACCTTCTCTTAGAAGCCATTGCTGAATGTCTCCTCTCCCTTTATAGTGTTAATCACTTGTTTGCTCATTAATTCATTCAGAAATGTAAATTTAGCTTCTATTGTGTTGTATCAGGTACTATGCTAGAAACTAGGAATTCACAGCTGAATGTCTGAGTTGTAACTTTTGTTGTATCAGGTACTATGCTAGAAACTAGGAATTCACAGCTGAATGTCTGAGTTGTAGCTTTGAAAGATTCACAATTCACTAGGGAGATGTATTAGTTGGGGTCCTGGTAAGAAACAGGTGGCCCACTCCAATGGAAAAGTTGAAGATATTCTGATGATGGGGCTATTTACAAAGGTGTGGGCAAAGTGTAAGGGAAACCAACAGGGAATGAGAAAGGGCCCAAGATAGGGAGGCTGAGGAAGGCAGCAGAAGGGAATGGAACCCAGAGAGAACCACTGCAACATCCCCAGAAGGCCTCCTGCAGAGCTGTGGCTTTGGGAAAGGAAGCCTGAAGCAAGCAGGGGACTGAATCTCCAGCCCTACATTTGCAAATGTCCAACAGAGCCTCCTACTTGACACATCCTCGAAAAGGCAAGGTAAGCCACTGGCCCTGCCCATGAAAGTCAGCCTCCCAAGACCCAGAAGAATTGTTTCACAGATGAAGAAACTAAGGCACCAAGACATCAAGCAGCTGGCCAAGATCACCTAGCTGATCAGTGGCAGGGGAGGAGGAAAACCTAGTTAGCCTAAGATCAGAGGCCAGTCTTACACTTGAAGCTATGCTCTTGCTATGATAGAGAAAGTAAAAGTCTAGTGATGGTACAAAGAAGATGTTGATCAGCTCCACTTGAGTGGGGCCTGGAAGATATACAGAACTCTGACAGCCATATTAAGGATGGGGCTGAGGTGGACGAGGATTGATAACCTGAAGAACAGGATGTACAAAGACGTGTGATTTACAAGGGCATTGTTGAGGGTGAAAGGGATCATTTTGACCAAGCGTAAGGAGGAATTTGAATGTGTGTGGGAAATGAACTGAAGTGGCTAATTGTGTCAGGTCATGGAACACCTTGAATGCTATTTAAACTGGTTTGGACTTGATTCGGTAGACAAAAGGGAAAATCTTGAATCTTGAAGGTTTTTAAACAGTGAAGTAACATAAGGAGATTTGCCTTTTAGAAATATCACTCTCATGGCTGTAGGTGACTGAATAGGAGGCAGGCAAGACAGAGCGTGAGAGATCAGAGGAGTCAGGACACTGCTATAACAGCCTAGGAGAAAGATGGTCAGGATGTTACTTAAGGCAGTAGCAGTGAGGAAAGAGAGAAAGGCACAGATTCCAGAGAGATTTAGGAGAAAGAAACATCAGGGCTTAGTGGTCAGGGGGATGTGAGAGTTGAGGAAAAGGAAGAAGGAGCACAGGACAACTCCCAGGTTTCTGATGCGCAGAATTTCTATGCCATTTTGATGCATCCATTTCTATTATTTTACTTCTGGTACAATTATTTTCATAGGGCATCTATTGAATGCCTTCTCTGAGCCAAAATCTATGCTAGATGCTGTGGATAGAAAGATGAGTTAGACAGAATGTTTTCCCTAGTTAAGGAGACAGACACATATGTAGACAATTTCAACACAATATAATAAATGTTATCATAAAGATATGCACAGGAATCACTTTCTAGTGTAATTATCCATTTACATTGCCTACAGCGTTTCTTATTCATTGCTGGGTCTCAGTGCTATGGCCATTGTCTCTCATATAGCAGGGGTTAATCAAGCACTGAACTGGCTTGGATCTTTGCAACAGTTTTGTTAAGCTCAGTACTGGTTTCCCAGGAATCTTATAGGGCTTGTATTTATCAGAGAGCAAGTACTATATCCTAACCCCAAGACTGCATGTATTCCTGACCTGTTCATGTCTATAAAAGTGCCCAGTGAAACACAGTAAGCATTACAGGAACATAGCCTATCACCATCAGTGGTTTCAGAGTGCAAAGTCTCCACACTCTTGTCAGAGGAAGTGCTCCATCCAGCCCAAGGCAAAGACCTTCTTTCTTCTCTCATCCCCTAGAAATACATGGTAAGCTTTCTCAACTTAACCGAAGCATTAGTCAAACCTTCAAGCAATTTTCTCAGCCTGCTCCAGACACAGAACAATGGAGTGAAATTTTGTTCTGCACAATGTTGTGTTCCTCATTATAAGTTTCATAATGTGTATTTAGATCTATTAATTTCTGCTGGTTTTTATTTCAGACAAAAACTGCATGATATTTATCATCTCCCCTCCCCTGAATCATCTAGTTTTAGCTATCATAATTTTACCTGAGATATCCTAAAACCAAATTGTCCAAAATTTGACAAAATATTCATGCACCAAATTCTGGTCTGTGCTGCATTTTATGGGAAGTATAAGGTGTTTCCTGCTTTGCTTAAGAGGTGACACTTAATCAGTGGTTCATTCTCATTTTTGACTATTGGATTCAACAAAGAGTGTCTGATTCCTTAAGGGCTTGACTGAGACAATTTAGAAAACATAGCAATATACAAACACACATTAAGTCATTGTTGCAATTCAATAAAGCTGCATAACCTTGTTTAGGCATTTAGTTGCTTAGAACAGCTGTTTTTTAAGCTCCCAGATTCTGTAGGTCAGGAATTAGGATTGGGAAGAGTGGAGATAGTTTGGACCTCACATGGAAAGACCCAAAGGCTGGGTTGACCTGATGTCTGGGGGCTTGAGTCATCTGAAAGCTTGTGCACTCAGTGCCTGGTTCCTGGCCTGGGATGACTCCCACACTAAGACTGCTGACCAGAGCACCTGCACCTAGTGTCTGCAGGTAATTTGACTTTATCACAGCACAGCAGCCTCAGAAGAGTTGGATATCCTACATGTAACTCAGGAAATATGAGTGATCCCACAGACACGGCGCAAGATGCATGGCCTCTTATGACCTTGCCTGGAAAGTCACTTTTCTTCAGCCTTACTCTATTGATTGAAACAACTATATCCCTGCCCAGATTCAAGGAAGGAATTAGACTTCACATCTTCATGAGGAGTGGCAAGGGCACATTAAAGAAGAATGTATATGCTAAAGGATATCTTTGAAAATTGCAAGTTGGCACAGTTATAATTTAATATAACTGGAATAAAATTTTCTTTCCCGATCTCTGTGTTTTAAAAATATTTTCATATTAAATACTACAAGTCACAATGTTCAAGCTCTCAGAGGTCTTATGTAACTGAAAGCATTGGGATTCTAGAGATGACAGTGTGCTTTATAATTATCTTGAAAAAAAGTTGTATAGTAATAGTAAATGGTTTCAGTTCCAGCTATCTCCAAATGCTGGCTTGATGCAGAAATCAAGCATGAAAAAGATCACATTTGCAGCCTCAAAAAGTTGACCTGTCATAGCACTGCTGTAGAGACCTTATTTTTTAAATACCTCCTGATCTATTTTACTGCTTTTTAAACTTAATATTTTTGTTTTTATGTACGCTTTGTAGCCATCTCATCGTGTTGCCTAAAGGAAACGGAGTGCAAGTGCCACCTGAGTAGGGACACAGCAGAGAAGCCGTCGCTGTCCAGCAGGAAAGGTGAAAGCCTTTCCAGTGAGAATGAGGAGCTAGAGAGAGGAAGTGGGAATTTGGTCAGGTGTAATCAGTCCCTAGCCTTGGTGCAGAATCTGCGGGGTGTGTACTGAGAAAGAACCAGAAGGTTTGGGAGAAATCCAGAGCAGAGACGTTTTTATCTAAGAACAAAGCTGGAGGCATCACACTACCTGACTTCAAACTATACTACAAAGCTACAGTAACCAAAACAGCATGGTACTGGTACCAAAACAGAGATATAGATCAATGGAACAGAACAGAGACCTCAGAAATAACGCCACATATCTACAACTATCTGATCTTTGACAAACCTGAGAAAAACAAGCAATGGGGAAAGGATTCCCTATTTAACAAATGGTGCTGGGAAAACTGGCTAGCCATATGTAGAAAGCTGAAACTGGTTCCCTTCCTTACACCTTATACAAAAATCAATTCAAGATGGATTAAAGACTTAAACGTTAGACCTAAAACCATAAAAACCCTAGAAGAAAACCTAGGCATTACCATTCAGGACATAGGCACAGGCAAGGACTTGATGTTTAAAACACAAAAAGCAATGGCAACAGAAGCCAAAATTGACAAATGGGATCTAATTAAACTAAAGAGCTTCTGCACAGCAAAAGAAACTACCATCAGAGTGAACAGGCAACCCACAAAATGGGAGAAAATTTTTGCAACCTACTCATCTGACAAAGGGCTGATATCCAGAATCTGCAATGAACTCCAACAAATTTACAAGAAAAAAACAAACAACCCCATCAAAAAGTGGGCAAAGGACATGAACAGACACTTCTCAAAAGAAGACATTTATGCAGCCAAAAAATACACGAAAAAATGCTCACCATCACTGGCCATCAGAGAAATGCAAATCAAAACCACAATGAGATATCATCTCACACCAGTTAGAATGGCAATCATTAAAAAGTCAGGAAACAACAGGTGCTGGAGAGGATGCGGAGAAACAGGAACACTTTTACACTGTTGGTGGGACTGTCAACTAGTTCAACCATTGTGGAAGTCAGTGTGGCGATTCCTCAGGGATCTAGAACTAGAAATACCATTTGACCCAGCTGTCCCATTACTGGGTATATACCAAGAGGAATATAAAATATGCTGCTATAAAGACACATGCACACATATGTTTATTGTGACACCATTCACAATAGCAAAGACTTGGAGCCAACCCAAATGTCCAACAATGATAGACTGGATTAAGAAAATGTGGCACATATATACCATGGAATACTATGCAGCCATAAAAAATGTGAGTTCATGTCCTTTGTAGGGACATGGATGAAATTGGAAATCATCATTCTCAGTAAACTGTCGCAAGAACAAAAAACCAAACACCGCATATTCTCACTTATAGGTGGGAATTGAACAATGAGAACACATGGACACAGGAAGGGGAACATCACACTCTGGGGACTGTTGTGGGGTGGGGGAGGGGGGAGGGATAGCATTGGGAGATATACCTAATGCTAGATGACGAGTTAGTGGGTGCAGTGCACCAGCATGTCACATGTATACATATGTAACTAACCTGCATGTTGTGCACATGTACCCTAAAACTTAAAGTATAATAATAAAATTAAAAAAAAAAAAGGTTTTTATCTGTATTAGGAATTCCTTTTAGGAGTTCCTATGTTCAGAGAAAGACAGTGTCATGCAGAAGGAGGTAGATCGGGATGATGAGGAAGGCATCTACTTACTGAGTAAGGCCTCAGGGCACTCACAACCCCTACAGGGCCTGCTAAAATGCTAAGCGACCCAGGCCAGGGAAAGATTGGAACTGTGACATGAAAACCACAGATAAAAAGAATTACAGGCTTCAGCCATAGCTGTGCCTATGATGTTCAAAGGAGTGATCAGTTGGTAACCTGTATGGATACTCATTTGCAGAAACATCACAGGTAGGCATAAGATAGTCCTCCCCACATAGAACAAGATGATACTTGACTTTCTACCCTTTCGCAAACACCTGTCCCTTCCCCACTCCAAAATAATTAATCTCCTGGAAAAGGCAAAAGAAGGAGTGGGGTAGAGGCAGGGAATCCAGGACTAACTACACTTAATTTTCTTGAATTAATTAAGTGTAGTTAGTCCTGGATTCCCTGCCTCTTATTCTTGAATTAGTATTTATCCAACATAAGCTGAATTTAACTTAAAGAGACCAATATACCAAAAGATAGCTAAATATCTTGAGTGAACAAATTTAATTTCCTTATTCCACCACAAAGCAGAAACTAGGGTGGGGTAGGAGAAGGGAGGTAAAAACAGGATGAGAACCATTTAAAAATAGAGAACATTCTTTTCTTTGTACCTTGGAGTCGTAGTGGATACTTGTGATCATGCTACCCAATTACAACACTAAATTTTAATAATCTCTTCTGTAGGGGAGGGAAATCTTTTCTCCTCTCCCTTTTAGGTTCATTGGTTGAGGCCCTGCAAATTAGACTGAGAAAAGGCAGACTAGGAGTAAAACAAACAGAAGTTTATTAACATGTCTATCACTCACACACTTGGGAGTGCTCAGTGATGAGTAACTCAAAGGGGTGGTTAGAATTTGGGGTTCACAACTTCGTAAGTGAAAAGGAGGGGGAAAGGAGGCACTGAGGAAACACAAATAACTTTTTGGAAAACTATGTGGGCCCTGAGGAGAACAGATGGGAGATATGACCGTCTTGTAACAATGTCTGTTAGGTGTCCTCTCCTGTGATAAGAGCCAGTCTTGGTTCTTTTGGTAGGCTCTGCTTATAGGCAGTAAGGGGAGTTTACAGAAAGCCTCTTTCTAATCTTGCTGAATCTCAAATGTCTTTTGCTCAAAATAATCCTTATGCCAGAGTAGCGTATTCTGGGGTGGCATTCTCTGAATATCTGCAGTTCATACAACTCTTTCCCTCCTAGACTGGAAGCTGAATGAGGGTAGGGATCTTTCTCGTGCATCCTTCTAACTCCAGGCCTGACACAGAGGAAACACTCCATCATTTCCTACTAAAAAAAATAAACAGCCCTCATAGGCACCAGTCAACAGAGAGGGGCTCAGTTGCAGGTTATTCTTGGCTGGTGTAATTAGTGGACAAATAGGCAAGGTTTAAACAAACAGCAAAAGTTCCAAAGTTTGAAAACTTATTTCCCAGCACTCTTCTAGCCTTGCTGTGTGACTTCACCTTGAGTTATGAAACAGTTATATAACCGAGATCCCCAGCAGAGCACTGCACTTGAAGCTGATTCTGTTTTGTTCAAAGGAAACCCAGATTCTAGGTACATAATGATGGCACCCCGGAGCTATTATCAGTGTATATTGTGGCTTTGGTGTTGATAATGAGTGTGCTCAAGTACATTCCATTCCTCTCTCTGTTTTAATCTCAACGGCACTCTGGTTACAAAGCAGTGAGCGTGGCCTTATCTCACGCTTTTGTCTGCTTTGGTGCTTTTCAGCGTATTCTTGGGTCAAGGGTGAGATTCCATTCCTGGTTCTCAGCTGTAACTCACCTGGAACAAACCCTTCTTTGCTTTTCCTGTCCCCAATTGTGCTTTTAAAAAAGGCAGGCTTTGGGACTACTCCATGTTCTGTCCTAGAAAATTTCTTTTCACTCAAGTCTGTAAAAGGAATGTTCAAAACGTGATAACTATATTCCTTTTGGTCACACCCCACCCAGCCATATGTTGTTGTTTTTTCAGCACACTTAGATTTTTTTGCAGGATGCCAATATGTTGTTTTTTTGGGTTGCCGCTTGTTTTGGAGTGCTTTTTTTTAGCCCTGTGGTCGTGAGAAATATGCCACATTTCTGGGATCAGCCTCCTTGACCAGACCCCACGTTTCATGGGAGTTGGCTGGTGTCTGACTAAAGAATTTCAAGACAGAAGAAGGAACTTCTTTTTTGTGTCCTGGAAGGTCTCCAGATATGGAACAAGGAGGCAGTTAGCAAAGCAATTGTCATTTTTATTCCTGAGAGTGAAAGTCGTCTCCAGCCTCGCCCACCCCCAAGACACAGATAAAATATGTCTCTGGTTTTGTTATGTGTCTGAGTTCATGTTCCCATGTTCACATATGTGTATTTGTAGGGACAAACTTTCTTTCTTGTTTCAACTATTTTAATTTTTTTTTTCTATTTTATTTCTATTCTTGTGTATGTCCTTAACTAGGGCACATATTTTTCTTCTCTGTGCCTATCACTCTTTCCATGACCTAGAGAAACCATCACAGCCCCATTTACTGAGACACTGGAGATGCATCGTCTTTAACCTTCACAGCCTCTGAGACAGAAGGGCTGAGAGGCAGTTAACTTGACCATTCACCAAGCCACTAAGTGGCAGAGCTGGGAAAGTGCAGGTGTCTCTGGCTTCTGGTGTTGCATTCTGTCTCCATCCCCTGCCCTTAGCTCCACCCAGTAAAATTAAAGGTCTCCACTAGGACCAGCTCACAGGTTTTCCTCTCAATAAAGCCGATTCTGATTCCCATCCATATGTGCAGGTACTTCTTCCATTTATAATTAGACTCCTGTTAATAGATTGGACATTTGCATATTTATCTTAACTTCACAATTTAGATATGTATCAACTTCCACAGCTACATTGATAATCTCATTAAAGGCAGGGACTTTGTTCTTGCTGATGGTTTTATCCTGCTAAGTGGTTAGCTATACATGTCCTAGAGTTAGGCCTGAATTTGAATCCAGAGCAGTTGACTTTTATAGGCTAAGGTAGTGTCCTCATATGTAAATGGAGCCAACAATGCCAACCTATAGAGTTATTGAGAGGATCAAACAAAATAACTACCTATAGATTGGAAGTTATGTGTTACTCCCTTTAAAGCCCCCATTCTTTAGGAAATTTATATGGTTCTCTAGGACTTTCATTTCTAGAAGTGCCAAACTTTATCAATGCCATGCCTCTCCTATACATTTATCCCTCAACACAATTCCTGGAGCAGCACGCTGCATCTGACCTGTCACTGTCTAGATTGTACCTTGATGTGGGTAGAGACTTCATTAAGAAGTTTTTTGGCCTGGAAATTGTTAGCTGTAAAATCATTCACTATTACTTCCTGAGCACTCTCTGCATTCCAAGGCTCATTCTAAATAATTATAACAATTATTTAATTACCAAAATTTATACATATTGTTATAGAAATGATAACATGTGTTGGTTTTATTCCCTCATGTTCTAAGGTGCTCTTTGCAGATTTTTAAAAATCTTTAAGACAATGCTTTGAAAGTGGCACTATTATTATTCTCACTTTGTAGATGAGATCACTGAGTTGTACGGACTTTTAAAAACTTCCAGAAGTTTGCACATTTAGCATGAGGTGGAACAGGAATTTGAATACAGGTAGTCTGACATATGTGTTATACAATACTAGGCCTTTTTCATATGTATGATAAAATTAGATTCTTACTGTAAGTTTTGGAGATGGGTGAGGTTGGTAGTATTTTGAAATGAAACAGAGGCTGGAAGAAGCTAAAGGCTTGTCCAAACTCACCTGTCCTGCAGATTCCAGTGCAGGATGTTGAGCCAGGCATTTGATTTCCTGGACTCCTGCCTAGTGCCCTTACACCCCTTCTGCTGGACCAGACTGAGTACTCTTCCTTACAGGGTGACATGGAGCAATGAGGCAGAAGGAAGAGCTCAATTCATTATTCTCCAATTACATGATCAAGAAGCAGCTAGTGCTGTCTTTCCAGATCCTTACTAGAGATGGCAGAAACTCATCGATTTTTACTTCAATTTAACTTTCAGCCTTAAGCTTTTGTGTCAAAGTCCTGAAAACAAAATTTAGAATTTCTGAGACCTATAATATATATCCACCCCCCATCTATATGTATACTTATGTTATATTCAAATGTGCTAAAAAAAAATAACTACTTTGACTATGAATTGACTTTGGCTTACAATATCTATACTTTATGCCTTAACATTTTTTTTCCATTTTCTTCTCTTGGGGTAAGCTGTGAGTCTTGTGGAGTGGGTAAGGCACAACACCAGTTCCTGAGTTCCACTGAGTTGTCACAAGTGGGTGTGGGAATTGTCCCTGTCACATCAATAATTTCAGAGCCCAAGTTCCTATTGATAAAAGCAGACATTGGGAAGAAAAGATTGACATTTAAAATCTGTGATTGTCTACTCTGCTGGCAACATTTTTTTTCTTCCCTTGTACATAAAAACTAAATTAATCCTTCTCAAGTCATTATTTTCTTTGCATCTAGAAATGCTATTAGGATATTTCCAGGCTGCCACTGAGGCTATGGTTTGTAGATGACCGGAGCAGATCCCAGGGGGCTCCACCTGCCTGACCCTCTCATATGCAGGAAACAAAGCCCAGACCCTGGACAGCGCGTGTCCTGTGACTTAGAAACTTGAAAGCGCAGAGCCGGTCTTTTATGTTGGCTCTAGGACAGCCCTGGACTTCTGTTTCCCTATTCCTTTGTTCATAATGTTTTCTTAGATAAAATTGTCCTTTCCTGCCAATTTTCAATTTTATCTTTCGTGGTCTCATCATCCTTCAGGGACTAGTAGAATAACAAAATAGTATGGAAAAAAAGCAGGAAAGCAAGACAGAATAAGGGGTGGGAGACAGGATTCCATTTTAATTAGAGTGGTTTGGGTGACCCTCACTGGGAAGGTGTTATGTGAGCGAAAGCCAAAAGGAAGTGGGGCAGCGGCAACAAAGATAACTGGAGGACAAATATCACAGGAAGAGGACGGGCGGGTGTCAGCAGAAGCAGCAGCACATGGGGCCGGGTGGGGGTGAAGGGGTAGGCATAGAGTGAGGGAGAGAGTGGGGGAGGCATTAGTGGAGGTGAGAGTGGAGAGGGTGTGATAAGAGGTGGGGCCAGATCTCATAGGCCATCTTAAAGAATGTGGCTTTCCCTCTAAATTGGATGGGAGTTACCTTCATAATATTGGTAGGGGGTTAGTTATTTAGGAATTAGTAGCTTTACACATGACCAGAATAGATAGTTACCTTTTAGTTGTGATTTAGGAAGTACTCTTATGTTACTGTTTTCAAGGTATCTCTCCATTGATCTTGTCACAGAGAAGATTAGTATCCTCTGAGGCAATGATGTGGCACTGTGGTCTGAATGTTTGTGTCTCCCCCAAATTCATTTGTTGAAATCCTAACCCCCAAGATGATATTAGGAGGTGGCCTTTTGGAGATAGTTAGGTCAGGAGGGTGATTAGTGCCCTTATTAAGGGAGCCCGAGAGAGACCCATGACTCTTCCACCCTGTGAGATTAGAGTGGGGAAATAGCTGTAGAGGAGGAAGTGAGTCCTCACCAGAAACCAAACCTGCTGGTGCCTTAATCTTGGACTTCCCAGCCTCCAGTACTGTGAGGAAAAGAATATCCTTTGTTTATAGCCCACTCAATCGATAGTATTTTTTTACAGCAGCTGGAAAAGACTAAGGCACTTAGGTTTCAGTCTTCTCTGGACCATTTATGTTTGGGTGTCCTGAGGTACATCGCTTATTCTATTTTTGCTCAATTTCCTCATTTGCAGAATGCGAATGATATTCCTAACTTACCTAATGGCTCATGTTGGAGGAATAAGATAATCTTCTTAAAAATGCTTTTGAGATTCAGAGTATTATAACAATATTATATTATTTTTCTTCATGCAGGAAGGTCTCTAGAGAAATGCAGACGTGATCCACAGTTATCACGACGTGCAGATGAACCTTGGTTTATCAGATGGCATAGCTGAGTCCTTAAGGAATATCACCCAGAGAGCTGAGCTTCAATGAGGTAAAGTGAAGCATGAGTTAGAATGCAAGCTCTGATCAGAAGCATATCACAGAGAATATACCAGTTATCTAGGGCTGCTGTCAAGAAGTTCCACACTAGAGGCTTTAATCATGGAAATTTATTCTTCCACAGTTCTGGAGGCCAAAAGTCCAAAATCAAGGTGTTGGCAGAGCCGTGCTATCTCCAAGTGCTCCGGGGGAGCATCCTTCCTTGCTTCTTCCAGCTTCTGGTGGCTCCAGGCATCACTTGGCTTGTGGCTTCATAACCTCTGCGTCTGTCTTCATGTGGCCTCTTCTTCCCTATGTTTCTCCTCTTACGAGGATACTTGTCACTCACTTTAGGGTCCCCCTGGATAATCCAAGATGATCTCATCTTGAGTTCCTTAATTATATCTGCAAAGACTCTTTCTATAAATAATGTTATATTTACAATTTCTGGAGGTTAGGATGTGGATATATCATTTTGGGGCCATCATTCAATCCACTACAGGGAAGTTCCTACCAGTTAAAAAAAAAACAGCTTGAGGACAAGGCACTCATGATAGAAAATCCATGTAGGGTAACTGGAATAGAGATTTGCTAAGGGGAATGAAAGGTATACATTTGTATCTGGCAATCGTATATCCAGAATTGAAGAATCAGTTCTCAAAGCCTCTCTCTATTCAAGGAAGCTCAAGTCCCTCTCTCGCTCTCTCCCAAATTACAAAAGCTCAATGATGTATCCTGTTTCATCTAATCCTCTGGTTTAGGGCAACCAAGGACATAAGTTTCTCCTCCTTTACTAAACTATAGAATTGTGCATGTTAGAGCTTGAAAAGACCATTAAAATGATCTCAGTCAACTTTTTTCTTTTAAACCCTAGTGACCTTTTCAAAGTTACACAGCAAGTAATAAGATGAGAGCTGGAATCCAAATTCTACAATCTACACACATGCCTTCTTCATTGCAGGCTACTCTCTTGGAAATTCTTCCTTCCATCCTCCTTTTCTCCTTCTTCCTCCCATCCTCCTCCCTTTCTCCTTTAGGTGGAAAAGGTTGCATTTACAGTATAACCCTCTACAAACCCCAATTCTTCTCTCATCTCTCATTCTTAACTCTCATATCATTGATATAGGTGAGAGAGTTGAAAAGTTAGGTAACCATTTTTTAACAACTTCTTTGTAAATTTTGTTTCTGTTCTAGATCTCCTCTAAGATACTACTTCTGTTTTCTTTGGTCTCAGCTAAGATTTCGATTTTAACATCCTGTTATAAGTTCTGTCATAGTTGCATACAAAGGATGTTATGGAAACACACCAGAGGCAAACCTAACTTGGCCTTGCTGGGTTCAGGGAAAGCTGGGTATGGCCAGGAACTTACTAAGTGGAGTCCTAAATGCTGAGTTGAAGTTATCCATGTGAAGGGGGACAGTGATGTATGTGTGGAAGGTGGGGAGTGAAGAAAGAGGGAGGAAAGGCATTTAAGGCAAATGAAAAAACATTTGCAAAGACCTAGACTGAGAGAAGACACTGTGCCTTTTTGGAACTGGCATTGAAGTGTGGTATGGCTAGAGTTTTGAGAGGTGCAGCTGTGTGTGTGTGTTCATGGAATGGGGACAGGTGGGAGGAACTCAGGCAAAAAGTGAGGTGAAAGAGGTAGGCAAGGGGCAGATCATGAGGGTCCATGTAGGTCAGGCTAAGAAGTTTGAGTTATCCTGAAGATAATAGGAAGTTTTTTGAAGTGACAGGATCAAGCCAAGTGTGCTGGCCCACACGTGCAATCCCACCTACTTGGGAGACTGAGGTGGGAGGATCCCTTTGAGCCCAGGAGTTTGAGACCAGACTAAGCAACATAGGGAGACCCTGTCTCTACAGAAAATTTTTCAATAAATAATTTTTTAAAAACAATGAAATGACAGCATCAGATTTCAATTCTAGAAAAGTTTTTCTGTCTTTTTGTAATGGGGAATTAGATATAGCAAGATGAACAGGAAAGGCTGTTTAAGGGTTTAATTATGCTAACCTGGACAACCAAAAGTGTTAATTTCAGGCACTGTTCTAAGTGCTTTTCTTTTGTCATCCTGGGTAATCCTTTCAAGAAAGTGTCAAGGTGGACACTATTAGTATTCCCATTTACAGATGAGGAAACTAAGGCACAGATTATTATGATCACTCTGACTGTTGTGTGGAAAATGGATTAGATGGTGGGCACAAGTTAACGCAAGGAGGTCAGAGAGGAGAATTTTTCTAAAGTTCAGGCAAAAGATAATGATAGTGTAGAGAAAGGATAGGAGAAATAAAATAAAGAGCAATGAACATATTTGAGAAATGCTGAGATTTGTTGATGGACTAAATGTTGAAAAGTGAAAAAATCAAGGATTATTCCAAGGACATTGGCTTAAATGGACATTTTGAGGTCATAAATAGTTGTATAGAACAAACAAAAGTTGTATAGAGGGAGTTTTTGAAGGCATACCATTGATTTAGCAGCTGTTTCCTGAGTTCTTGAGTTGTGCCAGGCACTGAGCTGGTTGACCCACTCTCAGGCAGCGATTCCATCATCAGCCAAACCCAGTGGGCTGGTAGAAGAGTCAGGACATGATAATTAAAGGCAGGCAGCCATGCGTGGCTATGTCCTCATATTCACTTCCATCTCAAGCCATCCCTCAGCTTTCTGCTGTCACTTAGAGGCTTCTTTATCATGGAAAAGAGAAATAAGTGAAGGTGATAGAGTAAAGCGACCCTTTCCTTCTCCCTCCCTAAACAAGTAATAGAGGACCTTGGCTAAGAATGTAATTGAGTTCTTATGAGGGGTAATCATTAAGCCGTATTTGGGTGATTGTGTAGCAAAGAAATGGATATTAAGAAGTTCAGTTTTGGGACCCTTGTATTCATCAAATTCTATGTGTTCTGAGTTCCAGGTACTTATATCCAACTGCCTGTTTTATACCTTTAAGAACTTAGGAATAGGCACCTCAAGCTTTATAACCTAAACAGAAAACTCTTGAATTTTCCGTACCTCATCCCATCCCACCCTTACAATCTGTCACCCCAACAGCTGGTTCAAGAGCACCAGTAGTTACTCAGGTACAGCACTAGAAATGATCCTTGATTCTTCTCATTCCCTCCCATATCACCTTGACCCCACCAACAAGTTCTGTTGGATCTAGTTCCAAAACACACTGGATTCCCAAATCTGATCACCTTTTATCATTTCCACAGCTACAACCATGATTCCAGTTCCCACCATCTCTCTCCAGTTTCCTGGCTGGTCATTGAACCTCCTGTTTAGCCCTCCCGACCCCATCATCTATCCTCCACAGTGTTGCCAGAGCAGTTACATTTTAAAAATCATGCCAACTACTTACATCAAACCTCTGAAGATTTCCCATTGCATGTGGAATAACTACCAAACTTTTCCCCACTGTATAATGTGACTCCTATATGCCTTGCTGACCTCTTCAGCTTCCCCTCAACTCCTCATTTCATGGACCGGGATGCCTTTACACATGCCTTTTTGTCTTTCATCCTTGCCAAGCCTATTCCTAGTTCAGGGCCTTTGCACTTGCAATTCCTTCTACTTAGAATGTTTTGGCTCCTTACTGTCACATGGTGCGTCCTTTTTGCCTTCAGGTCTCAATTTGAACGCCACTTTCTCTGGGTGGCCATTGTAGATTGCCTGAACTAAAGCCACAACCCAATCACTTGCTACAGCATTATCATATTTTATAATCTCTGAAATATTTAAATGTACCTCACATTTTATTTCATATTTATCTGTAAATATGTTTATTACCTCTTCCCAGCACAGAAGTTTAAGTTTCTAGAGGGCAAGACTCTGTCTGACTTGTTCATACTTTTAACTCCAATATCTATAGAAACAAATAAATATTTGTTTGTGGGCGGACTGAGTAACAGACAGACTAAGTCTTTTTTATTCCTGGTAGGCCTGAAAGAGAATGGTTTGAATGGTTAAAAGAGGAAACGTTTGAATGGGTGAAAGAAAGCAACCTTGTACTACACAATAATGCAAAAAAAAAAAAAAAACTCCATTTTAAGAGAAGCACCTTGCAAATTATGGAACAGTGGTCAGAATATTTAACTCTTAGGAGTTTAGAGGCCAGGCACAGGGGCTCACGCCTGTAATCCCAGCACTTTGGGAGGCTGAGGAGGGCAGATCACCTGAGGTCAGGAATTCGAGACCAGACTAACCAACAAGGAGAAACCCCGCCTCTACTAAAAAATATACAAAATTAGCTGGGTGTATTGGCGCATGCCTGTAATCTCAGCTACTTGGGAGGCTGAGGCAGGAGAATCACTTGAAACTGGGAGGTGGAGGTTGCGGTGAGCCAAGATTCTGCCATTGCACTCCAGCCTGGGCAACAAGAGCAAAACTCTGTCTCAAAAAAGAAAAAAACAAAAAACAAACAACAACAACAACAAAAGAATTTAGAATATACTGTCTTGAGAACTAGTGTTTGTCCTTGGTGTATAGGTGCATACATTTGGTTAAACAACTACTCACTGGGCTATTGGAAGAATACAGTGGCCAGAAATTAAAATCAATGAGCAGGTCTTAAGCAGACTGATTTTGGAGGGCCCCAGATCATCCTGGACTTTCAACTTTACTTTCATTTGAGGCAAAATCATTGATGATCCGGCAGAAATCCCACAGATAGTTTCTTTAGACTAAACATCTCAGACTTAAATAATGTACTAATAGGAATGAGGCATAAATCCTGAATGAGAACAATACTTACAAGAGGGGATAGAGTTTTCCATGACTGGGAGGAGATTCTGAAGACAAATCTAAAGAAGTAGAGATTGGGAACCTAACAGTGGGAGAAACAAGTTAGGAGCAGGAGTGTGACAAGGGGTATCCCTTGGAGGCAGGGAAAAATGGGGTCTTCTACAAGTGGAGTTCTCAGCTACAGCTCATGTCAGAAGGCAACATTTAACAGAGGGTATTGTGTTGAGGAGCTCCAGGCAATCACCAGCAGCTAAATAGGCAGTGGTCAGTGGTCCAGCAGGGAGCAACTAGAAGGAGTTTGTAATTGTGAGGACGGGCCCCAGGAAGCCCGCATAGGAAAGTCATGGCTGCAACCTCCAGGCCTCCACTATGTATTAGAGGAGGCAGAGTATTGCTGAGGGAGCCAGGGGGAAGCAGACCCTTGTTTACACCTGATCCTCCTCCCTGTTCTTCAGGTTTGACCTTTCAGCCTTAACTCTCCTCAAGCTCTACTTGAGTTTGTAAGTGTTTTCTTGTATTTGTCATCAATAAGACCAGCTACATAATTTTCGGGGCCCAGTGTGAAACAAAAATGCTGGGCGCCCTGTTTAAAATATATTGAGAACTTTAAGATGACAGCAGAACATTAAGTCAAATTCAGGACCATTCTAAGCTTGGGCGCTGTGTGACTGCACAGGTCGCACACCCATGATGCCTGCCCTGGTCTATGCTTAGAATTCTGAGTTTAGGGCACCAGCTCCAAGCAGCCAGAACGCTACCAACCCTACCCCATCATTTGAGCTCCTTCTCTGAGACCCCATTCATCATCTGTTTCTTAGGGTCCTGATTCTTACAGCCATATAAAAATTTCATTCATATTCAGCTTTATATTGTGTTATTTTCTTGAAAACAGAGACTAGATTTAGATAAATTTCAAGTACTTATAATCATGCTAACATGGCATGGGGAGAGCTGTTTCCACCCAACATCCAGAATGTGGGGACACTGATGAAACAAGTCCTCTTTTTTTTTTTTTTTTTTTGAGACGGAGTCTCGCTCTGTCGCCCAGGCTGGAGTGCAGTGGCGGGATCTCGGCTCACTGCAAGCTCCGCCTCCTGGGTTCACGCCATTCTCCTGCCTCAGCCTCCCAAGTAGCTGGGACTACAGGCGCCCGCCACTACGCCCGGCTAATTTTTTTTTTTTTTTTTTTGTATTTTTAGTAGAGACGGGTTTTCACCGTTTTAGCCGGGATGGTCTCGATCTCCTGACCTCGTGATCCGCCCGCCTCGGCCTCCCAAAGTGCTGGGATTACAGGCGTGAGCCATCGAAACAAGTCCTCTTAACATACCAGACCCTTCACCTGATTCAGTCTCAGGACAACCCACCAAGCAGTCAGAATTGCAGGCAGCTTCTCTAACCTGATCACCTCCTCAAGGCTTTCTTCCAAGAGCATTTCCTTTCCCCATTTACTTCTGGTGAGTTTTGGTCTGACATGCATGTTGAGAAGGTAGAACATGGAGATAAATAGGACCCTAGGTATCGTCTTAAAGATCCACAGAGCATAACCCCTCAGAAATAATTCCTGGCTTGGCAACATACTGATGTCCTTAAAAATGTTCTCCTTTGGAACTCAGAGCATATTTGAGGCCATTGACTGAATGTTCCAGAAGATAAGAACAACCCACAGCTAAGGATGTACTCTCTCTCTACCATTCAAAGCTTCTAGAGATAGGAACTCTTACAATCTCATTCATAGATTAAAAATTGATCTGAAAGACATTCTGTTTTACTGTAGGCAACACTTTTGGAGAGAAAAATTCTCTTCCACCTTTTGACAAATAACATGCATCTTAGACCTTCCTTTTGTCATAACAAGTCCATCCCATCACTGGGTGTGAAGTTATTTCCTCCCTGTCTCTCTCTTCCTTGTGTATGTTCCAATCTACCCCTGGGCATTAAGGCAACATGACATAAGAATATATTTTCTAAATTTGCATAAAATGAGAACTTCACAGATGGGCAGCACATGCTTCCCATAAGTCCAGTGTGAAAATGGCTCGATAGCACTTGTCGCTACACACATTCTTTCCACATTTCTGGCACACGTACATCTTAAACAAACAGGAATTGCGACAAGCAAAACAGATGGGCAACAAAAAAAAAAGTTTTCAAGGCACGCATCCCAAAATTCTTCCTTGAACATGGTACTGTATCACTTGTCACAATAAATCTGAAAGTACTTCGGGTATTAACAGACAGTCTTTGCTGGAGGGGAAAGCTCAAGATATTCATTTTTATAACTAAAAAGAAAAGAAAAGGTTGGAAACACCTTTGCCTCCCCTAATTATAGAGAGACAGGCTCCAAACTGTCCTTCTGTATATCGGGTGACTGGCTTATTGTGTAGGAAATTTCTCTGGTGTCCTTTGCTTTGTCAATACGCAGAAATAGAAGTGGTATCACTAGAGAGTAGGAGTGGACAAAAGCATATTTCATATTCCACACGTTGTCAAGCATGGTTCTTGATTTATTTATCTGAAGCTACTCTCTACCAGGTAGCTTTTACCCAAAGGCATGTACATCAGCATTGAAGAATGAGACATAGTAACAGAAAAGGTTTGCAACATCAGCATCTAACTAAATCATTCTCAGGAGTTATAAGCAACATTAGAGCTCTCTCTACATTTCTAAATTTCTAAAATTATTTGGAAGGAAATTGAAAGAGCGTTTAATGGGAAGTCACGAAACCAGGGCTTTGATCCTACCTTTATCACAGGCTACCTGGATGAACTTAGCAAGCCACTGAATCTCTCTGGACTTCTGCTGTCACCTGTTCAGTTGGCCACCAAAGGATCTCATTCTCCACTGCTGCTGCTGCCAGTTGTTACCTTAAAGCTGAACACTCAGAGAAATCTGGAACAAATGTCAATGCAAAGCCACGACAACTGTTCTGGGCACTGATTTCTCCTGGTGTTAGGTCAAGAGAGACTTTAGCACCTACCTCAGGGCCAGACCTCCCCGAGTTATTTGCTCCAAAACTTGATACAGTCCTCTCCTTAGCCATCACTCCTCCCCACCCACCAGCTGCAGGCAGCCTGCAGAGCTTAAAGAAGGCAAAAATAATTGTCCCAAATACATTTTCCAGACCTAGGATTTTTAGCTTATGTGGGGCACCAGAATTTCAATCTAAATCTTAAAAAATTTTAGGGCAATCATTTTTCTTCCTCCTTGAAAGCCACAGACAATGATGTGCACTATTTACCCCATAAGAAGAACACGTATTAACCAGGGCACAGCTTCTCGGTGTCTCCAAAAAGCCTTATTTGTTTAAGAGATTCATCTTTGACAGTTTAACAAATAATAATAATGTTAGTCAATATTATTAGTAGATATAGTACTTTCACCTCTAGAAACAGAAATTGACCGCAACCTTCCAAACGGTAGCTCTTCTAAAAAAGGTTTTTTAAATTAAAGTTACTTTACATTGGGCAACTTGCTACACATGTATGTTTAGAACTTCAGTAAATAAGTACATTAAATTATTGAAATATCTCTAATTAATAACAGCTAACATTTATTGATGTTAGCATACACTACGCTAAGCACTTTATTTAATCCTCATGGCAAATCTATAAGATTGATACAATTATCATCATCCCCATTTTACAGAGAAGGATATTGAGACATAAAAGGTGTAATTGTCCTTGGTCACATGGTGAGGACGTAGAACATGCTCAAGCTAAATAATTAATATTCTAGCTGATTTTTGTTGTTTTGTTTTGTTTTTGTCAGTATTCTTGTTATCTTCTTTTTGCCTGTTTTACGTAATAAAAACTTTCATATTTGGTCTAATCATTTATCTTCTAACAGAACTTTGGTAAGCTATGTTGAAAACTGATGTTTAGATTGAAGTCTCTGGAATTCAACCAGATTCTTGGTCACAAAGGACAGTGTTCATCACTATACTTTACTTATTAACAACATAAATTGAATGTTTTAAAAAATAATGAGCAACAATAATTTTAAATAAATGGGATTTTAAGTTAACTTTTGTATAATGTTTATTTATGGTCATTGTAGTTTATATTTTGGCTAAAAATTTCCCTTTTGTGCTTCAATTTTGTTGCATTAATGTGAAATTAGTTTGTATTACTGACAAGGGCGGACCCTCACATAATGAGGCACCGGAAGTACAGTGGGTTGCAAATGAAGCCAGTTTAGACAAATAATCTGTCATGGGCAATCCACCTGGTCGAAAGTCTACCAATGGATTGTCAGTAGTTCACCAGAAAGATTATAAATACCTTAAAAATAACATTTACCAAAGCATGCATTCCTAAAGTCTGCTTCACAATTAAACCATTCAGATATATGGTTCTTCAATACTAAGCCTTTTTTTTTTATCCACCAGATTAATTCTGTAAACTCCAAATTTAGCTTGACAGTTACTTGTGAGAAAATGTCAGTGTGACATCGTGGTAGGCCTTAGGGGACAAATTCCAATAATTCAGAACACTATGGTGGAATCTTTTCTTCCTGTTTGCTGGAAAAGGCAAGCTCAGGGAGCCAAATCCCTCATCCAGATAATTAGCAACTATCCAATCTGTTAATTGAGGACAAATATGCCAAACCTTCTTGGCAACTTCAGTCAAACAGCTGTAGGGTGGTCAGTCAGGCAGGCACAGGTAGCGAGTGCCAGAGCGTGCTCGGCCCTACATTAAAAACTTTATATTAAAGATAGATCAGATGTGCTCTTTGACTTGAAAAAATAAATGTGCTAAATCATTAGAAAATTGGCTGTTCTTAGTCCTAAATTTAGTGATGCTAAGAGCAAAAGGATTTCACTAACCCCTCCCCCTTTTTATGATTTTCAGTGAAAAAATTACTCCCTTCTCTAGTTGTACTGTAACGGGAGAAAATTTCAAGAATCAGGTGTTGCTAGGTCCAAATGCAGGTACATAAAGTATGATGGAGGCTTGAATGCCAATGGGAATAGGACAGATCCTGGAAAGGGATTATTGTATCATTCACACCTGGGATTTTCCAGAAAACTCACCCAGTTTTCTGGCATATTTCTACAGATTTAAATGTAATTACCTGGGTCTCTTCCTACTGGCTATAAAAAATCATTACATTACTAATGCAGAGATCCCCAACTGGAAAGAGCTACCCTAGAGAGGGGAAAAACAGTAGACCAAGGGAAAGAAATGACACTGGACAAAGTCAAGTAAATGCCCCAGAAAGGGTCTGGCAGACAAACTGTGTACCAGAGCCAGTTTCAAGGACAACAATAATTCAATATTTGGTATTCCAATAAAAATATAGATATGTCTTGGCTGGAACAAAAACCTTTTTTTGAGAGTGACACTGTTCCCATGAACAAAGTGATCATCATTTGGCTTTAAATGCTTTCTTTTTTAATTTTTTTTTTATACAGGGTCTTGCTCTGTCACCCAGGCTGGAGTACAGTGGCATGATCTTACCTCATTGCAACCTCTGCCGCCTGGGCTCAAGCAATCCTCTCACCTAAGCCTCCCAAGTAGCTGGGACTACAAGCATGTGCCACCACGCTGAGCTAATTTTGGTATTTGTTGTAGAGACGGGGTTTTGCCATGTTGCCCAGGCTGGTCTGGAACTCCTGGGCTCAATCAATCCACCCACCTCAGCCTCCCAAAGTGCTGGGACTACAGGCATGAGCCACCACCCCCGGCCATGGTTTGAAATGCTTTTTAAGAGTTGAAGATCCACCTGCTCAGTTTGATTTGAACTCGTAATGGAAAAAAGGAACTGGCATTGAAAATAGGAAGGCAAGTTCAGGGTTAAAAATGGCCTAAAAGAGAGCAGAATTCTTGCCTGCCAATTGTGAAAAAAGCAATTATATAACTCTGTGTACATTGGACAAAGACCCATTATGAAGGAATGTGCATGTGAGCCTTTCAAAATTAAGGTCAGTTTTAGTGAGCTGTAACTTGCTAGTAAAACCATGTTTGTCAAACATGTGAAAAGTGAGTAAGATGCTGCCACAACTTATGTGCATGTGAATACCTCAACTGTAACACATTTGAAGGATTTTTAGTGTGTTGTTAACTACTTTACAGTTTTAAAAAAATAGTACTTGACATTTGGAAGTGAAATGATATGTGCAAAACATTAGTCAGATGGTGCTTCTTGCTTTGTGAATGAACTGTATGTAGTCTGAACAAATTAGATCCAAGGTTTAGTGCCATCAACTCCTCAGTCAGAGGCCCACAAACAATTATGCTCCCAAAACACCTGATATTTTAACTGCAAAAACCACCAAATTTATAAAGTTGCTGATGATGCATTGGTAACAAGAGACAGCTTACTAAGTGAAAGAAAGAAAAAAATCTCAAGAGAAGGAAATAATCTATACTGCAATGGTAAGACTAGCTAGAATATAAGCTTCAACCTCCCACACGTCCTGTCTTGTTCATGGTGGTACTTTCAGCACACAGTAGGTGCACAATAAATGCTGATGGCTCTAGAGTTAAAATGCCTGCTTAAATCCCGGCTATAGCATGCATCAGCTGTCAGACCTTGGTGAGTTACTAGGCTCTGAGGGTTTGCTGTTCACATTATGACTGCCTTGGAAGGCTGTGGTGAAAATAAAATGGTATCATGCACATTTGTGCATTTGTAGCACATTGTGAGTCCTCCATAAATGGTTGCTTTTGTGATGAAGATAATAATTTGGGTTTATCTGGGTCCTTTGTTTGAAAAAAAAGTCCACATCTTTCACACCTACAGCCTTCCCACTAGGGGAAAAATTAGTAGTTTAATTTTACCTTTACTACATAGAGTTGAAGATATACTCATTTTTTCTGGCTAAGATTTTACAATGTAAAGTTCAGGAAATGGAGTTTGATTGAAATTCTTTTTGAACACTGACACTTTGAAAATGCATAGACTACAATGACATTATGAAATGATATAATAATATCTGTAATTTCTATTCATCTAAAATAATGGTGAAATCCCACTGTTAAATTATACATCATGACTAATTCTAGACAGCAAATTATCAAGTATTTATTGAGCAAAGGTGACCTTTCCTGACACAGGTGTCGAGTTATGAAGTTTAGCTATTTGAGTACAATCCCTCCCCTCTCTCCAATTGTTTTGTTCTAAAATGGTATCATGCTTTTTTTTGCCAAAAAAATTATAATACTCAATAAATATTTAGTGAATAAATTAATAAAAATGTTCTACCTCCATGAAATATTTTATAATTAACATCTTTTTAAATTGTATTCAACAGGTATTTAGGGGGCATCTTCTAAGTCCAAGTCTCCACTGGAGACACTGGATCATGCATGTGACATGATCCTGGAACTGCATTTAGTCTAGGCTCTTCTCACATATATCAGTCCTCAGAGCCTCACAAGACCTTCCGAAGGCTTTGGCTGTCTTCAGAGATTTGCTAGCATGTAGACAGGCAAACCTAAACATGCACCAAATAGATGCCCCACCATCTGGGGCATTCTCCAGGGCTGTTGGTTCCCACCACCATACAATGGCAATCTGTGGAAGAACAAAGTTATGTCATTACAAAACAAATTAAGAATGTCATTTAGTGCTATTTGTGAAATACAGAATATATGTTTATTTGTATTAATTATACATGGCAAGTCATTAATCCCAGCAAGCTCTTGAACTAGTTTCCTAACTCACAAATGGGTATATTTTTAAGCAGATTTAATGAATTTGTATGGTGCTGAAGAAACTTTTATTGATTTCCTAGAGCTGCCATAACAAAGTACCATAAATTAAGTGGCTTAGAACAATACAGATTTATTGCCTTACAGGTCTAGGGGCTGGAATTCTGGAATCAAAGTGTCGTCAGAGCCATGCTTCCTCTGGAACCTGTAGGGGAAACCCCTCCTTGCCTCTTCCTAGCTTCTGGTGGTTTGCTGGCAATCTGTGATGTTTCTTAGCTTGCAGCTGCATAAGTTCTATCTCTGCCTTCATCCTCACATGGTATTCTCCTTGTGTGTGTCTGTTTTCACCCAGCCATCTTCTTATAAGGACACAGACATGCCAGATTAGGGGGTCACCCTACTGAAGTATGACTTCATCTTAATTCATTATACCAACAATAATTCTATTTCCAAATAAGGTCACATACTGAAATACTGAGGGTTAGGACTTCAATGTATCTGCTTTGGGTAAACACAATTCAACCAATAACAAAACTAAACCTTACAATAGATCTGTGTATGTTGCAGTCAAATAGTAATCTTAGAATGCATTTAATTCTACAGGCTGGTTGGCTCTTTGGTCAAAATGTTTTACTTTCTCTGAATGTCTCTAAAAGAATAAATTTTCCAAAATTTCCATAATCGTGAACCTCTCCAAACTGAAATTAGAAGTTGATCTAGGTAGAAAATGTTTCTAAGCAGCAGGAAATAACTCTGGGGTTCTCACGTGTCCCAGAAAGTGTTATTTATGAAATTGTTGACTACAATGCTATGTTGAGCCATAATTGTTTAAGTTAAATCGTGTGTTTTATGGGCTGCTTGACAAGGCTATATTTTTGTCATGATCTAATAGGAAATCCTTGAGTGTGTCGGAGGGGCCGTTTTTGTTTAGTCCTTTCAATCTATAGTTGGAGTTGAATTAGCATTTTATTTTCACAAAATTTACTTTACTAATTTGTAGTGTTTGGGCTTTGATTTGCATTCAACCAGAGATCTTTTGTTGTATCTTTCTTGTAAATATAAATACTACAATGAAGACATCATTGAAAAGTAGTTAAAATATCAAGTAACCTAACAAGAAGAAATAAGACTTAAGACATTTTTGTAAATAGGAAGATTTTTTTTAATTTTGAGAGAAAAGCACTAGATTGCTGTTTTCTGCTCAAGAACTAAAGAGGAATGTAACAGAAAGTTCATCATGTGCTAATTTAATGTGCTATCTTATTGAACATTCCCATGTAAAAGAGGCTACAAATCTGGAAAAAAAATCAAAACATGTGCGATAGACTATTCCCTGCCTGACACTCAGTGGTAACTGCAGAGAACTGCAGCTCTTGACCTGTGGGAGTTCTGTGGAAAAACCACATGAAGAAAAAATATATCTTTGGAGTTTATCGTTCTTCATATTCATATGAGCCTTCACATTAAAAAAAAATACCTGAATGAATCATCAAGAACTGACCTTAGAAGCTTGAAAGGTGGCTTATGGTATCAAGCCAGGAGAGTGTCTCACAGAGACAAGCAAAAGCAGGCGACCGAAAAATAAGTTTTCCTATTTGCTCTTTTAATGTTGCTTCACTTTTCTCATCTGATTGTCTTATGGAAAAAATAATAAGAGTCACTGTAGAGCTTTGCAATGAGAAAAAAATCAGAGCAAGAACTTAACAAATAAATCAGATAAGATTATTAATTGGTACTACCTTTCTGGAGACTTATTTGCCACTTGCATGAAAATGTTTTTTTTTTAATTGCCTCCGTCTTCAGAAAGTTATTTGTATAAATGTATCCTGATGAAATAATTATTCATCTAGTTAAGAATTTAAGGATCTGTATAGAAAGACGTTCACTACTTGATCATTTATTAGCAAAAATTAGGGGAAAAGCATCCAACAATAGATAAGATGATGTATTTTCTTTATCATTATAAACACTAAAATAATATTGAATAAGAATATTTAATGACAGAAAAGTGTTCATATATTTTTAACAAAAATTTGGTTACAAAAATGATCTAAATTTTGTAAGAAATATATACATGTAAAATATAATGTAATATAGGCAGAAAAAAGACTGAAGCTACATACATTAAAATATTAACAATGGTTATATCTCGGGGAGTGGCAATATGAGTTGAATTGCCATAATGAACACCAATTGTTTTTAAAGAAGAAAAATACCCAATAAAACTATATTTTCTTAAAACAGCAGAACTTTAAAATTGAAGAGCCACTATCAAAGGGACATGGCAGTGGATGGACAGGAGAAAGTGATCACTAGAATATGAAACTACAAACGCATAGGGGTCCTGAATGCAAACATGAAAAGAGGCAATACAGCTGAATCCCAATAAATATGGGTTTGGAGGACCAGTGAGGAAACAGAAATCATGGGACCTTTGTGATGAAGCCACATTATATTCAGCCAGACTGATTGTTTAAGCCACTTCTCCCACTTTGTCTTTAACTGGGACTCCCAACAGGTAGCAGGCTAGCTTGGGAGTCCCATCTCTGTGTGACCTGGCACATGTTTCTTAAGTATTCTGAAATGTGCTAACCAAATCTGAAATAAAGAAAACAATCATAATTTCTCTTTCTACCGCATAGGGTTATGACGAAGATCAGAAAGGCTAGTAAATACGAACAATGCGTTAGAAAGTTCAAATTACTTTGCAAATGGAGAACGATAATGCAGCCTTCTAATTTTCACTCTCACCTTAGTGCAGATGATCAAATTAGGAAAATCCAGGGGCATGCTTGTATTATTGGCACACTGCACAGACATGTCTGAATGAGAGAGAACTAAGTAATAATACCTCACTGGAGCAAAATGTGTGTGTGTGTGTGTGTGTATTTTTTTTTTCAGACAGAGTCTCGATCTGTTGCCCAGCAGTGCAATCTTGGCTCACTGCAACATTCGACTCCTAGGTTCAAGTGACCCTCCTTCCTCAGTCTTCCGAGTAGCTGGGATTACGGGAGCGCACCACCACGCCAGGCTAATTTTTTTTTGTATTTTTAGTAGAGATGGGGTTTCGCCATGTTGGCCTGGCTGCTCTCGAACTCCTGACCTCAAGTGATCCGCCTGCCTCGTCCTCCCAAAGTGCTGGGATTACTGGCATGAACCACGGCGCCTAGCCCTGGAGTAGAATATTGCATGAGATTTCTCTCCCTCTTTTTTTTCAGTTGAGGCTGAGAAGGCCTCAACTTGCTCCTCAATCTAGATACAGGTCCTAAGCCATCTGTGCAGAGCTTGTCAATTATGCAACCTTTAGCCCCCCAGCGACCTCCAGGCTAGGAAAAGCCAAGATTCACTGGCAGAATGATGAAAGTAAACTTATTTGTAAAGGGTAATGGCAGTGCAATTGTTTCTCACAACGTTAAACCAAGTGTGTGTTCATGTGTACATTTGGGGGGTAGGGGAAGACGGGAAACGCAGCTTTCAAAAGAAGCTTCAGAGAGCATATTATAGATCCCCTGGAGGCAGGTGTCTGATTTTCACCTGGAATGTCTGCATTTAGAGGCTGTCTGGAGCTATCCCTGATGGCAGAACAAGGAGGGAGGAGCTTCAGAGTTTAAAGGGGAAAAGCACCAAGTATTTCCCATGCATCAGGGTAAGCATCAGGGAAGGCAGGTCTCACCTGAATTTCAGACTCACATCCGAATTGCTACTAGACTGTCCCCACCAGAGAGCACCCAATTTCCTCAAATTAAGAGCCTCAGCATCTTTACTGTGGATTTTTGCAATAAGCTTCCCATTGATCTCTCTTTCCATTTTGGGCCCATGCTATTTGTTCTGTATGTTATTGAAAATTACAATTGTTCCCCAAAGAGCAGAACTCTGTGTGAGAAAATATATGACTTCTGAATCCAAATGTTAATGATTTTAGAATGAACCAATGATATAGACTCTCCACATCATAGCATGTCTTCCTCACTGAGCATTATTGAGACTTGACACTGCCTCTACCTTAAGTAAATCTCAGCAGTGGACTGGGTGTGCTTCCAACCAAACAGAAACTTTATTGGTTTATTAGTTGGACATTTATGTTATTATTCTAGGCATTATCTTAGAAATTACAATGTGACTTACTGACTTATGAGTCTACCTGCAGTTAGTACTTTCACTAGTCCCTTCGAAAAATACAAGAACATTACCACAGTTTATCTTTCCACTTTTCTCATTATTTTTGTCATACATTACATCTCAATATCTAATCTATCTGTCTGTCTGTCTATCTATCTATCTATCTATCTATCTATCTATCTATCTATCTATCTATCATCTATCTATCTGGAACTCCACAAGACATTACTATTGTGTTAAGCAACCAATATTCATTTATATTTATCTACACATTTACTTTCTTCAGTGTTCTTTATTCCTTTGTGCACATTCATTTTTCCTATATGTAATTACATTTCTCCAACTTGAAAATTTTGTTTAAATATTTCTTCTAGTATTAGTCTGCTGGCAACTAATTCTCTGTTTTTATTTGTCTAAAAATCTTTATTTCAGTTTTATTTATTAAAGATATTTTTTCTTGGTATAGATATTTCATTATCTCCTAATTTTTACCATTTCTATAGAAAAGTCAACTTTAAGTTTATTGTTACTACTTTGAAAATAATACATTTTTTCTCTTCTCTGGCTGCTTTTAAGACTTTCTGTCTCTGGGTTTTTAGCAGTTTGACCCTGATGTAATTAGGTGTGGTTTTCTTTGTATTTCTTTGAATATTACTTCTGGAAATCCAATAATGTATATTAACCTTTTTACCATATCACATATGTATCTTATGCTTTTTACTGCATTTTCCATCCTTGTTTTCTAAGTAATGACCCAACTTTCCATTTTTTAATCCTTGGTTCTTCTATATCTAATTGCCTAATTAGATTTATTATTGGGTTCTTCATTTCAGTTATTATATATTTGAACTTTAGAATTCCCATTTGACTTTTTAAAATAGGTTCCAGGTTTCTTCTGTCTTTTTAAAATAGATTTTAATTCTCCATCTTCTCCTCTATTTTCTTGGACATATTAATTATAGTTATTTTAGTTTCTATGTGGTAACTCTAATATCTGAATCACCCACAGGATTGTTTTTATTATTTGTCTTTTCTTTTTATATACAGTCAGTTGGTCTTTTTTTTTTTATTAACACGACAGAGAGTTTTTTATTAAATGCCTTCATCTTATATGGAAGATTATAGGGGCACAGAATGATGCCCTATTCCTCCAAAGAGGGTTGAGTTTTCTTTGGCAGGTATATCAAGTATCAGCAATTCACCTTGATCCTGTCAAGGGTTGTTTTAGGCTTTATTGGGGTCTAGTCTATTTCAATTTTGTCCTTATTTCTATGGCATGGCCTCTTTGGGATCTCTACTGAAAGCCTGGTATGTTTGCCAGAGCCAACCTGCCATGGCAGGAATTGGACTTCAATCTCTGTCTCTCTAGCATTACAGGGCTACCAAAATATCTACTAAGCAATTTAGGTTTTCAGTTGCTGTTTTTGCTGAATTCCTTGGGATTTCTCCCTCCACGGTGTAAGGGGGAAACTGTGAGCATGATTTTTTTTTTTTTTTAGCTCAATTCTCTATGGCTTTCTTCCCTGAAAGATTTTGCCCCTTCAGTCCTATTTGCTTTAGAAATTCTAAATTTGGACCTCTGTTGCTCAGCCCAATGGAACTGCTGTTTTCCACTGAAACTGGAAAATGCTTTCAGGAAAAAATAAACCTTGGAGTGTATGCAGCACTTACCTCAGTTGCTTCCCTCCTCTCAGGAATCATAGCCCCACGTCCTTTTCTGTGTTGGTTACTCCCAGATGCCTTCAAATACTTGCTTTATTTATCTTCTCAGGCCTTTATAATTATTTTCAGTGGGAAGATTAGACCAATATAGCCACTCAGTTATGGCTAGAAGCAAGTGTCCCGAAGCAGAGTCACATTAAAACAAAAAAAGGAAGTCTGCCGGGAGGCTTGAAGAGGTAGAGGGAAGAAACAAATTACGAGCTGGCAAGGAGGCTTCTTAGGTGGCAGCCACAGCCACCAGTGTCAGAGCATCCTGATATTACCTCAGCATAAGAGGTGAAGCCAAAACATTGGAAAATGATTGTTAATATACACATTGAAGATGTCCTTAAAGAGAACAAGCCAGATCAAAAAGAGAAAACGACTTGCAAGAGATACGGTATGGGAAAGGAGATGAGTGGAAAGTGTACTACATCCTTCTGCAGAAGGATCAAGGTTAACAAAGGCTTGCCAGGAAGAAGTCAGGGTATCATCAAAAAGAACAAGAAATGTGTTCTCAATGTTAGCACTGCAGAGTGTACCTTAGTCAAATCTTATGCAGTTGCAAGGAACAAAAACAAAGCTCTCTTTTAAGCCAAAACCTGGAACTATTTAAAGGATGTGAGAGAGTCGGACCAAGAACTTGAATGCTGAAGAAGCCCAAGCAGGGAAAAGAATAAAATATGTCAAGTTTTGGGAGTCCAAATGAATGCACCCTCTTCACTATAAAAGATGACTTATAATAAGAGGGATATATCCATGTACGTAAAGAGATTTTTGGGATGTACCAGAATCCATGCCAAATCAATAACAAACAAACTAAGATTATTCTGAGCAATTCAGTATGGCATCTAATCCAAAAAAGTTTGAGTTACTTTATTTCTGAGAAAAGAAATTAAAAATTTATTCCTAAAGTAAGATTCAGCCAGGTGTGGTGGCTTATGACTGTAATCCCAGCAATTTGGGAGGCTGAGGCAGGAGAATGCTTGAGCCCAGGAGTTTGAGAACAGCTGAGGCAACATAGCAAGACCCTGTCTCTAAAACAGAAAATTTTAAAAATTGAGGCAGGCATAATGGCACGTTCCTGTAGTTTCAGCTACTTGGGAGGCTGAGGTGGTAGGATCACTTGAGCATGGGAGGTGGAGGTTGCAGTGAACCATGACTGTGCCCCTGCACTCCAGCCTGGGTGACAGAGTGAGACCCTGTCTCAAATAAATGAATAAATAAATAAATAAAATAATTAAAACTTCACAACAGAGATTCCCAAAATCCAAAAGACAGTGATATGTAAGAAAGTCAGGAAGGAGGGAGCTCTTGCTTTCACCACCTTCCACAAGTCCTGTCACCTGGAGGTAGTGATGCCTTTAACCTTAAGGTAGCATCAGCAATCTTAAGAGACTGAGGTAGACATACTAGGAGTGAGGTTTGGAAGTATTTTTCCATGTTACTATAGGATCCATCGTGCATGGAGGAAACACTTGGAACCTATGTGACATGATTTGGCTGTATCCTCACACAAATCTCATCTTGAATTGTAATCCCCATAATCCCCACATGTTGTGGGATGCACCTGGTGGGAAGTGATTGGATCATGGTGGCGGTTTCCCCCATTCTGTTCTCATGATAGTGAGTGAGTTCTCACTAGATCTGATGGTTTTACAAGTGTCTGGCATTTCCCCTGCTGGCACTCACTCTCTCTCCTATCGCCTTGTGAAGAAGGTGTTTGCTTCTGCTTTACCTTCTGCCGTGACTGTAAGTTCCCTGAGGCCTCCCTAGCCATGCTGAACTGTTAGTCAATTAAACCTCTTTTCTTTATAAATCACCCAGTCTTGAGTATTTCTTTATAGCAGTGTGAGAATGGACTAATAAACTACATGTTCATTTCATTCTGTCATTCAGTCAACAAACAGTTACTGAGAATCCACTATATGCCAGACTCTTCAGTAGGTGCTAAGGATGAAGTATGAAGATATGGTGCCTGTTCTCACAAAATTTGCCATATAGCTGGGAAGTCCTAGGGTCCCTGTGTTACAGATTTTCTTCCCAACCCTGGTGTATTAGTCTGTTCTCATGCTGCTGGTAAAGACATATCTGAGACTGGGTAATTTATAAAGGAAAGAGATTTGATTTGCTCACAGTTCCATGTGGCTGGAGAGGCCTCACAATCATGGCAGAAGGCAAATGAGGAGCAAAGTCACATCTTACATGGCCATGGTGGCAGGCAAGACAATGTGCAGGGAAACTCGCTTTTATAAAACCATGAGATTTCGTGAGACTTATTCACTATCACAAGAGCAGCACAGGAAACACCCATCCCCATGATTTGATTACCTCCCACTGGGTCCCTCCCATGACACTTGGGAATTATGGGAGCTACTATTCAAGATGAGATCTGGGTGTGGACACAGCCCAATCATATCACCTGCCCACTTTGTCTAGTGGATCCCCTAGGATTTCTGCCTCTGTTCCTGATAAATGTATCAGTCCCTGCCCTGGGACTAGAATCTGACGCTTAGAAACTTCCAGCCTTTCCCCACACCCCTCTCCTAGCAAACTGGATGATAATAATGGTAACTAGCCAAAACTTATATTGTACATACTGTGTGCCAGGCATTGTTATATCTGTTTTGCATGTATAAATGCATTTAATCTTTACAATCACCTTATGAGATGAATACTATTATTATCTCCAGTTTAAACCATGAAGAATATTATTGCTTACTCGAGAAAAGAAATGGCATGTACTGCCTAGAGCCATATGAATATTTTCCCTAGGAATGTGCCTACTTCCAAGAAATGCTTATAACTGCTCTGGGCGTGGTGGCTCACGCCAGTAAACCCAGCACTTTGGGAGCCCAAGGCGGGGGGATCACAAGGTCAAGAAATAGAGACCATCCTGGCCAACATGGTGAAACCTCATTTCTACTAAAAATACAAAAATTAGCTGGGCGTGGTGGTGAACGCCTGTAATCCCAGCTACTTGGGAGGCTGAGACAGGAGAATCACTTGAACCTGGGAGGCAGATGTTGCAGTCAGCTGAGATCGCACCACTGTACTCCAGCTTGGCTGACAGAGCAAGACTCTATCTCAAAAAAATAAAAAAAAAGCTTATAACTTTGCCCCACCCATGAGGCACCATACTTTGTTGGACACTGATTCTGATCACAAGCCACCTTCTACAGTTGAATCAATATCCCTAAAAATGCTTGTGCTGTCAATGAATACTATTATTATCTTTATACTATTATTATACTATATTACTTATTATCCTATTATAGTAGTATCCACCAAATATTATACTATATTACAAATATTATCTAAATTACTTATTATACTATTATAATACTACCCCCCAAAATCCAAAGGAAAGTAATCCTAACTATGTTTTATGTAACTGCACGAAATTCAGACTCCTCTGTGAACTACTTCCAAGAATTCCTAAGGATTGCTCATTTCAAATACTAATTGTCAGTTATCACCCTGTTCTCTGGACTGTTGCTATATTTTCTTTCCTGATGTCTTCTTCTCACTTTCTCACTTAACCACACATTCAGATCCTAAATATTTAATACAACTTTAGTTAGTATTTTAAGACAACAAAAGGGAAATGGACACATAAGAAAGGAAAGTCTAAAGCTTAGTGTCAGATATCATTTCTCCATTGTCTATTGTTCATGCCCTTTCAGATGAGGTCCTTTCCTGCCCTTAAACTCAGCCAGTTGCTATACAGTTGAGACCCCTCTCCTCGTATCGTAAGACCTCTTCTCTTGACCTCTCTTCTCTGAATCCCAGGACATGACCGACCATGTCTAGGATTTGCCAAAAGAAATCAGCTCAAGTAAATAATCTCTTATGAAAGTTCTCCTCACCACAATTAAGATCCTATTTATATAGAGGATCTTATCTGCCAACTGTCCCAAATTTCAAAATAAAATTTTGTTTTACTTTGTAACAGCCAAATGGCTCATGGCTGTACTTTTCCCAAGGCAAAGCACTGTCTATATCCAACAAGGATTAAGAATACTACCTTTTGCAACAATGAGAAATGGCACAAGTGTTGAAACTATAGTTTTATTAAAGCCCTCCATGAGCCCATGCTAATTTATTCAGGGATGAGGATTCCAGAGCAAATTATTTCACTGTTTTTCACCTCTACCTCCCCCAGGATCTCTGCAAGAGGAAAAGTTTTTCCACCTACAACTACCTCTTATAGGAGGTAGGGAACCTGGGTAAAGGATACATTTCTTTCTTCCAAAGCATATGCCAGGCCAAGGATATTTTTTATTTTGTTAATTTTGTGGGGCTTTTTGTTTTTGTGTTTTCAGAGACAAGGTCTGACTCTGTCGCCCAGGCTGGAGTGCAGCAGTGCAATCATAGATCACTGCAGCCTAAAATTCTTGGGCTCAAGCGATCCACCTCAGCTTCCTGACTGCCTGGGACTACAGGCATGTGCCACTACACTGGCTAATTTATTTTACTTTTTGTAGAGTCGGGGTCTCGCTATCTTGTCCAGGCTGGTTGAAACTCCTGGCTTCAAGCAATCTTCCTGCCTTGGCCTCCCAAAGTTCTGGGATTTCAGGCATGAGTCACCATGGCCAGCCTAATTTTGTGATTTTTAAGAGACACTTATGTTTCATTTTGGGCAATATGAAGGACTAGGTAGGAAGAGTTACATGTGTGTACAGTACATCTGGAAATGCAGGATAACATTGTGCATATACAAAACAATTAGGGATTTGCTTCAACATTGGAAAAGATGATAAAATCAAAATCCATAGGAATAGGTAAAGGTTGAAACTGATGCTTGCTCTGGAGATGTTTGCTGATTTCTGGCAGCTGAAGGTTGACTTTTCATTAACCAAGCATGTGGGAAATGGAAGATAAAGCCTAATTATATGGTTTGACTGTGTCCCCACCCAAATCTCATCTTGAATAGTAGCTCCCATAATCCCTATGTGCCATGGGAGGGACTTAGTGGGAGGTAATTGAATTATGGGGGAAGGCCTTTCTCATGCTGTTCTTGTGATAGTGAATAAGTCTCACAAGATCTGATGGTTTTATAAAGGGGAGTTACCCTGCACAGGCTATCTTGCCTGCCACCATGTAAAACGTGACTTTGCTCCTCATTCACCTTCTGCCAATGATTGTGAGGCCTTACCAGCCATGTGGAACTGTGAGTCCATTAAACTTCTTTTTCTTTATAAATTACCCAGTCTCGAGTATGTCTTTATTAGCAGTGTGAGAATAGACTAATACACCTAACAACTAAATGGTTATATTAAAGACCTTCCCATGAACTAGGGAAATAAACCTATCCAGAAAGACAGTGGAAATGCACATTTGTGTCCATATTTCTTGTTTAATATTTAACAGCGGGTGGACATGGTGGCTCATGCCTATAATCCCAGCACTTTGGGAGGTCAAGGTGGGCAGATCTCTTGAGGTCAGGAGTTCAAGACAAGCCTGGCCAGCATGGGGAAACCTCGTCTCTACTAAAAATTAGCCTGGCATGGTGGTGCATGCCTGTAATCCCAGCTAGTCAGGAAGCTGAGGCATGAGAATTGCTTGAACCCAGGAGGCAGTGGTTGCAGTGAGCTGAGATCACACCACTGTACTCCATCCTGGGTGACGGAGTGAGACACTGTCTCAAAAAAAAAAAAGAAAGACATAACAGGAAAAAATTTTACCTGAAAATTTCTAACTGCCAGATCTTACACACTAAGGTTTAAGCAAGAATTAAATACTTTTTAATCACCAAAACACTAAGTTAAAAAGTTAATGTAAAGTGTTCCACTGTAAGATTTCCTCCAGAAGCTTGATGAAAGCAAATTTTTAAAAATCTCGTTTAAAGAATATATTATAAATTTTGTCTTCAAAAACAATCCCAAAGATAAATTTTCAAGGAATAATATCATAAAGAGAAATCAATAAGCATATGAATGAAGAAAGTACCCATGAGTGAAAATTAGTACAAACAGCAAATTATAGGGTCAAACTGGCAAAAATTGCAAATATTGAAATTATCATATGGCATTTTAATGTTCATAATATATAATAATTTATTTAATATTTTCTCTTACATGTAACAACAAGAGACAGATATAGAAAATATGAAATAATGGTAGAGAAACAGGTAGGGTAGAGTGAAAAAGTACAATTTATGATTAATCATAATAATATGGCAAAAGAGACACATTGGTTGAAATTTTTTCCAGAATTAAAAAAGGGCACCACTCCTCTGATTCAGAAAGCAAACAAACCTCAAGCAGAGTAAATAGTATGAAATTCACACAAAAACACATGGTAGTCATACTGCAAAATGCCTAAGAGAAAGAAAGAAGATCTTAAAAGCAGCCTAAGAGAAAAAATAGAATACTTGTCAGTGATCAATAATCAGCCTTCCTGATGACTTTTCAGTAACAACAGAATTAAGGTCAGAAGATAGTGGAATAATTTCTTTAAAGCTCCAAGAAAAAAAATGAAACTAGCAACCTAGAATTCTATACCCAGTGAAACTATCCACGGAAATATAAGAAGAGGGTTGTTCTCAGAGAATAAAAACTGAGCATGTTACTTCACTAAAACAACATCTTCAGTAGATATTTCAAGAAGTAAACTATCCTAAACGAATATCTGAGATGCAAAAAGTAAAGTGAGAGCATAAAAGGGAAAATATGTGGTAAATCTAAATAAATATGAACTGTTTAAAATAACAACACCTAAATTGTGAGGATAATATCAAATCAACTTGTGTCTATAATCCTTCACATAAATAGCATTTGGGGGAGTGGAAATTGGAATTAAAGTATTCAAAATTCTTTACAGTTCTAGAAGTAACGTAAATATATCTGTTAATCTGAAGTTAAATAAGTTTGCTTAGAATTTTAGGTAATACTAAAATAATATTTATTGGGCATCTACTATGAATCAGAACTTGAAAATAAATGATCACTTGGGAAGAACAAACACAAGCCCAGTCTTTTAATAATTCAGAATAGTGCCTATCTCTTGAGGCTTTTAAAAACATAATGAGCAATAAAATTCTAAAAACATCATTGGCCTCCTCTACCTTTCTCCTTCCTCTGCTTTCTAATTACTCACAGCGCAAGTTCCCCACCCACGCACCACCACCAAAAACTGCAGGCTAAGCTAAGCTATTTTGACTGAGACAAAAAGAGCTTCAGCAGCTTGTGCCTCCTGTCTGATAGAAGCTTGATCCTATGCTGCTGGCCTCCTGCATTGCCCTGACACATTCTTCCTGTAAATTCAACACCATGCTTGAGGCGCCTCTATTGCTCCCTGAGCACAGCTCTTCCTCTCTAGTCCAGACCCCCACTCCTGCATTCTTAATATGTTACTCTTCCTAAAAATTCAACCCCTCTTTTTGTACTACTTATGATAGTTATGGATTAAAGGAGATGAACTGTAGCAAGTATTTATGCCTAGATAAATTAATATGTTATTTGGATTTCTTTATATTGCAAGAAACAGGAACCCAGTTTGAAGTATCATTGGAATGGGAGAATTTACTGGAAAAAATAAACCTGGCAGAGAGAGTAGACAGCTCTAACAGACCTCAGGTATCAGGAAACAGGAACTCCAGTGCCAAGGAGATTCTCCTTCTCTACTACATACAAGCACGTGCACACACATGCACACCTCTGCTTTTCTGTGTGTCACCTCTGCCCCTCTCCTCCTATAAAAGAGCTGCTTTCTTTTACACAACAGTGACCACAGTCACTATTCCCTTCCAGGCTTATTTTTTTCCGGATTCACCCATCTTCACTACCCAAGAGGTACTACCATTGTTCTCTTAGTTTCAAATGGAAAAAAAATGAAGGAAAATATTCTTGCCCATTCAGAGAGTAGGAATCTGTAAGAGATTTGAGTTCCTGCCCAAATTGCCTGGTTGAAAGGAGCATTTCCCTGAAGAAAAAGGCAGAGGCAAGGAGGGGATGGGTTCAAGGGAAATGAAACAGTAGTGATATGGTTTGACTCTGTGTCCCCACCTAAATCTCATCTCGTAGCTCCTATAATTCTCATGTGTTGTAGGAGGGACCCAGTGGGAGATAATTGAATCATGAGGGTGGATCTTTCCCATGCTGTTCTCATGATAAGTGAATAAATCTCATGAGATCTGATGGTTTTAAAAATGGGAGTTTCCCAGCACAAGCTCTCTCTCTTTGCTTGCTGCCATCCATGAAAGGCATGACTTGCTCCTCCTTGTTTTCCACCATGATTGTAAGGCCTCCCCAGCCATGTAAAACTAAGTCCATTAAACCTCCTTCCTTTGTAAATTGCCCAGTTTCAGGTATGTCTTTATCAGCAGTGTGAAAACAGACTAATACAAGTAGATATTCATTTTGATATTCTGCAGATATTTGGAAGGAGGTAACAGTCATTATCCTTAAACAGAGAGTCTTTCCCATACTCCAGCCTGGCAGCCTTGAACCTGGTCCTGTTGTTTTTGGACAAATTTCCTGCCTAGAGGCCACCCACTCATCTAATTCCTGAGTACAAACTGCCTGCTGGATTTCTCACCACCACATTCATCCCCTCCCATGGAGAGTGCAGGTCCTGACTATGGTCTGGCTTAAAAATAGATATGCGATATCTTTAGCCTCCACCTGACCCCTTGGCTACTTCTTTAGAGCCAGTCATTTTCTTGTTCTTTTAGTATCTGTTCCTTTCAGGTGTTTGTGTGTGTGTGTGTGTGTGTGTGTGTGTGTGTGTGTGTGTGTTTGTGTGTGTGTGTATCTCCTGCCAAATCCTGCTTCAGCTCCATCTTCACTCTTGTGGTGTTACTGGAAATGCAGTGTTACTTCTTACAGCTGAGTCACCAGATTATCAAATTAAAGGTTGGTGTGTTTTTCTTCGGTGGCAGTACTCATAACTGCCCCTTATTGAGTTACTGCTATATGGCACATGTGTTAGCATATTTTGTGTTGCTGCTAAGGAATACCTGAGACTGAGAAAAAGTCTCAGGTATTTATGCCTGAGATTTATAAAGAAAAGAGTATTATTGGCTCACAGTTCTTCAAGCTGCACAAGCATGGCACCAGCATCTGCTCAGCTTCTAGTGAGGCCTTAAGAAACAAACTCATGGTGGTTGGCAAGGAGGGAGCAAGCTTGTCACAGGATGAGAGAGGAAGCAAGAGAGAGATGTTAGGGTCTTCTAAACAACCAGCTCTTGCGTGAAGTGATAGAGTGAAAACTCACTCATCACCATGAGGATGGCACTAAGCCATTCATGAGGAGTCTGCCCCATGACCTCATGACCCAAACGCCTACTTCCAGGCCCACCTCCTACATGGGGGATCACATTTCAACATGGTATTTGGATGGGATAAACATTTAAACTATATCAGCAGGTGTCTTAGGTGAGTTCCCCAGAAGCAGACCCAAGACAAGGATTTGGGCACAAATGACTGGTTTGGGAGGTGATCCCAGGTGAACAGGAAGTAAGTAGGAAGTGAGACAGAGAAAGAAAGGGAAACAATACAGGAACCAATGGGAAGGCTACTGTTGTGAAACTGGACTTTGATCCCACTGGGACCTCTGTGAGATGGTATGGAGCACATTTCAGTGTTTGTCCATCCCTATAGCCAAGGACGTCAGATATTTATTCTCCAAATCCTGTTCTCTACTGGCTGAATGCTGCCCCAAGGGTATTAACCTCACAGCCCATGGCACTACTGGCCTGCTTTGTGTGTCCAGAAAAGGAACAGTCACAAATATTTGCAGTGGGAAGCTGTTGGCATGTGTCATGTGCAGAAACATGAGTATAAATGGGATACAAGTAGGCTGAAGGAAGCATCCACTACATCAGGCATTAAGTACGCATTGCCTCTATTTCATCATGAGGGTCTGAGAGGATAAGACATGAACCCGGCCGGGCGCAGTGGCTCACGCCTGTAATCCCAGCACTTTGAGAGGCCGAGCGGGCAGATCATGAGGTCAGGAGATGGAGACCATCCCGGCAAACACGGTGAAACCCCGTCTCTACTAAAAATACAAAAAAAAAAATTAGCCGGGCATGGTGGCGGGCGCCTGTAGTCCCAGCTACTCCGGAGGCTGAGGTAGGAGAATGGCGTGAACCCGGGAGGCGGAGCTTGCAGTGAGCCGAGATTGCGCCACTGCACTCCAGCCTGGGAGACAGCGAGACTCCGTCTCAAAAAAAAAAAAAGACATGAACCCAAGAGTCACTTAGCAAGTAACTGCTAGAGCCAAAGTTGAATTCAGATCTACCTCTGAAGTTCGTTATGTTTTTTATTTTGCCATACCTCCTTCCCCACTCAAAAGGAATATGCTGGGAGAATAACTTGCATGTTGTTGCTGGCTTGGACTAAAGGAAATCTAGGAGAGGAAATGGCGACAGCAGCACAGAGGGAAGAGTATTATCATACCCTGGAGCTAAAGGGAGAAAAGAAAGTGCTTCCTGTTCCTGAGTGGAGTTGGCACTAAGTCTGTGGGTTGTTCGAATAAATCAACGAATGAATAATGGTTACTTGAAGTTTGGATAAATACTAGTAGCACTAAAGGGAATCAATAAAATAACATTTCTATATTATTTAATTCATTTAGCAGGAACAACCAAAGAGATCACATTTTAAAAAATTAATTTTTTAAAATTAATTACAAAACAGAAGTAAAAATATAGAGAATATGATATGGTTTGGCTGTGTCCTCCCAAAATCTCATCCTGAATTGTAGCTCCGATAATCCCCATGTGTCATGGGAGGAACTTGGTAAGAGGTAACTGAATTATGGGGGCAGGTTTTCCCATGCTGTTGTCATGGTAGTGAATAAGTCTCATGAGAGCTGATGGTTTTATAAAGGGCAGTTTTCCTCCACAAGCTCTCTCGCCTGCCGCCATGTAAGATGTACCTTTGCTCCTCATTTGCCTTCTGCCATGATTGTGAGGCCTCCCCACCCTTATGGAACTGTGAGTCCATTAAACCTCTTTTTCTTTATAAGCTACCCTGTCTCAAGTATTTTTTCATAGCAGTATGAAAATGGACTAATATAGAATAGTAGAGTGAATCTCCATATACCTATTATCTACACTAAACAATGATTAATATTTTTCCATATTTACATCTGGTGAAGTAGTTCAAAGCAAATATCAGACATCACCATATACTTCTATAAGCATCTATAAAAATATTTTCTTATCTAAACATAATATCATCATTATAACTAATAAAACTAACAATAATTTCTTAATATTATCTCATACTCAACCATATTCAAATTCCCCCAATAGTTCTACAACTATTTCTGGTTGGTTTGTTTGAGTCAGTTCCAGAAAAGGTCCACAGATAACCTTTGTTTATTATGTCTCTTAAGTCATTTAAAGTTTACAACTGCCACCCTTTCATTTTTATGCCATTCCCTTGTTAAGGAGATAAGATCAGCTGCCCTGAAGAATATGAAGAATATTCCAAATTCTGAATGTATTTTATCAATGTATTTATACCTTTGTATTATTCACAGGGACATCCACTAACCTAGGCTGGTCATTTTGGTTACTTGATATAGCCACAGGAAATTCAGCCAGGTGTTTCTGCAGGTGTTTCTTTATAACCTCACCACCCTGTTTCTGCTGCAGACAAAAGAAGTATCATGTCTAGAAAGCTTACAAATTATCTCACCAAAATATAGCTATTGTAGAGGACTACGGATTAGAAGCTGTCAACTTGGCAAGCCTTAGGCATTCCCAAGCTGATGGATGGGAAAAAGAAAGGTAAGAACTGGAGTAGATAGAGCTACAAGTAAGACAAAGATCTATTTTGTTTATATTGTGTCTCCATTCCATAGCTCAGCACCTTTTGTGTAGACTCTCAAAGGAGATGTGCACAAGGACAGAGTCATAGCTGGAGTTTTGGAGAAAAGCCTGCCTCATTGCAACACAATACTGAGATTTTTCGTCTTTATTCATAGTTTGAGAAATGCCACTATTTCAGGTGCTGAGTGTTGGTGAAAATGAGATACCAAGGTGACTTAAGGAGGCATTCAGTGTCTATCTTAGACATTTTGAAACTCAGACATGGTTGGGATTCCTCTGCGTTTAGTGGGATGTCACTAACTAACTACTCTACCAACTTAGGTTATCTAAGCTAGTTCAGGTCAGCCTATCCAAATCCAAAGGAAAAGATTTCCCTACCCTACAGGTTCCACCTCAGTTTCTCTAGGTATCCAGCATCCCACCTCTCCTTAGGTTTGGGTTCCCTAAGTGTTGAGGGCCTGTCCATAGTCAGTAACAAAACATCCCCTGGTGAGATGCTGGATATCAGTGAGCTGAACTTCTCATTGGACACTGATATATGGGAGCACTAGCAAAGTCTTTGGTTCAGACAATGGGAACTTTGTTTAAAGTTCTGCACACCTCTACACAGTGGCATCACTCTTGAGTCATGAAGGATATTAGTCAAGATTCTGGGTTGGTCAACCCACGTGTAACTTGCAGCTCCTCCTACTCTTGGAACTTGCTACCTCTGGAATGGCACTGCTGAGAGGTGAGGTCTTGACACTCCCAGGACCATGGACTTGAAGGCTAATCTCTAACAGGGCCCTTCTTCCAAGCCCAGGGAATGCTATCTTTAGTCTGGGAGGTGAAGGTAAAACCTTACTTTCCTCAGTGCTTCCCTAGGGCAGTGTGCCTACAGCACTTAATTCCCTTTTCCTGTCATTCCTCTCCTCTCCAACACATACCACTCCTTTCCTCTTTCCCAGTAGGCTTTCATGACCCTTTAATGCTCCCAAATAGACCTAATGCTAGTTCTTTTTCCTCAAGGGCAGGGGAATTAAAACTTCAATTCCCTCTAATTAGCAAAGAAAGGAGGAAAAAATTTTCATATGAAAATAAGCTTGAATATTCATATCCAGCTACCTGTTTATATAATACCTCCTCTCCATTTTTCTTCTGATTCCTTGCCAAGGCAAGTTAGAGACATAGTCCCTGCTGCAGTGGTTTGAAGAGAGGCTACTGCTGCCTTGGAAAACATAAAATCTGATGGGTCTGAAACTAGTCTAAACAGCTCATCTGAATACGAGTTTTGCCATGGTCCTTTCTTTTTTGGAAAAATTTTTAAAAATAAAAAACCCAAGAACTTATTAATGATACCTAAATTTTGGGAAACTACCCTTTTTTGCCATCTATCCAAAGTCACAAATTGGTGTGGTTTTGGAGTAGGTTCTTAAATTCTCTGTTGCTGTTTTTCCACTTGTAAAATGAAAGACTTGGCTCCACTGATCTAAAAAATATCTCTTATGCTCTAAGATGATCTAATCTGCACTGCATCCAAATAGCTCTGTGCTCCATTTCCTGGAGTGTACACCTCATGCCCACCCAAAGACACATACAAACACACACAGCTCCTGACAAAAGTAAAATATAAGCTATGTTTAGTCTTCATAATTGCCCTCTTTTTTTAACAGTCTGATTTGTTTTTAGAAAATTGTCAACTCTTCAAAACCCAAGGAATGATATCATAACTCTACAAGAGATTAAGAAAAGTTATTGAAAGAAACTTGCTGAAAAGTTAGACAAAATCCCTCCTGATGGAAGAGGCTTTGTTAAAAGCATAAATTTGGGTCAATCTCTCAGTAATTATTAATATTAGCAGTTATATATGAGTTTGACTCATTTCACAGAATTCTCATCATTGCCACATTTTATAATTTGACTCAAATTTCTCCCAAGACCCCACCATCTTAAACAAATGCTTCTTCAAAGGATCACACCTTTATAAACCACAAAATGCTTCAGTTATGACTCCATTTAACTCAGTGGGAGAATGCTCATTTTTGTAAAATACCCATACTGAATCATCTCCATACCATACCAGTAATAAGTAAGCTGGTTTTTTGGCTGTTAATTTCTTTAAAACACAACAAGACTTCATTATTTGAATTACTGCTTAAACATCAATCTTAGAAATAAGCTCCACTGAGCATTATTTATGAATGCTGAGGTTTTAAATGATTCAAACTCAGCATCACTCATATCTGCACTAATTATCCCCACCAAAGAGAGCACATATTAGATAAAATGATGTTAAGTTAGTGTTCTGAAGAATTTGCAAAATAAACTATGCATTGCTTTCTCTCACAAAGTTCACAGTGAATTACTGCAGATTCTTAATGACCTTATCAGTAACTTCTGTTCGAGATGGAGGAGGGAGTCTGGGGATACATTATGACAATATATAGCCTAATATCTGGAAAATACAGAAAACATGTCTGTACTACCTCATTTTAAACACCTCATGAAGGTCAGAAAATGCTTCAAATCATACTTTTTACTTTTGTCTGAAATAATAGAGAGATGAATAGCGCCTTTCCAACCATATTTACACTTGAGCTCCCCTGTTAAAACTATGTAGAAGCTCTACTGCATTTATTCAGTGTACATGCATGTATTTGTAAACTTTGGCTAGATAAGTCCATTGATGGAACATGAGCTACCACAAGGAGAATGGAGCACATTCAGGCTAGAGTGATGAGCAAGTTGTTGAAAAGGCAGAATTTATTGAGAATTTCTCACATGCCAGTCAATATTGTAAGTGCTTTATGCATACAGTGTATTATTGTTTTTCTTAACACCTCTTTAAGTTGGTACTATTACCAGTGATAACTCCATTATGCAAATGAGGAAATTGAGGCAAAGAGAAACCAAGTAACATCCTCTAGGCCACATTCATAAGAGACAGACTCTAGCCCAGGCTGAACCACTGTGCTGTCTTATAGTTGTGCAGTAGAGAGACAGCAGTCACTTGGGCCAGGATGTGGCAACGGAGATGGAGAGCAGAAAAGAGACTGGAGATATATTTATGTTTATTTCACCTACCAGAGTGAAAATGTTGGAAACAATGTTAATGTCCAACATTAAGGATTTGACGTAATAAATTTTAGTATATCTATATAAAAGAATGCAAAGTTGCCGGCCGGGCGTGGTGGCTTACGCCTGTAATCCCAGCACTTTGGGAGGCTGAGGCGGGCAGATCACGAGGTCAGGAGATTGAGATCATCCTGGCTAACACAGTGAAACCCCGTCTCTACTAAAAATACAAAAAATTAGCCGGACATGGTGGCGGGCGCCTGTAATCCCAGCTATCGGAGGCTGAGACAGGAGAATGGCATGAACCTGGTAGGCGGAGCTTGCAGTGAGCCGAGATCACGCCACTGCACTCCAGCCTGGGCGACAGAGCCAGACTCCGTCTCAAAAAAAAAAAAAAAAAAAAAAAAAAAAAAAAAAAAGAACGCAAAGTAGCTATTTAAAATCACTTTTTCCAATCATATTTAATAACAAGCATAATAAAATATACCATTTATTCTTGACTGAGAATGTCATGTAAAAAAAAGAGCATTTTAGATAATCCCAATTTTGACAAATGTGTATGCCTGTGTGTATGTCTGTGCATAGGTGTACAACACTAAAAAAGAGACCAGAAAGTCATGCAAAATGGGCCAATACCGGTAAGGCTGGGAGTTGGGAGTCTGCACGATTTATGTTTTCTGTTTTATGCCCTTCTTTATTTTTTCAATTATTTCTACAAGAGCAGGCATTGTTTCTGTAATGAAAAAAAAAAAACTGTTTAGGAGGAATTTAAGGATAACCAAACCACAGTTCAATCATGTGGCCTAGAAAGACCAGCAGAGATTAGAGACACAGGCAGACAGGGCTGATGGCAATAACATGTGTGATTGCCAGCTTAGCCCTGCAGCTGTGAACTCTTGAGTGAGTCCATCAGACTTGGCCCAGGCACCTTAGGAAGCTGGATCTGTAGAGTGATGCCCTTCAGCACCTTCACCCAGAGAACACTGCAAAGCCACACATTGACAGGACCAGAAAAGATAGAAATACTTCACGTAGACCCTACATATGACCAAACAGTTTGTGCAATGAAAACAGGGACTGAATGGGAATGAAAAGAGGAAATGGAAGGGAAGAAAGGAGTCTGGGGTAGAGCTGGCAATGCTTTTTGTCATTTATTCTTCCCCTGGATGGAGAGCCTTTATGACATTTCTGCAAAGGTGCTGTATGTGCTAGCTGCACTCAAGATTGGCAAGATGAAGCTGGGTACAGTGAAGCACCCCTGCGGTCCTAACAACTTTGGAGGCTAAGGTGGGAAGATTGCTTGTGCCCAAGAGTTTGCATGCCTGTAAATAGCCACAGCACTCCATCCCGGGCAACACAGTGAATAAATAAATAGTGCCTCTAAATAAATAAATTAGTGCCTCTAAATAAATGAATAAATAAATAAATGAGATTGGCACGATGAGCTGAGACCAAATATGAAGGCTCTTTGGAGCCCAAAGTCATCACAGGTAAAAAGACCCACAGTTGAGAGAAACTACTAGAGGAGGGAGGCTTGAAGGATAGATGGGATTTATATTGGAGAAGTGCACAGAAAAGGGAGCCAGCTAGCACTGGGGCACAGAAAAATTTAAAAACTGAAGTTCGAGGTGGAATCATTAACTGGATTTAAAAATAAAAACTAAACCTTTGAGATAGCAGTCTTTTTAGTCTGAGAAACTCTAGGCTTCGTCCATTGAATCATAAACATACCAGCACAGGAATGGTGACACTAAAACTGTCACCATAACTGGAGGCTGTCTCCTTTAAAGGTCTTCTTTCCCATACTCCTTACCAAACTACCTGACACCTGGCTTGAGATTGACTTCCTAGTACTGGTATCCCAGTTAGACGCCCTTCTTTCCAGCAGAATTACAACTCCAATAAGATACCTGTATTATGTAAGGGAGCACATTCCTCAACTCAAGCTATACTGAGGTCCCGCCCCGCCCCTTACCCCAACTAGACTCTTCTGTTCAGGGGGCTGGGAAGATCAGATCAAAACTTATGTTCATCATTTTAAAGGTATTCTGTTAAGAATATATTCATTTCTTCTAATGTGAGTTTAAGCAAAATTTACTTTTCCTGGACAAACGCAATTTCTAGTCCATTTGCATGCTGTTAGTTCTCTGCTTTTCTGCAGAGCATTTTATTGCCAAGCACGTTCCAATGATTTATTAGCTAGTCCTCTACTAAAGGCTGAAAAGCTGTGATTTCCTCCATGTTTATGGATGATAAAAAACAGAGCTACAGATTAGTTAAGTGTCTTCTATAAGGTCATCCCACAAGTTTGAAGGACAGAGCTGGGGTTAGAACGTGTGCTCCCTGACTCGCCCCGCCCCAAGAGGTCCACTGGGCTGCACTGCCTCTCTGCATGACAACATAACATGCCGTCAGGGGCAGATGTTGCCTGTCACCCTGACCATCCATCATGCCCATAAGAAGGTGCAATTAAAAAGAGAGATTTTAAAAAATAGCTCTTATCCAGGTGGCCAAAATCACTTTACTGAAATCAAAGCTTAGACATCAATATCTGAGTAGTAGTCACATTGTAATCCTCACCTAGCTTCCTTCTGCTAGCCATCCAGCATGACTTTGAGCCACCTTTCACTGACATTAGTGACAGGTACTCAAAGAATAAAAAATAAGATATTTTTAATATTTGTCTGATCATTTAGGAAAGGAAATTGTGGTGAGGAGGAAAAGCCATCCGCTTAATTGTAAAAGCAAGGAATAGGGACTGGAGTCTTATCCACGGCCTTAGATTTGTCAGAAGCACTTCTCAGCCCTGCTTCCTCTTTTCTGCCCTCTTCTTTTGCTAAAGAGCCATTTATCATAGGTGATTGGGAGATGACTTTAAATGTCACTAAGAAAAGCATGCCATAGAATTTATCTAGAAGAGAACAGCTACACCATCTCCTTTGTTACACCAGTGAGGAAACTGACAAGAAAAGTTGAGTAAATTCTTGAGGAATATATGGCTATTTACTGGCAGCACCAGGTCTTCAGCCTAGATCCACTGCCTGCCAGCCTAGGGTCCTTTCTGCTACATGCCCCAGACACAACTGGATAAACATTATTCAATTATTGGTTCAATGAACTCTCATTAAGGGCCTGTTATGTGTCAGGAGTTTGGAATAATACAGCCTTTGCCTTCAAAATAGCCATGGTCTAAAGAAATGACAGCAATATATAATCTGATTCACAACTGTAACAATTTAAAAATGCTACCACAGGTAATAGGATGAGAGGATAAAATGAGCTTTGGGCTGGATTAAGAGACATTTTCTATTTCTAACTATTTCAAAATTAGTGGAAAATGTCTCTTAAGAGACACAAAGTGAAAAAGGACTTAGCATTGTTTGCAGGAAGCTTAGATTTCTCTATACTCTCTCAATTCATCATTAGTAGTCCACACCTAAATGCTAAGACCCTTTCAATTCCAGGACTAATGCGACCAGGGCAGAGAACAAAATTTAAACACACTGCAGTGCTGGTACATGTGGAATCATGTTATTTCAAACTGTTGTCATGAATGAGGGCATTGATTATTCACATAGCAGTTTTCAAATGCAAAAGTGTTCCCTAGTAATTGAAGCAGGAAACATACTTAGCTTTATTTCCTCTATAGTCTGATGATGAAAATTGGAAAGCTTGGAGGGATGTAGTAGAGGAGGGAGCACAGAATGTAAAATTGAAACAGTTATACAAGTGGGATGAGGGCGCATGTGTGTGTGTGTGTGTGTGTGTGTGTGACTCACACAGCAGAAAGAAGGTTTTGCTGCGTGGCTTTATTCCTGTGGAGTTCCTCTATTGTAAAGTACAAGGGGAGCAAAACTGGAATTATGAGTTTCAGAATAGCCCCAGAAAATAACACTCTACGAGACTTTTCCAAATTTGACAACTTAGTGGAAACTAACATAGATAAGACCATCAAGCCCTTCATTGCAACATCTTGAGAGGGCTGATTTAGAAAAGCTTCATCTTTCTGGGGAGATGATAGGAGCAAAGAAAAGGCAATGAGTATATGAGCAGGGAGAAGACCAACAGAGCAGCACTTTAAGGCCATTAGAAAAGTATTGACAAAGCACCACCTCAAAAGCTATGATACAAATTGAATTACTGTGGTATTAGAGAGAATACTGCAGTAGGATAATCAACGTAACCATCAGAGTTTCCAGAAATAACGTTTTCAGGAACAATCTAGAAGAAGCAGATTTCATTCCAATTATAAAAATTTCTAAGTTTTCTTCAACCAAACTTACAAGGCTAACTAAGTGGCCACATAAGGAGCAGCTTGGTAAACATAAGTTAAGATGTTTAGAGGAAAACAATGGACGTACAAAATCTTTAGGGGCTGAGTGAAGCAGTGCAACTGCCACAGGGCACAACCCACTGTACCATCCAGTATCATGTCATGTCACTAGTGCAACATAATAAAAACTTGTGAAAGCCATCAAGGAGATGTGCAGCAGAATTAAATAACCTCCTCTGCAACACCCTGCTGCTGAACCAGGCACTTGTTGATGTTCCTTCTTCATCTGTTACTCCTGAAAGCAGCTTTCTGCTCAATTGTGATTCCTCTGGTGTGTATGTGTGTGCATGTATGTGCGTCTGTGCATGCAGGTAGAGCAAATAAAGCTGTGATGTAGCCTTTCCCCTCTTCAGAAGGCAAGAAAACAGTCCTGCAGACCTCAGCAGCATCAACAAGACATCATCTTCAGCTGCTCAAGAACCCACTAACCATTTCTGACCCAGATGGGGTACTACCAATTTTGCCAATGATATTACACTTAACTTTTATCACACTCTTTCAAAAAACATTGTATATTTTAACAAAAAAAGTTTCATTCAGAAACAGCTTTCTCATATCTTAAAGACAATGATTTTGTTTTTATGAATCATACCCTTCACCTCTTCCTATGTGACTATCTTGAAAACTCAGCTATCAGGATACAGTGAAAAGGCCAGACACTTTGGCAATAAAAAGATCAATGATGACACACTAGTGGATAGGACTCTGGAGAACTTTTGTAATTTCTATGAGCTCTCAGATTTCTCATCTATAAAGGAAGCTAAGTAAGCAGTGCCACAAAGGGTGTGAGGGAAAATTAAACGAGACTGTATGTTTAGTACCTAAAGCAGTGGCACCCAGAAACAGGCCCTTCTCTCCTGACCTGGACTCCATTTCTGCAACTGTAAAAACAAGAAGGAGGTATCCAAAAACTCCCCTGTTGATAGGTGTTCCAATCTTCATTGAAATTGCAGTGTCATCTCCAGGATGCATGTAATAACTTGCAGCACAGAAGAGAAAGACTAAAGCACTGATTAATTAAAAGTGTCAGGCGCATGTTAAAATTCCTGTTGGATGTTAAAACAGCTAGTCACAGGATTTGTAAAAGAGAATGATTTAAGGAATTCACTGGTCATGGCACAGCATTTTAATATAAAATACTGTCTGCCTAGTAGACTCCATCAGGAAATGGTGTGTTCAAAGCATTCAGGGGCTTCCCTCAACCTCAGTCTTCATTATTTCCTTCAGCCTCATCACTTCCTTTACAAAGTAAACAAAACCAAAATGATTCAGGTGTTGCATATATATGTGTATATATATACATATATACACATATATATAAATATAGATAGATATATTTATTTAATGTTCAGACTTATGTTGCTGCCTGACCTGAAAGACAATTTTATCTACCTAAGTTATAGATCATTAAGCTGAAAAAAAAAGTTTGCCTGTTACTGCTGTTTTACCATCTTGCCCCATCTTGTCTCATTAGCAGGAACTGATTGAGCATGAAGGTGTTCTCTGGCTGTCAGTAGATAAAGTAGGTGCTCTTGGCTTTCATCTGTTCTGAATTCTCCTTGTCTCATTATCTTCCCAAGGTCAGATTCTCTGACACGGCAGCTGCTTGCTTAACACTCCATCCTGGCAATTACTTGCCGGACAACCTTAGCCACAATAACATTTTTAATCTGTGCCATCAAGACAGAAATGGGCACCAGAATCCCTGGGTCTGGTGCCCAGGCCACCCGTCCTCAAACTCCTTTCTCTAGTACTGAGGGGTTTATGATGTGTGTGGCTCATTCAGGGTTGCATCCTGTCACCTCCAAGTTGCCATCCCACGATGACATTCTCATTGAGCTGCAGTCCCATACAGATCATAGAGTGATGCCCAGTCTCACAGTCTCATTTTATATTGGGACAAGTTGTTATAGTCAAACCTCAAACTTTGGTATCCCATCCTTAAATCTCCTTGCCAGGCTTTCGGTGAAAGGCATATAACTGCAAAGCTATACAACCTGGATTCTGAAATCCATCTTCCCTTCTCCATCACTAATTCCTGCTGCACTACTTGCTCCTTTGAGAGGCTGTCAGGAGCAGCTGAGTAAGGAGAGAATATTCCACACTCAAGCCCCAGGGGCGAGGTTCTGACCAGAGCGGGTCATGAGGTGAATTGGTCACAGTGCCTCTGTCTGAATTGAATTCCTTCTTTCCGGAGGTGGGCAAAATCCCTTAGAGATTGTTTTACTTTGTAAAGAATCTGTGGGAAAAAAGAAGGAAACAGATCTACTATGTGATCCATTTAAAGATGGGTCTGGTTAGGGCTCACATTTTCCTTTGAAAATCTGGAGATAATTCTTGACCATTTAGACTGTGTTAAGAGATACACTCCTGATAGACAGCATTTTACTTAAAGAATCAGGTTTCTCCTCAAATTAGATGTGAATCCACTGGAAGCATCCATGTCCTTTTTCAGATTGAAAAGATGGTGTGCAAATGCACACTGATCTCTGTGGAGGAGGAGTAACCAGGTCACCTGGGAGGCATCTAGATAGCCCAGCAGTGGGGCAACCAGGTGTGAGCCTTCTGCAGGTTGGGCAATCCGCTCACTGGGAAAAATCCGCCTGCTCTTTCTAACAGAGCCCCCTGACTTTTACTTCCTACATTTAGTATGAGCAAACAGAATGCTCCCTGGAAGAAGGGCTCTATAACCATTACGTGTACATTTACACAAATCTCAGGGCACTCTGCTCAGAACGTAGCTGTCTCCTCCAGGGACATCTATTCTGCACTCATCACAAAAATAACCAAAACAAGGGAATTTGCAATACTTCCTGCTTCTCACCCAGCAATATGTCCAAAAACTTTAAGACAGAAAAATAATTCTGAAGCACTCTCATCCAGCAAATACACACCGTAAGCACAGCGAGTGACCCCAACAGCTTGGATGTCTACATAGCAGCAGTGTGAGTCATAGTCTTGTGGTTTTCTAAAATTCTGCACAGTTATAAAGACATGTAGCTTTATTTTCTGGCCAGTGTCTTTTGGTCTTCAACATTTGGGCTTGTAAAAATAGGCAAGACTCTTCAAGCAAATATCCAACAAATCTAGAAATATAACTTTAGAAGTGAAGCTTGTGAAAGTTATTCTCTTCCTCAAAATCTTTCATCAGTTAATAACCCAATAGACTTTCTACATTATTCTTAAAATCTTCCCAAGAATTTTAAATGTTTCTGTATGTCATGCACAAAAATGTTAAGTGATTAGTAGAAAACAATAAAAAAATACAAAATAGAATTATGTATTTCCAATTATGTATTTGGAAATACATAATTTTAAACATAAAAGGGTTGCTTTATGTGTTAGAAACAATGCTTGTGGGCTGGTGGAGGCTCTTGTCCTTCGGTTTCTTAGGGAATTATGCAGCAGATGTATAAAGTGTAAGACAAACCCCCATTCCACTGTATCTAAAAGGGAGAGACTTCAGCTGATGGATGAAATCATTGCATTATGAGAGTAAGTATTAAGAAAGGAACTTATCCCTCTGACCCAAAGCAAAAGCTAAGAGTGCTAGCCTGAGGGAGGTGGAGAACCTAGAATCCTCTCTTTTCTGGCATTTTCTAAGGATATGATTATATTCTCAGGATCCCAGTTTTGTCAGTCAACATATATGGTAATAATTATAGATGATGTTTAATGAGTACAGTTGACCCTCCATATCCATAGATTGTGCATCCATGGATTCAACCAACCACAGATCAAAAACATTAGGAAAATAAATGGATGGTCACATCTGTATTGAACATGTACAGACTTTTTTCTTGTCATTATTCCCTAAGCCATGCTAGGTATTATAAGTAATCTAGTGATGATTTAAAGTATACAGGAGGATGTGCATAGGTTATATGTAAATCCTATACCATTTTATATAAGAGACTGGAGCATCTGAGGATTTTGGTATTCATGTGGTGTCCTGGAACCAATCCCCCATGGATACCAAAGGGTAACTGTATTTCAGGCAATATGTTAAATGCTTCACCCTCATTTGATTCTCCCAAAAATCCAATGGAGTAGGTGCACATATGATTCCATTTTTTAGGTTAAATAGCTGAGATTTTGTAACTTGCAACACGTGACACAGATAATAAGTGCTACTGTCAAGTTTTAAGTTGGTGCCTGGCATAAGGAACATATTTAGAAAGATCAAAGCTTCATCTTTGGCACCTGCAAAACTGTATCAGTCCTACCAAACTTTGTCAGTCTTCCCTTGCTAGACGTTACTAAGACAGGAGCAGAAATCTCTGTAAGGTTTACTATTCTGATACTCTTTGTATTTCTTCCTACTGTCTGTGCAATGATTTCCTTTTTGTTTTCTTTTGAAAATTTTATCTGTCCTAAATCAGGTAAGAGAAACCAAGGAAGGGATTTATTACACTGTAGTGCTAAAGAGTTAAAATAAAAATGTTCACATGAGTGTGATCAACTAACTACTATAAGCAACCCCATAGGAAGGTAAATTGATTGGTGGAACAAAATTACATTTCATTTTACAGGCCTCATCTCATTACCTAGAGATTCTTTTTCTAAAAAATCCTGCTCATGGTTTTTTTTTTTTTTTTTTTTTTTTTTTAACAAAAGATTGTTTGGGTGTTTGTTTGTTTTACTATGCCGGGGATGAAGTTACAATGGAGACATAACTTGCCACAAATTTCCTTCTGCTGTGGCTCCCACACTTTCTCTTTGCCCTTTAAGGGGTGAGGGACCATCTCATGATCTTGGAAAGGAAGCCCAAAGAGAATCCATTATCATAAAACATGACCCAGGCGTCTTATCATATCACTTGACAGTATCACTTTAGTTAACGTTGAGTTAGTGTTTCTATTATAAACCCAATTACTGAAGGTAGAGGGGAGGACAAGAAGGAGAGATGGGCTCATACATCAACTGTGTAAAATGACATGAGGCTGAAAGCAGGTTGTCAACCAGGATAGAACTTTAAAACCATGACGCTTAAGGGAAAAATAATTCATTTGTGTTCCATAGTTAGAGTATGAAAAATAAGATAGCACACATATTATCTAAAAAAATTAGTACAATATCAATGGGCTTGCCTTTTAATGTATCCCCTCTCTCCTGGAGATGCATTAAACAATTGAAGGGAGGAAGAGGCAGAGTAAAATGTAATAGGAAAGGCAATAAACTAGGAAACAAAAAAACTAAGCTCTAGTTCTGTATCTCCCGTTTATTCGCTACATCATGACCAAGTCACTTTATGATTTACCTAAGGAGACAATCGGATTCCGCGTTCTGTAAAATAAAGCCAGTAATGCCTCTGATGCTACCTGAGCAGCTCCCTGTAAAGATCACATGCAGTTGGTCTGGGAGTGCATTTTCAAGCTCAGGAACCACAGTACAAGTGAGGACCACTATTACCACCCTCACCGAGCAAAAGTGATCCCAGACTACTTATACTTGGCCCTGGCTTGCCAATTAGAACATTTATTAAATCCTGTTGGCTGTTCTCAGACCTCACCACCCTGAGCCTGATGGAACCTCTCCTGGATCCACTTTAGGTTTAGCAGTGGGAGGAATATCCCAGAGCATGTCAGGAAGAAGATCACAGATTACACAGATTATCTCTCTGGAGATGAGCAGTGCCCTTAGAAGAGGCCCCAAGACTTCCAGACTAGAAGAATATCCCAGATTTGTTAAAAATTTTTAAATCATATATATGTTAAAATATATGTAAAAATCATATATATGAGATAAATATATAATCATATATGCTATTTATATATATTTTGACATTTTACATATGATATATCATATATGTGTGATTTGACATACATTTTATATGCAAGTATACATTTATATGTAGTTTCAAATATTTTACATTTTATATAGCTTGCATGTAAAATCACATTTATAAATTTTATCTCTCTCTCTCTCTCTCACACACACACACACACACACACACACACACGCATGCATGCACACACTGGCCCTACCAGTTAATCAACAAGTTTGGGTTTTATATATGAGGAAAAATGTTTTCATAAAAAATTCTCGTTACCCACTTATGACTTTATTATTTAGTAATCTTTGTGTACCTAATATATGATAAGTGGCGGACAAGAAGAAATGTACATAGGCTGAATAGAGAATAGAAATCATGAAAATTAGAGTAATCATATCACTGTGATCAAGAATCTTGATTAGTGCCTAGCACACAATTTTGGTAACTATCATTCAATTGTTTGAAGAACAATTCTGCCTTCAATTGCATCTTCTCTGCAACTCTTTTGAGCATTATCTCCACATGATCCTATATTAACTTAAGGACATTATAAAAATTAATTTATGAAATAGACAACAAGGGTTAATATCAGCCAGGAATTCCATCCTCTTTGGGAGACATTATATCTGTGAATTTCAATGAAAAACTAGGGTTTGGCAGAAGCAAGGGAAAAGTTAAGGACAAAATGGATTATGACTAGGAATGTGGGGAGGAAAGCTTGAGAAATTAAGATAATGTAAATATCTATGTAGAGAAATAACACTGAATAATAAGCAAAAGCACAATCATAGAAGGAGAAATCTCCCTTCTTGGCTAATGGCAGCAGAAGTAAGAGACAAGGTGTGTGGGTATCCCCTGTCCAGTATATTCATGGTATTCTTTTATATGAGGTTGATGCTGATCATTCGGTAGAAGTGGAAGGCACATCCAAGTGACCCAAGGCCCTCCTCAGTGGTGGAGCTGACACCTATCAACGTGACCAAAAGTGGAGGTCTTGGGGACAGGTAGTTCTGGGTCCTCATCCTGGCCCTGCTGCTGATCAATGCTGTGACCTTGGACAAGTGACTTCTCTAAGCTCTAAGTTTCTCAACTATAAAAAGAGGCAATGATATAACCAAGATCCTAAAGTGAATCTCAGGCTTAAATACAATGAAATATCAAAAGAGCTTAGCCAAATGCATGACCCTTGTGTGGGCTCATGATGTGGGCTGCTGTCATCACTCTTAGAGAAGCTGAGGAGGTAGACTGATTTGTAGAGTTTGGGGCTCCTCAGGAAGTGCACCCCAGTAGTTACTGAGGATGTATGAAATTCCAGTTCAGCCTGAAGCAGTGGGTGATGCTTTTTGAACCCTGCTGAAGGTATTTTGGGTCCTCAGCTTCAAGGGTGCTATGTTAGTCCATTTTTGCATTGCCATAGACAAATACCTAGGGCTGGATAATTTATAAAGGAAAGAGGTTTATTTGGTTCACAATTCTGCAGGCTACAGATGCATGGCTCCAGCACCTGCTTCTGGTGAGGATCTCTGGAAGCTTTCAATCATGGCAGAAGGTGAAGGGGGGCCAGCGTGTCACGTGGTGAGGAAGGAAGCCAGAGAGAGAGGAGGAGGAGTCAGGCTCCTGTAAACTACCAGCTCTCTAGTGAACTAACAGCAAGAACTCACTTTTAAAAAACATTTTTATGGGTACATAGTAGATGTATGTATTTATGGAATACATAAAATGTTTCGATACAAGCATGCAAAGTGAAATAAGCACATCAAGGAGAATGGGGTATCCATCCCCTCAATAATTTATCCTTTGAGTTACAAACAATCCAGTTACACACTTTAAGTTATTTTAGACTTATTACAATAGTGTGTACAATACAATACAATAGTATTACAATTATGAGGGATCTGTCCCCATGACTCTAACACTTCCCACTAAGCCTCACCTCCAACATTGGGAATCACATTTCAACATGAGATTTGGAGGGGGACAAAACATCCAAACCATATGAGGTGCTGAGCAACACGGTTATGGCTTGTGATTAAGAATCAGAAAGAGAAATTAGAGAGAGAAGGAAAGGGGCTGGAGTAAATAATTGAGTCATTCTAATTTTTTGTTATTATAATCTGTCCTACGCGGGAGTCTCCCATCGCACATCAGTTCTGAATTTCAAAGATGAAGTGCATCCAGGGAAAGAGCCAAGCACTTCCTCTGAAACTTAGTGATGGGATTGGTAAGATATTTAAACTCCTTGGCTCTTGGTTTCCTCATCCATAAAATAAGAATAATAATCCTAAAAAAGTAATAAGAAAAAGAGATATTAGTAGGATAAAAGAGAGATCTTATGTGAGGGTAATTCTTCTCAAGCTTTTAGCCCTATTGAAATTTCATTTCCTAAAATTCCATTCTCTGACTCCCACACAGTTTTGTTATGAGGTCAAGTCTCCCATCTTGGAATAAACAATAATCTTTCTCAACAGGCCTACCTGCTACTTTACCAAAGCCAACTGAGATGTATGAGGGCATTTATAGTTCTATACTGCACAGAGCTCTCACCTTACGTGGAGCAGGTGGGCGCTTCCCTCCCCACTCCTCAAAGGGGGCCCTTTGTCTCTGCAACTGCTCTGGTGCTTCAGGCCCTCTCTGCAGACTGCAGTGCCTCCATGGAAATCCACAGATCGTTTCTTCAGAAAAGGGAAGGGGTGAGAAGCCTCCAAACGTCTGAGTATTTATAGCCTTTTATTCTGATTTGAAACACTACCAATGCAGAAAGGTAAACCAGGGTCTCCAGAAGCTTTTTTTTTTTTTTTGGAAGTTTTGCCTGTGACCCACTTTAGGCACATTTCTGGCTTTCCTTGATGACCACCATCCTAAACCCAGCAGCATATGCCTAAGGATGCAGCCCAGGACTCAAATCTCAGCTCTGCCACTTACTAGAAGTCAGCGGTTTGCCCAGCATATGAAGAATTTCAGGTAAAATCACTATCACAATATAAAGGATTATAGTAAATTTATAACATATATACCTAAGTCATGTACAGATATAGGTAGAGATAAGTGCATCTCCTACCCTTTAGGAACACAGCACTTGTCCTCAATTCTACTCTCCTCCTGTTTCCAGCAATCATCAATACCATCCTAGCGATCCATTTAACTGTGTGTGAGTTTTAAAATTACAAATGAGAAAATTTTTTTCAAGTTTTGTAAAGAAGCATATGTAGCTCCTCAATATACTATGGGAGTTAATTCCACTCCTAAGAGATAAAGTGAAGATGCCGTCTTTTTGCAGGGGATGAGCAAGGCAGGAAAAGTGGAAAGCTGGCATAAGAGAAATTGACTGATATTAGTTGTACCAACTGAAGGAGAAGGCAAGAGGTTAACATGAGAAAGTCTAACTGTGACACTTTTAAGAAAACAATGTCAAAGTTAAGGGAAAGGCGGAAAAAGTACTATCAAAACCTACTTTATTTATTTTGAGTGCAGAACAAAATGGTGGAACAGAAACCTACACCATTCATTCCCCCTGCTGGTACACCAAACTTTAACAACTATCTGCTCACAGAAAAGCACCATCACAAGAATAGAAATCAGGGAGCAATCAGAGCACCTGGTTTTAGGTCATCCTTGACAGAGGCATTAAAGAGGTCAGGAGACACAGTTCTGAAGCTCTAACAACACCCGCTTTCCATCCCCCAGCAACAGCTAAGCAGTCTGGAGAGAGAATCTGTCCACTTTGGGGAAGGAGAGCACAGTGACAGGGAGACTTTACATGGAACTCAATGCTGCCCTGTCACAGCATAGAATAAAGCCATGTGGGGCTCAGCCAGTACCTGTGCACAGAGGGAGCACTTGAACAAACCCAGAGAAAGGGGAATTGCCTATCCCAGTGGTCAGAACTTGGGTTTCTCTGCAAGCCTTACCACCATGGGCTGACGTGCTCTGGGGAGACAATTTGACTTCCTCTTTTCCTATCTTTTCCATCAATGTGAAAATCCTCAATAAAATACTGGCAAACCAAATCCAGCAGCACATCAAAAACCTTATCCAACACGGTCAAGTCAGCTTCATACCTGGGATGCAAGGCTGGTTCAACATACGCAATTCAATAAACGTAATCCATCATATAAACAGAATCAATGACAATAACCACATGATTATCTCAATAGATGCAGAAAAGGCCTTCCATAAAATTCAACACCCCTTCATGCTAAAAACTCTCAATAAACTAGGTAGCAATGGAATGTGTCTCAAAATAATGAGACATTTATGACAAACCCACAGCCAATATCATACCGAGTGGGCAAAAACTGGAAGCACTCCCTATAAAAACCAGCACAAGACAAGGATACCCTCTCTCACCACTTTTATTCAACATAGTATTGGAAGTTCTGGCCAGGGCAATCAGGCAAGAGAAAGAAATAAAGGGTATTCAAATAGGAAAAGAGAAAGTCAAATTGTCTCTATTTGCAGATGACATGATTGTATATTTGGAAAACTCCATTGTCTCAGCCCAAAATCTCCTTAAGCTGATAAGCAACTTCAGCAAAGTCTCAGGATACAAAATCAATGTGCAAAAATCACAAGCATTCCTATAGACCAATAACAGACAAGCAGAGAGCCAAATCACGAGTGAACTCCTATTTACAATTGCTACTAAGAAAATAAAATACCTAGGAATACAACTTATAAGGCATGTGAAGAACCTGTTCAAGGAGAACTACAAACCACTGCTCAAGGAAATAAGAGAGGATACAAATGGGAAAACGTTCCATGCTTATGAATAGGAAGAATCAATATCACGAAAATGGCCATGTTGCCCAAAGTAATTTATAGATTCAATGCTATCTCCATCAAGCTACCACTGACTTTCTTCACAGAATTGGAAAAAACTACTTTAAACTTCACATGGAAACAAAAAAGAGCCTGCATAGCCAAGTAAATCCTAAGCTAAAAGAATAAAGCTGGAGGCATCACACTAACTGGCTTCAAACTATACTACAAGGCTACAGTAACAAAAACAGCATGGTATTGGTACCAAAACAGATACATAGACCAATAGAACAGAACAGAGGCCTCAAAAATAACACCACACATCTACAACCATCTGATCTTTGACAAATCTTACACAAACAAGCAATGGGAAAAGGATTACCTATTTAATAAGTGGTGTTGGGAAAACTAGCTAGCCATATGCAGAAAACTGAAACTGGACCCCTTTCTTACACCTTATACAAAAATTAACTCAAGATGGATTAAAGACTTAAACATAAGACCTAAAACCATAAAAGAAGAAGAAAACCCAGGGAATACAATTCAGGACATAGGCACGGGCAAAGACTTTCATGACTAAAACACCAAAAGCAATGGCAACAAAAGCCAAAATTGATAAATAGGATCTAATTAAACTAAAGAGCTTCTGCACAGCAAATGAACCTATCATCAGAGTGAACAGGCAACCTACAGAATGGGAGAAAATTTTTGCAATCTATCCATCTGACAGAGGGCTAATATCCAGAATCTACAAGGAACTTAAACAAATTTACAAGAAAAAAACAACCCCATCAAAAATTGGGCAAAGTATATAAACAGACACTTCTCAAAAGAAGACATTTATGCGACCAACAAACACATGAAAAAAAGCTCATCATCACTGGTCATTAGAGAAATGCAAATCAAAACTACAATGAGATACCATCTCACACCAGTTAGAATGGCGATCATTAAAAAGTCAGGCAACAACAGATGCTGGAGAGGATGTGGAGAAATAGGCGCACTTTTACACTGTTGGTGGGAGTGTAAATTAGTTCAACCATGTGGAAGACTATGTGGCAATTCCTCAAGGATCTAGAACTAGAAATACCATTTGACCCAGCAATCCCATTACTGGGTATATACCCCAAGGATTGTAAATCATTCTACTATGAAGACACATACATGTGTATGTTTATTGTGGCAGTATTCACAATAGCAAAGACTTGGAACCAACCCAAATGTCCATCAGTGATAGACTGGATAAAGAAAATGTGGCACATGTACACCAGGGAATACTATGCAGCCATTAAAAGGATGAGTTCATGTCCTTTGCAGGGACATGGATGAAGCTGGAAACCATCATTCTCAGCAAACTAACACAGGAACAGAAAACCAAACACTGCATGTTCTCACTCATAAGTGGGAGTTGAACAATGAGAACACATGGACACAAGGAGGGGAACATCACACACTGAGGCCGGTTGGGGAGTAGGGAGGCTAGGGTAAGGATAGCATTAGGAGAAACACCTAAGGTAGGTGATGGATTGATGGGTGTAGCAAGCCACCATGGCACGTGTATACCTATGTAACAAAACTGCATATTCTGCACATGTACCCCAGAACTTAAAGTTTAATAAAAAAAAAAGAACTGAAAAAAGAAATAAGTGAATGTGAAATGAAGAAAGCAATACAAAAGATCAATGAAAAAAAAAGGTGGTTTTTGAAAAGATAAAATTGACAAACCTTTAGCCAGACTAAGAAAAAAAAAAGACCAAAGTAAATAAAATCAAAGGTGAAACAGGAGACATTATAGCTGATACTTCAGAAATTCAAGGTATCTTTAGTGGCTACGCTAAGCAACTATTTGCCAATACATTAGAAAATCTAAATTCCTAGACACATACAACTTATCAACATTGAACTATGAAGAAATCCAAAACCTGGACAGACCAATAACAAGTAACAAGATTGAAGCCATAATAAAAAAAGTCTTCCAGTACAGAAAAGCCTGGGACCCTATGGCCTCACTGCTGAATTCTACCAAACATTATAATAACTAATACCAATCCTACTCAAACTGTTCCAAAAAATAGAGGAGGAGGGAATACTTCCAAAATCATTATATGAGGCCAGTATTAACTTGATACCAAAACCATACGAAGATATATCAAAAAAAGAAAACTACAGGCTGATATTGCTGATGAATATAGATGAAAAATCTGTAACAAAATACCAGCAAACTGAATTCAACAATACATTAAAAAGATCACTCATCATGACCAAGTGGGATTTATCCCAGGGATGAAAAGATGGTTTAACATACACAACTCGATCAATGTGATACTTCATATTAACAGAATGAAGGATTGAAGAAAATGATATGATCATTTTAATTGATGCTGTAAAAGCATTTGAAAAAGTTCAACATTCATTAGTGATAACAACCCTCAAAAAAACTGGGTATAGAGGAAACATACTTCAACATAATAAAAGTCATATGATATGGTTTGTCTGTGTCTCCACCCAAATCTCACCTTAAATTGTTGTTCCCATAATCCCATGTGTCATGGGAGGGACCCAGTGGGAGGCAATTGAATCATGGAGGAGGTTACCCTCATGCTGTTCTCATGACAGGGAGTGAGTTCTTATGAGAGCTGATGGTTTTATAAGGGATTTTCCCCCTTTGCTTGGCACTTTTCTCTCCTGCTGGCATGTGAAGGACGTGTTTGCTTCCCCTTCCACCATGAATGTAAGTTTCCTGAGGCCTTCTTAGCCACGTGAAACTATGAGTCAATTAAGCCTCTTTCCTTTATAAATTACCTGGTCTTTATTAGCCGTATGAGAACAGACTAATACACCATATATAACAGACCCTCAGTTAGAATCATATTAAATGGGGAAAAACTGAAAGCTTTTCCTCTTAGATCTGGAACACGACAAGAATGTCCACTTTCATCACTGTTATGCAACATAGTACTGGAAGTCCTACCTGGACCAATCAGGCAAGAGAAAGAAATAAAAAGCATGCAATTTGGAAAGGAAGAAGTCAAATTATCTTTGTTTGCAGATGATATGATCTCATATTTGGAAAAAAACCTAAAGACTTCATCAAAAAACTATTAGAACTGATAAATTCAGTAAAGTTGCAGGATACAAAATTAACATAGAAAAATCAGTAGCATTTCTATATGCCAACAGTGAACAATCTGAAAAAGAAATCAAAAGAGTAATCCCATTTACAATAGCCACAAATAAAATAGCTAGGAATTAGCTTAATCAAAGTGAAAGTGAAAGGTCTCTACAGTGAAAGCTATAAAATAGTGATGAAAGTAATTGAAGAGGATACACACAAAAAAGTGGAAAGATATTGTTAAAATGGTTATACTACCCAAAGCAATCTACAGATTCAATGCAATATCTAATAAAATACCAATGACATTCTTCACAGAAATAGAAAAGGTATTCCTAAAGTTTATATGGAATCACAAAAGACCCAGAATAGACAAAGCTATCATAAACAAAAAGAACAAAACGGGAGGAATCACATTACCAGACTTCAAATTATACTACAGAGTTATAGTAACCGAAATAGCATGGTACCAGCATAAAAACAAACCCATAGACCAACAGAACACAATAGGGAACCCAGAAAAAAATTCACACACCAATAGTGAGCTCATTTTCGACAAAGGTGCCAACAACACACATTGGAGAAAAGACAATCTCTTCAATAAGTGATGCTGGAAAAACTAGATATCCATATGTAAAAGAATGAAACAAGACCCCTATCTCTCATCATATACAAAAACCAAGTCAAAATGAATTATAGACTTAAATCTAAGACCTCAAACTATGAAACTACTACAAGAAAACATTGAGGACACTCTCCAGGACATTGGACTGGGCAAACATTTCTTGAATAATATCTCGTAAGCACAAACAACCAAAGCAAAAATGGACAAATGGAATCACATCAAGTTAAAAAACTTCTGCATAGCAAAAGAAACAATGAAGTGAAGAGACAATCCACAGGATGGGAGAAAATATTTGCAAACTACCCATCTAACAAGATATTGGTAACCAGAATATATAAGAATTTTAAACAACTATATAGGAAAAAATCTAATAATCTAATTTAATAGTAAGCAAACTATTTGAATAGACATTTTTCAAAAGAAGACATACAATAGGCAAACAGGCATATGGAAAGATGCTTGACATTATTGATCATCAGAGAAATGCAAATCAAAAGTGTGAAATGTCATCTCACCTCAGTTAAAAAGGCTTTTATCCAAAAGTCAAGTAAATGCTGGTGAGGATGTGGAAAGAAGGGAACCTTCGTGTTGATGGGAGTGTAAATTAGTACAACCACTATGGAGAACAGTTTGGAGGTTCCTCCAAAAACTAAAAGTAGAGCTACCATACAATCCAGCAATCTCACTGCTGGGTTTATACCCGAAACAGAGGAAATCAGTATATTAAAGAGATATCTACCCTCTCATGTTTGTTGCAGCACTATCAAAATAGCCAAGATTTGGAAGTAACCTAAGTGTCCATCAACAGATGAATGGATAAAGAACATGTGGTACATATATACAATGGAATACTAGTCAGCCATAAAAAAGAATGAGAGTCTGTCATTTGCAACAACATGGATGGAACTGAAAATCAGTATGTTAAGTGAAATAAGCTAGGCACAGAAAGACAAACTTCACATGTTCTCACTTATTTGTGGGATGATTAATGGATACAAAAAAAAATAGATGAGTAAATAAGACCAACTATTTGATAGCACAACAGGGGGACTATAATCAATAATTTAATTGTGCATTTTTAAAAAATTAAGAGTATACTTGGATTGTAACACAAGGGATAAATACTTGGGGAAATGAATACACAATTTCATTGATGTGATTATTACGCATTGCATGGCTGTACCAAAATATCTCATGTAACTCATAAATATATATACTTAATATGTACCCACAAAAATTAAAAATAAAACAGTTTTTTAAAAAACACGCTGGGCACAGTGGCTCATGCCTGTAATCCCAGCACTTTGGGAGGCCAAGGTAGGTGGATCATAAGGTCAGGAGTTCAAGACCAGCCTGGTCAACATGGTGAAACCCTATCTCTACTAAAAATACAAAAATTAGCCGGGTATGCTGGCAGGAGCCTGTAATCCCAGCTACCTGGTAGGCTGAGGCAGATAATTGCTTGAACCCGGAAGGCAGAGGTTGCAGTGAGCCAAGATCATGCCACTGCACTCTAGCCTGGGCAACAGAGCGAGACTCCATCTCCAAATATATAAACATATATAAAATATATAAATATATATAAATATATATATAAAAATATAGATAAATATAGATAAATATAGATAAATATATAAATATATATAAATATAGATAAAAATAGATAAATATAGATAAATATATAAATATAGATAAATATATCAATACATATAAATATATAAATATATATAAATCTATAAATACATAAATATATAAATAAATATAAATATATATAAATATATAAATACATAAATATATAAATAAATATATAAATATATAAATATATAAATATATATAATATAAATATACATAAATATATAAATACATGTAAATATATATTTATATATTTATATGTAAATATATATTTAAATATATATAAATATATATATAAATATATAAATATATATATGGCAATTAGTTAAGTATCATTAAACAAGAAGTTATCCAAGTGTGTGTGTGCATATAAGAGAGAGAGAGAGAGAGAGAAAGAAAGAGAGAGACACAAAGGAGTTGAGAAAGAGAATAGAAGGTAGAATTGAAGCAGCTGGCTACGTTAGATAAAATACTAAAATACGTGCATGTGTAAGTTGCCACCATTACATAAGATCATTGCCACAACCATAAACTATCCTAACAGAGTGAAAACAACTCAACAACTTTATGAGTACCAACACAGTGAAACATACACATGCACATTCAGAATGTCTTAAAGCTTTCGCAATGGCATGAATGAGTCTTAAATTGTAATAGTATATAATGCAAAGATTCCATTTTGAAACTAAGACAATACAGGCACATCTGCCCTGGAAGATGCACATTAGTCAGCATGGGGTCTGTAGCAGAAGTTGCTATTTGGCCTCCAACATCCATTTTCCCCTTCCCTCCTGGTAAAACAATTTTTGGCTAGGCAAATACCTGCCCAAAATAGGGATAATTGTTGCAAACCCTTCTGGGAGTCAGGACTAAGTCCTGGCCAATGGTCTAACAGGGAAAAGATTGTATGCAATTTCTGAGCTGTGCCCTTAAAGGGAAAAGATATGTCTTTCTCTTTCTCTTTCTCTTTGTCTTCCCTTTTCTCACTTCCTGAGGGCCTGAACGTAGAGTAGATGTTGTAGGTCATCTTAGTCCATGTGAAAAAGATAGTGCCCTAGGAATAGCAGAACAACCAACAACAAGGCACCTTGAACTATTCAGTTTATAATGAGGCTGAACTTCTTACATGAGTAGGAAAAAAAATCTTTCTTGAATAAGCTACTACCATTCTCAGTCTCTGTCACAGAAACCAAGCGCATGTTAAGATATCATCTCTCTTTTTTGCAAAAGTGCTAACACCATGTCATTAAGTTTGCATTGACTAACATGCCAGAGTTAGGAGTATGATAGGGTATAAAGAATTCCACAACCTTCCTCTGAATATAAATGTGATATCGGAATTGCCTCTGTGGCCTCCACATGAGTTCACCCGCAGTAGCAGCAGACCCTTCTCAGAGTGCTAGGGCTGTTCAAGACCAGCAACCCTCATTGTCTCTACCTGAGGGCTTTCTCTTCTCATAAGGGTTTGCTTGTCTCCCTCACGCCTGTAATCCCAGCACTTTGGGAGGCCAAGGTGGGCGGATCACGATGTCAGGAGATCGAGACCATAGTGGCTAACACGGTGAAACCATGTATCTACTGAAAATACAAAAAAAAAAAAAAATTAGCCTGGCGTGGTGGCGGGCACCTGTAGTCCCAGCTACTCTGGAGGCTGAGGCAGGAGAATGGTGTGAACCCGGGAGGCAGAGCTTGCAGTAAGCCGAGATCGCGCCACTGCACTCCAGCCTAGGTGACAGAGCGAGAAAAAAAAATTAAAAAAAAAAAAATCAAGGGATGGGCAGAGAAATTGATGTGCTTGGGGGCAGCTCTCAGTCAAAGGGGAATGGGAGAGGAGGATAAATGCCTCGCCTTCCCGCCCTTCATTGGAGAATGCTGAGGAGAATTCCCTCTGGCTTTTCAGACTCCCCTAGGCCCATCCAGACCTAGTTGCTCCCAGCTCTCTTTAAGACATGGTTTATTCTCTTTTCTCCTTTCCCTGTCTCACTTTTCCCCCTTTTACCCCAGTGTGCTGTCTGTGATCTCCTCTCAAATAAACTATGCAGTCAAGTCTTTGTTTCAGGATCTGCTTTTGGCAGACCCAAACCAAATGACCCGAAGTCTTAATTCTCTGACACTCTAAAGATATCCAAAAGTAGTTAGAAAGAAGAGTGATAAATGACAAAAAAAATTGAAAGTAAAACAGTGGGAAATAATGACACACGTTTATCTTCAGGTTGTTTGTGTGAAGTTTCTCAACTTCTCTTTTGTCACAGATCCTACTAGGTTTTCCCAGTATGTAACAATTTCAAGCAAAACCTTGTTCATGATATTGAAGATTGTCATAAAATGTTCTGCTGTAAGCAATAAGCATCTCTAACATATAATGATCCTTTTGATAAAAAGATTTCTGGGCCAAATTAAAATAATAATTTGTTCAGCCAACAAACTAAGTGAACACACAAAGTTTCTTCAAGATATTCATTGTAAATCATCACGTAAGTTCATTTCTCTTTTACTTCCCTTCAAGCCAGGAAAGGCTTGAGGAACCCCTTGGCTGTTTGCCTGAATTTGCTATTGAAATACCTTTTAGAAAAGTCCAATTTCTGGCTTTGATTTTCTTGCATTCAGAGGAACTTCCTGTATATATGCTTGAAACTGTATGCATGACAGTAACAGCACAGTTTACTGATGAGTAATAGCTTTTTGGTTTCTTCTATTGCTAGTGAAAACGTAATTCTTATTAATAAGGGAATTCAGTGAGTATAAAAATGAAGGGAACAATAGTTTAAAAGCTACTCATTTCCAAAATGTTTTATTCATATTGCTTTATATTTTTATAGACTTAATTTACTGATCTGACTCACCCTTAATTTTAAGAACTATAAACTATTGAAAGTATAACTGTCACCATACCAGAGGCAGCATTATCTTCGCTTGTCATCTTTCCAACTAGATAATAGATGTACAGAAACTAATCTTACTGTAATACTCTGCTGTGTGTAGTAAACTTCATGATAACAAATCTTTGTATTTTAAAATAGAGGCATCGAAAAAAATGTAGATGCAGAAAATTTAACACAACTAATTCCAAGAGGTCTTGCTGCTTTGAAATGCAGAGCTCCTGCCATAAAGTAATGGATTACTAACTAGCACCTCTAATGTTCTTCTTTTAAAGAAAACCAGGCCAACAACAGACAATGAATATGTGGTAAAGGGTGACCCCTTCAAAAAGAGAAATATTTGATCATCGCACTGCAGTAAATGGGACCAGATAGCACAGGTCATTCTCATAAGATGCTCTTACTGCTCTACTTATGAAGCCATTGCATTATCTTTGATGTCATATTGTTTCCTATTTTTCAGAACTTAAAGTCAGACCAGGATTTCTCTTGCTCACTTCACAGTGTGGTGCCACGTGGAAGAAACTAGCATGGGTTAGATTTCACCAGCCTGTGGATCCCATTGAGGTCTCATTTCAGTTAGTGCTAAAATTATAAGCTCCACCTTCTTGTGCAGGTGCTTAGCCACACTCAAAAAGTCCTGGGTCCCTTCTGACCGTACACGTGTGTGTTGTCTCAAGTCCACTTGTGTTCTGAGCTGCTGCCAGTACTTTCTGTAGGCACACAGATCCATCCTGTGCAGTTCTAACAAGTGCTCTCCACTGAGAGTGCCCAGTTTCTGCTTCCAGCCATGTCAGACTCTCCCAGGGTTCCATGTCTTGATCTGAAGAAATGACCCCTTAGCAAAGTAACTCCAGGGGCCCTTGAAGAACATTGTCCTGCACAGTGTCTCACCAAGCCTCTCAGGAAGTCAGCACCTTCAGCTTCTGGCTCTGAGCACCTGGCCTGCCGTCAGCAGCTACTCCAACAAAACAGAAATCTCATCAAGGGGGAAAGAAAAGTTTCCCCTAAATCTTTAGAGAAGAAACGAAACCAAACATTTTCCTCAAGGGACTCAAGTGCAGAAGAAATACAATTCTTATTGAATGGAAAAATGTTAGATTATCATGAGTGAGTAGCAGTTTAGTCATTTAGAGAAGTCATCTCAGACAACTTTCCTACTGGCAATTCTGTACAATTGCAGAGTTAAACAATTCCCTGTAGGGAGGTTTCCCAGATCAAAGGAACAGACTGCTCCAAGTCCCACTTTTGCAACATGGAACACAAAATTCTTGTTGTTTGAAGTTACTGACTATATTCTTAATCTTCTACCATCCACATTAATATATTAAAAATATTAAAGACAGGCTGGTCATGGTGGCTCATGCCTGTAATCCCAGAGCTATGGGTGGCTGTGGCAGGAAGATTACTTGGGGCAGGAGTTCAAGACTAGCCTGGGCAACATAGCAGGACCCCATATTTACAAAAAAAATTAAAAATAGCAGGACATGATGGTGTGTAGTCCCAGCTACACAGGAGGCTGAGGTGGGAGGATCACGTTAGACCAGGAAGTCGAGGCTGCAAGGAGCTATGATAGTGCCACTGCACTCCAGCCTAGGCAACAGAGTGAGACCTCGTCTAACAGAAAAAAAAAAAAAGACAAATTATAAGATGCACCCAGGCTTAATTAGGAAGCTCTTTATCCCACCCCTTCGCCAATTCCCAACTGATCAGCAGTAAAATAAAGTTCAATTCTGAAACACAGGCTGCAAAACGCACCACATCTTGCTTCAAGAATGTTGCTGACATTTAACCTGGCTTTTTTCCCCAGAGAATCTTTAAGATTGCTATGAAAATAATATGTATCTAAAAGAAATTGCTGAATAAAATAAGCAACTTCATGTCAATATGTATGATCTCTAGACATTTTTTATTATACCACAAGATCATGCAATAAGATCTTTTGTAAGATCTTATTGTTTTACAATTTCACAAACTGCTTTTCTCACCTCAAGCATATGGTAAGAATCTGTGATTCAAATGTTTCTCAAATTCTCTTTTTTTTAATGGCTCCATAATATTCCATCAATGAATAAAGCATAGTTTACTTAAGTATTACCATATTATTAAACATTTAGATGTTTTTGTTTTTAGCTATTATAGAAAATGTTATAATGTGTAGCTTATACTTCATAAATCTTTGAATCTCAAATTATTCCCTTAGAACATATTCTGTAAAGTAAAATTTTGAAGCATAGAGAAAATATTTGGTATAAGTATATAGCAAAACTTCTTTTCATTAAATTTAACAATTTGTAAAACCCTAGAAATACATAAGTATTCATTTCACTAGATCCTTATTAACTTTGAATACTATCATTTAAAAAGTCTCCTCACTTCTCAAGATGGAGTATCCAAGGTATGAATTTAACCTTCCCATTTAAAACAAATAAAACACCAGACAAAGCAGATGAAACAATAACACTCAAAATATTGGACATCAGGCAGCCAAAAATAGAGATTCTTCAAAAATAAATGAGGCAAACACTTATTTATCCAGCTAACTGGAGAAAGTGTCTTCATGGCAACACAGAGACGGGGAGCCCAGGCAAAACTAAGTCTTCCTGAGTTGAGGAGAAAAAGTTGGCTGTCAGGGTGTATTAGTCTGTTTTCATGCTGCTGATAAAGATATATCTGAGACTGTGCAATTTACAAAAGAAAGAGGTTTAAGGGATTTACAGTTCAACGTGGCTGAAAAAGCCTTACAATCATGGCAGAAAGCAAGGAGGAGAAAGTCAAGTATTACATGGATGGCAGCAGGCAAAGAGAGAGTTCGTGCAGGGAAATCCCCATTTTAAGACCATCAGATCTTATAAGACTCTTTCACTATCACAAGAACAGTACAGGAAAGACCCGCCTCCAAAATTCAATCACCTCCCACAAGGTTCCTCCCACAATGCATGGGAATTACAGGAGTTGCAATTCAAAATGAGATTTGGGTAAGGACACAGCCAAACCGTATAACTGGGGAAGCCAAGGAAACTAGGGTTCACATGGCAGAGTACTATAAAGGAAAAAAACTATAGATCTGCATCTGGTCCCTTCAAGTCTTGAGCTGAGTACAAGTCAGAGAATAAATGTGAGGAAGGGCCAAGAAAGAACCGCTCTAAGGAAATAGAAAGAATAGTGCTCAGATCAAATATAGAGCTTGGAATAGTGCTTATTCTCAACAGCCAGAATAGAGTACCTCATTTTGGGACCCATCTGTTAGAGTACTAAGAAGGGTCTTAATTCCTTAATGGGAAAAATTAACCTTAGATTAAATACAGTTCTTGTACCACCCAACAAATCTTAAATAAAAGACCTGAAAATTTCAAACTGTTTCCAACTAATCTAATCACATACCAGAACAAAGCTTAACAATAATTATAGGAATACAAAATAACTAACACCTAGCAAGATAAAATTCACAATGTCTTGCATGCAATCAAAAATTGCCAAGCATGCAAAAGGAACAAAAACACAATCCATAATGAAGACAAAAATCTACTAATTAAAATTGATCCAATATGACATAGATAATAGAAGTAGTAAATAAGGATGTTAAAACAGTTATAGCTGAATTCCATATATTCAAAAAACTAGAATATTAAATAGATTAAGTAGAGATATGGCAGATACAACAAAGACCCAAATTCAAAGACCTAAATTGAACTTTTGGAGATGAAGATTAAAATTTCTGAGATGAAAAATATACTGGATGAGATTAATTGCAGATAAAATATTATGAAAGAGAGGTGGTCAGTTGGGAAAGCAGAAATATTGGTCAAAGGGTGCAAGGTTTCATACAGACCAGTTTGGTCACCATACTTTGTAATAATGTATTGTATATTTCAAAGTTGTTAAAAGAGTAGATTTTTAAATGTTCTCACCACAAATAATAATAGGTAGGTGAGGTGATGGATATGTTAATTAGCTTATTTAATAACTCTACAGTGCATACATATGCCAAAACATCACACTGTGATGTATCACATTGTGGGGTATCACATTGTACCTCATAAACATATACAGTCATTATTTGTCAATAAAATAAAAATGACGGATTTTCTACAAAGGTGCCAAGAGCACACAATAGGGAAAGGAAACTCTCTTAAATAAATGGTGTTGAGAAAACTGGGTATCTACAAGCAGAATGAAATTGAACCTTTATCTCACATCATAAACAAAAAATCAACTCAAAATTGATTAAAGATTTAAATGTAAGACCTAAAACTATACAACTCTTAGAAGAAAATATAGAACAAAATCTCCATAAGGTTGGTCTGGACAATGACTTTTTGGCTAGGACCCCTTTTTGAAGCACCAAAAACAAAAATAGAGAAATAAAATTGTATCAAACTTAGAAGCTCTTACACAGAAGCTTTACTTAACAAAGTAAAGAGAGAACCTACAGAATGGGAGAAAATATTTGCAAACCATACCTCTAATAAGGGTTAATATCAAAAATATATAAGAAACTAAACTCAATAGCAAGAAAATAAATAGCCCTATTAAAAATGGACAAAAGACTTAAATAGACATTTCTCAAAAGAAGACACGCAAATGGCCAGTATGTATATGAAGAATGATCAACATCACTAACCATCAGGGAAATATAAATTAGCACCACAATGAAATAGCTATCACCTTGCACCTGATAGGATGGCTATTATCAAAAAGACAAAAGATAACAAATATTGGCAAGGATGTAGAAAACAGGAAACACTTGTACACTGTCAATGGGAGTGTAAATTAGCATGGTCATTATGAAAAACAGTATGAAATTTCCTCAAAAAATTAAACAGAGAAATACCATATGACCCAGCACTCCCACTTCTGGATATAAATCCAAAAGAAATGAAATCAGTATCTCAAAAAGATAGCTGCATTCCCATGTTTATTGCAGAATTATTCACAATACTGAAGATACGAAAAGCAACCTAAGTGTCTGTCAACCAATGAATGAATAAAGAAAATGTGGTATATACACACAATGGAATACTATACGGCCTTTAAAAGGAGGAAATACTGTCATTTTTGACAATATGGATGACCTGGAGGACATAATACCAGGTCAAATAAGCCTGGCACAGAAAAACAAATACTGTTTGATCTCACTTATGTCTTATGTGTGGAATCTAAAAAAGTTGATTTCATAGAAACAGAGACTAGAAAAGTGATTACCAGAGGCTGGGTGAGGGAGAGGTTTGAGGAAAGAGATGATAATCAAAGGGTACAAAATTTAAGTTAAATTGGAGGAATACATTTTAGTAATCTACTGCACTGCATGGTGACCACACAGTTAATAATAATGTATTGTATATTCAAAATTGCTAATAGATTTTTAATGTTCACACCACAAAATAAAAAGATAAATTTGTAAGGTATCGATATGTTAATTAGCTTGATTTTATCTTCCTACAGTGTATACATATATCAGCACATATTTTTGTGCCCCATAAATGTATACAATTATTATATGTCAATTGAATTTTTTTGAAGTTTGAAAATCACAAGTATAGTAGGATGAAATAAAACATTTGGTGTTTATGTTTCAAAATATTTTTTAAAGATATTATGGACGAAAGAATTAGTGAACTTGAAAACAAAGCAAATCCTAGGCAAAATAAGACTCTAAAAAAAGAGTAAATAAAAAGGAACAGAGCCTCAGGAAACTGTAGGATAACATCAACCAGCCAAATATACTGCTATTGGAGTCCCTGAAGAAGTGAGAGGGAAAAGGCTAAAAAATATTTTTTTAAATGACAAAACTTGTCCAAATCTGATGAAAACTATAATCTTGAAGATCTATGAAGCTCAACAAATTCCAAGCACAAAGAGCTTGAAGAAAACTATACAAAGACACATAATAACCAAATAAACCTATAAGTTTAATGTGATGTGTATGCACATGATAGCAGCTTCTTAAAAATAGAATTTGACAAGCCAATTCTAAATTTATATGAACATGTAAAGGACCTGGAATAGACAAAACAAAATATATAAAAAGAACAAAGTTTGAGAATTTTCACTACCTAATTTCAAATCTTGCTCTAAAGCTACATGACTCAAGGTAGTATGGTTTTGATGTAAAGATAGGCAGACACATTACTAAAACACAATAAACAAACCAAAAATAGACTCATATATACATGGTCAATTAATTTTTGGCAAAAGTGCTGAAATGACTTGGATGTCCGTCCTCTCGAGATCTCATGTTGAAATGTGATTCTTAGTGTTGGAGGTGGGGCCTTCCGGGAGGTAATTGGATCATGGGGGTACACCCCTCATGAAAGGTTTAGCACCATCCCCTTGATGATAAATGAGTTTATGCTTAGGTATTCCATAGGAGATCTGTTTGTTTAAAATTCTGGGACCTCCTCCTTCTCTCCCTCTTGCTGCCACTCTTGCCATGTGATGTGCCTGCTCCCACTTTGCCCTCTGCCATGATTGTAAGCTTTCTGAGACCCCCCACCAGAAGCGAGCAGATGTTGGTGCCATGCTTGTATAGTCTGCAGAATTGTGAGCCAATTAAACCTCTTTTCTTTACAAACTACACAGCCTCAGGTATTTCTTTATAGCAATGCAAGAACAACCTAACACAAATGCTAACTAATGTTAACTAATGTTATTAAATGGCATAAGGATTTTTTTTTTCAACAAATGGCATTGGACCAACTGCATGTTTATTATTTTTAAAAAAGAAAGAAAAGAACCTTAATGCTTAATTTATGTCAAAAACAAAAATTAATTCAAAATGGATCATAGGGCTAAATGTAAAATTTTAAACTATGAAACATCTAGGAGAAAACATGGAAGAAAACATTTGGTACCTTGGAGCAAATATTCATTAGTATTAAAAAAATACGGGCAGGGTGCGGTGGCTCACGCCTATAATCCCAGCACTTTGGGAGGCCAGGGTGGGCGGATAATGAGGTCAGGAGTTCAAGACGAGCCTGACCAACATAGTGAAACCCCATCTCTCATAGTGAAACCCCGTCTCTACTAAAAATACAAAAATTAGCCAGGCATGGTGGCACATGCTTGTAATCCCAGCAACTCAGGAGGCTGAAGCAGGAGAATCCCTTGAACCCAGGAGGTGGAAGTTGCAGGGAGCCGAAATTGTGCCACTGCACTCCAGCCTGGGTGACAGGGCAAAACTCCATCTTAAAAAAAAAAAAAAAAATTACTGGCCAGGCATGGTGGCTCATGCCTGTAATCCAAGCACTTTGGGAGGCTGAGGTGGGTGGATCACCTGAGGTCAGAAGTTCAAGACCAGCCTGGCCAACATGGTGAAATCCTGTCTCTACTAAAAATACAAAATTTAGCTGGGCATGGTGGCTGTAATCCCAGCTACTCAGGAGGCTGAGGCAAGAGAATTGCTTGAACCCAGGAGGCAGAGGTTGCAGTGACCTGAGATTGCACCATTGCACAACAGCCTGGGTAACAAGTGTGAAACTCCATCTCAAAAAAAATAAAAAAGAAAGAAAGAAAGAAAATACCAACCTCAAAGGAAAAAAAAATGAGAAATTGAACTTGGTCAAAACCAAAATCTTTTGTTCCTTAAAAGACATTATAAAGAAAATCGAAAGGCAATCTGTAGAGATAAATATTTAAAAATATATATGACAGAAAATTTGTATTCAGGATATATAAAGAAGTCTTAAAACTCAATAATAAAAGAGACAACTCAATTTTTAAAAAAGATTCAGACACTTCGCCAAAGAGGTATATAAATGGCCAGTAAGCACTTGAAAGTTCTTAATTTTATTAGTCATCAAGAAAATGAAAATAGAAATCACAAGACACCATTTCACACCTACTAGAATAGCTAAAATTAAAAGGGCTAAGGACAGTCCATTTTGGGGAGAGTGTGAAGAAATTCAATCTCTCATTTATGGCTGGTAGAATTATAAATGATGCAGCCACTTGGGATTTCTATCCTTTTCCTAAAATGCTAGATATATACTTACTGTATAACTGAACACTTCTACTCCTAAGTATTCACCCAAAAGAAATGAAAGCACAAGTAATAAAGAGTCTGATTCTGTTTTTGTTGTTCAGTACCGACAATGTTAAAGCCCAGCCCCTTCCCCTTTTGCCCATATCTGTGCAAGACAGTGAGAAAACATGGGCATCCCTTCCTTCCTTTGGTACTGGAGAGAGATTCAAACGATGCAAACTCAGCTCATGGGAACACTCACCTTGACTCCACTCATTAACTACAATAAAACCAAGTCCTCCAGCCTGTGCAATATAGGGAGATCCCAACTCTACAAAAAAATTAAAAAATTAGCCAAGCATGGTGGTGGGCATGTCTGTAGTCCCAGCTGTTTGGGAGGCTGAGGTGAAAGGATTGCTTGAGCCAGAGAGGTTAAGGCTGCAGTAAGCGGAGATTGCACTGCTGCACTCCAGCTTAGGCAACAGAGCAAGAGTCTCTCTCTCTCTCTCTCTCTCTCTGACACGCACACACACACACACACACACACACACACACACAAAAGCCCCTAGGCCCTCCTTTGCTCAAACCATTCTGGACCAGCTTGGTTTCTTGCCTTTCTCTCCCAAGAAAGCCCCACTGTGTGAGAAATAAAGACTTTTATGCCTTCTTGATATATGTGGCGTCATACTCCAAATATTCAAACCAATTATCCACATAGGGTTGATAAAGCCCTCCACAGGACAACCACAAAAAACAAATATCCATAAAAATACATGTATGCAAATACTCACAGCAACTTTATTCATTAAAGTCCCGAACTGGAAATATTCCAAATGCCATCAATGGGTAAACAGATAAATGAATAATGGTATATTTATATAATGGATTACTACTCTGTAAAACAAAACAAAACAAATTATTAATATCCCTAAAGTAGCTAGATCTTAAAAACACGATGGAAAGGAAAGCCATGCACAAGAGTACATATTGCATGAGTCCCCTATTTATATGAAATCAGTGGTTTCCTGGGGTTGGGGAATAGAGTGGTAAGATTGATTGCAGTAGAGAACAAAGAAACTTTCTTGGAAGATGGAAACGTTTTGTATTCTGGTTTCATCAAGAGTGCTTGACCTTAAAATGAGTGAAATTGATTTGTATATAATTATACCTCAAATAAGTTGATTTTGTAAAAAATGATTTTCAGGTTTATCATGTGACCCCTAGCTGTATCCCAAAAAGATGGAAGAAAACATTCCTTCCACATGAAAATATACAGCATACAGAGAGCAGCAGAATCATGTGGCTATACCTTGCAGATGGGATGCTTAATGAGAACTGGAGTATTCAAGGGGGACATGACAAGTAGGAGCACTTAATATTAGAAATAAGGTAGACCTGTTTAACTCAATACATAGCATAACCATCCTTTAATGAGAATGCCAAAATGAATCTCTGATGGTGGCTAATTGATTGTGGGAGGCCCAGGAATGGAAAAAGCTAGTCATTCCCATAAGTATTACTCAATCTTATACAATAATAGCAGTTGAAACTTTTAAGTCTAGTAGAGTTCTCAATTGAGTTCATAAGTACAGAATCATAGCTTTTCTTCCAATTCCTTCTTGAATGACAGGGAAGACCAGTAACTTTGAGAAATAATCCTGCAATGGTATCTCCAGTGTCAGGGAATTTTGCTTTCCTCAGTTTGGAACTTTGCATTAACACTGAGGAAGAGACATTCTTAGAAATCTGGAAGATTATAGAACAACTTAAGAAAAGAACTCTTCTCAGTGGGCAGACTTTTAAACTCTAGCATTTAAATCTACCACAATAGTCTAGAATGAGTTTTTACATTCCATATTTGGTTGCCTTCCAGGATTTTCTACCAACCTAAGTTACATATATGACCATTTTATTTTTGCTTAGAAGATCAAACCCCTACACGAATTCCCATGACATGGATAGAAGTCTCCAGGACAGAGTAGAAGGTTAATGGAGGTCAGATAATAAATTTTTGACCTAAATCCATCTCATAGTAGGCCCAGTGGGATACAAATCCATTTTGAGATTATTTTTCCAGTTTCTAAGTGGAAAACTTATTCTGGATGCAAATCCAGAATAAATATCCCTAGCAACAGACACAATCCACATATTAGCTTTCTAACTCATGGATATGGCCTATTGTGACAGAAATAGCTAATATAAATCTTTTTAAATATCCTATTCTTTCAAATTATAAATCAAAATCAATACCACATCCCACATGGTTGAATTTCATTTATTAGTGTCATCACTAAAGACTTGTAGACTGCAGAACTGCTGAGTCCTATCATTTGCCCAATTAATCTTCTTATTTGGCGTATGTGGAAATTGACAAATCTTGGAGAACAGCAGTGAATTATAAATTTAATAAGATTGTGATTTCAATTGCAACTGCTCTTCAAGATGTGATCTCTTTATTGAAGCAAAATCAATTAGTCTCTGGCACCTGCATATGCAACTTTTGCCATACTGAATGTTTTCCCTGTAGCCTAGTAAGTAGAAAATACAAAAGCAATATATTTCACTCAATAAGTACAGTAGCACATATATTGACAAAATCCAACATGCTTTCATGATAAACACACTCAATAAACTAGGAATAGAAGGAAACTTTCTCAACCTAACAAAATAAATCTATGAAAAACACACAGCTAAAATCACAACGATGAAAAACTGAAAGCTTTCTATTGAAGATTAGAAACAAAACAAGGATGCTTGCCCCTGCCTCTTCTATTCAAGATTGTCTTTGGTGGTCTAGCTGGCATGATTAGCAAGGAAATGAAATGAAAAGTACCTAGTTTGGAAAGCAAGATGTAAACATATCTCTATTTTCAGGTGACACAAATATAGAAAATTCTAAAGCATCCACAAAAAACTATCAGAGCTAGTAAACTACTTCAGCAAAGTTGCAGGATAAAACATTAACATACAGACTTTTTTGTCTGATATTAATGTAGCCATTCCAGCTTTCTTTTAGTCACAGTTTGCAAGGTACATATTTTATCCTTTTATTTTCAATATATTTGTGCATTTGAATCAATTTGTGTCTCTCATAACAGCATATAATTAGATCATGTTTCTTAAATTCATTCAGACAATTTCTGTCTTTTTTTTTTTTCTTTTTAATGAGACGGAGTCTTGCTCTGTTGCCCAGGCTGGAGTGCAATGGCACAATCTCAGCTCACTGCAACTTCAACCTCCCAGGTTCAAGCAATTCTCCTGCCTCAGCCTCCTAAGTAGCTGGGATTACAGGCATCCACCGCCATGCCCGGCTAATTTGTATATTTTTAGTAGAGACGCAGTTTCACCATGTTGGCCAGGCTGGTCTTGAACTCCTGACCTCAGGTGATCCGCCTGCCTCGGCCTCCCAAAGTGCTGGGATTACAGGCGTGAGCCACCATGTCCTGCCCAATTTCTGTCTTTTAAGAGAGTTTAATACACTTTCTTCAATATTCTTACTGATAAGGTAAAATTTACCTCTACCTTTTTGTTTTCTACATGTCATGTCTTTTTCTTTTTCTTTTCCTCCATTACTGCCTTCTTTTGTGTTAATCAATATTTTTAATGTATTATTTTAATTCTTTTGTCAATTTTACTATATGTTTTTTGTTATTTTATTAGAGATGGTGCTGGGAATTAAAATTAGCATCTTAATTTATAACAACCTAGTGTAATTCAGATCAACACTAATTTAATTTCAGTAGTATACAAAGGCCTGCTCTATATGGCTCTACTCCCTCCCTAGTTTTTGAGTTTTATTGTCATACAAATTACAGCATGATACACTGTATGCCCATCAACATAGATTTATAATTACTGCTTTATGCAGTAATCTGTTAAATCAGAAATAGGAAAAAAATTATTACAAGCAGAAAATGCACTTATATTGTCTTTTATATATACTTACATATTACCTTTACCAGTGCTCTGAATTTCTAAATACCAGTTTGATTTATTGTCTAGAACTCTTTCATTTTGGCCTAAAGGACTACCTTTAGTATTTCTTGTAGGACAGGTTTGCTAGCAATGGATTCTCTCCTTTTTTGTTTAGCTCAGATGTCTTTATATCTCCATTGTTTCAGTATAATTTTGCTGAGTATAGAAACCACTGTTGAAAGCACTCTGATTATGTTATCCTATTGCCTCCTGGCTTCAGTGATTTCTGATGAGAAACTAGCTGTTAATCATATTGAAGATCTCTTATACGTAAGGAATCGTTTCTCTCTTGCTACTTTCATGCTTTTTTGTCTTTGGTTTTCAACAGTTTGATTATGATGTGTTCTAGATGTGAATCTTGTTGAATTTATTCTACTTGGAGTGTGTTGAGTTCAGATGTGTCAAAGACTCACAGTCCTGAACATGCACACAATGCTACACATGTGCATCAATGTCAAGATTTCCAGATATATGTTACAGCTTTACAAAGTTCCTTATAGACAAGCTCAGGAGTATGGATTGTTGTAGACTAATGTTTCTCATCAAATGTGGAAGTTTTCAGTCATTATTTCTTCAAATATTAATTTCTATCCATTTCTATCTCTCCTCTCCTTCTGGAATTCTCATCATATGTATGTTGGTACATTTGGTGGTGTTCCACAAGTCTCTGAGGTTCTGTATATTTTTCCTTATTCTTTTTTTCTTCTGATCCTCAGACTGGAAAACCTCAATTGACCTGTCATGTTCTCTATTTCTGATTTCAGCCTGCTCAAACCTGCTGTTGATCACCTCTACTAAATGTTTAATTTCAGCTATTGTCTTTATCTATAGCATTTCTAGTTTTATCTTTTCTATCTCTCTATTGATATTCTCTTTTTGGTGAGACATCATTCTTAATTTCCATTAGTTCTTTAGATGTGGTTTCCTTTAATTCTTTAAGCATATTTAAAATGACTGATTTAAAGTCTTTGTCTAATAAATTCAACATCTGGGCTTCCTCATGGAACAGTTTTAATTGACTGTTTTTTCTAGTGTTTATTCACATGTCTCACATTTTTGTCGAAAACTGATACTTTTTAAAAACGGAAATGCAAAGTCAGGTTCTACTCCCTCTCCAAGGTTTGTTTTTATTACTGTTTGTTGTCAATTGTCTTTTTAGTGACTTTTCTGAACTGACTCTATAAAGCCTGTATTTTTTCTCACTTTTGACACCTGGAGCCTCTGCTCATTTAGCTTAGTGGTCAGCTAATGATTGTATAGAGAATTCTTTTAAATGTCTGGAACCAGTAAGTCTTTGCAAAGGAACCAGTAGAGGCTTTGTCAAGATACTCTATGTGTGTGTTGGGCATGCTTTCAACACTCAGCCAGGCAGTTTATAACTCTGCCTTAGCCTTCACTTCTTGCTTGTGCAGGGTCTAGAAGTTATACAGAGCTGAAACTCAGGTCTTTCCTGAGCATACTCACAGTCCTGAACATGCACACAGCCCTACACATGTGCATTGTTAAAGCCAACTCAATATGGCCTGAGAAGGACTCCGTACTTCTATATTTAAGACCGTGTGGATGAACTGCAACCTAAGTTAATAGGTAGACAGGATTGAAAACCTAACTTAAGAGTATGCACCTGTAACAACAGCTGAGTCTTGGCCAGTCTCAGCAGCCCTACTTCAACTACTCATACACTGCTGTGTTCAAATAAGGCAAAGGTGGAGCTGTAACCAGTCCAATTGTTTCTGTACCTCAGCTCCAATTTCAGTATGTCACTTCCCTTTTTTTGGTCTACAAATTTGTTCTGACCATGAGGCATCCCTGGAGACTGTCTGAATCTGTTGTGATTCTGGGGGCTGCCTGATTTACGAATCATTCATTGCTCAACTAAACTCCTTTAAATTTAATTCGGATGAAGTTGTTTTTTGTTTGTTTTTGTTTTTGTTTTTAACAGCATCAATGTCAAGATTTCCAGAAACATGTTAGAGCTTTTCAAAGTTCCTTACAGACATTTTATTCCCCAGAATTTTCTCTTGAGCTCTTTTGTTAGCCTATTTGCCCCCCAGCTGTTATCTACCACCTTAGGCAGGCAAAATGTTAAACAATTGCCTCTCATTGTTTTGACAAATGCCCCTGGAGAAAAGGTTATCCACACTAAATGAGCTATGACTGCAAGCTGTTCTTTTTTAAGGCTTCTGCAGATCTGGGCAAGGAAATGGGAACAGGGCAAGTTAAAATGTCACATATTTCACTGTTTCTGCAGAGATTAGCCTATTTGTCTTAACTAAACTGCAGATTTCTCCAAGCTTTTTAAAATTTTCAAATTGCTGAAAAAGTTAATTTTGGCTTTTTTGTGAGTATTTTCATTGTGTTTATGAAGGAGAATATTTTTGGAGGTCTTTGCCATTTTCACTGAATCCTCTTTTCATTCTCCAATTTGATACATAATCTTTTTATTAATCTGTTTGAGCAAACTTTTTGCTCAGGTTTGGAATGTTGAGTTTTCCTTGGGGTCTCATTTAATTACTAAATATTATTAATCAATTTTTATTTATACCTATGCATATATACAGATTTGTACAAATAGCTACAAAAGGAGACACATTATTTGCAAAATCCCGATAGTCATGGACACACACACAAATGCACCCCCTCCCCGTCACCAACCCAATAAAATTCCTACTGAACTCTAGCATTCACTAATTCTGTCCTTACATGCATGCCAACTGGCTTACTTATAGTTATGCAGGAGAGAAACAAGTAGGAGCTACAGTGTGACAGATGCAGCAATTTCTGCAAGAATAATGATCCTACCCCCTCAGGTCACACCACCTTCAACCTTTATCAGAAACTTTTGCCTTGAACAGTTGAAGAGAAAAGAAACTGGAAATGCAATAAGGCTCTCTTCATATCACCTTCCTTTTCACTTAGATAAGAAATAGAAGACAAAGATCTAGGACTTTAAGTCACCTGGAATAGCTTCTAATGTGATCTATGCATTTTCAGGTCACCCAACTTTTGATCTTCCCAATGTTGACTGCTCAACTTACAGACTTCACTGAAAACCTGGAAAAGTTTCCTTTGAACAGGTAGAAATTGCATTGCTAATGTTGGGCCAATTTTAGTTATGCTAATTGCTAACGAGAAAAGGTGTTAAACATTAAAATATACAAGTTGCATCAAACCTACCTGTCAAATGTTATTTTGTTTGTTTGTTTGTTCATTTGTTTTTAGATGGAGTCTCACTCTGTCACCCAGGCTGGAGTGCAGTGGCACGATCTCCGCTCACTGCAAGCTCCACCTCCTGGGTTCACACCATTCTCCTGCCTCAGCCTCCTGAGTAGCTGGGACTACAGGCACACGCCACCACACCCAGCTAATTTTATTGTATTTTTAGTAGAGATGGGCTTTCACCATATTAGCCAGGATGGTCTCGATCTCCTGACCTCGTGATGCGCCCGCCTTGGCCACCCAAAGTGCTAGGATTACAGGCGTGAGCCACCACACCTGGCCCAAATTTTTTTTTTTTCTTGAAGCAGAATGATGTTATTCTACAACAAAGAGTGGAAAGCTTCTATGTAGATTAGGCACATTTGGAGTTTTCTAGTAACAACTTTATAAGGCCCTTGCACTGGAGCCTATAAAACACACAAGTAAAGATCCTTGGCTCTGAAGGCAACCTGCCAGAATCTCAGTAGTATTCACTTTAAAAATAATAACTTTGTGGACTAAACAGTATTTATGCAACTGAAAACAACATATTGCCTTTAATAAAATGAAAGGTACACTAGGAAAGGCCAGCTGTAAAGAATATTCTTGAGTAGTAAGCACAGAAGTAAATTCAACATTCCTTTTCCTAATAGGAAAAAAAAAAGGAAATTTTTATCTGCCTTTTTTTTAAACCTAAGAAATTCATGAGAGAAATATATATGTGGCTTCTTCCTTCCTTTGAAGGAAATTTTTCCATGTTTTCAGTGAAGTCTATAAGTTGTACAATCAGCATTGGGAAGATCAAAAAGATAATGCTCAGAGCACACCTTAAAACAAAACATAAAGGAGACTTATAGTACAGGGAAGGAAGTAAAATATTTAAGGGCTGTTGGGGGGTACGAAAGTCTAATTCACTAGGTACAGGTTTGCTGTCACCAACCCTTATCTTCTAACTGAAGTTTTGTACTTTCAATATCTATAGCTTATCACAGGACCCATCTTAAAAGCTTGAGAAATCATGCTTTAAAAATATATTTCTCACTTGTGTTGTACCCAATCCCAGACAGAGTTGTGGAAATCAGCACATACCATTTGCCCATTAAACATCTCCTTCTTTCTTGTGTCTGAAAATCTTCATATTGTTTTTCTGTAGAAATAATTTACATTTAAAACGTAACACAGGGCTGTGAAATGTAGTCATGGAAACCATGACAGTAGGGATAAAAGAGAGATTTGAGGAGTTAGTGAGTGTTTTTGATTTTTCAAATACAATAGTTCCCTTAAGCAAAGTCAGTTGTGCCATATGGTGAACTGTGTGTGGTAATTTTCTAAGCTTGCAAATAGAATTCTGCAAAATGTGATCAACTGCTAAGTCAATGCAATCCAAGTGAGCTCAAATTCTGCTCTTGCTCACTATTCCTAGGGATATACTGCAAACAAACAAACACTTAGTATTTAATTTTAAGAACCCCAAAACAAAGATTTATGTGATAGGATAGAAATTCACCAAAATCATTTAACTTTAAAGAACGGAGAAACAGTCGGTTTCAGAAGGCCACAGACTTTGTTGCACACTCATTGTCTATGTGAAACTCTAAATTAGCCTGAGATTCAGTTCCTGCCCTCGCTCCATCACCCCAAACCCATAATATTGCCATTATTGTCTTCTTGAGGCAAACATTTTCTGTGTCATAAATCTTTAAATATAAATCAGCTTTGCTGCAATGCAATCAATCACAAAATCTCATTTGCATAACAAAAAGCATTTACTGTATTACTTTCTCATGCATCTATCTGCAAGCTGGCCGAGGCAGATCTGCTTTAGGCTGCAAGTCTGTGGGTTGAGCCAGCTCTGCTTCATGCATCTAACACTGGAGCCCTGTTTGGAGTGCCCACAGCTGCTCTATCAGGTCTTCCCATGGCCATGACCAAAGTGCAAGAGAGTAATCGCAACTGAGCAAATACATTTCAATCCTCTGCATACAGCACATTTGTTAATATTTTGTTGGCCAACATAAGTTACAGAGTCAAGCTCAATGTCAAGGAGAAATGATATACGCTCTTCACATTGAGGTAGAGTATTAAAGTGAATATTTAATTAACAATTTTAAAAAGTACTACAATCCACCCTTTTTGTTCTCAAATATTCTCTATCTTTTCATATGCAAAATACACTCACCCTAATTGCATCCATAAAATCACAGCATCAAACTCAAAATCCAGAATCTCATGATCTACATCTGGTCTAGATACAACTCCTTTTGGTCCAGTGACCTATGAGCTAAACACAATTTATGGCGCCCCCACACACCCAATAAACCATTGTGCAACTTGGGTAGGGTATCCACAATTAATAATCCTATAGTTAAAGTCTGAGGAATGGAAAGCACCTAACAGTTACTAGTTTATAACAATTTTGGAGCCTCACAGAGCAAATCAGGTGTCCAAACAATAGGAAACTGAAATCACTGCTTGCTAACTGCTCTTGCCCCAAAGATGGACCATAATAAGATTTATCCTGTATTGTAGCTAGTAGAAACAGGAGCAATGCTGAGTGCCACTTGGGCACTCCTCATAGGAGTAAATGAGCCTTTCTGCACAAGGATACTCAATGGGAATCTGTATCTATACAATCATGTGAGTTGAGACAAGGTGATTCGTTTTGTCCTCCACTAATATGGAACCCACAAACACAAGAATAATGGCCATGGTTCTTGATAAGACCCAGGTTATGCCCTCTTGGAGTTATGCCCTACTGTTCTCCAAACGTCTTGGGTTGACCCTCCTGAAGGTATTTCCTCTGCCTTCATCTTCCTTGACTATATCTAAGTGGGCATTTGAAAATAAGCCCTTCTTGGTGGCTCAGCAGTTTTAAATTCAATTTCTGGCAATATAGAGAGCAAGAGGTTTTGGTTACATTTCTAACATCTTGCGTTGTCTCATAGCCTAGACTGATGGCTGTTTTGCAGATATATGTCTCTCAAAAGCTTGTTTTGTTTTCTATGTATACACTTAAATTCTAGTTAAATACAAGTGCCAAAAGCCACACCCAAAATTCTCTCCAAGGCATGCCTCCATCTAGACTTAGTTATGGGCTCTTTGGGTACATTAGTCTTCTGAGGGGCCTTGCCCTTAATTTTTCTAGAAGCCGTTTCATCCACCTGAGAGGATCTGCTAAGCCCTCCTTTAATTATTAATATCTCATATGTCTTAACAAAGAATGTTAAAGCCATCATTAACTTGGTCTTTGTAATTACCATCCTTGTTTTGATAAGAAACTATTTTATTTTCCATACCTGAGATTTCTGGACTCTCTATAGTCTCCATAAATCCTGTTTGCAAACTGAGCTCATCTTTTTCCTGTAGCATTTTATTAATTGTGATTAATAAATATCTGTCCATGATTTTAAAATATCACCTCAAATGTTGTAAGCTTATTAGGTAGATTTTTCTGTCTTCTGAGTTACTGCAGGCAACAGTTTTTTTCAAATATTTTGTTATTTGATAACATATGTCACCACTTTTTCTACCACCTATGACAATTTCATTACTCACTGCCTGGTCTCAAAGCCAAAGCCAAATACTACATCATTCAGTTATTACTACAACAATATTTCATTAAAAAGACACCCAAAATTTAGTGGTTTATGGTCATAAACGTTCATTCCCACATTTACGTATCTTCATGCTGGCTACTGTTCAGCTAACTAGGGACCAATTTAGCTGTGGTGGCTCTATGTCAGGCCGTAACTTGATTGGATTTGGTTCCACATGACAGCAGATATCTAGGAAATGTTCTTCTCCTGCAGAGGATTGTGTTGAGAGATAAAGCTCCATGGGTCACTCACATCTCTGCACATATTGAGAGCAGAGGCACTGACTGTCTTTGTTTCAGACCATCTTTTCAAGGATGTATGGCAAACAGCCTTGGAATACAGAAATAAGATCTCCTTCCAGAATCAAAGGCAGACATGTTGAGTTTCCATTATAGAATATTTGGGCTCCCTAAGTGCAGAGTTTCTCTCTTGTAATGCAACTCACTGTGAGTGCAGTAATCAGGTGGCCTTCTTCATATTGTCCTGTAGGAACTGGAGCTTGGGGAACCAACACAAGAAAATATTGATATTCTAGCTACTGTTATTGCTGTGAGTAATAAAGTTTTTTGTTTCTGACATAGGAGTCTCATGTCTTCTTCAAGTATCCACGACACTGTGGCAGAGTAATTTGTTAGCTTGCAAATAGAGTAAAATATCAGACTATTAATAAATTTTGATTATTAAAAGTAAAACAAATCACATAGCAAAGCCCAACATCAATGGTGTGAGGAAAGTATAATTCTACCGTGGAGGTGGGAGAGTGGGAAAAGTAAGAAGTAAATATTTGCTGAATGACAACCTAATATACCATAATATCTACCAGTAGTATCTATCATTTCTTCTCATTTACAACACATGGATTTTATTGTAAAAATAATAATCTGTAAGTGCTGTCTTCGTAGAATTGAGAAACAGAAATTTAAATGGCTCCAACCTCCATTGTGTTAGTCTTTTTCTATTGCTTAGAAACACATATATTTCTCATTCCTATTTTGTAGATTTTCTTATTGCATTTCCCCTTTCTGATCAAAGGCTTTTTCTCAGATCTTTAATGCCAGCGAAATATTTTAATATAGACAGAATTAATAAAAGTATTAAAAATAAAGAGAGAATTATAAAAATGACACTTCAGGTTTGGAGTTGAATGAAAAGAAACCGGTGGGTTGTCTAGGGGTTTTCTGAAACTAAACAAGAGAGCTGGTAACTGTCACTTCTCTTAACACATCTACCACCTTTTGGACTCAACTAAAGCAGCAGGTATTACTAAAGACAGCATGGTGAAGGATAAGTTTAGTTTAGCTTATAGAGTATGCTGTGATCTTACTTGCTCAATCCATGACTGTTAAATTAACACCTTTTGTAACAAAGACTGTTTCCTTGCACACATATAACTACAAGGGATTCACAGAACACAAGAAGCAAAATCACCCCTCATGGTAAGCTGTTCTGCAATCGGTAATGGATAGGGATTTCCTACCTGGTTTCAGGTATATAGGACAAAAGCCTTGCAAACAAAAGGCAGATTAGATTTTGAAGTTAAAGCCAGTCCAGTATTCCCAATCAACAGAAAACTTCATTGAAGCTCTGAGAGTTTAAGCACTGAATTAAAAACAAGTTATTTTCAAAATTATAATTAAAATCAAGATTTGTAAATAGGTGTTGTGTCTTTTATGTTGGCACTCTACCTACTTGTCATATTCCCCAAACTAAAGTTATTGTTATCTGAGAGCCTCAGGTAAGTTAAAGACAAAAATTAAACATAATAATTAATAACTAAGTAATAATTCATAAGTAAATACAGAAATCGTACATATCTATATGTAAGAAATGTTGAAAAACAAAACAATAAATCAAATCCTCAGGTTTTGCACAATGTTTGATTTTTTAAAAATTTTCTGCACTTATTATAATCTAAATATTTGCCTTACATTTCATTTTCACTGGACAAGTATTGTATTGAAAGTCTATGACTGCAAGAGAAAATAGCACTATTCTTGGCACTATGGATACCAGTATAGCCAACACTTGCTTACTTATTACTTATTTACTGATGAATTATTGCTTACTTATTATGTTTAACTTTTGTCTTTAATCTACCTGAGGCTCTCAGATAACAATAACTTCAGTTTGGGAAAATTCTAAGGCATCTTCCCAAACTGAACAAGTAAAGTCAAGTCCTCTGGTTTTGCATTCATATGTACAAGCGTAATGGACAGAATTAGGGCAAAGTCTGATGAGGTTCTGATGAACTAGGTAGGTTCAGGGGGAGGGTGCAAGGGGGATATTGCCCCAGCAACACAATTCCTACAATGGGAAAAAGACCAGATCGAGGTTAAAAAAAAAAAAAAAAAGCTAAACTTTTGGTTCTTTGAATGTCACATTGGCAAGTTTAAACTTTTTCTCACAAGCTGTTTTAAAGCAGAAAAATTACATGATCTATGTTTTAGAAAAGCTCTGGGCAGAGAGAGGGATGGCTTGGAGAGATCAAAACCTAGAGACCAGGGCAGCTAGAGGACAATCACTGAGCCCTTGAGAAGAGATGACCGAAGGCCTGACAGATGGGGTCGAAGTGGAAGGGGCTTCACTGAGGTTGACTTGACTGAACTTAGTGACTCATTTTATAATTTTATAAAATTTCTATAATATTATCAAAACTCTTCAAAATGAAGCATCAGTAATGGTCCTTTTATTTTTTTAATAAAATGTGAACATATAGAGGAAAATATAAGGAAAATCCACTGACCCACCACCCAACTTAAACAATAAAATGCTATAAATATAAATAAATCTCACTATGTGATCTTCCCAAAACTCAAGTCCTCCCTCTTGCTCAAAGACTACATCCACCTTAAATTTAGTGTTTATTTATATTCTATCTTTCCCTTCCTCTTATCTTTTCCCTTTTCTGTTGTCATAACTGTCTTTGCTCAATGAAGCAATATTTACCTGCTAAATGACAATTTTAACTATTTTCTATCTGTCTGCATTCTAGAGGAAGTCTCTCCCTTCACTACAAATTTGGCTCTCACACTATGGTCACAGCAATTCTCTTCTGTACATGGCATAAAACTGCATACATTTTTCCATTTATTCCTCAAACATTTGTTAAAAACTAGTTATGTGCCAACTACTCTGCTAAGCAACTGGAAATATTATGTCAATAGACATGGTGGTCCCACTGTAATCACTTACTAAGTATATGCTGAATGAGTGAATAACAGACTCTCCCTGCCCTCAAGAGCATCTAGAATAATGAAGGAGAAAGACACAGATAAGCAATATTGAAAGGAAGAATAAAGGACTGTAAGAATACGAAACCCATAAAAGTATTCCTTTGGCTTATTTCATGGTATTTCAGGATCTTGTCACTTAATCTAATGACTCGTCACTAAAACATTTTGCCAACCACCACCATTCTTACACCTTTATGAGGTAGACATATTAAGAAAATGTTCTTACTAGCCAAGATCAGAACCTCCTACAAAACATCCCAGTGCTATCCAGACAATATTGACTTCCCCGGAGTTGTAGTGGAGACATATCCCCTGTTTATTGCCAGCCATCAGCTCAGACCCCATCTTATCAAACCCCTAGAAGTCTGTCCACACAAAAGCCACTCCAAAGAGATTTCCTTGTCTTCCTACTTCCAATAGTGAGGACCTACTTTGACTATGGGATGAGAAGAACTACTCCCTCATCATAGTTACCTAATAGTAACAATAACCATAGCAACACTAATAATAACTAGCATATATTAAGCATTTACTATATAAGTGATATGTATATAAAACTTCACATGTGATCTCTCACATAAGCCTTACAGACTCTGTATTAAAGATCAAGTCTCATCAAATGCAGTGGCTCTCACCTATACCCAGCCACTCGAGAGGCTAAGCTGGGAGGATCACTTGAGCCCAGAAGTTTGAAGCTGCAGTGAGCTATGATAAGCCCACAGCACTCCAGTCTGGGTGATAGAGCAAAACCCCATCTCCAAACTAAGTAAAATAAAAACCAGATCTTACTATTGCCCCCAATGTTTTTTCAAAAGTTTCCCAACTGGCCCTCAGAAATGTTAAGTAACCTGTCCAAGAACACTGAGCCAGAAAGGCAGAGGTAGGTTTACTTCAAAGCTACCAGTCTTTTAGGAAAAGGGCATGGCAATGAAAGTAAGCTTTGGTGCCCTTAGCAACTAATTATGGAAAAAACAATGATAATAATAATAACAACAATAACAGCATAGTAACTGAAAATGGGGCAGCTTGAGCAGAAAAAGGTCTGTGATGGAGAGGGCATCTTGTTGAAAGCAAGTGCAGGGACTGGATTGATCGCATTGCTCATTTGTTTAGTAGACAACTAAGAATAGGGTAAGAATTCACCTTCTCTTTGCTTGTCACACCATGCTGTGGTTTCATATTGCCTGAGGCAGCAGGGCCCCTACTGCAGTCTGTGTTAGTAACAGAAGAGTTATTTCCATGGTTCCCTTATGGTTTCTAAAGACAATAATATATATTTTTAAAGCTTGGCTGATTTTATTCATGGAATCCACCCAATAGCTGACACATTAAAAGTGGCATAAGTCCATATTTTGTAACATGTATCAACATCTCACAGTTATGATAGAAAGATCTTTTAGAAATGATATCATCTACGACAGTCCTGCTCAGATCATCACACTGATGGTCAGCCTTGCTGAAGGGAACCAGGGTACCCTCATTGTCCCTGCTGGCCAGTCTCATCGAGGCCTCTTAGGATAGGATAGATGCAGAACAGCAATGCTCTCACCTCAGGTACCAATGCCAATGGATGGGAGGCCACAGAGAGCAATGCACCGATGGAGGGAGGCACTTGTAAGCTCTTAGGGTGAAATGTGGTCTATTCTTCAAGATGGAATGATTTACTCTTCTTAGTCATCATCTTTCCAAGAAAAGTTTCCACAGAGGGCATAGTATTTGAGCTGGATTTTGAAGGAAAAATAAGAACTCACCAGGTGGGTAAGTGGGTGAAGTCTTAACAGATGCAAAAACATAAAGGTATTGGAATGTTCTCAGCCTGTATCAAGATGAGCTGTGAGGCATATGTGCATTTTTATATGAGATCATACTCTGCCAGTTTTGTGTATTTTTTTCTTAAATATTATATCAGACTTCAAAATTCTTGAAAATGTCATGTTTGAAAATGGTATTTTATTATACACCTGGCCCTAATTTATTAACCATTCATTAATTGTTAGGCATTTTTAGGATTTTCCCCAATCTCTCTGTGTTATAAGCATGGCTGCAAAGAATATCATTGCGTATACATTTCCATCTGATTTTCTGATTATTTACTTAGCATATATTCCCAGAGGTGGAACTGCTGAGTAAAAGGAAATGGAATTATATGAACTTCTATATTGATAAAGTGCTCTCCAGAATTTTTTCCCAGGGGTTTGAGTTTCGATTGACCCTACATCTGGTTCTGTGAGACAGTGTTTGTTTCACCAAAGCATTTTCATCTTTGGGTACCAACTTTTGTCAAAGCTTGCTAATGTGATTGAGGTACATTGGAGTGACATTATTGGAATTTGTTTACTTTTTTGAACATTTTCTTGCAATGTAAAAGAGTCTTTTGTGCATTGAATATAACAACATCCCTCCACTTTTGAAAAGGTGGCTCTGACTTGGAGAATATCACCTTCTACATTGTTTCTGTCTTACCAGAATCTAGGCAGTAGAGAGGAGTACTGCCTAACATTTTGATCTGGCCTAAGTGGGGCATGGAGGAGAGGGAGGAGAAACTTTAATTTCCACATTTCTGCCTCATGTTTGAGTAACTAAAGGTTTCTGGGCCTGTTGTTTGATAAGTTCCTGGGCATGATCTGGAAGCAGAAGGATGAGAAAATTATAATTAACATTGCACTGCATAATAACATAATGCTCCACATTGCCTGTAAAAAAAAAAATCTCATTTTCCTTATTTTCTGAAAAGCATTGTCTGCTTTTGAAAGATGTGTGTGTGTGTGTATGTGTGTGTGTGTTCTCTTCACAATTATATAAATCAAAATTTACATGGTCACATGTGAACAGAAACTGAACTCAAAATAGCTGAAGCAATAAGTCATCGTTCGCTTAAGTAAGTGAAACGTAGGGGCTCTATTCAGTTATTAAAATGATGATCATGACTCCTATCATTTTCTCTCTCTTTGTTTTGGCTTTATTTTCCTCTGTGCTGGCTTTGCTCTCAAGCAGGCTTTCTCTATGTAGCAGTCTGCATGGCCCTCACCACCTCCATCATTCACAGGACTTAGTGTTCAAAATCTCAAAAGGAGAGGATACTTCTTTCCCAATCATTTTAGTAAAAATCCCAGAGAGGGCTTTGGTTTGTCCATCTTGGAATATATACCCATTTTAGTATCAATCACCAAGGCCAGGAAAGATGTGGTACTCTGCTTACTCTTGGAACCAGAGATTAGGATCAGCCCCAAATGAACCACCTGGGCTAAGAAATGGAAAAAGTGCAATCCCCCAAAGATATCCTAGGGCAGTATTAGGTGGGTAAATGATTCCCAGTTGGCTCTCTGGAGTAGAAAAAGTATCTGATTTGTAGCAATTGCTGATTTCCATAGTGTAAGCACTACCACAATGATTGATTTCAAGCAACCAACAAGATAGTGCTGAAGCAAGAATTAAGAAGAGATGCGTATGATTGGCTCTCTCACACCACTGTGGCTGGACCAAAAAAGAAGGCTCAAGCAGAAAGCACCACCTCCCACCTGAATTATTCTGCTTAATCTTCCAACCTCACCCCACCAAACTTCATACACCATGAAATATTATTATTAACAGTTAGATTGATAAATTATACTTTGGAAAATTTTATCCCAGGGATTACCTTGATATGGAAAGGAAGATGGAACCACGAGATGACCAAACCCAGAGCAGAGAATGGAGTTTTTCTAAAGTTGGATAAGGATTTCACAGTAAAATTATAGGGCAGACCCTCTCTTGGAGTAGGGTGCACCTCAAGACTAATAAGCATATAACAATGGTGATTCCCTTCGATTTTTGAGAAAGTCATATTTAGTCTTTTAAGTTTTTTCAATCCCTGAACATTCAGCATACCATGTTACATGCATACAAAGGGAAAGAAATGGAAAAGTGGTCTTTCCAGTGTTAGCCACCTACCAAGGCCAGTACTGTAGCGAAAGCACCGAATTGAAGGAGGAAAGTATGTCTAGAGTTTCAGGAGGTAGTGACAAAGCTGGAGGACACTCAAAATAGAGTTGGGAGAAATGGGGAGTTGGAAGCATTATGGAGAAATTACCGAACGTGAAAGGAACAGGGAGCAGATTAAGAAGAAATCTCCTTTTCCTTCAAATACACTCAATAATAAAAGTAACCTATGGAAAAGATGTATTTTCTTCTTCAATGAATTCCTAGTCTATGTCCTTAGCTCATTTTTCTTTCCTTTGTGCTTTTAATGTTTTAGTTTTGATTTATGTTTGAGATTGGTTTTCCTAGAAGAAGACCCTGAGATAAGAATTTGAACAAAAGCAATTTATTAAGAATTATTCCTAGGGAAAACTAATAGGGGAGTGGAGAAATTGGACAGGAAGGGGAGGAGGCTGAACAGGTTTGTGGCATCCACTGAAGTCCCATGGAAAATAACTTTGGTACTACTCCCAGGTAAGGTCTGGAGATGATAGAGATCACATCTCTAAATTGTCCTGATCCAAAGACAAGGGAGCTCTACCTCTTGGCCCTTGGTTAAGGACTCTTCCTGGGTTGGAAAGATTGGGTTCAGGCATCAATTCCCAGGCAGCTCTGACTCTCCATAGGTGTTAGTAAAAGCATGTTCAGGTTGGCTAACAGCAGTCTCCAAAGAAGACATGCAGGTACTAGTAGTGTTCACAAGGGAAATCTCACCAGAAGCCAGTGACAAAAATGGAAAAGGATCCAAGGAAATGTGAGTAAAGTGCTGACAGTGTTCACTATAATTCTGCTATAATTTGCCATACTACAAGTGTTTTTATACATTATCAATATTAACTTTTGTCATACTTAGTGAATATGTTTTCCCAAGATCATTGTTGGATTTTTAATTCTGGTTATGTTATTTTCTGATATGCAGATGTTTTCAATGTTGATGCAGAAGGATGTTAATTATAATTTCTTTGCAAAGAAGGGACAACATAAATCTTGCTTATCAGTACCTACCAAAAGCCCTAACATGTATTAAGAGGTTAATGAATATTGAGATTATACTTTATATAATTTTGTATATTTAGTATTTTCCAGTTTGGGAAATGGCTCTTAATCATAAAACCATAAAACCTTTCCCAGATTTCAAAATATTTCTCTCGAGAGTTCCACTTCAACGAAGAATACAGAAAGATGCAAGAGAATGTCACTCCCACTTTAAAAATGAAAAAAAAAATCCAGATCTAAAAAATCATAAACTTTCTTAAGTTCATTAGCAGGCTGATGTCACATGGCAAATGTAAATTTGCTTCCGAGAGAAGAATAAAAGCAAAAACCATCTGCCTTGGTGAAAAGAGGAGAAAATGCATCTGGGCACAGGATCCTGTTCTAATACAAAGCAAAGCATATGATAAATAAGATAAACATATAAAAGAAAGTCTTTGTGACTCTGGGTTACAAAAGATTTTTTTGGATAAGACATAAAAAGGAGAACACATAAGAAATAATAAATTGGATTTTATCAAAATTAAAAACTTCTGATCTTTGAAAGCACTGGTAAGTTAAAAAAAAAAAAGACAAATCACAGACAAGGAGAAACTATTTGGAAAATACACATCTGATAATTGGTATCCAGAATCTATATAAAAAAAAAAAACAACTTACAACTCAATTTTTTAAAAAATAGCCAAATCTTTTTTGCATGTATTTATTAACTTATTTTTATATATTTAGATACAAGTTCAGATATCATCCATGCATATATGGTACCATGGTGAAGTCTGGGCTTCTGGTGCACCCATCACTCAAACAGTGAACACTGTACCCAATAGGTCATTTTTCAACCTTTACCGCCTCTTACCCTGCAACCTTTTGTAGTATTCAATGTCTATTATTCTACTCTGTTTGTCCACAGGTACCCATTGTTTAGCTCCCACTTATAAGTGAGAATATGCTGTATATGATTCTCTGTTTCTGAGTTATTTTACTGAGGATAATGGCCTCCAGTTCCATCCACGTTACTGAAAAAGACATGACTTCATGTCGTTTTTACTGCTATAAGGAACACTTTATAGTAGTGTTCTATAGTGTATCTTTTTTATATAATGATTTCTTTCCCTTTGGGGATATACCCAGTAGTGGGATTGCTGGATCTAATGGAATTTTTCTTTGAGAAATCTCCATACTGTTTCCATAAATGTTGTACTAGTTTCTATTCTCACTAACAGTATATAACTCTTCCCTTTTCTCTGCATCCTCACCAACACCTATTGTTTTTAGACTTTTTAATAATAGACACTCTGTGTAAGATGGTATCTCATTGTGGTTTTAATTTGCATTTCTCTGATTATTAGTGATTTTGAGGATTTTTCATATTTTTGTTGGCTGTGTGTATGTCTTCTTTTGAAAAATATCTGTGTACTTCACCCACTTTTTAATGGACTTATTTTTCTTTCTTGTTGAGTTGTTTGAGTTCCTTGTATATTCTGAATATTAGCTTTGTCAGATGCATGGTTTGAAAATATTTTTCCCATTCTGTAGGCTGTCTGTTTACTCATTGATTGTTACTTTTGCTGTGCAGAAGATTTTTAATTTAAGTCCTATTTTCTTTTTTCTTTTCTTTTTTTTGCATTTGCTTTTGAGGACTTGGTCATAAATTATTTGCCTGGGCCAATATCCAGAAGAGTTTTCTGAGGTTTTCTTCTAGAATTTTTATAGTTTCAGATCTTATGTTTAGATCTTTAATCCATCTTGTGTTAACTTTTATATGTGGTGAGAGGCATGGATCTAGTTTCATTCTTCAGCATACAAATAGCCAAATCTCTAAAACTGACCAAAGGTTTGGACACCTCACCAAAGAAAATATATGAATGACAAATAATCACATGCAAAGATGGTCAACATTAATAGATGTAAAGGAAAGCAAATTAAGACCACTATGGATGGGCAGGAAAGGGTTAACTCAGGAGGCCTGTGTTGCTCAAACCCTGCATATTCCAAAGAAAGACCTGTCTTCAGGACTAGCCCTTGGGCTGTTCCTTTGATATAATGATTTCTTATTCTTATTTCTGGTCAGGCAGAATATTCCTGAATATTCAGAGAATATTCTGAGATTCCATACCAGTTTGACCAGATAAGTTTATTCCAGCAATGTGATTTATGATGAACACCTGGTTTTACTGCAATAGGGATGAAGTGCAGCATCCAGTCAGAGGAGCTGCCAGTCACATTCCCTGTGTTACTGACCCCTAGTAAAACTCTCGACACAGAGACTCAAGTGAGCTTCCCTTGTTGAAAACCCTCACACATGTTGTCACACATCATTACTGGAAGAATTAAGCATGTCCCCAAGTGACTCTACTGGGAAGGGACACTTGGAAGCTTGCATCTGGTTGTTCTTGGACTTCATTCCATATGCCTTTTCCCTTTGCTGGTTTTAGTCTTTATCCCTTTACTATAAAAAATATAATCATGAATATCATAGTTTTTTCAAATCCTTCTAGTAAATTACTGAGCCTGAGGATGATATTAGAGATTGCTAATGTAGTGACATAATACTACACACCAACTTGAATGGATAAAATGAAAGAGATTGACACACCAAGATTGGCCAGAATTTGAAGCACCTGGAACTTTCATATATCATTGGTTGGAATGCAAAATTGTACATACATCTCTTTTACACAACAGCTTGGCAGTTTCTTATAAAGTTAAATACATTTATGTGGCCAGCAATAGCACTCCTAGATATTTAATGGAGAAATGAAAATATATGTCCACACAAAAACATATCTGCAAATGTTTTTGGCAACTTCATCCATAATTTACAAACTCTTCAAATGTTCAATGCTTCGTGGATAGATTAAAAAATTGTGGAACATCTGTATATAGAATACTATTCTGCAATAAAAGAGGAACAAAGCAAAAATACGTGGAACAATGTGGATAAATCTAAAACACATTATACTATGTGAAAGGAGCAAGACACCAAAACCTACTTACTTTTTCCACATGATTCCATTTATGTGATATTTGGGAAAAAGCAAAACTAAAGAGGTGGAATCAGATCAGTGGTTGCTTGAATTCAGAGGAAGAGATTGCAAAAGGGAATAACAGAATTAGACTGATTATTATCACTGTGTATGTATTTGCAAAAACAAAACAACTTATTGGTCTAAAAATAATCCATGAGAAACATGTCTGATAAAACACATTTTCTGATTTAAAAAAAACCTAAACAATCATACAAGGAGAGTTAGGTACATATTTAAGTAAGATGTTTAAGGATTGAAACCACTGCCTGAGTTCTGTATCCCTAGCACAGTGCACTTAATAAATGCTTAATAATATGAAAAGAGAAGTCTCTCCTAAAACATGCATAATATTTCACCATAAACATTTCATTTAAACAATTGCCCTATTGTAGGACATGTCAGTTGTTTCTTCTAATATTTTACTATTATAAACAATGTTATAAGAACATCCTTATGTATGTTTTTCCCATCTTGAATTATTCTTTACAAAGCCTTTATGTCTAAGTCTTTATATATAAATATATGGAATATATATATATATATACATACTAGACAATGTCTCTCAAATGTCTACCTATTTTTCTAGTTTTCTGTGAAAAAAAAATAGCTCTTAAATTTCTGTGAAATTTGTCAAGTGAAAGTCCAAAGTTTTTTTTCCCTCTGTCATTGTCTTTAACGTACAAAGTTCTCTCCATTCAGCTATCTGAGTTAGGAGCTTTCTAGCTCCCTTTTTGATTTGTTTTTTGTGATCTTTAAGGACTTGGTTTAAACCACTATTTTAACACTAATATACTGCTTTGTGATTATCCATTTGTTTGCCTTTTCTCCTGATATGGTGTGATTTACATGACAAGAAACCACTTTTTATTCAACTTCAGGTGTTCCCATCTCTGACCACGGCATGTGGCACACAGTAGGGACCCGACAAGGGTTCCTTGGCTCAATAAGCAGAAGAGGTCTGAACAGCGGGGCCCTATTTCTGCCCCTACCACTGCCACAGTGTAAATGCAGTCCACCCTCTGAATTTGTTTATACAAGGTAAGTCCCTGCTTCTCAATGTCTTGTGGTGTCACCTCAAAGTAACCAAGCAATTTCTACCAGAGGAGCATGTAAGTTTGCACACTGTCCTTTGTTCTTTGCTACCCACAACATTAGGGGGCCTCAATTTTTTTGCAGTGAACTGGGTTTCTTTGCCATAAGAGAGTATAGCTAGAGGTTCAGATGACAGGCCCTGGAAACAATTATTAGGATAAAAGGTGAACTTTGATCCTTACTACTTAGAGCTTTGGAAAGTTAGTGTCTTCCCCTGTAAAATGGGAAAATAGATGTATACCCTTCATAGAATTGGGTGACCTAATGTATGTAAAGGTCCCAGCATGTAGGAAAGGCACAATAAAGGTGTGATCTATTCTTATTAGTTACATCCTCCCTCTGTCTATCTGTACTGGGTGCTTATATTTCATGATAAGCTTCACACAGGCTGGCACATTGAGAACAGGGCTGGTGGTAATGTGCAGACATGCCTTCTTGTGCACACTTACCTTGCTGGTTGGGCAAAGGTGGCTGCCTTAGTGTTTCTGCAGTGAGTTCCTCCTACAGTCCAACCCCACAGCTCTTGACAGAAGAGCCTTCTCAAAGGGCTTTACTCTTGCTCTGTCTGCATAAAGATGAACTGTTATTTTTCATCTCAGTCTTGTCACCACTGCCCCTCAGTCATCACTTCTGCTTCTTCCCCTTATGCATAGGGTAAAAGATCAATGATCCCAGAAAATACTCTTATTCTAGCTCTATTAATGCTGTGACTTCTCTCCCAGCTATCGAAAATGGTTCTGTTTGGGTGCCGTTTCAGCAGCTGGCTTCCTCTGCTCTTTGTGTTTCTCTTGTTTGCTTTACAAACTAGAGAGAAAAATTCTCTCTTTTTTTTTCATTTTTTATTTTTGTCATGGTACTGGGACCTGGGCAAAAGCTTATTTTCAAGTGTATATTTCTAGATGCCCCAAAAACAGGAACTCTAAGAGAACTACAGAGTTTGCTTTAAGATTAAGTACACCTGGGATCGTACCTGCTGGGTGGGTGTCTAGGCTATAAATAAATACTAAACTAGTGGTTATTTCACCAGGATTTTAACTACAAACTCATATGCTTCAGTGAAATTCTAAGTGAGACTCATTTTTGTAATAGCTGGTGAAGAGAGACTTCAAACTCTGTATTCTAAGCAAATGGTATAGCCTCCCAAGGCCATCCACCATCTGCCAGCTACGTGTGTGAATTGCCACAGCTCAAATTCCACTCCAGTAAACAACATTAACCAAAAGGTTCACTTTACTGAATCATTTTCAAGTCCTGGAAAGTGGTCCACACTGGCATTCAGTGTTTCACAGAGGGGGAAACTGCATTTAAGAGGAAGGATGACCTGAGTGCAATTGATTTGAAGAAAAGCATGTGGATTAATAATAGTAAAATTATAATATATAACACTGATTAGAATTTACTCCATACAGGGCCCTGGGCTTAGCACTTTACCAGTATCATCTCATTGAATTCTCAGCACAACCCTTTGAGGTAAGTACTAACATTGCCCAGTTTTGCAGATGATAAAAGTGGGGCTGAGAGAATTTCACTGACTTACCGAAACACACAGATGGCAAATGGCAGAACCAGGGCTTAAACCCTATCCTATCTAAAACCCAAAACTGTGCTCTGAACCAGTGGTTCCTCAAATCCAGACTGGATAACAGCACTTCCTTAGTTATGCAGGCATCCCCTAAGAGCTCATAAAAATAGAAACCCTTGGCTTCACACTTACAGATGCTGATTTAGAGGGTCTCATGTGGGAGCCAAGGAATCTTGGTGGGAAGAACAGCTTAGGGTCTATTCTATAATGATCCCCAGGTTCTGGATCTGGATCAGAAGGTTACAGAAAATGTTCTCTAGTTTGTGGCTGCAGGCTAGAGAAAGACTGTTGGGTTTAAAGTTAAAGACATGGGCTTTCATCATTTGAGTAACTTGCTTGATAATGTTGCACCTTTCACATATGTGAGACCGATATCACAATATGTGCCATTGTATCTTTTAAGGTTATAATGAAGCTCAGAAAAGATAATGTAGCAAGAAGAGCCTTGAAAAATAGCAGATTGCTACATACACACAGATCACACATTTATGACTATGGTATTTTATTTCTTATTTCCTGGGTGTAGCAGATGATGTCAGTGCACTATCCAGAACAAACTGGATCCTGTTTTTACCATTTTTGCACAAATCTCACCCCTTCACACCCACACAACACAGTGTTATGTTTCCAACAACCAGCACCTGTGGCCCTTCTGAAAGTTGTACTGGGCAACTGAGGCTTCTGGGTCCTCAGAGGTTTACTCCTGTGGAGGAAAGCCGTTGTCCGAAGGCAGAGAGGTATGAGGGGAAGAGAGGCCAGTTCACTGGCTCAAGTCGGGACAATTCTGAAGCCTAACCTATTCTCCAGCCCTCCTCTGTGGATCAGGACTCTGCAGGTGTTCACCTGAGATCATACCCTGGCATGGCTTTCTGCCCGTTCCTGTCCTACCTTGCTCAGTTCCTCACTGATCTCTCCCAGAAACTCTTCCTTCATAAAGCACATGCCCAGGAGTCTTCAATGGAAGATCTGCTCCTGGGAAACCCAGTCTCAAGGTTTTTGACCCACATTATTGCATCAGTGCCCTTCTAACCAGGACCCATGAACATTAACATTCTTATCGCTTCCCCTTTGTCTTCCCTTCTTCCCAAGCCCAGTGCCTTTTTCTAGTTGAGGATTGTGATGGAGTCCTTGACTCCTCCACCTGCTCTTCAACATTTTCTTGCTGTCTTTCAGTTGATGAAAAGGCCCTAGGCATTGAGGAGGGAACAGAACAAGAACAGGGATAGATACAGGCCGTCTGCTTGAGACAGTGCCACATCTCTTCCCTGAGGCAATGAAAGCAAAGAGGGAGAAAGAGGAGAAATTGATGGAGGTGACATTAAGTCATACTTTCAAGATATTAAGCTACTTTACTCAGTATCACCATTACTTTTTTAGTTTTTGTTTATTGTTTATTGTTTATGTACCTTTTAACTCATTAGTTCTCACTGGTCAACATTTTGGGAATGAAGATTCCCAGAAGTTACTTCTGCTGCTATTATCTTTTGTCTGTTTCTATTCTTTTTTGAGTGTCAAGCAGGGGCCCCTAAAAACTTGACTGTATTATTTTGGATACATGTCCTTTGGAGGGACATGGATGAAGCTGGAAAGCATCATTCTCAGCAAACTAACACAGGAACAGAAAACCAAACACCTCATGTTCTTACTCATAAGTGGGAGCTGAACAATACCAGCAGCCCTCTCTTCGACTCCATTATCCTGGGTTAGACAGGATTCACTGGATGTGAGGGAAGTCACAACTCCTGAAATTTCTACATGAAAAAATAAATCCCTGACCATTAGAATGATGAGCCTTTTGAGTAACTAAACATCTTTCACAATATGGCTATTTCAGCTTGTCTTATTTATTTAAGCCACAATAAGAAATTCTCTTAAAAAATAAAAATAAAAATCTGAACTCTTAAGAGTTAGTGCATCTTTGCCTGAATATTGAACAGCTATAGACTCACAGAAAGCTTTAAGAAACTATTTTAGGGAACATATTGACACAGCAATCCTTAATTGAATGTTACCAACTGCTTCATATCATATATTTAGAAAGAACCTGTTTATGTTGTTTTGCTACTCCAATGAATAAAGTCAGAATGGTTTAATCATCTTTTAAACATCAAATAGTCTTTATTTTAACAAATGTCTTTATTGGCCCAGGATTTGAAACCCTAGTCACTAGAGCAAGACAACACAGCCATTTTTATGCCAGCAAAAGAAGCAGCTATGAGGCCTCACGGATAACAGAAAGAATTATCACACACCCAACTTACTGCCTGGCACAATCTATGTGATACTGAAACAGATCATTGAAAATCAAAACATGTAACCTCTCCAATAGTTATTTCAGCTGTACATTGACAAATAGTTGGGTTGATTGTATTTTATTTCTGGCTAATAGATTTCAGATTTTAATTACTGACTGAGACAACTGGATTAAAAAAATAATTTATGCCAGAGATGACTTGGAAAGGAAGGCTGACAAAAGAAAAGAGGATCATTTTCCAACCAATCTGGAAAAAAATGACTAAAAACTCCGTAAATAATTCTAACGAAGGGCCTGTGGCAATAAGCTGCTTAACTTAACTGGAAAGGAAGAAACACAAAGCCCATGAATGAGGAAAAGGCATCAATACTTTTAGATACATGGGGTTGAAAAAAATGAGTCCCATTTCACAGTCTCTTCAGTAAAATCTTAAATGATGGCTACAAACATATTATAGTAACCTGAAGCTAATAAAACTACTATCATATCACATTACAAATATGAGAAAATTAGTGTACAACATTTCATGTAATCAACAATTACATTTTTTTTTCGTGGAATCTATTCTGCAGGCAGGAAGCAGAGACTCTGTGACTCTGGAGAGTTTTGAGCAGGGTGGCACGAGGCATGCAAACATTTTCTTGGCTGTTTTTTTATTTTTATTATTATTTTTTAATTATACTTTAAGCTCTGGGGTACATGTGCAGAACGTGAAGGTTTGTTACATAGGTATACATGTGCCATGGTGGTTTGCTGCACCCATCAACCCATCACCTATATTAGGTATTTATCCTAATGCTATCCCTCCCCTAGCTCTCCACCCCCTGACAGGCCCCAGTGTGTGATATTCCCCTCGCTATGTCCATGTGTTCTCATTGTTCGGCTCCCACTTATGAGTAAGAACATGAGGTGTTTGGTTTTCTGTTCCTGTGTTAGTTTGCTGAGAATGATGGTTTCCAGCTTCATCCATGTCCCTCCAAAGGACATGAACTCATCCTTTTTTATGGCTGCATAGTATTTCATGGTGTATATGTGCCACATTTTCTTTATCCAATCTATCATTGATGGACATTTAGGTTGGTTCCAAGTCTTTGCTATTGTGAATAGTGCTGCAATAAACATATGCATGCATGTGTCTTTATAGTATAATGATTTATAATCCTTCAGGTATATACCCAGTAATGGGATTGCTGGGTCAAATGGTATTTCTGGTTCTAGATCCTTGAGGAATCAGCACACTGTCTTCCACAATGGCTGAACTAATTTACACTCCCACCAACAATGGAAAAGCTTTCCTATTTCTTCTCATCCTCTCCATCGTCTATTGTTTCCTGACTTTTTAATGATCGCCATTCTAACTGGCGTGAGATGGCATCTCATTGTGATTTTGATTTGCATTTCTCTAATGACCAGTGATGATCAGCTTTTTTTCATATGTTTGTTGGTCACATAAATGTCTTCTTTTGAGAAGTGTCTTTTCATATCCTTTGCACAACTTTTGATGGGGTTGTTTTTTTCTTGTAAATTTGTTTAAGTTCCTTGTAGATTCTGTATATTAGCCCTTTGTCAGATGGACAGATTGCAAAAATTTTCTCCCATTCTGTAGGTTGCTTGTTCACTCTGATGATAGTTTCTTTTGCTGTGCAGAAGCTCTTTAGTTTAATTAGATCCTATTTATCAATTTTGGCTTTTGTTGCCATTGCTTTTGGTGTTTTAGTCATGAGGTCTTTGCCCATGCCTATGTCCTGAATGGTATTGCCTAGGTTTTTCTTCTAGGGCTTTTATAACAATTACATTCATATTTATGTTGAGAGGCACACAAAAATACCAGCAGCCCTGTTAGATTTGGGGCACTTTTCTTCCTTTCTTCTGCCCTCAAAACATTATGCAATATGGCTAAGTTGCTCACAGAAATATGAAAATATGAATTAACTGAAAAGACATATTGGTTTTAAGAGGAGCACTTAGGTAAATCTCACAGAGCTCTGAAACCAAGTTGGCACTCAAGACGTGATTGCCACTTCCTCCATTCCCTAAAACTTGCATAACAGGGTTCCGTGGCTTCAGGAAACCTCCAGAGACAACAGCAGACTTCTCAAACTGCTGCATCATTAACACCCGTTTGACAACTTTGTCTTAATTAGTGTTTCAGAATAGCTGGACTCTATAATGTGATGAAGCTTTAGGAATACCTTTACCAATTTATTCTGTTTCCATTCTCTTTTCTTGTATTCACATGGAGTAACATGTGAAAAAATATTTCTGGGTTTAATCAAGGTTAAGATAACTCTTTTAACAGGGATAAAATGAATATTCCAAGTGAGCGGAATCATGATGCCATAGTTTCATTGGCAGCCATTTTTCTTTAGCGGTATGTAAATATCGGAAGAGTCTGCAATCAGTGGTGTCTTAGATTGAATGAAACACTGCATTGTGGTAATGAGGAAACACAGGCATGTTTAGCAAGCTTTTTAGGTACTTTGGGCATCTTCAATTATTTTGGAACTACTGTACCCTCCTATTTTATTTAACATTATATACATTATTTAGGGGAAAGTCATTAACTCCATTAACAGGTAGTTTGTTAATGGATAGAGGTCTCAAAAACATAAAGAACAGTGAAATAATATCAAGACTAAAGATGGTTAAAAATTATCTCAAGAAAAACAGAAATCAGAGAGTTTTTATGACTTCTAATCATTTGGGAGAAATAATCAGTCTTTAAGGACAACTGTGGATATAAGAGTACCCAGGCAGGCAACTACAGGGACAAGGGCTATCATTTTCATTATGTCCAAAGGAACAAAACCAGGAGAACAGAACATCTGCATATTGCCCCTCTCTTTCTTTACCTAATAGTAGTGAGTTAATAAACCCTCTCTGACCAGTGGCTACTGCTTAGTGGACTATATAATACAATTAACATATTTGCATTTTAATAAGATGTGGATTGAGCTCACACGTTCTTTTGAAGACCAAAGAACCCAGACTTCAGAAAGCCGATAAAGGCAGATGATCATGTGACTTTTTTCCTGGATTTTTAGGGCCAGTCTTTCCCTGGAATGAAGAAAGAGGTTTCCCCAGAGAGAATGAACATTTCCACGGCCAAGAATCCTGGGAAGTGATAAATTCTAGGGCAGGAAATAAAGACTCTATGGAGAAGTATGAGCTTGGAAATTGGCCAGGAGCTAGCTGGGCTGGAACTCTGTGGTCTGGAGACAACTGGAACATTTGGAGGAGGTGGGCAGGACACTGAATTGCTACTGCCCATGTGAAGGCAAAGTACCCTCTTGGCGTGAGTCCTGGCCTGCGCAATTTTTCTGTGTTGTATTTTCCTTATGTAATAGTTTCAAGAGCTCCTAATATAAGGTTCCTTTTTGGTGACATTGTTTTCTTCCCTCTTTCTTTTATGACATTTATTACTACAAGGAAAGGGAAAGAAGCAGGTACTAGATTCTGTTTACGCATCACTCCAGATTTACGCACTTGCTTTGCTTTCTGACCTGTGAAGCCCCCAATAGAACTCACCCTCTTCCATAGATCATGGAGCCAGTTGTCTCCTGCCTTCACTGTGGCTACAGACCTAGAGGCTCAATGCAGCCAAATCCCCCCACATTCCTGTTGTGCTGAGGTTTGGGGGGACACCAGGACTTACTTGGCACTCATGTTATAGTGAAAGCTCCATAGATCCAATTTTGACCTATAGGTTATGGAAGTGAGTGGACAGATGCTGCTTCCTTCCTTGCCCCTAGACAGAATGCTGGATATACAGTTTCTTCATTTATTCTCCCTAAAGATATCCCCAAAGGCCAAAGAATTTGCTTGCCATTAAGCTCAATAATATACTTCCTTACATTTTCTCTCCCTCTCTCCTGTTTTCTTGGCGTTGCGTTTCCCCAATCCAATATTGGCACATTAGTTTGGCCTCAGGCTCTGCTTTGTAGGAGATCTTAACTGATGCAATAAACATACGCGTGCATGTGTCTTTATAGTATAATGATTTATAATCCTTTGGGTATATACCCAGTAATGGGATTGCTGGGTCAAATGGTATTTCTGGTTCTAGATCCTTGAGGAATGGCCACACTGTCTTCCACAATGGTTGAACTAATTTGCACTCCCACCAACAGTGCAAAAGCTTTCCTATTTCTTCACATCCTCTCCATCATCTATTGTTTCCTGACTTTTTATTCCCAAAAGTCCATCCTAGTAAGAAGGATAAGACAAAATACAAGATCTGGCCAGATAGAAGGAGGAGTGGTGAGAAATAAAATCATATGATAAAAACATAGCCTCTGGAGCCAGACTGCTTGGATTCAAATTCTGTCTCCACCACTTACTAGCTGTGTAAGCTAGGGCAAATAATTCAGTTTTTATGCATACTTTTCTAATCTGTAAAAACAAACTAATAATAGAACTTGCCTCACAGGGCTACTGTGATGTCTGAAGGAGTGAATTAATAGAACATGGTAATTAATATACATGGTAAGATCTATATCAGCATGAACAGCTATCATCATCATCATCATCATCATTATAAGGCCATAATGGTGCTGGAAGAATGAGGTGGAAGAATAAAAAGAAAAGCAGGGGTCCAGGCACAGTGGTTCATGCCTATAATCACAGTACTCTGGGAGTCAAGATGGGAGGATTGCTTGAGCCCAGAAGTTCAAGACCAGCCTGGGCAAGATGGTGAGACCCCCATCTCTAGAGAAAATGTCTTAATATTATCTGGGCATGGTGGTGTGCACCTGTAGTCCTAGGTACTGGGGGTGGGTGGGGAGACTGAGGTAGGAGGGTCACTTGAGCCCAGGGGGTCAAGGCTGCAGTGAGCTATAATCACACCACTGTACTCCAGCCGGGCAACAAAGTGAGGCACCCCCATCATTTAAAAGAGAGAAAAGAAGACAGAAAGACAGAGAGAGAGAGAAGTAAGGAAGGAAGGAAGGAAGGAAGGAAGGAAGGAAGGAAGGAGGAAAGAAAGAAAGAAAGATGGAAGGAGGGAAGGAAGTAAGGAAGGAAAGAAGGAAGGAAGGAAGGAAGGAAGAAAGAAAGAAAGAAAGAAAGAAAGAAAGAAAGAAAGAAAGAAAGAAAGAAAGAAAGAAAGAAAGAAAGAAGGGAAGGAGGGAGGGAGGGAGGGAGCTGGGTGCAGTGGCTCACACCTGTATTCCCAGCACTTTGGGAGGCTGAGGTGGGTGGATCACATGAGGTCCGGAGTTTGAGACCAAACTGGCCAACATGGTGAAACCCTGTCTCTACTAAAAATAAAAAATAAAAAAAATTAGCTGGGCATGGTGGTGTGTGCCTGTAATCCCAGCTACTTGGGAGGCTGAGGCAGAGGAATTGCTTGAACCCGGGAGACAGAGGTTGCAGTGAGCTGAGAGCTCGCCATTGCACTCCAGCCTGGGCGAGAGCATGAGACTCTGTCTCAAAAAAACGAAGAAAGAGAGACAGAGACAGAGAGAAAGAGAGAGAGAAAGGAAGGAAGGAAGGAAAGGAAAGGAAAGGAAAGGAAAGGAAAGGAAAAGAAAGGAAAGGAAAGGAAAGGAAAGGAAAAAGGAAAGGAAGAGAGAGATGGAAGGAGTGGAAGGAGGGAGGGAGGAGGGAAGAAAGGAAGGAAGGAAGGGAGAGAGGGAGGAAGGACGGAAGGGAGGGAAAGAGAGAGGGAGGGAGGGAGGAAGGAAGGAAAGAAAGGAAGGAGGGAGGAAAAGAAAGGTAAAGAAAAAGAAGGAAATAAGAAAGAAAGAAAGAAAAAGAAAGAAAGGGAAAGAAAAAGAAAGAAAGAAAGAGAAAGAAAGAAAAAGAAAGAAAGAAAAGCACGAAGTTGGTGTCAGTGTCCTTAATTCTGACTCCCACTGAATGAGGGAATAAGAGACTAGGTGGGGTAGGTGGTATAATCTCAAGATGGAGTGAACCAGATGGGTTTGGGGAGACCTAAGAACACCCCCATTCCCTTGGGCACAGCATAGTAAGTGAAAAGCTTCACCAAGAAGCATTCAGTTCAGTTCCACATGCAATGTGTCTCCAGTGAAAGAGCACAATATTGGTGGAGAGCGAGACGTAGCACCTGGCTCTGAGCTGTCTGCATGTGCTACGTAGGGAATGTGGGTGTAGTGGTGTGAAGAATTCTCAGAGACGCGGGGGACAAGAAGATCCTTGGAGTAAAGCATATCAAATCGTACAGGACTATACTATAACCATTCTTGAGAGCTGAGCTATGGCAGGGACTATAGCCTTCAATCCACCAGAACAGGACCGCATCTCAGCAAACACCAGCAGTGAACAACCACTGGCCATTGCTTGGAAAATACCACAGAAACCAGAGCCACCTGCCCCCATCCCACAACAAAGTTACCTGTGCCTTTCTCTGCACACAGAGAGCAACTTGGGAAGACGGGGTGGGGTGGAGGAGGGACGAAATTTTTAAGAAAGAAGAACCACTCATTTAATGGAGTGTATCTGTGAATTGATTAAATATTTACCAAAAAAATTACTGGAGGAATCTGAACTATATTTCCTGTGACATTATGTATGTTTTGGTCCACGACTCCTGGCTCATAACTCCTATAGCCCTTGTGACAGGCTCTTGTTATAACGTTGGGGTGCTTTAGGCCTCAGAAGCAAGCTTCAGGAAACAGGATCTCTCTCTCTCTCTCTCTCTCATTCTCTCTCTTTCTCCTGCCTTCCTTTCAACTATTACTTTTTTCTCCCAGAAAACAAGACTCTAATCTTCCCCCACCTTTCTGTAGTGGAGCTGGCCATAAAGAAATTCTCTGACCTACCCTGTCTATTGTAGGTCATAAGACCTACATTTTAGAAGTTCTGCTCCATACCTTGGTACCCTGTCTTCTGTCTGCTCAGAATCTTCTTGGCCTTCCTGGGTTTCCATTAGTATTAGATCATACCCTTTTTATCAAATCACATTTCTACATGATGGTCAATCACACCTATCCAATAAAGTCCCCATAAAAGCCCAAGAAGACTGGGTACCAGGAGCTTCTGGGATAGCTGAGCTCCTGGAGGGTGGCATGCACAGGGAGGGCATGGAAGCTCCACACTCCGTCCCTCATACTTCACCCTATGCATCTCTTCATCTGTATCTTTTGTAATATCCTTCATAATAAACCAGTTTACAAAAGTAAGTGTTTCCCTGAGTTCTGTGAGCCACTCTAGCAAATTAATCAAACCCAAGAAGGGGATTGTGGGAAAACTGATTTACACCGAGTCAGTCAGAACCACAGGTAAAACAATCTGGGGTTTATGATTGCAATCAGAAGTGGGGTAACCTGTGGGGCTGAGCCCTTGACTTGGGGGATCTGATGCTATTTCCAAGTAGATAGTGTCAGAATTGAATTGGAGAACACCCAGCTGTGTCCACGGCAGAATTGATTGACTGCCTGATAATGGGAAGAAATGCCTATACATATATAAGGTCACAGAAGTCTGTGTTGATTGTTTTGGTGTGACCACAGAGGAAAAACAGTTTGTGTTTTTTCCACTCAGATTTTTGTAGAAAATTGAAGCTGACCACTCTCTTCTGTCTCCTCCATCAGAGAGGAGAGCTCTTGTGCTAGCTATAGATGATAAAGGAAGTTACTTTTATTTATTTATTTATTTATTTATTGCACATTGGAAGAACTCTCAGAAATAGGTGTGGATTTAAAAAAAGCATTCATTGCAGAACTCAGGTGTGTAGAATGCTTATTTCTGACAATAAAACACTTTGGGGTTTGTAACATTGAATTTTAAAATCTTTATATCTTTAAAAAGTCCCTGTATAGTACTGTTACTTCTCTAAGGCCACTTCCACTCAATATTATCAATTTCTTTCCAAAGGAGCAATTAGTGGCAAAAAAGAGGTGGGTACTAGAGATTTAATGTTTCCGAAACCAGACAACAAGAGGAGGGGCCAGCTGCAAATGGGAAGCGTATTCTACCAGATTATCACTGGGGTAAACAGCACATATTCCTTAAGGTCAAGCAAGTACAGAATCTCAAGCGTGAATAATTAATAAGGATGTACAAGATGTCACAACTCACATTCCCTGGATTTGCTAAGATACAGATAAATTGGAATCTGACATAAACAAATTGTGTTTAATAACCCTTAAAAACGTGATCCCTGAAGCATTCTGCACTGCTTCAGTTGCCCCTTGTCCAACTCCTTCTATCTTAATTTATCGTTGACAAGGACTAGTAACAAAAAAGTGCTTGAACTTAAGTAATAAAATCAGTTATAAAACCACTTACTTTATCACATATTTAATGTGCTTTCCTACCACTTTTTTTTATAACTTTCTAATCTCTCTATTTAGGGAAGATACATAAAGTATCATTTAATTTCAGCTGAGAGAGCGTCTTCCAGAGCCAACCCTGGCATCAGCATCATGGCATGAATCATCCTTGCTAACTTTCTTGCTTAAGTGAAAGAGTTGGGTGATAGAAACCAGCCTCCCATAGACCAGAAAAATAAAATGCCCTCTGAGACCTCAAAAGCAGAAATTCCCAAGATGAGACATAGTTCTTTCATGGGCAAAATTATGAAGCCAGGGAGAAATTATATTGTTATATAATTTTGTGTTCCTCCAAATTTTTATCCACCATTTCTTCTTGGGGGCATCTTCAAAGTGCTCCATTAGTGCCTGGCAAATATTATTCATCTGCCTTTTTCAGATTATCCAAATATATTATTTTGTCGAGGATAGATATTTCTAGTTAGAGCTCAACTGTACATGTCTCACAACTAAAGAAGATAAAACATGAGTACTATAAGTTACTCCAAAGGAATATAATACAAATAATCCTCCTACATCCCCCCAAAAGGAAAGCATTACCAGAACTCAAGGTAGCATTCAGTTTAAGTGGGTCCAAATTTTTTCAGCAACTCTCTAATTTACCTGGAGTTAAATGATGTCTTTGGTGTGTGTCTTTCACAGTGTTCTGTGTGTATATGTGTAACAAAATAATACTAAGAACACATTTCTCCAGAGACTTGACACAACATCCAAAAAATATATACATATTTCTTTTTTTAATCTCAAGTAATTTGCTTAGATATTAAGAAAAATGATGGGACTAAAAGTAGGGGTAGGGGATAAGGAGAAATTACGTTTACAAGTTATTAACCATTGAGTATAAATACTACATTAAAAATTAATATTTTCTGATAAAGTTGAAATTTCCAGTCACTGAGAAAATGATGCATTATTCACTAAATGGTATTGGAACAAATTACAATCATCTGTATGACAAATTAAAGGAGTTCATATATTATACAGCACCAAAATAAATTTCATATGAATTACAGATTTAAATATAAAAAATAAAACCATAAAATATTAACAGAAAATAGGAGTGTTGATTTATGTAATCATGTGTGTAGAAGGCCTTTGTAAAGATTTTGCCAAAAGCAGAAAGCATTAAAAAAGATATTATTAAACTTGATCACATAAAATTTAGAACTTATGTATATTAAAGATCCACTGTAAAAAAAATAAAGCAATATGGAAAATTTAGGAAAAAATATTTCCAACTTATGATAGAAACAGAATTGAGGTACTAAAATCCTCTCACAAACAAATTAGAAAAACAAAACAGCTAGCAAAAAAAGTTACCAATGAAATGAAAAAGCACTTCACAAAAACTAAAATCAGCTACTCCACAGCATATAAAAAATGTACAAAGCACTAGTAATCAAGGAAATGCACATTAAAACAATAATGAGATGCTCTTATTTATCCATCAAATTGGGCTAAAGATTTTTTTGAAGCTAAAATCCTGGAGATTGGCAAGTATTCAGAAAAATGGTCCCTCTGAGAAATATAAATTGTTGGGAATATGAATGAAAAGACTTAGAATTATTCTTACCCTTTTCCCAGTGCTCTCACTCCTGGAAATTATCCTAAAGAACTAGGCATGAATGGCAATTTAATAATACATATCAGAGAATCACAGAGCAGACTGACTCATTCACCTCCATTGCAACTATCTGTCAATGAATATAGACCTACATAACCAATTTTAACGGCTTTATAATACTGCATTGAGGGAATGTATAATTTATGTGTTCATTGCCATTCTGACAGACATTGAGGATGTTTCAAGATGTTACTTTTGTTTAAAAATATTCCAAAAACATCCTACTAAATATATCTTTGTATGCATCCCCAATTTGTTTTTTAAGATTAATTCCTAGGTGTAGAATTACTGAGTCAAAGTGTGCCCATTTAAATTTAAGTATGGTGTTAAAAAGCTGTAACAATTTATTCCCTCCAGCATTATACAGGTGCCATTTTTCACACTCTTCCTTCAGAGAATGTTAACAATCCTTTCCAGCATTATCTTTCTTATTGGTAAAAATTAATATCTCCTAGCTTTATTTGGTAACTCTTTTTTGTACATAATAGAGAATGAATTTGCCCATTTTCCTATTTGTTATGTTAACCATTTTAAAACAATCTTGTTATATCAAGAATATTATTTTTTTCTACCTATACATTGCAAATAGGTTCTCCAAATACAGTTACCTTTAAACTTTGCTAACATTGATTTTTTTCCCAGTATAAAAATGTTTAATTTCTACATAGTTATATCTTTAAACTTTTCCTTTATGGTTTCTATACTTGATGTAATTTCCAGAAAGTCCTTCCCACTTGGCATAAATAATAGAAATATTCATTATATTCACTTTTAAAAATATTTTATGAAAAATTTCAGATATATATGAAAATGAAGAGAATAACACATAGACCGATCCCAAGGTCCAGACTTAACCAAACATTGGCAACTCTCGCTTTATTTATCCCTGTTTCTATTTTAACAGTTTTTCTTTACCGAGGTATTTTGAAGCAAATTCCTGACATTATACCATCCCTATGTCATTCACGGTTCATCTCTAAAAATAATTCTTACAAATCCACAATGACATTTTCACAGCTAACAAAATTAACAATTTTTGGTATCATTTATCCCAACTATAATCAAATTTACCAAGTTGACTAAAAGGTGTCTTTTTATAGCTGTTGGTTTGAATCAGTATCTAAGCAAGTCCCACACACTACTTCGGATTTCATGTGTCTTAGATCTCTTTTAATATAAGAAAGTCCTCTTCTTTTATTTTTCTTTTTGCTATTGAATTGTGGCAGAGGCCAGATTAATGATCCTTAAAAAATGTTTCCATTTTTCAGATGTAGCTGTCTACTTCCTTAGGGTTTCATTTAACTTATTCCTCTATCCCATAATTCTCGTAAATAGAAGTTAGCTCTAGAAGCTAAATTAGACTTGAGTTTAGTGCGTGTGCACGCGCACGTGTGTGTGCATGTGTGTTTTACAAGAACACCTCATAGGTGTTACTGTGGGCTCCATATAGTCTCATATCTGAATCAAACATCTGATTGTCCCACTTAATGATGGAAAGACAGATCAAAGGATTGATTTAGTTTTCTCATGAACTAGAGCTATTGATTGCCCTGAATTTTCCTCTTTTAATGGCAAATTTCAGAGTAAGAATGAGGCACTTAGTTACTTCAAGGTGTGTCCAATGACTGTACTTTATTTTTATTTTTTGCATTATGAAACTATGGTTTTCATATATTCAATGTGTGAGTCATTTGTTCTTTTTTTTTTTTTTTTGATGCTCAAATGGTGCCATTTTGGCCAATTTGGACTTTTCATGTTGGCTCCAATGTCATTTGACATAAAATTAATAAGTTTTTAAGTAAATGTTAGTTTCAGAATAGTTTTACATTTATAGAAAAGTTTCAAAGATAATACAGAATTCCCATGTATAACCCACACCCATTTTCTCCTGTTATTAACATCTTACATTAGTATGGTACGTTTGTCACAATGAGCCAATGTTGATTGTTATTAACTGAAGTCCCTTCTTTATTCATAATTCCTTAGTTTTTACCTAATGTCCATTTTATGTTGCAAGATTCTATCCAAAACACCATATTGCATTAGTTGTTGTGTCTTCTTAGATTCCTTTTGTCTGTGACAGTTTCTCAAACATTCTTGGTTATTAACAGTTTTCAATATCTGAGATTCCATCTTGTATTTCTCCTGCTCCAGACTTGTAATTAGTCATTTATCAAAGTACCCTGATTTCTTTAAGTAGAGAATCATATTTAAAGACTACAAACTGGAGAAGTGTGCTCATTGTTATGACATTGTCATTGCATTTAAGCTTTTTCAGCAAGCATAACTAAAAATACATATTTTGGGGTAAAAGCAAATTTATACTGATATTTCCAAAGCAAAGTTAACATTATAAAATTTTTACTTAAATTATTTCACTTTATACTTTTATTTTAGAGTAAAAATCCTAACTCCTAACATCATAGATATAATTACTTATTAGTATTATTTTATGATGTATAAAAAACAGTCTCAAAACAATACCAATGGCCTGGTGCGGTGGCTCATGCCCGTAATCCCAGCACTTTGGGAGGCCAAGGCAGGTGGATCACAAGGTCAGGAGTTTGAGACCAGCCTGACCAACATAGTAAAACCCCGTCTCTACTAAAAATAGTAGTAGAGATGGGCATGGTCGCACCCACCTGTAATCCCAGCTACTCAGGAGGCTGAGGCAGGAGAATTGCTTGAATCCAGGAGGGAGAGGTTGCAGTGAGCTGAGATTGCACCACTGCACTCCAGCCTGGGTGACAGAGTGAGACTCTGTCTCAAAAACAAACAACCAACCAAACAACAATACCAATATCATTACTGATAATTAGACTACTAAATGGAGTTTAGGGTTTCTTGGCAATTTTTTTCTTTTGAAATATATTCCAATAAATATGTATAATCAAAATACTTTATTCTAAACTCAATTGAAAGAACACTCCTCTCTCTGATATAAATTTAGGTTTATTTATTTCCATTTTCATGGCTTTTTTATTAAGTTAATTTTATGATTATGCAACACATATGTTTCCAAAGCCATTTACAAAATATATATGTATAATTATTTTTAAAATGCCCTTTTTAGAAATAAAGGTTTTAAATTATTTTCCTAATATATGTCATTTAGTGGCTTTGATGATTATGTTGGATTTTTAGCTTTTACATGAGTTTATCAGTTAGTTCCAAATATGTCAGATCAACTAACTTTATTTGCTACTTCAGTTATGGCCTGATCCACCTGCAGGTATGTCTCCAGACCAATGACAGTTTTAATATACAAATTCTTAAAGGAACCAAAATATCATATAGAGCAAATTAATGTACTATAGTAATATAATTGTCACAAAAGAATCTTCAAAAAAGTTAGAACGGTACTTTTTAAAGCTATCAATGGTACATATAAAGATTAATTTATTTTAGAAAGTAACTTACCTAGTTGGAAACAGATCAATGAAATGATCCTTAAATTTCTTCCTGTAAGGCCTAAATTGACATTGTTAATCAAGGAGACAGAGTCAGCTTTGAAAAATCAAGGAATCATTATGCCTAATAAACTGAAGTAAAAATTACTAGTTGTTCAACATTAACTTTTCCTAAACTCAAATGTATTTTTATAAACTAATATAAATAATGTTTATGTTACAATTTTAACTGGTTTTCATTTTTATAACTGGTAGACTAAACCTTCCTTAAAGTTTTAGAAGTAAAACAAAGGCTCAATTGAATTTGTGAGAATAAAAAACGTTTTTCCTAATAGTCGTAGAATAAAATAGATTAGTTACCAGGTGTTTATTGTGCCAATGTAAATTGTAATTTACCAAAGGAAAATACATAATTTTCTTGGTCTTGCAAAAAAAGTTCTCTTGAAAGAACTCTTTCCAATAAGTAAAACCTCCAAATTACCAGTAAAAATAAATAAATAAATTAATTAAATAAAATAAAATTAATTTTAATTTTTTTTTTTTTTTCAGAGACAGAGTCTCTGAAAATGTGTGGATGCCAAAACAAAGTTACAAAAAACATGAAGAAATGAGGAAATGGCCCAATAAAAGGAACAAAATAAATCTCCAAAAGCTGACCCTAAAGAGGAAGCATATTACATTGAAAAAGAGTGAAAAAAGCCTGAGGAACTTAGGGGATACTCTCAAGAGGATCAATATTCATATGATGGGATGCCTAGAAGAAAAGACAGAGAAAGTGGCAGAAAATTTATTTAAAAAAATAACGACCAGAAACATCACAAATCTGGGGAAGGAAATAGCCGTCCAGATTCAAGAAGCCCAACAAGTACAAAATGAGTTAAATGTTAAGAAATCTACAATGAGACACATTATAATCAAATTGTCAAAAGTCTAAAGACAGAATTTTGAAAGCAGCAAAAAAAAAAAAAAAAAAAAAAAAAAAAAAAAAAAAAAAAAAGGGTTCATCACATACAAGGGAACTTCATAAGATGGTCAGTGGATTTTTTTTAAGCAGAAACCTCCAGGCCAGAAGAGAATGAGATGATATATTCAAAGTGCTGAAAGAAAAAAGCTGCCAACCATGAATACTGTATCTGGCAAAACCTTCCTCCAAAAATGAAGGAGAAGAAGACTTTCCCAGAAAAGCAAAAGCAAGGGAGGTCATCATCACTAGACCTACCTTATAAGAAATGCTAAATTTAGCCCATCAAGGTGAAATAAGATGATCAAAGAAGGACAAATATTACATGAATACATTTATATGAGGCATCTGAAGTAGTAAAACTCGTTGAAGCAGAAAGTAGAATGGTGGTTGCCAGGGGCTGGGGGAAAGGGGAAGTGGTGAGTTGCTGTTCAATGAGTATAAAGTTTCACTCATGGAAGACAAAAAAGTTCTAGAGATCTGCTGTGCAATAATGGGCTTATACTAAACGATACTGTACTGTTCACTTTTAAAAGTTGCTAAGAGGGTAGATCTCATGCTCTAATTTAAAAACCGTAAAGTGAAAGTACAAATTCTTTAATGTTAAATTTACACTGGAAGTGTCAATATGAATTCATGATAGTTTTCATTTTTCAAAAGTACATATTTCCTTGCCCTGTTCATTAAAAATATCTAAAAGCGATGGAAATCTATATGCTCTACATCCCATTCTTCTTCTTGCTTTTTTCACTTAATATATGCAAGAGATCATTCTATCTTAGCCTATGGATGTTATATTGAGTTACAATTTATAAACCATAAACTTGACCCACTTTAAATATACAATTGGATGATTTTTAGTAAATTACTAAGTTGCACATTCTTAATCCAGTTTTAGGACATTTTCATCACCCAATAAGATCTCTAATTCCCTTTTACAGTTAATCCATTTTGCCATCCCCAGTCCCACTAATCGATTTTCTGTCTCTATAAATTTGCCTTTGACATCTGCATAGTGTTCAACTGTACAGATGAATAATAATTTATTCAACCAGTCCTCTCTTGGCAGACATTAATTTCTTATATTTTGCTACTACAAATAATAACAGAGTGAATAACTTTAAATCATTTCATTTCATGTGAACAAATTATTTCATATTTTTACCATATTATACCTAAATGTATGTTAAGGTAGATTCTTAGAAATGAAATTGCTAAGTAAAGGATAAATGTATATGTAATTTTGCTACCTGTTACCGAATTCCTCTCCATAGAAGTTGTTTTATTTGCATTCTCAATAACAATATATAACAGAGTGTCTGTTTCCTCACAGTCTTATCAATTGAGAAGGCAGTGAACTTTGAATTTTGTCAGTCTGCAATGTAAGAAGCATATCCTGGAGAATTTTAGTTTGCATTGCTGTTATATTAAGTATATTTGAGTACATTTTTGTGTGTTTAAGAGTCATTTTCATGTCTTCTGTGAAATATTTGCTCATATATTTTGCCCATTTTGCTGTAGGATTGTCGATCTCTTTTTCCATCTTGGGAATTTTTAAATATTAGATTTTTTTTGGTAAAAAATGCATACATGTATTTCCCTTGTGCTGTTTTCCTTTTGTTTTTGCCATGCATAGAATTTTTAACATATCATATTATATATTGATATTTTCTCCATGACTTCTGAATTTTGAGACAGTTTTTTTTCTACTTAAAGATTATAAAGCTATTCATCCATGTTTCCTTCTTGTTCTTTAATGCCACAACAATACCTGATGTTAGCAGGACTTAGTGCTTCATTTAGTAAGAAACTGTCTTTCGTGCTAAGAAATACATATTTCTTTCTTTTTTCTTTTCCTTTTTTTTTTTTTTTTGAGACAGGGTCTTGCTCTGCTGTCATCCAGGCTGGAGAGCGATGGCATGATCACAGCTCACTGCGGCCTTGACCACCTCGGGCTCAGGTGATTGTCCCACAGCAGCCTCCTGAGCAGCTGGGACTACAGGCACAAATCATTACTCCCAGCTAACATTTCTGTATTTTCAGTAGAAACAGGGTTTCGCCATATTGGCCAGGCTGGTCTTGAACTCCTGGCATCAAGCAATCCACCCACCTTGGCCTCCCAAAGTGCAGGGATTACAGGCATGAGCACCATGCACTGCCATATTTCATATTTTAAAAGAACCAATTTGATACGGTTTGGATCTGTGTCCCTGCCCAAATCTCATGTGACAGTGTAATCCCCAATGTTGGAGGTGGGGCCTGGTGGGAGGTGATTGGATCATGGGGGTAGATCTTTCCTGAATGGTTTAACACCACCCCCTCGGTGCTGTTCTTATGATAGTGAGTTCTCATGAGATTTGTTTAAAAGTGTGTAACACCTTCCTCCTCCCTCTCTCTCTCTTACGCCTACTCCTGCCATGTAAGTAGTGCCTGCTCCCTCTCCTGCTTCCTCCATGATGTATTTCCTGAAGCCTCCCCAGGAGCCAAGCCAGCTTCATGCTTCCTGTACAGCCTACAGAACAGTGAGCCAATAAAACCTATTTTATTTATAAATTATCCAGTCTCAGGTATTTATAGCAATGCAAGAATGGACTGATAAACTATTAATTCTTATTTTATTGAATTTTTTAAAATGAGAAATAGGTGTTTAATATTGTCTAATGTATTTACCATATTCATGGAGATGATTATATTAACCATCTTTATATTTTTCAGTGAACTACACTTGGATATTATGTACTTTTTTAATATGCTGATAGATTCTATTTATTATTGCTTTTGAGATTTTTTGATCAACATTAGTAAGTATGATATATTGGTTTATTTTTTTACAATCATTATCAGAGGTTGATATGAATATCATGTTTATAGAACTAGAAATCTGGAAGTTTCCCTTCTTTTTCTATCTGGAGCACTTTAAGAAAAGTTGGTATCTAAACTTTAAAAGCTTGGTAGAATTCCCTATGAAATCATCTAGTAGTCCCTGTCTTTTCATTGAGGAAAACCCTCAAGATTCTGTTTTGTCTGCAATAACTGATTTGTTTAGACTTCCTTTACCACTGGGGTTAGGTTGGGTCATTATATGTTCCTAAACAGTTTTAATTTTATCTAAGTTTTTAGTATTATTATATAGTTGCACAATAGTGATTTTTAAAAGTTTTTCTCTGTTTCATTGGATAATTTCTCCTTTATTATGCTTATTTAATTGGTGCCTTTCCTTTACTAAATTTAGTTGTCTAGGTTTTATTTTTTCAAATAATCAATTTATTCATTTCTCTGATTCTCTTTCTATTGTTTTTCTCTTTTCTAATTTACTTCTAATTTTATCTTTGTTAATTTTTCCTTTTGTCTTTTGGTTTACTTTGTTGAGCACTTTTAGCTTTGGGGTTAAAATTTTAATTTATTTATTTTATCATCTTTGATATAGTTATTAAAGGATATAAATTTTCCTCAGAAAATTTACTACTTTAACAGTTTTCCATAGATTTACTTTATGTGTTTGCTATTACTTCCTATAAATTTTGCAGCTTTGTTTTATGTTTCCTCTTTGATCCAAGAGTTGTTTCACAGAAAGTTTAAAAACTTTTTTTTTTTTTTTTTTTTTTGAGACGGAGTCTCGCTCTGTCACCCAGGCTGGAGTGCAGTGGCGTGATCTCAGCTCACTGCAAGCTCCGCCTCCCGGGTTCACGCCATTCTGCCTCAGCCTAACCAGTAGCTGGGACTACAAGTGCCTGCCACCACGCCTGGCTAATTTTTTTGTATTTTTAGTAGAGATTGGTTTTCACCGTGTTAGCCAGGATGGTCTTGATCTCCTGACCTTGTGATCCACCCACCTCGGCCTCCCAAAGTGCTGGGATTACAGGCTAGAGCCACTGCGTCCAGCCAGAAAACTTAAAATTTTTACAGGGTTGTTATCTTCTAAAAAATTTGTATTTTCTTACAGATTTCTAGTTTTATTAAATTTTGATTGGAAAATCTTACTTGAATTATTTTACTTTCTGGAATTTGTTGAGGCTTTACTTGTGGTCTAGTCCAGTTAGTTTTTATAAATATACAAGTGCACTGAACAAGGAATATTCTTTAATTTAGAGGAAAATAATATATTGCTATCCAGTTGCTTATTAATTTTTTGTTTGTGTTTTCTATATTTTTATCATTTTTTGTCCACTTATTTACCTATTTCATAAAAAGATGTGGTAAAGTCTCCTGATATTAGAGTGTCTCTATTTTCCCTTCCATTTCCTGTAGTATCTCCTCTGTAACCGTTGCTATTGTGTCATTTGTTATGAATTGCAGACTTTAGCTTCAAGAAGTGTACTTCTTTGTCTTAGTTAATGTTTTCTGGCCTGAATTTTACATTTTCAGATATCAAAAGTGTAACTCCTGCTTCATTTTTATTTGCATTTACCTGTTGTATATTCACCCATCCTTTTAATTTTAACCTTTTATTTGTTTCAAGTTTCAGTTATGTATTAATCAGTGTAATCTCCAACACATTCATCAACATGATTTCATACATCTAGAGGAGAACTATTTCCTGGTTACGTAGAAAATTGTGCAGATGGCTTCTGGAAGACTTTCATTCTAAAGCAGCTTTATAGTGAAATATTTCATTTAAATATCTGGACCTTCTTTCTTCAGTTTGCTGTAATCTACATTCATTGAGTAAAATTTGTATTGATCATTGGGACCCCATTTGTTCCAGGGCTCTGGGTTCTTTCTGTCCCAGCTAACATCTGGATTGAATGATGCCAGATGCAAGACAAATTGTGCTGCTCCAGTACCTCCAGCTCCAATAAATACAAAGAGGGGGATCAAGCTCAGATGCTTCTTGGCCTGACTGAGAATCTAGCGGAGCATGTTTGTGGCAGAGGCCTCTGACTCAAAAGGAAAGAAAAAGCCTAGCCACCAGGCCCTGCGCTAAATAGTATCTAAATTTTAACTTTTTGAATTTGCTTATTTCAATTGTGTCTCTTGAATACAGCATAGTGTAGGGTTAGCTTTGTTGGTCAATATGAAAATTTATTTTAGTAATCAAGATAAGCTGTTACTTTTATGAATATTATTGATATGTTTGCTTTCAGTATTATCATATTGTTGTATGTTACATTTGCCACATACTATGTGGTCTCTTTTCCTTCCTATTTATTTTCCTTTAGTGTTTAGGAAAGTGTGTATATTTATTGAAGTCCTTACATTTATACCAACACCTCTATATAATATCTTTAGTCACCTCTATAGTAATTCACTGTCTTTTGGTTCTCTAATATGGGGAGTACTAAAGTTAGCTAGTACTAGCTAAAAAGGCAGAGTCACAAGGGACAAAGTAAATAAAGGTACAAGGGAGAATCCTTTTTGAATGGGTTTGTGACTGTAGCAAGCCTCCTGAGGCAGCTCAGAGGAGACTGGTACAATTGTGAAGCATTGTACTGGCCTGAAGTTGCTTACACCATCACTACCTAGCCAACAAGACAAGAAACAGTAAACAAGATCAGAATGGGAACTCTCTAAATAGGGTGGGGCCATTATCAGGGAAAGAGCATAGAAGAGAATAATATGCAAAAAAAGCTGATATCAAAAAGACACTTCAAAATCTTGCTTGGGTTTGGCTTCATTAGTTAGAGATTCTCACCAAAAATTCCTTAATTCCAGACCCAGAGCAAGCATCCTATGATTCCATTTTTAATCTAAACTGCCAGCTTGCCAAATTTTAAACCTATTCAATTATTCTTGGAAATAGAAAATGAAGTTTGGATTAAATTCTATTGAGGCCACCGTTAGTATCAAAGAGGTCTTTTCCACAGAACATCCTGACAAGAAAGTTTTTGGTAACTAATGATGAGTTATAACAAATGTTGATAGTACAGGCCCAGAACTCAGCAAAGACTAAACATTTATAATGGTTTAATTTCCAATCACAATTTTTTCTTCTCCTCCTTATGCTTTCTCAGTACCCCCACCATGCCATGTCCCTGTGAAAGTGCTTCATCAGGGTCAAATTGGCTAACTTGACATGCTGGTAGTGAAAAGATTAAAAACAGATGGCAAGAGGCAGAAGAAGGAAAAAGAATACTTCTTCATGTATTCATTCATCACTTACTAAGAATAAACGAATTGCAAGTTACTGATCTAGTGCTGTACTAGACTCTCTTTGAACAATGTGAATGAAGCAACTCAGGTTGCAAAGTGAGCGATCTAAGGCATAGTCCCTCATAGCACCCAACTGGAATATTGGAGAGATTGAAGTTTTAACCTGTGTAAATCGTTTACCATGGTGTCATTGTAGGACCTCACGGAATAATTGCTAGTATTTCTATCATTATGAACTTCTATTAGTATTGGACCAAGAGGAAGGAGTTTAGCACACATGTGTCTGTGAAGCAAAGCATGCCTCCTTTTGTCCTTCTCTGAGATGGGCTATTTATCAAAAATAACAACAACAAAGATATAATCAATTTACCTGTCTAGAATGCTGTGATAATTTACTAATTGATACTGTAAAGTTCTTTTAAAACATCAAGTAAAATACAAATTCTAAATATTGTGTAATAGCTTTCTTTGATTAGCATCTTCCATACACAATAATGTAACCTAATTTATTTAAACAATACAAAGTTAAGTAATAGAAAGCAGAGGAATAAATAAATTAAGAGGCATAGTCCAAAGAGAAGGGCATATTTTCAGATGAGATTTGAAAAAAGATGGTGAGTCAATGAGGCAGAGAGACACTAGGAAGCTGTTCTACTTGAGAAAAGATATAGACAAGGTTTCTCCTTAGACAATCTGCTACATTCTCTTGGCACCTAATTAAAACATTAAATGCATCAGCATCTCAAATAACATGAATGTTAATGGCGATCACTGCTGAGACACAAAAGAGCACTTAATTACCCTTTGGGAGAGTAAATGCCATCATTACTGAGAATTGTTAAAGTCATATAAAAGTTGAAAAATGCAATAAGTTGTGGCTGCTAGCAATGAAGATCTGTGCTCCCCTCCTAGAGTCTAAGTTGCTGCAGGGACGCACCTGTCCAGCCAAGAACTACATTTTCCAGAAGCCTTGCATCCAAAAGGGGCCAGTGGCTAGTCTGGCTGATGAAATATAATGTGTGCTATTTCCAGACTCAGGTGGATAATTAGCAGTTATGCATTTACTATAATCATTTTCCTTCCCACAGTAACCCTGGAACAGACATGCTGAAGATAATAGCATAAAGAAAAAGAAGGATCCTGAATCCCAGAACCTCTACTTGAACAAAGAAACCCATGAGAGCTGCCCAGCTAGCAACATCCACGTTGGACCAAGCATTAGTGATAAATAAAGTTTTATTTGCTAAACCACTGGTATTTCAGGGTTGTTCATTACCTACCATTCCTAGTAATATATTTTTATTTTGGAAGTCAGATTTTTGAACTAAACATGCAGTTATGAGAATGAACAAGTATTATAGACTATGAAAAGAAAAGAATGAAGGGATGGGGGAAAAAGAAAAAGTTCTAGTTGGAAGAATAAATATGTAAAGTGGAGAAGTGAGAAAATATGATCAGGTGGTCAGGATGTCTGGAGTGAAGAGATAGACAATGGTCTATTTTTAAATATAGCAGAAAGGTCAGATAAGGTTCCTTTCAGTGCTTTGAATTTAGGAACCAGCATGTCATAATTTCCTTTAGTGAAAGCAATTTTCATTAAGTATTGGTAGAATAAGTCACACTGCAGTGGATTGAGGACTGAAAGGGAACTGAAGTAGAGAAATGAAATGTAAAATACTTTTTCAAGAAACTTGGCATTAAAAGGGAAGAAAGATATAGGAGGGTAGCTAGAGGAAGCTGTAAGGATGAAGGACAGTCTTGTTTTGTTATATTTTATTTTAAGATTGGGAGTGACTGGTGGATACTTAAATGCTAGTGGAAAAGCTACAGCAGAATGGGTATCATGTGAGATGCAGAAGAGTTCCCTGAGAAAATGAGAGAGGCTGGTACAAAGTATTTGTTGAGAGCCTTGCCTTAAAGGCAGAAAGGCACTTCTTCCCCTCAAACACAAGGCCAGAAAAGGTGGGGCTGTGAACTGTGGGAGTCCTACTATGAGAATTGCAAAGAATTTGGAAAACATAGGAAAGAATTCTTCAATCAAAAAGGAAAAGAAATGGCAGTAATATTGAGATAATGTGCATACAATTAAATGAGTTAAAAATATATAAAAACAAGATAATGATAAAACTATAAGAATATAGATCTACAGATAGATTCATATAGAATACAGATGTGTGAAATGTAGTAAATAAAATACATAGGGTAAAATAGATAGCTTTTTCATAGATACTGGCAATATATTTGAGACTCATTGTGCAGATATTCTTAGTTAAGTGAAGAAGAAGAAAACTAATTATTATCAAGGGAATACAACATGCCAGATAGTGGGCTGGTTTTACAAATTTTCTCCATCTATTCTAATCACAATTCCATGAGGTATCATTTCCATTTTTTTTAACTTGAGTAAACTGAAGTTCAGTTGACAGTTATTAAGTAAAAAAGATTCAAACTTACATCTGTCTGACTTAAAAACTCATATTCTCATTGTACTTCAAAATTACCATTGCCTTAGTCGATGAAAGAACATTCATTTTGGAGACAAACAAATCAGAATTTCTATATGATTCCCACATCTTACTTCTTATATTGTCAACATTCTGGGAACAAGGTCTTGTTCACCTTTGTATCACTTATGCACAGCGCAGTGCTTAAATTATTGAAGCTGCCCAATAAGTGAATGTAGCATTAAAATTAATTTCTTTATGACTATTTCAATATTCACAGCAGGATAAAATTAAAATATTACAAAGAAAGACAAATGAAAGATAAAAAAATTTAAAGTAAAACTTAATCAAGAAATAACTAAGATGGAAAAGTAATAGGCAGTATAGATTACTTAAAGTGTTATAATAATTGCAAGGGTAATTTGAGTGATTTAAACATGATGGTAACAATGGAATTTATGCCACTATGGGTGGACAAGAATAGCACATTCCTGCTCTCTACTAGACCCTAATATTTTTAAATTATTTTTGGGTGCACTCAAAAAGTCAAAACAATGTATTATTGTCAATTAATCACTATCCAATATTCCAAAAATACTTTTTCCTCAAAACCTATATTTAATTTTAAAATTTCATTTCCATGTTCATATTGCAAATGATTTTTACTTACATTGATTTTAACCCCTTTTCAGACTTCAGTTGGGAAGCTCAAAGAGCCTTCCTTTCAAAAATCAGATATTAACATAGAGAATTTTAACAACATAGAGTTAAGAGTTTGAAACTAAAATAAAGCATATTCTAACAAAAGTTCACAGTTTTAGGTATCAAAGGAAATCATAATATGCATAATGCACAACAAGCAACATTTGCAAACTACATGTACAGTATGGGTACATCTGCTATAATATTTCATTTGAATACTATCTTTGTATTATGCACTCAGCATGTCAAGTAGTACCATCTTTTTCACTACCCCCAAATAACAAAACATTTAAGATGCTTCACTTTAAATTTATAATCAACAAAGCTCCAAAGCCAAAACTTATAGGAAAAGGGAATGGTGTGAGCTGAAGTTAAAATATTAGATTTTATTCATTTATTCAAAAATTAATTTATTGCTTTGATAAAATGATCACAAAGAAAATCACAAAGAAAAACATTTAGTGATTGCTAGTATGATGGCCATCTTAAAAACCGTATTTCACTTTTAAATACTACTGATAATAATATCTAAAGATAAGAAAATTATCATACACTTTCTTCTGCCTTTCATTTTATTTTGTGTTAATTAACTATTATTTGGGGGCTGTCACCATTTACCACATTTATTTTCTGTCCTATTGCAATAATTCCCACAGACAATTAATCTTCGCTTTATGTTGAAATGAAGTGGCACATACCTCAATTGCTTTTACCAGATTTTCTCCATTCCTGGTTTCTCTATTTTAACTCATTACATGGCTGGCTGAATGTCAGCATGAACTAGTTTTTCCAGGAAGGACTCAACAATGCTAATTTTGTTCATGTTTGGGAATGATGGCCTCCTGCTTTCACACTTAATGGACAGTTTGGATGAGTGTAATATTCTTTGATCACATGGTCTCAGTATTAAGCTTATTTTACGGTATTGTCTTTGGGCATTGAACATTGCTATGAAGAAATCGAAAGCCAGCATGATTTTCCAACTTATAGATGACATCCCATTTCAACTTAAAAGCCTGACTCATTTTTTTATCTGCAAAGTTTGATAACTTAAAAGGCGTGAATTGTGATTTCTTGCTCTACATTAACCGTCTCTGGAACATGGTGGGTTCTTTCACTCCACAGATTCAATTTTGTGTTTATTTCAAGAACTTGGGTTTTTACTAGTTCAACCATTGTGGAAGTCAGTGTGGCGATTCCTCAGGGATCTAGAACTTGAAATACCATTTGACCCAGCCATCCCATTACTGGGTATATACCCAAAGGACTATAAATCATGCTGCTATAAAAACACATGCACACGTATGTTTATTGTGGCACTATTCACAATAGCAAAGACTTGGAACCAACCCAAATGTCCAACAACGATAGACTGGATTAAGAAAATGTGGCACATATACACCATGGAATACTATGCAGCCATGAAAAATGATGAGTTCATGTCCTTTGTAGGGACATGGATGAAATTGGAAATCATCATTCTCAGTAAACTATTGCAAGGACAAAAAACCAAACACCACATGTTCTCACTCATAGGTGGGAATTGAACAATGAGAACACATGGACACAGGAAGGGGGACATCACACTCTGGGTACTGTTGTGGGGTGGGGGGAGGGGGGAGGGATAGCATTAGGAGATATACCTAATGCTAAATGATGAGTTAATGGGTGCAGCACACCAGCATGGCACATGTATACATACGTAACTAACCTGCACATTGTGCACATGTACCCTAAAACTTAAAGTATAATAATAATAAAATTAAAAAAAAAGAAGATCTACCACTAACATGTTAAAAAAAAAAAAAGAAATTGGGTTTTTAAAAAATGGGCATCTTTCAATTATTTCTCTGTTTTATTTGTTGCATTCTCAAATTCAGAAACACATTTATTTTTCATATTAGACCATATCTTTTCTCCTTGTATGAATTTTTCTGTGTAACATTTATGCCTTTTTCCTTTGAATTTAAATTTTTCTTTTAATCACTAATTTGATTTTCAGCCGTGTTTCCATTACTTGGTGCTTCTGATGTTTTTAATTTTGCAGTGGTGTCATTTGGGACTTTAAGAAAGACATTCTGGGCATTCCAGCAAGAGAAGTCGGGATACAAGTAATGGACACAAAGCAGTTACCACACACAAAAAAAATACTGTGATTTTTAAACAAAAATAATTTCTGCTTTTGAAACTATCCCTGCCTCAAATATCCTTTTTAAGTAAATTATGATTAGGTACCATGAACCCAGAAGTATTAAAAACAAAACAAAAAACCGCCACTCTCCCAAGCATCTAATCTGATGTACTCTTATTATGGTTTGAATGGTACTAATAAATACTTTAACTAATTACGTATTTAAATCTTGTGTGTCCTATATCCAGTGCTTTCCTTCCCAGCAGCCTAGACAAAAAGTATTCAAAATGAAGATTTTTAAATGCTGATATTACTGTCATGTTTCATATCACTTAAAGAAAAAATAACTTTTAAAAACTATTTTTTTCAATTTTGCAAACAGCTCACCTAGGATTATGAGGATATCTTGGAGTTTCTGAAAAGCTGATATTTATAGATAATTTTAAGATTATTTTCTTTTTCAAAGAAGCAGGTGGCCTAAAATAAACTGAAATTGGTGAGTTGGATCTTGAAGTAAAGAGCAACAAAAAGAATGATATTGAAAAAATCATATCACAATGGGAGTAAAAGATATTTAAGAGTCAAATATTGCTGTAAGGCATAAAACAATATCACCTTAACCCACCTAGAGACTTAAAGAATCAAAATGGCTATTCTGTTTATGAAAGATAAAAACCTCACACAGACTTATTATTTCCATATTCCATATGATCATTTCTCTTGGTAAAGGACCCATAGCTTTTCACATCATAAGTCGTTTTGGTACCGAGTTTGTTCTTAGATTTGAGAGCTGGGTATTCGAATGTTTCCATGGGTTCCAAAGAGGGCCCGCTGGGCTGAGAAATGTCTTTTGTTAGCTTCTACAAAAACGTGTGTTTGAAAACTATTCTAAGTAAAACATGTTCCATTCAAAATTATGTTAGCCCATAGGGGAAAAAATTGGAAATATGGAATGTTAAAAAAAATATTAAACACTGTTTAGGCTGGAGGTGGAAGTTTGAGGAGAGGTGAAATATTTGGGGGGAGTTTTCATAAAACACACGCTCCAATACCCATTCATTCAGAAGTTCTGATATACCCTATGGAGAAATAACAACCATTAATAACACTACTCAAAATGATTCTGTTATTCCCCTCAGGTTGATAATATTAATTTTACAGGTAAGAAAACACTCTGCTTATTTTATAGTTTAAGAAACTGTTTTGGTTACTACTGTAGCCTTGTAGCATAGATAGAAGTCAGGTAGCGTGATGCCTCCATCTTTATTCTTTTTACTTAGAATTGTCTTGGCTATATGAGCTCTTTTTTAGTTCCATATGAAATTTAAAGCAGTTTTTTTCTAATTCTGTGAAGAAAGTCAATGGTAGTTTGATGAGGACAGCACTGAATCTATAAATTATTTTGGGCAGTATGGCCGTTTTCACGATATTGATTCTTCCTATCCGTGAACATGGAATGTTTTTCCATTTGTTTGTGTCCTCTCTTATTTCCTCAAGCAGTGATTTATAGTTCTGCCTGAAGAGGTCCTTCACATCCCTTGTAAGTTGTATTCCCAGGTATTTTATTCTCTTTGTGGCAATTGTGAATGGGTCACTCATGACTTGGCTCTCTGTTTGTCTATTATTGGTGTATAGGGATGTTTGTGATTTTTGCTTATTGATTTTGTATACTAAGACTTTACTGAAGTTGCTTATCAGCTTAAGGAGATTTTCGGCTGAGAGGATGAGGTTTTCTAAATATACAATCATGTCATCTGCAGAGTCAATTTGACTTCCTCTCTTTCTATTTGAATACCCTTTATTCCTTTCTCTTGCCTGATTACCCTGGCCATAACTTCCAATACTACATTGAGTAGGAGTGGTGAAAGAGGGCATACTTGTCTTGTGCCGGCTTTCAAAGGGAATGCTTCCAGCTTTTGCCCATTCCATATGATATTGGATTTGGGTTCGACATAAATAGCTTTTATTATTTTGAGACATGTTCCATTAATACCTAGTTTATTGACAGTTTTTTTAGCATTAAGAGGTGTTGAATTTTATCGAAGACCTTTTCTGCATCTGTTGAGATAATCATGTGGTTTTTGTCATTGGTTCTGTTTATGTGATGGATTACATTTATTGATTTGTGTAGGTTGAACCAGCCTTGAATCCCAGGGATGAAGCTGACTTGATCATGGTGGATAAGCTTTTTGATGTGCTGCTGGATTTGGTTTGCCAGTATTTTATTGAGGATTTTCACATAGATGTTCATCAGGGATATTGGCCTGAAATTTTCTTTTTTTGTTATGTCTTTGCCAGGTTTTGGTATCAGGATGATGCTGGCCTCATAAAATGAGTTAGGGATGAGTCCCTCTTTTCCTATTGTTTGGAATAGTTTCAGAAGGAATGGTACCAGCTCCTCTTTGTACCTCTAGTAGGATTTGGCTGTGAATATGCCTGGTCCTGGGCTTTTTTTGTTGGTAGGCTATTAATTATTGCCTCAATTTCAGAACTTGTTATTGGTCTATTCAGCGATTCGACTTCTTTCTGGTTTAGTGTTGGGAGGGTGTATGTATCCAGGAATTTATCCATTTCTTCTAGATTTTCTAGTTTATTTGCATAGTGATGTGTATAGTATTCTCTGATGTTAGTTTGTATTTCTGTGGGATCGGGGGTGATAGCCCCTTAATCATTTTTTTATCATGTGTATTTGATTCTTCTCTCTTGTCTTCTTTATTATTCTGGCTAGCGAACTATCCATTTTGTTAGTCTTTTCAAAAAACCAGCTCCTGGATTTATTGATATTTTGAAGTGTTTTTTGTGTCTCTTATCTCCTTCAGTTCTGCTCTGATTTTAGGTATTTCTTGTCTTCTGCTAACTTTTGAATTTGTTTGCTATTGCTTCTCTAGTTGTTTTAATTGTGATGTTAGAGTGTCAATTTTAGATCTTTCCTGCTTTCTCTTGTGGGCCTTTAGTGCTATAAATTTCCCTCTAAGCACTGCTTTAAATGTGCCCCAGAGATTCTGGTACATTGTGTCTTTGTTCTCATTGGTTTCAAAGAACATCTTTATTTGTGCCTTCATTTCATTATTTACCCAGTAGTCATTCAGGAGCAAGTTTTTCAGTTTCCATGTAGTTGTGTTGTTTTGAGTGAGTTTCTTAATCCTGAGTTCTAATTTGAATGCACTGTGGTCTGAGAGACAGTTTGTTATGACTTCCATTGTTTTGCATTTGCTGATGAGTGTTTTACTTCCAATTATGTGGTCAATTTTAGAATAAGTGCGATGTGGTGCTGAGAAGAAAGTATATTCTGTAGATTTGGGATGGAGAGTTCTGTATATGTCTATTAGGTCTGCTTGGTCCATAGCTGAGTTCAAGTCCTGGATATCTTTGTTAATTTTCTGTCTTATCGATCTAATATTGACAGTGGGGTGTTAAAGTCTCCCACTATTGTTGTGTGAGAGTCTAAGTCTCTTTGTAAGTCACTAAGAACTTGCTTTATGAATCTGAGTGCTCCTGTATTGGGTGCATATATATTTAGGATAGTTAGCTCTTCTTGTTGCATTGATCCCTTTACCATTATGTAATGCCCTTCTTTGTCTCTTTTGATCTTTGTTGGCTTAAAGTCTGTTTTATCAGAGACTAGGATTGCGACACCTGCTTTTTTTTGCTTTCCACTTGCTTGATAAATCTTCCTCCATCCCTTTATTTTGAGCCTATGTGTGTCTTTGCACGTGAGATAGGTCTCCTGAATACAGCACATTGATGGGTCTTGAGTCTTTATCCAATTTGCCAGTCTGTGTCTTTTAATTGAGGCATTTAGCCCATTTACATTTAAGGTTAATATTGTTATGTTTGAATTTAATCCTGTCATTATGATGCTAGCTGGTTATTTTGCCCGTTAGTTGATGCAGTTTCTTCATAGCATCTATGGTCTTTACAATTTGGTATATTTTGGCAGTGGCTGGTACTGATTTTTCCTTTCCATATCTAGTGCTTCTTTCAGGAGCTCTTGTAAGGCAGGCCTGGTGGTGACAAAATCTCTCAGCATTTGCTTGTCTGCAAAGGATTTTATTTCTCCTTCACTTATGAAGCTTAGTTTGGCTGGATATGAAATTCTGGGCTGAAAATTCTTTTCTTTAAGCATGTTGAATATTGGCCCCCACTTTCTCCTGGCTTGTAGGGTTTCTGCAGAGAGATCCACTGTGAGTCTGATGGGCTTCCCTTTGTGGGTAACCTGACCTTTCTCTCTGGCTGCCCTCAACATTTTTTCCTTCATTTCAACCTTGGTGAATCCGATGATTATATGTCTTGGGGTTGCTCTTCTTGAGGAGTATCTTTGGGGTGTTCTCTGTATTTCCTGAATTTGAATGTTGACCTGTCTTGCAAGGTTGGGGAAATTCTCCAAGACAATACTAAGCAAAAAGAACAAAGCTGGAGGCATCACACTGCCTGACTTCAAACTATACGACAAGGCTACAGTAACCAAAACAGCATGGTACTGGTACCAAAATAGATATGTAGACCAATGGAACAGAACAGAGGCCTCAGAAATAATGCCACACACCTACAACCATCTGATCTTTGATGAACATTATAAAAACAAGCAATGGGGAAAGGATTCCCTATTTAATAAATGGTGTTGGGAAAACTGGCTAGCCATATGCAGAAAACTGAAACTTGACCCCTTCCTTACACATTATACAAAAATTAACTCAAGATGGAGTAAAGATTTAAATGTGAGACCTAAAACCATAAAAACCCTAGAAGAAAACCTAGGCAATACCATTCAGGACATAGGCATGGGCAAAGACTTCTATGACTAAAACACCAAAAGCAATGGCAACAAAAGATGAAATAGACAAATGTGATCAAATTAAACTAAAGAGCTTCTGCACAGCAAAAGAATCTATCATCAGAGTGAACAGGCAACCTACAGAATGGGAGAAAATTTTTGCAATCTATCCATCTGACAAAGGGTTAATATCCAGAATCTACAAGGAACTTAAACAAATTTACAAGAAAAAAACAAACAATCCCATCAAAAAGTGGGGTGAAGGATATAAAAAGACACTTCTCAAAAAAGACATTTATGTGACCAACAAACATGAAAAAAAGCTCATCATCACTGGTCATTAGATAAATGCAAATCAAAACCACAATGCGATGCCATCTCATGCCAGTTAGAATGGTGATCATTAAAAAGTCAGGAAACAACAGATGCTGGAGAGGATGTGGAGAAATAGGCATGCTTTTACACTGTTGATGGGAGTGTTAATTAGTTCAACCATTGTGGAAGACAGTGTGAGGATTCCTCAAGGATCTAGAACTAGAAATACCATTTGACCCAGCAATCCCATTACTGGGTATATACCCAAAGGAGATAAATTATTCTACTATAAAGACACATGCACACATATGTTTATTGCAGCACTATTCACAATAGCAAAGACTTGGAACCAACCCAAATGTCCATCAATGATAGACCGGATAAAAAAATGTGGCACATATACACCATGGAATCCTATGCAGCCATAAAAAAGGATGAGTTCATTCCCTTTGCAGGAACATGGATGAAGCTGGAAACCATCATTCTCAGCAAACTAACACAGGAACTGAAAACCAAACACTGCATGTTCTCACTCATAAGTGGGAGTTGGACAATGAGAACACATGGACACAGGGAGGGGAGCAACACACTCTGGTGCCAATTGTGGTGGGTGTGCAAGGGGAAGCAGAGCATTATGGCAAATAACCAACGCATGTGGGGCTTAACAACTAAATGATGAGTTGATAGGTTGCAGACCACAATGGCACATGTATACCTATGTAACAAACCTGCATGTTCTGCACATGTATCCCAGAATTTGAAGTAAAATAAAATAAAAATTAAAAAATTAAAAAGAAACAGGCTCAGAGAGGTTAAAAGACTTGTCTAAGGTTCATGCAATTTAATTGAGAAAAATAAAACCAGAATGCAGGTTCCATGAATTCTTAAAGTTCCTATAGGAATGCAAGAAAATGCTAGGCTTAGCCAGCAATGCACTTGATTTCCTATTTTTCCCAGGAACATCACATTTGATTCTGTTTCCCTTATTTCACCTAGTGCTCTGGAATGTGAATGGGCAAGTAATGGAGCAATCCATGTTCCTGTGTAGGGTCCACAGAACACGACTGCAAGTATGTTTTCTGTCTTTAAGGCATAAGACAAAGTGTGTAATTATTCACAGTCGCAAATTAAAATAAAATCTCAATGAAAATAAAATGAAATCTGAATATGAGTATGAAATTTCAAATGTGATTACAGATGTGTTAAAAAACAAAGATAACAATCAGTGAAAGAGAGAAAGCTAAGATATATAAAGGCATTCACCAGAAAACCATAAAAATCTTAAATAATTACAAGGATGTGAAGTGTTGAAATTACGTTATGCATTTGAGCAAATGGAAAATCCATAAAATCTATTTTTATATTATAAAATGAGATTTTAAGAATACCTGTTTGTCTATTTAATAGCCCATTTTGCAATAAGTGTCTTTGTAACCTCCAAATAAATGTACAAGCTTAGCAGTCTATGATTATTTTCTATCTCTTTTCTAAAGTAAACTCTATATGCAATTATAAGGGCAATGGAATGCACATAGAGCGAAGAAGAACGGGAGATTGTGATAAAAGGAAGTGTCTTTCCTTAAGTACGGAAAAAAGTAAATGTTGCTGCATTCAATCACTAGCAGAAATTTTTTTATATCTAATATAATGGCTGTTGCTAGTGAAATCATATGGTATTAACTACATACTCAGTGTGCCTATGGCTAGAACCACGTCTACAAATTCAGGTATTTACCACTAGGTGGCAGTGGCACTACCTAGGGTAGTATGGACCTTCAATAGCTTCAGCTGGATTAACACAATTGCTCCTCTCCGTAGCATCTGGAGCTTTCCAGTGATAAATACATCACCCTCAAAAAAATTTTTTTGTTATTTAAAAACAACTGAATTCACAAATAAAACATTAATTAGATATCTGTTTCCCAATGAAATAATATTAGACTCAAGGTTTAAAGGAAGATAGCCCTGTAGATAGATGACTTGAATATTTACTGCATCGCTCTTCATCAAATTGAGTTGAATTGTACTGCCCTGAACAGAATCAAGTTAGCACAGATAGATGCATGGTAGAAATATTTAAATAGATTTTGTCACTACCTACCTTAATTTAGGTTACAAAATTACTCTGACATGCTTCATAGGGGCACGATTTTTCCTGATTCTTCTCCTTCAGCTGAGTTTTCAACTCGCGCTCACTCTTATAAAAATCATGCATCACATTTTCTCCTGACAATGAGGCCTGAAGCAGTTTCACCTTGCAGGACTGTTATGCTTCAAAAATAAACTGAAGGAATTCTTGCTGGAGCACTCTGCTTTTTCTTTTCCTTTGCAAACCTATCCATGGTACAAAACTGTCACCTCTGTTATGAGTCACACTCACTAATAATCAATAGTTTCTAAGATACATTGTCATCTGTTAGCCTCTGTGATACATTTCCTCTTTTGAGGCTTCTTTTAATGTGAGGGATTCATTTTTTCCACACAGTTATCTAAGATATCCTATTAAACAAGTTAGCAACTTTCAGATCTCTTCCAGTGTCTCCTTGAAGAGGTTTTGCTCTCTTGTTTTTTATTATTCTTAGAAGCAGACAGAAGAGATTGATTTTAAAACTGCAATATATAACAATCATGTTATCATATCTTAATTAGCATCAGATTCCACAAAAAGTGCCTGTATTCACTAAACAAGGGAGAAAAGCTTCCCTCTTCACTTTAGTCTGAGATTGTTTTCAACAAGTTTATTCTGTATCATTATATCTTTCAAAAATTAAAAAGTAAGACCATGCATTTAAAAGAAAAAAGCTGAATCAGCATTTTTAACTAGAAAATATAGGTTGTTTGATAATACAAAAACCAAAGAACAACTCAAAAAACAATGAAGAGTTGTTCTGAGCTTAAGTAGTATGCAAATTGCTTTTTTTTTAAATGGTAGCATGATCAACACGAATGATATTTCTGGGTCTTGGCACATCAAACTACCCACAGATGAAAGATGACTTAATTGCTTTGACCACAGTCCGAGTCAGAATAGCTCAGTTGGCAAATATAAAAATAGCTTGGTGCTATTTGCATTTGCATTTGAGCAAGAAGTGATTTCATTTTAATGCCCAAAGTCTAGGTAACAAAGCAACCCATAGGTAGTGAAACACACCTTGCAAGCAAGAAATGCAATTCCTGGCTGGAGCATCTAAGGGTTGCAGGGGACACATTGATCTTGTCAGCTACATTCGTGTGCATAGGAAATAACATTGTCAGCACAGCTCCTTCAAATTCAGATCACAATATATCGAGAGTTTATGTCTTCAGAGGTTAAGCAGTTAAGCATTCAGAGATTTGTTACCCATGCCATCACTTTTAAGTAACCCTCTAAAAATCTTTTAATAATTAATTGTTATTCTGAATGTCTAATGTTACTGTTAATAGCTTAAGTTGCATCTCATAATTTCACCTAACAAAGTGTTTCTAATAAATAATCATAGCAGAGTGAGGCTTACTATATTTTAGACTTTACTATGTAGCAGTCCAAATAAAGTAAAAATATATAGAAGAGGAAAAATATGACACAAAGAATAGGAAATTTCTCCAGGCCTTGTATTAAATGTGAATCTGAAGCAAGTAATGGTAAAATGTGAGCTACAGAGTCTTCATTTTTTCTAACCAGCTATCTTTGAGTTGCTGTTACTTTCATATTTTCTAAACTTTGTAATATAAACAGCAAACTTAATTCAGAAAAAAAAAATCCACCATAACTGATTACCATAACCAAGATCACAGACATTTAAATCAAAAGTCACCTGAGTTGGAAAAGGTTTAAGTTTTTTCAATAAATTATTTTTTATAATGACTATAAAAGTTATATAGTACACAGAGGCTAGCTGGAGCTAGATACTTTACTGTACCTGAATTGCGGGGAATGCTTTCTGAGATATAAAGCTGACAATCAGACATCTGAGTGTGACTGGAAAATAGCAGTCCCTGAAAGATTAAAGTGTGAATTTTAGTAACCTCGAAAGCAAAAACCATTGTTCTTTCACTTTTGAACCAGGACGTAGACTGAGCGAATTAAAACACATACACACATAAAGAGATAAAAAGGGTAAAATAAAATGCCAAAATCATTTTCTCAAAGCTCAAAGTGTGAATTCTTGCTCTACAAAAATCTATATTTTCTCTGCTATTTAAAAAACAGTTCTGTGATCATGCTAAAATATTAACATAAAATGACTTAATTTACAAGGTAAAACTGAGTTACTCTACTGGAATTCAATAAAGTTACTAATTTTGCAATATGATCACCTTGCCTTTTAATGTTATCAATTTTCTTCAAAACTTAAATGACTAGTAAAGAAAGGTTGATATCAGTGGTTAAGTCAAAACAAAACAAATTGCTCATAAATGTCATGATTAATTTAAAACAAATTCTTAACCCAAATAACATGAAAGGAAATGGTTATAGGCAATGGAATTTGGAGGAGGAGGGATAAAATTACGGAGTGCAAGTATTTAAAATTAGGAAAACTGCTTTCAATATTTTTAAATAGAGAAGAGAATGAATCACGAAGCAAATGACCCAGGCGAAATATTAACACTTTTACTTATTTAATATTTTACTTTAAGCTTCTTTAATTGTTAAAAAAAAAAAAAAAAACTATATATACAAAACAGACAGTAAATATCTGTTGCCCACAATCCCTCTACTTCTTTGGGGAAGTATTTACAGTAATTTATGAAAAACCTCACTCTTGACCCTCAAATCTCAGTTCCCAGCAGTAATTAAAGTTATAAATAATTGTTCAGTAACTTTTTTTTCTGCATGTATCCACCCACAAAAAATAAGATAGGGAGGAGCGGTGGCAAATAATTTTAACGGTTTTGGTTTTTTTTAATCTGTGTTACGGCTGGTCTTGGGATAGCAGAACCATTCATCTGGCCTTTATTGTTTGCTATGATCTCCACGTGATCTTCAAAATAAGAAACGTGCCATTTCTTCTCTGGTATACTTTCGCGGTGGGATTTCGGCTGCTGGAGGCACCTTCTCTCTGCGCTCTGGTTTGCCTTCCCTGACCCTGGCCATCGGCGTGGTTCCCCCGCCAGCAGTGCCGGGAGGTCGGCTCAGCCGCCTGTCGATGCCCACGTCACAGTGATGAGATACAGATTTCTGGATCCCATGCAGTCTGCACAGTTGATCACGCCTCCCACCAAATGACCCAGGAAATCAGGAACTTTGCACCAGAAGACCCACCATGTCCTATTTTCAACATCCTGAACATCAGAAAGGGACACACACTTCTTTGTAAAAAATACCAATTATGACCATGTTATATTTTACATCTTGCTTTTAAACTTAATTATGTATCAGAAATGGTTTCCCAGGTCAGTGTATATATAGATATACCACATTTTCTTTTTATAATAGCTTTTTATGGAATGGAGGCATCATAACTTATTTAATCATTTGCTTACTAAGGAACATTTAGGTGTTCATATTTTCTGCCATTTAAGAAAATCTTCATACATATATCTATATGTACTCATGCCATTCTTTCTGTAGGGTGGATTTTTAGATGTTGGACTCCAAATCACCATCCCTCAGTTTTTGTACTAATTTTTACCACAACCATTTTCATTATAATTCCACATATATTTTTAAAATTTGGCCTATTTTTAAAACTACCTTAATTCATATTTTCTTTTTATTAATGATCTTGAACATCTTTTTATCCATTGTTTGGACAATTATTTTTTTTCTGCTAATTGCCAGATTAAATTATTTTTCTATTTTTGTGAAGAGTTTCTTGTTGTTTGGTAGAAGCTCTTTGTATGTTTGATGTGTTTCTTTTCCCCCAGTTGGTCATTTGTCCTTCAACTTTCTTTGTGGTATTTTTCTTCAAAGAACAGAAATTGTAATTGTTCTGTGTGTACTTAAATGTGACATCCTTTTCCTGTGTGACTCCTTGGGTTTTGTCTTGCTTAGAAAGCCTTTCCACTCTAAGTCTATAAAAACCGTCTCTATAAAAATAGTAATGTATGGATTCATTACTTAAAACGTATATCTCAATCCACACAGAACTGATTTAACTTTGATTTTAGTAAGAGAACAAAATTTAAGTAGAAATTATCTTCAAGCACTTGCAGAATAATGAAACCTGGGTCAATAAATAGCTGAGATTTAAAAAGAAAAAATAATTCAGACAAACCTGATTACCTTTCTTGATAAAAAAAAAAAACTAAATTAGTGGAGGGAGAGCAAGATGTGTAATAAATTTAGACCTTTGACATACAGTGTCTCCATCAATCTTTCATAGAAAAATTAATTCAAATTGGCTTCTTCAAGGTGAACACTGTCATCTGAATTGAAAACTGCCTGATAGATCATAAACAACGAAAATAATAATAGCATTGATGCATCTAGCCATAGGGAAGAAGAAACAAATATCACACTAAGATCAATGATAGATCTGGATTCACAAAGCTTTTATATTAATAATCTGGAAAGAATAAAGATAAATGAAGTAATTATTCATTTAAGAAATGTCACTAAAAGAAAAAGTGCACTCTACACACCTGAACGCATTATAATAGAAGATTGCTGTGAAGGATAGAACCCTAGTAGGATATCCAAATAATAACTGACTTGGAGCCAACCCCATGATCATTTCTCTATACACATAAAATTAGTTCAGTCAATTCGCACTTATGGTGACCACTGTGTAACAGACTAGAGACAAATGCATTCAGTTTAAGACTCTGCAGGAAGAGCAATAGGGATACTCCTAGCCAGAGAAAGGTGAGGCAGTGGTGGGTGAGGGCACTGTGGATGTGGAAATAAAAGTCAAAACAGCTATGGCTCCTACTCCCATGACCCTCAGACATGGCCCAAGCAAGGGAAGATGCTCTAAAATCTGCCACTACCTGAAAGTTGTGATAGAAAAAGTAAATAAATTACAAACCAACAATGATAATGAAAGGTGACTGAACTGGTTTAGATGAAATACAAAAAAAAGCATAATAAAGTGTTGATGCTAAATTCACATATCATTTTAGTGTTTACACAGTGCTTTCCCATAGTCTTATTTGATTAATACCCTCAGGTACCCTGAAGTAGTCAGGAAAAGTGTGATTAATAGATTCATTCTCCTCCCGAGGCTAAGTAGAACCAAAGAAATTGCCCAAGATTACATACTCTGCTGGGGATCTTTTATTTCTACTATACCTACTCCAACCATTTAAAGCAATTCACAGAGAAGTGCAATCAGGTTTGGAAATATGTAAAAATTGTACCTCAAAAACTTTTTTATAAAAGAAAAGCAAACAGTATCTTTATTAGACAAATAATTTCCACATTCAGTAAACACATGAAATACATTATTTGGCCTCAAGTCGACATACTTACTTTTCCTCTGCCTGCCTTCCTTTCATCCTTCCTTTATTCCTTCCCCTGCCCTTTTCCCCCATGAGCATTCTTCTTGAAAACATGGGAAGCAACTCAAGCGAGTAAGAATGTTTAAGTACATGTATTGCAAAACAATCTTTCTGGGAAAATCTCAACTTTTCACCCATGGAGGGAGTGGGAGATTTTTTTTTCTCACAAGTACCTAAAGCCCAAAAGGCTCTTAAATTACTTTTAAGATTAACTTTAATGCCTCCATGCCACCCAAGTGATAATGTCCATTCTCCATGTGGGCACCGTACTGCAATAGACAGGCAGCTTGGTTTGTCTGCCAACACCATTGGAAGCCAATGATGCCTGCCTTCAGGTAACTGGATGAAACATTTCATTAGAGAAATGTTATTTGTATGTTAAGACACTCTTGTCATGATTCCTTGCAGCTGTTGATTTCCTTTTCACAAGACTTACTTATTACTGTGTAAATATAGCACACGTATATATAGGTATACATATATATATACATGCTTGTGTGTGCGCGCGTGTGTGTATTTCCCTCGTGGACAATTCAATCAGTACAGTTTTCAGCCAAATGAAATAAAAAGCAAGTTAAATCTTTCTTAAACATAAGTTAAAATGATGATGTGCAACAATACCGCATTGCTAGAAGAGATCAAATGACCTCATCAAAGATGTTTGAGAAGATATCAAACGTATCCATGTTAAATTTCAAAATGTAACTGTGAAAAGCTCTCTAGATAACCATCTGTTTATCTAGTTCCTCCTATATATAATCAACTTTCTTTCAAACAGGAACTCTTACATTGACAAAATAAATGAGTCCAAATATTTGGCTTAATAGATCTTCACTTTAATTAATCAAATAAAATGAATCTTTCAACTGAAGTTTACATTTGTCTGTTTGATCTACAATTTTGAAGGATATTCATAATATTTTGTACACTACAAAAAGCATATCTACTTTTATTTTTATTTCAAGCAGCTGGCCTGTGTATACAATCATAGAGGAGAAATGTTTTTAATAGGGATATCATCTCTAAATTTTAGTGTGTTTCAATCTTATTTATAAAAGGGAGAAAAGCTTGAAAGAATACTTCAGAAACATTTTAATAGAAAAGTATTAAGTATTTATGATTCTATTATGTGCATTAAACTTTTGGAAAATAATTTAACTTCAGATGATATTTCAGGATCAGAATGTCTGAATAATGTTAACACATTTTTGTCATGATGTCTTAACATTAAGACAGTAAGACATTCTGTAAGATTGCATGATGAGAAGACATAGATAAAGTGAGAAGTTATTGAGACAATGGGGCTAAAGTATTTATTAATGTTGACTAGTAAAATACAATGAGGATCTAGAAGATTTTATGTCTCCATAGATCACCACATCCTATTATTCTTTTTCTACCATATATGGTAAAATCATTCACAAAAAGTAAAACAGGGAACTGTTTTGTAAAATTATGTATTTATGATAAATTATAGAATCATATCTTGTAAATTCACAGCATAAGCGTCTGAATCTATAAAATACATGTATGTATAAATATACAAACTTCTATTTACAAATAATTAGCTTCCAGGATTGTGTCTGATAACTTTTAATGATAATAAATGTCCATGTCAGATCATATTTTGTAATCATAATCAACCTATCACTGAAATAATTTTTGAGGCGTTTCTCATATTTGAGTATTTCATAGTCAGCATTTCAGTATTGTCATCCATCGCTATATTCTCCTCATTACCAGGAGATGGCGCTGTGGGTTTTAAATCGCAAAGCTAAAAATTCCCAAAGCCGCGCTGAAATTTTCAGTTTCTTTCTTTCCTTAATTTGTGCACGCCAGGCAATCCCTAACAGTGTTTACCATTTTTTCCTCGAACAAGTTTAATCTTTAAAATTTTTTCAAATGTTTAATATTCTGTGATGATAAGATTCCAGGGGAAAGAAGGGTCTGACACAAATAAGCATAACAGCCCCCTAGGGAGGACAACTGAATGAAGGAGTTGTCCCAAGTAGGCGAGGCGGTATGAATTCCTCATAAACTCTTTTCACTAGTTTTGCTCTACCTGCACCCGCATGTCCTACATTGTTCTCTGAGGTTTCAGCAGTGATAATGCAGGCGCTAAGTTATTCGCTCACTGTACGGTCCCCCTGGCCTTCAAAGTCGCCAAAGTGGGGAAAGACCACGCAGGAGCCAGGTGAGACCCTCGCGGTGGGCTCGGGGACTTGTGTGTGCACCTCGCGCTGAGAAGGCTGCCTCCCGGGGCTCAGGGTTTGTCTTCAAGGTCTGTTCAAATTTAGGCTAACTCGTCCCCAAACAGTAGTGAGGACCAGTATGTTTTCTGTAAAATAGATACAGACAAGGAAAATCTTTTCGAAAGAACGCTATACGAACAAGTTTCAACTTTCCCACAGTCGAAATTTTTGGAATTGCCAAGCAACTTGGAAAGACTAGCAAGACGGGGGGCCCTTGGCTCACTGCCAGGAATGCGCCAGCTCGCGCTAGTCCCCCAGCGTCGTCACCCTCGCTGTCCTCCTCCTCATGAGCCCACACATGTGGACCCAGTCTCTCTGAAGTGAGCTTTGTAGGACTCGGCGGCGAAGGGGACGAGAAAATACAGATGACAAAACGACGCCGAAAGGCTTGACCTCTGGGGCTAATCTCTCTGCCTCCGAGTAGATCCCGCGCTCCCAAATCCGGCGGGGGCGCAGTATGGTGAACCCCACACCTAGCTCCCTCAGCTGCGTGGGTTTCAAGCTGACCCAGGCGCCACCAGGCAGCCCCGAGTGGGCGAGTCAAGTGCAACTTCAAGGTCAATGTGCCTCTGACTGGGGCCTGGAGAGCTGCCAAGAATGCTGGGCTTGGAGCGCTGGGGTCGCGCCCCGCTACTGCGCCTTGGACCCCGCAGTGGAGGGCGCTGAGACCGCACCCCCCTCCCCGGGCAGTTTTCAGGAGAGGGTCCAGCTGGGGTCTCCGCGGTGGGGTCCAGAAACGATATTCCGGGTTGGATTCTTCCTCGGTTGGGGAAGCACAGCTGGCGGAGAATTCCCACGGCTCTCAGTGGATTCGCTTTTCCAGAGCTGTTCTCAAGCAAAGTTGTCATTTTTGCCAAACTTTGTTTTTACTTTTTAGACTGTTCTGAAAGAGATAAATTGAAAAACACAGAGAGACAATTTTCCTTCTCAGAAGATACACATAGCTACCCAAATTCAGACTTGTAACTTTTCAAACTAGTGAAGTAATAAACTATTTATCAGTACTATAAAAATAACAAAGACGAACTTCTGGCTTTACTCTTTAGAGTAGATTATGTTCCATTCTGATTTTACTTGGGTTCCTATCTCAAATTTCAAGCAAATATCAAGATGATCATTAAGAAATTTAAATAGTACCTAGAAATTAGTTTGGTCTGCAGCTCAATGCACTAATTTCAATGCGGTGCTGTCTGCTGAATATTTTAAACTCCTTTCAAAGCAGTAGGTGTATTCCCTCCCGCAGTAACAAAACGATATTCATCTTTACACAAGGTGCTCTGGCGTTTATAATTTGGTATCCAACACCCGGCCGAGAATGTTCCCTTTCCTGATGCTTTGGCCAACCGGCCTCGATAAGCCAACCAGCCCAGAACCAGGGGCGCTGGGCTGGGTGTTCCTCGGGGACGGCGCCCACTGCCCGCTTGGTCCCTGGAGTGTCCCGAGCTGCCTCCCATACCCCTGCTGCGGACAGAGTGGGGGCAGTCCTCTGCCTCTGTTTCCCAACTGCTTTGGTAACTCAGTGACTCTCTGTGAAACTGCAGAGTCAGAGGACTTCCCTTCCGTAGTTTTCATTCTAAGCGGTCATCTGTGAGTCAGAAGATTTCGCCGTGGCCTGATTTCCCACCCTTTCTGCCCGCGCAAGCCGAAAGCGCTCATGTTGGCTTTTCCTTTGCCACTTTTCCAACTTGCCAGTTCCATCAGGAGCCCGGATCCTTGCCCAGCTTCTTGGCGGAGCCAAGTTCGAGCGCACAGATTTCCCGAGCTCCAGCGGCCAGGGGGCACTGTGTGAGCGGCTGACGTCACCCCTCCGCCCGGCCGAAACCAGGCGGCGGGATCCCACACAGTTGAGGAGAGGGAGCCGAGGCCGTGACTTAGGGCTGGCGACGATTAAACCAAGTAACGAGACACCGGGCAGATGTGTTTTCATTGCCCTGTAAGATAAATGCAGTGTTAAGTGCCTGACAACTTCCCAGAAGCAATCAGCAAAAGTTTACGAGTGCATAAACCTCAAAGACCATTCCCTATCGGTTGTTATAAGGCCGGTATTTAGAGCTTCCATAAATTCTTCGGCCTTTTCCCAAAGCAAAGTTTTCAGCGACTATTAAGCAGCCACCTCCTCCGGGAAGACTAGGGGGATTTTCTTGAATTACAAAAGGAAGAGGCTTTTGGCTCCTACCGAGTAAAATGAAGTTGTGCAAAAGTTTGTTCCAGAAGCTTGGATGGCCAGGGAGAGGAGGGAGGTGGCAGGAGGTCGTGGAGATGGGGTCGGGAAGGGCCACGAGATGCGCTCAAGTGTTTGTTGCCTAAGGGCGAAAGACAAAGGTCCTGCGAAGATCCTGGGTCTAGCTGAGCTGGCAGGGCCTTTGCCGCCCTCAGTGTCGCCCCTGCTCTGCCATCCCGGCTCTGCCGCTCACAGCCCCGCATGGCACCCCCCACCAGTCCCTGACATGATCGATCCTTCGCCCTTCAAATGTCCACTTCGGGCCGGCAAGAATCCTGGCGCCCCGCAGAAGGTGGCAGCCCACAAAAAGGGCAAGCTGGCTGGAGAACTAAGTCAGACATTGTGAGATGTGTCCCCATCCTGCCCAGAGCCACGACCGGGCCAGCCTCCGCCCTCCCGAAAGTGACCCAAGGACTTTGATAAGTTAGTGTCATGCATACACGACCCACCTATGTTTAGAGAGAACCTTTGTTTATGATCCCAGTGAAAACAAAGCTGCTAATTGAAAAACAATAACACTAGCGTGTCTTTAGCTTTCTAAAGGGAGAGGTTAACAGCTGCGAACGCCGGGGGAGGGACGGTGGGAGGGGTGCGGTGAGCGAGGGGCTGCCCTGCATGTAAACAGCCTCGGGGTCCCAGACGAGACAAGTGGGACCGCTCAAGCCTGCAGAACCCCCGGTCTCGGTCCCAGGCACAAGAGCCTCCCGTAGCCCCGCCTGATCTTTCTCAGTCTTTAGGTTCCAGGACATCCAAAGGAGCGTAGGTAACCGACGTCTACGTAGTATTTCTGTCCCCGGAAGACTGGATCTCAGGGAATTATTATGGAAGATACTGCTGAGCCCCTTTCATCCTTTCCAGGTGAAAATACAGACATTTTTGTGTCGCCCTCACCCTTCCTTTATGAAATAAGGTGCCCAACTGTTCTGATATTACCATTCAAAAACAGGTTCTGTGGCGAACCTCATTTGTGAATCTATTACAGAGATTAATAGATTATTTCTCCTTTTTCAACTAATTCTCAGTGGGGAAATTTAACCATATGGTAAGGAGAGAATTAGAATTTCATCACATTAGAGCAAAATGTAATGAAAAGAGTCCAACACCTGGGGCCAACTCCGAAAGCCACAATTAAAAGGTTTTTAATGAAACCAGAGAAACCAAAAATTGCATAGTCTTCAGTACTTCTGCCATATAAGAAAGAGTTATTGGAAGGTGTTGGGAAATATTGTTTTTACTTATGTCATAAGGATGAAAACCAGCTGCTAAATACCATGTGTACCCAGAGACCGAACTCAGGAGTGAGATGACCGCGTGTACCAGTGCCCATCCGGAGAGGAGCACTTGTTTTTACATTCTCCCTTCCCGAACCCTCCAAGAACAACCGAGGCTGATCCAGATGTCCTTAAATGGCTTCCGGGTAAATAAATATGCATAAATGCCTCACTTCGTGTGGGAGCGGATTTGACTCCTGGTGAAGTTGACTCTTTTGAAGCAATCAGATTTTCATCTTAAGGAAAGTTTGAGAAACCGGTTTGTTTGTTTGTTTTCTTCCTGTTTAGGAAATTGTGTACTTCACAATTACCATCACTGTAACAGTTATTTGGAGACCACTGCAAAATCACTGCCACCCCACCTTAAAAAAAAATGGGCTGCATGATCACTTGCTCTTCATTTTGCTTTTTTCTTTCTTTTTTTCCAATCTGGGTAGGAAATGGGCAGTGGCGGGTGTGGAAACGAGGCAGAGTGTTCGGGGGGACGACTGCTTTGCTCTCTGACCAGCTGAAAACCTAGAGTGAATTTTGGGCAAGCCAGCTGGGACACCACCTTCTCTCGGAAAGTCCCATCCCCAAATCCAGACCAGTCATCCTACGAACAGGGGTGGAGTATAATTCTCGCCCGGAAGGGTAATTTAGCACAAGCTGAGACAGCAGTGGCGAGGGAAGGGCAGTGGGGGGTGGGGTGCGGTGGGTGGGGGCGTCTGCTTTCCACAGGACTCCCAGGCTTCGCCGCCGATCTACAATTTGCTGAAGGAGCAAAGAACATCCTCGGCTCTAAGTAGGGCTTTTAGTGTGCTCATTGATGAGTGAAAGTCGCCACACATGTCAAGCTAAAGGCAGTTGTTGGGTTACTAACAGGACCCAGCGCCTTGCAAACATATGCGCTAAGCTGTGTATACAGATGGCAGGCAGAATAATGGAGCAGGCGCCTTTTATAAAGCTCTAGCTGCTGCCTGTCTTCAGACCTGGGAAATGAAACTATTCAGACTTGCGGCCAGATAGCGCCTGCGATTGTTTGTTACCGTTTTAATCCTATTAATTAAAACGTTAACCTGATTGGGTAGAAAGCGCTGTCCCAACAGGCGAGTCTTCTTCATAATAACCTACTCAGAGATAATGATGTAAAAGACTCCCCCGTCTGTGGCGGCGGCTGTTTGATGGGTCCGGAAATCTCTTGAAGGTGAATCCAAGCAAGATAAACGGTGCGGAGAGGAGGCGCGGGGCTGGGCTCAGAGCGGCGGCGGCGGCGGCTCCACTCCCTCCGCGCCCACCCTCCCACCATGCGGGGCCGCGGCCCATGGTGAGCCCCAGCAGCCAGCACCATCGGCTGGAGACGAAGAAGAAGAAGAAGAGGAGGCGGCGAGCGCGGGGGAAGGCGAAAAAGAAAAAGAAAGAAGGGGAGAGGGCTCCCGGCAGCACCAGGACCGACGCGCGCACCAGCTCCGGAGCCCAGCTCGCGCGCGTCTGTGGGGCCGCCTGACTCCGGGGCCGAGGCGGCGGCGGCGGCAGCGGGCGCGGCGGCCCGGGCTGCGCGCCGGCGCGGGACCATGGAGCGCGGGATGCACCTCGGTGCAGCGGCCGCCGGCGAGGACGACCTCTTCCTGCACAAGAGCCTGAGCGCCTCCACCTCCAAGCGCTTGGAAGCGGCTTTCCGCTCCACGCCCCCGGGCATGGACCTGTCCCTGGCGCCGCCGCCTCGGGAACGCCCGGCGTCCTCCTCCTCGTCGCCCCTGGGCTGCTTCGAGCCGGCTGACCCCGAGGGGGCAGGGCTGCTGTTGCCGCCGCCTGGAGGAGGCGGCGGCGGCAGCGCGGGAAGTGGCGGCGGCGGCGGCGGCGGGGTGGGTGTCCCCGGGCTGCTAGTAGGTTCAGCCGGCGTTGGGGGCGACCCTAGCCTAAGCAGCCTGCCGGCCGGGGCCGCCCTTTGCCTCAAGTACGGCGAAAGCGCGAGCCGGGGCTCGGTGGCCGAGAGCAGCGGCGGCGAGCAGAGCCCCGACGACGACAGCGACGGTCGCTGCGAGCTCGTGCTGCGGGCCGGAGTAGCCGACCCGCGGGCCTCCCCGGGAGCGGGAGGTGGTGGCGCGAAGGCAGCCGAGGGCTGCTCCAATGCCCACCTCCACGGCGGCGCCAGCGTCCCCCCGGGGGGCCTGGGCGGCGGCGGCGGCGGGGGTAGCAGCAGCGGTAGCAGTGGCGGCGGTGGCGGTAGCGGTAGCGGCAGCGGCGGCAGCAGCAGCAGCAGCAGCAGCAGCAGCAAGAAATCCAAAGAGCAAAAGGCGCTGCGGCTTAACATCAATGCCCGAGAGCGCCGGCGGATGCACGACCTGAACGACGCGCTGGACGAGCTGCGCGCGGTGATCCCCTACGCGCACAGCCCCTCGGTGCGAAAGCTCTCCAAGATCGCCACGCTGCTGCTCGCCAAGAACTACATCCTCATGCAGGCGCAGGCCCTGGAGGAGATGCGGCGCCTAGTCGCCTACCTCAACCAGGGCCAGGCCATCTCGGCTGCCTCCCTGCCCAGCTCGGCGGCTGCAGCGGCAGCAGCTGCTGCCCTGCACCCGGCGCTCGGCGCCTACGAGCAGGCAGCCGGCTACCCGTTCAGCGCCGGACTGCCCCCGGCTGCCTCCTGCCCGGAGAAGTGCGCCCTGTTTAACAGCGTCTCCTCCAGCCTCTGCAAACAGTGCACGGAGAAGCCTTAAACACACCCCCGAAAAACACAAGACCGACCCAAAATCTAGAGGAAAGCGAAAAGCTGCTCCCCACCCCCTTTATTTTGGTCCTCTCGTAGTTGTGAAACACTTGCAGAGCAAACAAAGCAGAGGCAAGAACTGAGGAGAAGTATCAGAGACAAACGGGACTTTTAGCCTTGACATCCCCAGAATCTCGGTCTTTGGGGTGGGGAGGGAGGGAGGAGGGAGGTGGAGTTGGGATGGAGTATGGATGTCTTTTTTTTCTCAGAAAAGTGGCAACTTTGGTGGCAGCCTAGACCGCGAGGAAGTGGAATCTTCCTTAAAGGTGAAACATAAGTTGAGAAGTAGTGCTTGGTTATTAAGCCTGGAGAGTGTTTGAATGGCAAAATACTAATCCTACTAATAATTGTGGATTTGGCTAGTGCTGAGGGGGAGAGGAGGGGTTAGGGGTTGGGTAGCATGAGAGATGGAATATTCATTCAGACAAATCAGAAAGGGCACTTGAAAATAAATTTTGATTCTGAGCCAGGAGAAAAACTTGAAATGTTGACTTAAGTGAGGGGGAAATAAAACCCAGAGAGAGAGAGAGAGCGAGAGAGAGAGACATGTTACTATGAAAGACTTGTATTTTTTATTGTCTCTGAACTTTAATCCTGTGAAAATGCTCAAAGTTTTGGCGAGAGTGATATAAAAAAACTGACTGTGGCTGAAAGAATTGCATTTAAAAATATTTATGTGCACCTTGTTACTTTCTACTCTGCAATGATGTATTAACAATTCATGGTATTTATTTGTTATTCTTCAATGACCCTTCCACATCAACAGTATTTATCATGTGTTAAAGTCATGGGTCTTATGTGCAGATTTTTTTAATGCCTCTAAAATTGTTTTATAGATTACTTATGCTGTGTGCCAAGTGTTTAAAGGTTTATTTGCCAACAAGTATGAAGAGAAATATTGATGTATCTGAGCTGCTTAGGTTTATGAAAGGTCACCTGGATATTTTCAGTTGCATCATCCCTGTATTTAAATTGAGCTTTAATAAATTGCTTCAGTCCAAAAATTACAGGAAAGGTGTATTCTTAATTGATGAATGAATTGATCTCTTTTTTGAAAGGGGACTCCTTTACATTCCAAAAGGGAAAAACATCACAGCAATAGTTGCTATACGTAAGAACATGCTAAGCAAATATTTTTCCAGGCTGTGCTGTGCATTTTTAAAAGGTCTAATTTAATTGCTTTTAATATATATGTACATATATGTTATTTTAACTGTGGAGAATTATTTAAGTTAAAAGACTGGTTTGATTTGCCTATGGTGTGAAATCCTTTGTTATTTTTCTAAAAAAATAAAATTTAAAAAGAAAGAAAACTAAGGAAGAACAAGAAGCTATTTACCCAAAGTGAGCTTTCAGTTTTAGTTTTGCATGGCTGTTTGACTGCCTTTCCGCCCTATGAAAATCAAGAAAATCTTTTTTAAAAATGGAGTCCTGCTATTTTCCACTCCTTGCAGATAATACAAATTCAGTTTGTCAGGTTGGATGGTGAGTTGGGAGCTGTGATGGATCTGTTGGCGGGTTTTGGATGTGTAAAGAATGATATATATATTAAATAGGTCAATCAGACTATGACAGCTATGTACGACCATTTGTATGTGTATCTATGTCAGAAAGAATCTTTATTAAAATATTTTGATCAAACATTTTATTATGCTGTGCTTTGTGGAAGAAGCAATCACCTCTCTTCTGTGTTACTCTTTGCTTGAAAGGTAACAAAAAAGAAAGGAGTTTCAGAGAAGGTGGAACTAAAGTTTTTGCAGGGATGCACAATTAGAAGTAGCCCTAATTTACTTGTTTACTTGTTACAAGGAGGAGAGATGAATGGGGTCAGTGGTGAAACCCAGAAGAGATTCCAAGTTTCTGGCTACTGGCATGAACTTTGAAGGCCACATTCTCCCTGGAAATCTTTTTCCACTTGTATGGCACTGTTAACCATGCCAGGGCCCGTCAAAGAGGGTAAAGTTTCTTAAGAGTTTGTCATCAAAATTTCTACCTCCAAATGCGTGAAGGGCAAGGAAAAAAAATGGACTTGGATTCTCTGAGCACTGATTTCACTGTGACTTTCTACTTTTTTGTGATAAAAAGAATTAACTTGAATCATATAAGCATACACAATGCCCATAGAGATGATCAGAATTTTACTAGTGTTGCTTGATGATGAGATTTTTAGGTTCCGTGTTTGGATTTAGGCTTTGATTCTGTTAAAGAATGACTGTCGAGACTTGTATTTTGACCTTTATATTGCCCTCAAATATAGAAGGTGTGATTTTTTACTGTGGCACAGGTTGCAGAGATAGTAGTGGTGGTGGTGCAGAAGTTAGATGTTTCCTCTGTACCCAGTATGCTAAATGCATTTTTTTCTATACAGCCTCTGCTCATAAAGATATCCCTAAATGCCATCAAACTTAGTGGGGGGTGAGGAAGGATATTTTCTACTCCACTTGCCATCAAAAAAGATTAATCAGAACTTGTAACTTTTCAGAAAACATAACTGCAAAGGGCCTTGAAGCTGGAGCCCTCCCAGACTGGGAGTGAGGGCAGAAGGAGGGAGGAGACCAGGGCAGCCCCCAGGCAGGAGCCGACCTGTCTCTCAGCATTTACCAGACAAAGCCTGGGTGCGTCTAATTATGATTATTAAAACAATTTCCATGACGATGTCTAATATTATGTTAATTTGAAAACAACTGTGTATGAAAACTGTCGACTATAATACCTAAATTCATTTAATGAAACACATCGTTAAGGCAATTAAACCTCCTGGATGTGATTAAGAAACATAATTACGACACTGTTCTGCGCCATAATTGGGTGTCTTTAATCAAGGGGTAAAGTGATCAGCAACACAGCCATTAGTTTGTATTGTTCTGGCCCTGCTGTCCATCATTCTGATTAGGAATTAGCCACAGCCACCACCAGTCAGATTTTTTTTTTTCCTTTTGCATATTAACATTGTAGGGGACACATTTGCTGCAAGATTTAATGCTTAATATTTCTCATTATTAGAAGGCCTTCTTGAAATACTTCCTTTGCAACCTTTGTACTGTTCAACTATTATTAAAAATTGTACAGAAGAACACATCTTGAACTTTAGGGAAAAAATAAAGAAATGAGAATCCTCCTCTCTTTAACCACTCAGCTTTCAATCTTAGTCCTGAAGGAGACTTGGATGGGGGTGGGGATAGGAAGATATTGAGAATAAATTCAAATGTCACATGAATAGGCATAATTATTTAGTGTATTAGGCTTATTAACATTTATTTTCATTTTGATAATTTTAGACAAATCAACCCTCTTTCCAAACCTAGGAATTGGCCAGCCTGTGGTTTTAGCAATTAACATGGGACATCTGAAAGAAACAGGAGAGGAGTTTTCTGTGGTTTAGTTAGGTGATCCTCCCTGCCCTAACTCCAACCTTTCTAAAGGGTTTTCAGCAGCAGCTTTAAGAAAAGGAAGCCAGTGATTGGAGGGACAACACTTTCCACTCCTGATAAAGCCCTAGAGCTACTTTCTTTCTGGGGTCTGAGCCCTGAGTTTTGGCCTAGTCTGAAGAGTTAGCCCACACACCATTGACCCCAGCTGTCTGTCCAGCATGGAGCGCACAGGTCGGAAATGGGGGACTGAGCACCAGGGGAATCAGTGTGGTCTTGCAAAAGTCTCCTTGGGTTAGAGCAGACAGCCTGGTTCCTAAGACTGCAGCATGTGCCAGAGTGCAAGGGTATCTTGGCCACCCCTGAGCTTGCTCTGGCATCCACCACGCCTTGGGGTGCTTCTCTCAGGCACACCCATCCCGCCAGTCCGATCTCTCTGCTGGTGTTCCTTACAGAGCTGAGAGTGGACAGATGAGGCCAAGCAAAAACTGAGTCCCACTGGCTTTTTATTCTCACTTAGGGTCCCGTCGCCAGCTTGACACTGGGGACCAACAGAAGGGTTAGCTTTGCGTGTACGACTGCAGGACCAGCAAATGATCATCTTCGATAGAGCTCTCTAGTTACCCGTGCTTCTCCCTCCCTATGGTATGTGTTTGTGTGTGTGTGTGTGCGTGTGTGTGCGTGTGTGTGCGCGCGCGCGCGCACCCGCACGCAGTCTGCAATGCCCTCACCAGTCCCCGCAGCTGGGCAACCCCTCCAAGACCCTGTGTTACGCTTAAATTCCTCTCCCTCCTATCGTACCCACCATCCATCCTTACAGCAGGGAGGCCGAGACTCACAGAATTCCCTTCTCCACCAACTCGCACTCTTGGTCTAGCACGCGGAAACCGAACCTTTCTACGCGGCCCGACCTTGCGATTGCTCCAGCATGAGTGGCATTGACTTTTCCAATGTAATGACTTATGAAAGATATAATCATGTGTTAAATTGAATCCTCCGTTTAACTGTTAATGGTGTGCTCTGGGCACATTTACGTATTTGATGCTATGGTAACTAATTACCACTAGAAAAAAGGATAATACACTTCCCAGACTTTGAAAAATAATCATGAGTTCACTTCCCGGCTCGCAGCACATCGTGGCGGCCCTGCCGGGAGGAGCGAGGAAACGAGTGGAAACCCGAAAGTGTGCTCATGGAATGCAGGAGGTAATGAATCCTGGTCAGGTGAGACTACTTAGTCAAACCTTTAATGAAAACGTGATTCACATGGAAAGCAGGAGTGGGAGGGAACAACTACACAAAGGTGCCTTTAAACAAAATTAAATGGCAAAACCTGACTATCAGAAACATGAATAGGTTTCTTTCAATTAAAATGCAGGTAAGACTAAATTATCCACGTGCCAAGCAACTTTACATCAATTAACATTTTTTTGTTGTGTGGGCAAAGTAAATGAGCCCGGCTCCTGTGCTCTCTGTATTGGCATATACAACTTGAAAGTCTCTGGATTTGCCAAGCCAATGAGCTGCAGGTTTATTTAAATTCGGCCTTTTAAATCAAACTTTAGACACAGTAGGTGGAAGGAGGGAAAGAGAAGGAAAAACAAGGAGTCAGTAACTTCAGTTTAACAGTAGAAACAACTCTTACGGTGAGAGTCTTTTTTGCCCGGCAAATCTCTGGCTCTTCTGATCGACTGGTGTTTAGAACCAAGGTTCCAGTAAACAGGGCTGGGTAGGATAACGAGGAGAGTGTTTGTGCTGGGACCTGGCAGGACTGGAGGAGGAAAGGAGCCGCCTTCCAGCAGGTCCAGCATCCCTAGGTTGCAAACACACCAAATGACGTCCACGCAGCACTCGCGCCCACCGCGCTGTTTTTGCTTGCGCAGTGCTCCCGAAGGGATTCGGGATCCGCATCCGGAGGGATTCGGGATCCGCATCCGAAGAGCACCCCTTCTCTCAGGACTTCCCCTGGGACCGACGTTTCCAGTCACCCCTGCGGGCGCAATTGTCCTTCAACCGCCAAGCTCCTTGGGACAAAAAGAGAACTTCAGGGGCTCTGCCTCAAACTGTCCTTCGAGGGTGGCTCGAGGATCGGGTTGTCCCCTGTATGGCAGCAGGCATGTGGGTTCACACGCAGCTGCCAGGCTTGTAAGAGGCACCCCGCAGCCGCACCAAACCCGAAGCATCCGCGAAAGCGCCCCGGTTTTAAACCCCAAAGAGCTGCTCGCTTCCTCACGCAGCAGGGAAACTCTGCTCGCTTTCCCTGAGGTTAGATTTGTGTTAAATTCTACTAATTTTTCTAAATTACTCGTCTTAACAAATCCAGGAGACTGTTTCTTAACTATTGCAAAATTATCAAGTATACTAGAATGTGTGTGTGAATTTTCCTTCTTTCTCTTCTCCACTTTTCTCTACTGTAGGCAGTACAGAAGTACAGATTTGAGAGCTCTGAAAGAGAAATGAATGGGTTGGGAAGGTTAGACTGCAGAGGAAAAGAGGATTTGTCAGTTATCAATCCTCACCATCCCCAACCCCACTACATATATGATGGACAAGGCTCACAAGTCACCACCATGCTTGGATGGGGAGTTGGCTTTAATTATGCACAATGTGTTATTCTCCTTCTCAGCTTGGGAAAGAGTTAATTCTTTCCCAAAGACCACAGTTGCCCTTGTCTCCTCAACCTGATTCAGAGATGCAATAAAATATGAAGCAAATTTATGGTCTGTTTCAAGCATTTTATTGCTGTATTTTTAAATTCATATATGCACATATAAGAACTATGATCTGTGAATAATTTGAAATGCTATAGAAGAATGATACATTTTAGATAAAACATAACCATATCTTTATATAAATTGTCTGAGATTAAAATAAAAAAGAAAAATAGATTTCTAATGTGGACCAAACCGAAAAACTAATGGCAGCCATAAACTGCTAACCACCCATAAATTAACATCTTCATCAAATGCTAAAATGGTATCACTGGTTATATAAAGCAATTACTATTTCTCCGTATAAGTTTTAGAAGAAAGTTCAGAGATATTTAAAGGATCCGTTATTTACAAATGTTTCTCAATCTTAAAGATTTCATTTTTTTATTAGGAGGATGGTTGCATCTCAAATCTCCTGTTAACAGAGGTGTTTAGAGATGAGAATTTAAATTTAAACATAAAAATGTTTCATGGCCTAACCTCATTTTATACATTTATCCTGCTCTGGCAATTACTGAAGAACTTGGTGCAAGGATTTCTCTGTTACATATCCTTACCCACTTTTTGAAAAGAGATAAACAATCTCTGATTATGAGAGAGACTCAGTTTTTGTACCTAACTAGTCAAAATAATAAATCATGCATTGTCCAATCAAGTAAGTACAGCTACATTTGCCATGTGCAGTCTATTTCTGCAGTAGTACTATGGTCAAAATTCAGATGCCAGGCTGACTGAGTCGGTGCTCTCCATCTAAGATTTTGATGAAAGGAAATGATTTTCCTAAGCAGGCCTCCACAGAAATGTGAAGAGTTGGGAAAGAAGAAAGGATATCTATCTATTAAATGCCTGATGTATCAGGAAGCAGGGTCAGTTAATACCTGCGTCTAAATAACTTACTTTAATTTCCTTTGGAGAAGCATCAGGCATACATCTCTTTAAAGTGTAGATTTCTTAAGAGAGTGAACTTAAGTAAAATCTGTAATTATTCAACAAAGTAAGCTCCTTTAAAAGTTTACAAAATTATGGTTTATGAAAGCAAAACAATTATTTGGCCTATGGAAGATGTGGGTAGCTCACACACTCAAACTATCCCTGCTCCTCTGTTGGATTTACAGCATGTTGTCCCGTGGAGTAGTTGATGTGGACGATTATCCTCAAAGATCAAGAATCAACTAAGATCTTGAACTGGTTAAGTTCTAGGACCACTCCTTAATTTAATTTTCTGCAAGCATTGTTTAGTCCGAGTACCTCCTTCTTGAAAAATAAAAACTGTTTGTAACTTTTCTTTAAGTCTAAACTTAGTTCAAAATAAAAAGTTTTTTTTAAATGTGTAATTGCTCAGTATGAAGGAAGTACTACCACATGTATAGTTTTTACTTATAAAACATTCAATGATTACAAATACTTTTAACGGTATTCCATTTGACGTAGAAAACAAATACATTTATAAAACTTTAAATAAACTCATTAGTCCTTAGAATTATGGAATTGAAGTAATTTCATTCAAACCTTAATTTTAATATAAAAAACAAAAGCATTTATTAAAAAGTTTGGTATCTATCAGGCAATAATGACACAGATTTTTTGGTAACTACGATGGCTAGTTCTTAGAAATAAAAGTTATGTGTAGTAAATATTCTCTTGCACACAAATAAGAATCTCCAACTAATATGTTTCATATTTAGAAATGTTTAAATTTGACTCAATGATGAATCATTAGATAGTAATACCTTTACCTGTTATTTCCATTCCTCTAGTTTCTCCTGTGAGCACAGTTTGCTGTAAGGGAAGTAAAATACTTCATGATTATATCTCTGAACATTTACTTTTTGTGTAGTCTGTGATACATCATGTCTCTCCTTATAAAAGTAATCAACAGTAAATAATTAACAATAAACAATTAACAGTAAACAGTATCAAGCACTTTTCAAAAAACACAGCACAGCCATTGGGCATTTTTTTATCCTGAAAAGAAAATACACATTATTATTCACATGATCATTGCTAATTCTGGAAGGTTCTGCAAATCTAGAATAAAGTTGAAAACAAAAGATAATTATTTCACAGTTTATCTATTTAGTGACATAATTTATCCCAGTTGGTAAATAAACAATAATGAGCTGACTAGTTCAAATGAACAGAACACCTTCTAGCCAACTTCTCACGGAGTCTCAGGCCAGTCCCTGTAAAATGTTAGTGACTCACACCAGTGTCTCTGAGAAAAGCCCAGTGTCCCAGGAAAATACTGTACGTAGGGTTACTAAAAACCCACATTTCATTTTCATCACCACCATTCTGTAGTATATGCTTTATTTACAATTTATTTTAGTTTTATGAACAAATAGAATACTGTCCAAATATTACCCAGCTTTATTCATTATCTGTAGTAAAGAGATCTGCTGAAGACAAAGATTACACCTGCTGAAAACTCTCTCCCATTTATTGTGCTTATACTTCTGTCCACACTAATAGTGATTATTAAGAATTGTAACCTAGCAAGGTCAGCCTGCCTAGAATAAACATTTTAAAACTTAGTGATTTTTTTTGAGTTTGTTATTTTACAAATAAATAATAAGTTAAAATATATTGAAACATACTCTGAAATAGTTAATATACTTTCAGGAGAGCATCAGATGATAAGAATATATGTGTACGGGGGCAAGAAATGGAGATGAGGAGATATTCAGAGAGCAAAATTATTTTCCAAATAATTTTCTTTTGTAATCAAATCTTCTGTTATCCAACATATTCCTAGTAGGACAATAAAGAGACATAATCAGTCATCTGTGCTTTAAAGTTAATTTATTAAATTTTTGTTGTACATAAAAGAACATTAAGTATTAGACTTGCAAAGCACTTGCATTTCTTATCTGACATCTTTTAGGACAATTTGATTCATTGTAAATCCACATATATGTCATTTTAAAATCAAAGATAATATTAAACAATTTCAGAAAATTGTTTTAATAATATACAGCACTCCTCCTTCTAAAAATATTTTAAAACATAAGTATTGACAAATTATAACCTATTTTAAATTGTGTAGAGTTTTTCATGTATTAAATTTATTTTACTCTAGCAAGTAGTATAAACAAAATAAACATTTAAGCCAAAAAGTTCAAACATCAATGATCACTGATTTAGATAAACAAATGAAGTAGAGTAATAATTACTTTAGATAAATACTAAAGAGTTTTATGTGATCATTCATTATAATTTAAAATAGTGCTACAGAGAATGTCATCTTGGCTTGCTAACTTTTTCTGAATTCAATATGTTAATATGAGTATCTAATTATGCAATACAAGTAAACAATAGTTTGCAAGATTGGCAAATTTAATAGGTTAAAAAATGCACATTCTAAGGGCATGTAATTCCTGTTCACATAATTATTGCCATTCTTTTATACTAGGATCAAACACTAGATAAATGTTGTGCTTTGGTCTTTGAACAGTTTTAAACTTCTACTGTTAAGTTAGAAGTCACTTGCAGAAAATTACCCAAATTATTTTTATGATAAAATAAGCATTAAAAATGTAGATTTTCAGTATGGAAGCTCCTTTGCCTTAGACTTGTGACCCAAAACTTAATTATAAAATGGAGATGAAGTAAGGAAGTATGCCAGGAAAGCCAAAACAAGGCAGATAAAAGTTTTCTTCTAGGTTGCTTATAAGCATGCCTGATTTAGTGATAGGTAGCTTTTTCTTAACCACTTCAGGGCTTTAGTTTCTGCTGAGTGTTTCATTACGTTGGTCATTGATATAAAACAATATTTTGGGTATTAATTATTTATTTCTTTTAATTCAAAACTTAGGTGAAGCTATAAAAATGAAAAGATGGGGGCGGGCACGGTGGCTCATGTCTGCAACCCCAGCACTTAGGGAGTCCGAGGCGGGTGGATCACCTGAGGTCTGGAGTTCGAGACCAGCCTGATCAACATGGTGAAACCTCGTCTCCACTAAAAATACAAAAGTTGGTCAGGCATAGTGGTGGGTGCCTGTAGTCCCAGCTACTCGGAGGGCTGAGACAAGGGAATTGCTTGAACCCAGGAAGTGGAGGTTGCAGTGAGCTGAGATCATGCCACTGGACTCCAGCCTGGGCGACAGAGCAAGACTCCATCTAAAAAAAAAAAAGGATGGGATTTTACAATATATAATACAGTTTTTAAAAATTCTAAGCCTCAATGACTATATTTGGTTTTAATTATCATATTATCAAAATACCTGTTGTATATATTTTTATTGTGTATAATTATACATAGTGATTTCTCATTACAGACCATTACTTTGGAATGACTGATGGAAGGCTAGTTAGAACTAGTGATAAATCAGAATTTTAAAATAGTTTTAAAGAGATGAATTTATCACTTACAACTGCATTTATAATAAATTAGTTGCCTACGTATTGTTTTCCCTAACAAATAGTATGTTCTTGAAGGGGAAGGGGAATCCAGTGTCTAGCATCAATCATATCTAGAACAGAGAAAATGCTCAATGAATGTTTGGTTGAATAAATGAACAATGAATTAACAAATGACTATAAAAAACGATTCCCTTGAACAATACACAAGAGCAATTTTTTAAAGGCACAACACTGTTGAAGTATCTTCATTAAACTTTGCATTGGTATATTGCATTATACCATAAATCCATACACGTTACTGTGTTTAATCGTTACAATGAACTCTGATGTCAAAGGGCCTTATTATTTTATTTTTCAAATGAGGACGTTGAAGCTCTGAGACGGAAATTGTTTAATAATAAGCCAGTTATGTCACAGCCAGAATCTGCATCTTTTAACTGATTTGTCCAGGACATGTTTTTCTATTTGTAAATACTATTTAGTTACTGGATTTAAGACTGTCACAAGATTCTCAATGTTTTGTTTTGGTTCTACTATTCATTCCTTTTATGTCATCTTTTCTCAACCATTTCATTTATCCTTACTTTCCATTTCTAAATTCCTGTACACATTTCCAGTTATAAAATAAGCCGAAATTGGAATGGAATAATTTCCTGTGTTCTCTGTGCCTTAACATCACAAAAGTGTACCACTAAGTTGAATTTAAAGCTATGGAACTTCCACTTTAGGCAACATGGCGAACTAGACGTCCAAGTACGAAAAGGACAGAGTATGCTTTGTGGTGGACTAAAGGCTAGGGCCCAGGGTGTGTGTGTGTGTGTGTGTGTGTGTGTGTGTGTGTGTGTGTGTGTGTGTGTGTAATCCAAGGCCTTTGCATAAAGCCAAGAACTTGCAAAGACAACATACTCAATAGGTGAACTAGAAAGAAACTGTGCTCCACAGAGCAAAACTGTCAGTATATTTGCCTATCTCAGTCTTAGCTCCGGGTAAAAATAAACAAAAAAATGAACCCCCAAATGTGTCCCCTGTCTATTCCTAATAAAATGGTTGCATTCTACCTGATTTAGGGCTAGAAACCACAATACCTATGTAGCGTTCCCTCCCCACTCCCAGATAATCAAGCTGAAATTTTAAGGTGATCTGAGTTTGGTAGTAGTATCAGCAGTCTGAAAAATGCAAATACAAATTCTCTCTTGAGGAATGAACTTTAAATCTAGGTCTAAAGATTTTTCAGAGATAAAAATCCAAGGAACATGGGCTCAGTAAACAAGCCATTCCTGGTAACAGTGACAGCAAAACACATAAACTACAGAATTAGATCCACAAAACACCAATGATTTGGAAATATCAGATACAGAATCTAAAATGTTTGCTTCATACAGTTGAAGAAATGAAAAAGGATGTTGAGTTTATAATAAAGGTACAAGATATTATAAAAAATAAGCAGCATATATGAAGAACAAAAGGGAATCGTAAAACTGAAAAATGTAATGATTGAACTTAGCAAACTCAGTGGAATGGAAAACCTGAAGGTTAACAAGCTGGAGACTGACACTCTGACTCAAAATCAACCTTGGAGACCCTACAGAATGGAGAGGATTGGATGGATCTGAGGATGGGACATAACAAATTTAGAACATCTTAGGAAGAATTAAAGTTATCATGGACTAAATGTGTGTATGTGGGGGGTGGGTGGTGGGGCTTGGGGACAAGGCATTTAGCAGCCCTGGGCTGAGATGGTTAGGCACAGTAGTGTGAGGATAGGTGATGGAAAAGCTTTTAAGTTCTGCTTTGGCCTCTGTCCCACAATAACTGTCCTGCTGACAGTGTCCATCACTGGGTAACTAGATCATTAAAACATAATGTGTGCACATTATGGATTGCTGTGCAGCAGTTAGAAGCAATAGATTAAATATAGTAGTATACTATGTATATACTACAGAAATATGAATATATCTTTAAAATCACAGAGCTTCATAAGAAAATTAGGAAGAATATAACTTACAGAAAATAGGTACTCAAGATAATATATGTTACATGAAAACATATACATACCAAGATATGCATCAAACACATTAGAATATTTGCCTATGATATTAGGAAGGGGTATGAAAGTGGGTATTAGGGACAAAACAGAATAAGTAAATAAAGCCAGAGGGACCTTATTAGAACCAATTATAATTGTGTATCATGAACTAAAGAGTGTAAGGAGAGTGATCACTCAACTCGATGAACCTAGAGTTAAAACAAAAAGAAGGAAAAAACAAACTCAGTGGATGAGTTGGAGAGATTAGATATACTGTTCAAAGAAGAAACTGGAAGAGACATCTAAAGAAATTACATGGAGTGTAAGTTAGAGATACAAAGTGTGGTGAGAAAAGATCAAAGGATGTATGTAGAGTGAGAGGATCTAATGTAGAGTGTGAGAACAGTAATATTCACAGAGAGAATGGCTGAGAAGATTCCATACTTGATGGGAGACACCTGTGCTCAGATTCAAGAAGCAGCAGGACATGCAAGCATGAGAAACAGAAAGAAACTAAGAACATCAAAGACAAAGAGGACACGTTAAAGTAGTCAGAGAGAAGAGACAGACTACCTATTGAGTAATTAAACTCACTAACGGCTATCCGCCCAATAACAACAATGGATACCTTAAGAACGGGCAATATCTTCAAAGTGCTGTGAGGAAATAACTGTCAATCTAGATTTGTGCATCCAGCAAAACCATCTTTCAAGAAGGAGAGTAAAAATAAAGACACCCTAAATCAAGCAAAAATAGAATTTGCACCAGCAGACCTTCACTGAAGGAACATTCAGAACATGTACTTCAGGAAGGATAAAATAAATGCTAGACTGTCTTATTTACTTACTAAGAATGTAAATATTTTGTAATGTTATTTTTAAAGTCAGTTTCCTTTTCTCAAAACAGTAGCAGATTTCTGAAATATTAGAAGTTCCAATTAACGAAGCATGAATTAACTGGACTTTATTACCTGCCTTGCCTGCTTATATATTGCATCATCATTTATATCAGATGCCAATCATGTGGTACTCTGATATTAGAATCTTTGAATCACTGGGCTTGGTGGTACATGCCTGTAGTCCAGGTTCCCAAGGGACCAAAGCGGGAGGATCACTTGAGGTCAGGATTTGAGACCAGCCTGGGCAACACAGCCAGATACTCTCTCAATTGAAAAAAAATCTTTGAATTATTGACACAATGCTGCATGTGTCATATGAAATTACACTGCATTACATGATGTTGTAATTCAAAATAGAACACATGAACTCCAAATCCAAAAGGTGAGACATCAAAACCAAATACTATATCTAGCTTCTCAGTTTATATATATGAAAGCATTTAGGAAAGGGTTAATTGCAATATTTGCATAACCTGTATAGTTTATACTAAAGCCAAATGATATAATCAATGCTGTAATTATTTCAACATTTGCTCCCATAATAAACCTAATACTAATGTCTAGGGCAATTTCTGAATATATAATAGGTTCTGTGTTTTCTTATACATTAAATCTTATCAGTATCTAACTTGAACATGAAAGGTCTTATGTAACCAGAAATTTTGTTCTATTGAGCCATAGTATACAAAGTAATAAGGAACATTTATGCATGATTAAATATTGAAGTGAAGTTGAAGCATTCAATCTACTGTGAAACTCATTTAATGCACACATACCCTGGAAATATAGGTATTATTAATATTATACTTGAAGGGAACATTTTCATCCAGTGTAACTCATGGAAATTCAATTTCCTTCTTCTGTGAGAATTTGGAATTTGTTAGACTGTGTCCATTTCCAGCACAATTTTCTAGTAGTTCAAAGTGTAATTTTACATATTAGAGAACAATTTGAGTGATTTAAATTCCACAGTGCCCAATCTATTGGTGTGAAGGTACATTTATTATAACAGGTGAAAATCACAACAAGGAGAAACTAAAAAAACAACAACAACCCTGTTTTGAGCCTACCCTTAAGTTGATTTTGATGTCCATTTTCCTGCCACCATCCTGTTTTATATTATGATGGGCTTTGTGACTAAGGACAAACTGGACTGATATCAGATCAAATAGAAATTAGCGCTTTTTAAACAAATAAATCAATTACATTTGCAGAAATTAAAAAGAAATAGATGAGCTTAGGATGTTTAGGGTAATTTTGATAGATTTATTTTCTTTCCTTTTAGCTTCTCTAAGATTTCACTTTGTATCTAAATAAAACATCAGAATCTGGATACTGAATACCAAACAACAAGCGGCTGTAGTTTAGTCCTATGGGCTTATCATCAATTATTTCTAAATCAAAATAAGTTAAAAGTATAACCAACAATTGTTTTATTTCCATAAGTGCAAAAAATCGGCCTGGACATTTGCTGGTTCCAGTTCCAAACGGCATTAGGTAACACTTCAGCTTTTTCCCTCTTTTGAAAAAGGTGGTTTTCTTCTTACCATCTTCTATAAAACGATCATATCTAAACTCCTGTAAGGAAGAATAGTGTTAAAATTAACATTTTATATGAAATAGTTTGAGTTCAAGTCCACAAAGTTGCTAGCTCTCTCTGCCTGTCTTAAAAAGCTCCTTTTAATCAGGTGAACACCAGAAAAACTTGGCTGAGTGCAAATTAAGCATGAACTTTCAAAAAACTCAAATATTACTAGGAAATTACTTCTCCCATATCAAAGTGAAGTCTGAAAAGCTGTATGACTTTTTTTCTCCACTTGTATTTTTCTCCTAAGCTGAGCTTCCCAAGTAGAGTGGCAACATCACTATTTTTGCTCCCTAAGGTGGGTCCTGACATATGGGCACTTGATTATACCAATGTTAGGTAGAAGGCAAGGGCTCTGGTGAGACTGCCATTGTTACCCGGGTCTGATGAATCCTAACTAGCCACAGGAGCTGCCTAACTGTGGATTCCTAATTCGAGTTTCTCTTATCCCTTCCCCACCAGCTACTGATAGATGAGAACTATGAGTTTAGGATCCGGTGCTGATGTTTGGATTAAACAAATATAAAATCGTAAGATTCAGATAAAGCACTAGAGAGGAACTAAGCCCCAAAATTAATCTTGTTTGTTTTTTGATGTTGTAGTTAATTTCTTCTATGAAAGTTCTATTAAAATCAGCTCTCTGAGTTTACTCTAGGGTGGCAGGTGTTTCTGAAATGTTTTCATAAATGAGTTATATTAGTTTGTTACAGGAAATCATGGGACTGCTTTACCTAGAGTGTTGGGCCTGCCATCTTAATTTTGCCTTGCTGCCAAAGGGTTATGGTTCAACTCTCACTTGAATTTCTTAGAGGGGACTGAGTGACCTTATTTTAGCCTATGGTGAATTAAGCCATTGATTAAATTAATGTCCGTGGCTTGCATGGAAACGACCAAGTATTTCCTGTAGTTGGTGCTCATTAACATTAGACCTGCTCACACACAACTTTGATATGACCTACATGAAGACGAATGCAAAAAAGTAGGTCAGATCCAAAGCATTTCAGGTTAAGGTGAAAACCTTGCAATATGTGGATAGATTCTGAATTCATCACAAATGATTTACTTTTCTCACTCAAAGCCAGTGTTGTTAATGACAGTGAACCATTTCCTTTAAAACTATTAGGTTTGTCCTCATTTATGTAGAATACTTATTTTGATAAGTATTTGAGCTTAGAAAAATTCTCAGTAGTTCCCATTTCCTTCCAACTTGCAAGTGGATGCAATGATAATGGCAAAATTTATCTGCATTTTTATAACTGCTCAATTCCTGATAGTGAATATTTGAGCCCTTTAAAACACGTATTTTACCATAGTTCTGGGATGTATCCAAACGGTATTTAATCAATGCTGAAAGAACAAGGACACCCTTTGTTGACATACAGGGTCACTGGAGATAGAGTTACTAAATGTAACACTCTCCTGGGGAACTTCTTCCATTCCTGGGGCTCAAGCCTGCTTGCCTGAGCTTAGTCCTGCTGCTTCCTCCTTCACGCTGACCAATCTGAGGAGACTGGTCCTCTATCTACCTAACCCAAATCAGTCTAAGTGAGCTTTGCTATGGTATGATTTATTAGGAAGCCTCTCACTGTAGCCCCACTAGTTAAGCCAGCAAACGCAAAATGAAAACTTAGCTTGGATTATGACTTTTTAGTGTCTTGATATCATAAATAAGCCAGAAATCACCATGGTTTTCTGGTTCCTCTTTGTGAAAATGAATGTGCTAACCTCTGAGAGGCCCACGGCAAACACGTGATGCAGGAGTGCTCCTTACCCATGACCTTCAGCTAGTGTTTATATTCAGTTCCCTCAAATTTCTACTCAACGAGCAACACCATCCCTCTAGTTTCCAGGATGTTCTATTCAATTTTCTCATAGTAAACATCTTAGAAATTCCTATTCGGTTGTTTATTTTATGAAACTAAAATGGAAATGGCCACTGTCTTTAGCTCTGTGACCAACACCAAGTTCAAAGGGTGCAGGAGCATAAATATATTTTTAGTTAAAATTTATTTGCAATTTGCCCTATTGCCTAGGCATGGAAAACCTAAGCAGGAACCAATGTTAAGAAGGGCCTGTGTCAGCTGCTAGGGGTACAGTTTTGTTTTAGCTGAAAAAGGAAGGGGTATAATAATCTCACCACTGAGATTCTGGGGTCACAGTGACACAGAACAAAGGTACAGGAAGCTCAAGATGTATCCATTCATTTGGAAAAACTTAAACTTGGAATTCATCAAACTGGTTGAAATTCTTTTTCTTTTCTTTTTTTTTTGGAGACGGAGTCTCGCTCTGTCGCCCAGGTTGGAGTGCAGTGGCGCGATCTCGGCTCACTGCAAGCTCTGCCTCCTGGGTTCACGCCATTCTCCTGCCTCAGCCTCCCAAGTAGCTGGGACTACAGGCGCCCACCACCACGCCCGGCTAATTTTTTGTATTATTAGTAGAGATGGGGTTTCACCGCGTTAACCAGGATGGTCTTGATCTCCTGACCTCGTGATCCGCCGGCCTCGGCCTCCCAAAGTGCTGGGGTTACAGGTGTGAGCCACTGTGTCCGGCCGCTGATTGAAATTCTTTACAGTGACCATAATAAGCATGTTGCTTCACAATTAAAGAGAGCCAATTAAATAGATGAGAATAGAAAAATCACAAGAGAAGGTATAAGACACGGAAGTTCCTCACTGTTCCTCTAATGATTGTTGCAGTTGACTCCCCAACATTGTTCTTCTGAATAAAATTTGTCTAGGCACTAATCTTGGTAATTACATTGTTCTGGTCTCTGACTGGTTTGGGATAGAATTGTGAAACAATCTGGTGAGTGCTACAAGGGAAAAATCTATGGGGACATCTAGGAGAAGTCCCCTTTCTGTGAAGAAAATAAAACAAAAAGAAATGGTTGATTACCTTTCCTCCTCTGGACCTCATCATGTGTGACTATGATGTCTGGAACTGCTATCAGGCTAAAGACAGAGCTAACCTACAGGAGATGGCAGTGCCAAGAAATCCCAGGAGTTTGGAGCTATCACATTTTCTTATTTATCTCTGCATGTTTAAAGCCTTCAACACAATGCTATTCCCATAGTAGAGGTTCCATATATGTTTGTTGAATTAATGAATAAATACATGAGAAAAAAGTATATTTTAAAAACCATTTTCAAGCTTTTGAAGAAAACATAGATATTGAATGAGTAAATAAATATGTAGAGTATGATGAGTCGATGAATATTCAGTGTTTACAAATAGTAGGAAATTGTATAATATTGAAGCACTAGAAATCAAGTTTGGATAGAGGACACAATTTTCTGGATAGAGAAAAGATTTTGGTATTCGTGACAAAGGAAGATTGCATAACACCCTAATTTGTGTTCTCCAAATACTATGTTTAGTTCAGTTCAACAGATTTTTTTGGAGCACTTCCTGTATGTAAAGCATTGAAGTTACAAGGCATAAAACATGGTCTTGCTGAAGTAGGTGACACACAATAGGATCATGTCTTGAATCCACTCAATTCATAATTTTGGGTATGGGAATATAAATTAGACAAATATAAATTAGACAAAAGATATGACTTTCTCATAATAAAAAAAGTCAGTGTTTTGAATGCATGGCTAAGGGGCTACACTGTTGCCCCTTAGCAAGATGGCAGAGTACAGAAGTCCCTTTTTATCTTCATGACTTGGGTTCAAATTGGTAGTGTGCTGCAGACAGTTTGACCAGCTTGTCAGAGTGTGCACATCTCTTAGTGACTCTGTGTTTAGGGTCTTCACATTAGTAACATGAAATTGGCCAAAGGGGTAGTTTATACTACGAAAATTGACAAACACTACAAATCAGGGCTCAGAGCCCTGGTTTACCAGCACACTGCTAGTTCCAATATGGTAGGTATGAAGTGTCAATTTGTTGGTATGGCAGAAAACTTTTCTCAATAGGAAGCACCTCACTATGAGAAATCAGCTATGTGACAGGGCTGAGTCCCTATACTGCAAGTTTGTAGGGGAAGGGACCTTTTTATTTCTTTGTCACTCACTATGCCCATCAAAGTGATTTCTGGATAGTAATTAATTGATATATGTTTGTTTCCTTTAAGTCTACTAGTGGCACAATCTCTATTCCATTTTGCAATACAGATAAAAAATTATTGAGAGTACTTCTTTATCTGCCATGTCATTCTAAGAACAGTGGCAATAATCAAAATAATAATTGGTACCACAATTCTTTTAGTGATTTAGAATTTTTTCAAGGGCTTTCAAATTTATTAATCATTTTATTATCTCAACAACTATAAGAAGTAGATAGGGCAGAATTGCATTAGATTAAACAAACAAGATCTTCCATCTTCAGAGCTTTTGGGGGATATTCCAAAGGCTTTGGAATTACATTGTTATTTCACCATTGTTTCTTTACCTACATGGTTATATAATGCATTGCCATCTTAAATGTCTGACGTTTTTTCCCTATAAACCCCACAATGTCACCAGGTCTCCCTTTATCCCTCAGTACCTCTGGACCTAGGAAAGCCAACGAACAGATTTAGATTTGATCTTCTCTATGGAGCTTCTCTATAGCTCCGGTTCTGTATCTTGCATTGTGGCAGAAAAGAAATCATCACTATTTACTACTGAGCCACCTGAATGGCTAACATTACAATAAGTTAAGCAACCAATATTCAGGGAAATAATAATTCTTAATATAGAGGTTGCATGTTGGTAGCTTATAGGCTCAATTAAGTTCCCAAACACCTTTTATTTATTATTGTAAGATATTGTGTTTTAAATTTCATTTTTCCAAATATTTAAAAATTCAAACCTTCACTCAAAAGCCTATTTTTTCAGGTTATTTTTTAAATAAAAAATCAAAATGACTTCACCAAACTAGGTCTAAATGCTTGCAAGAGCTGAGGGCTAGTTCAGAAGTAGCCAGTGGTCCTATTTAGATGTCTCCTAGCATCTCCTTTTGCCATAGTTCTTAACACTTCTAATAGTATTGCTATATTTATACACAAATCACTTCTTTATTTGATCTATTTAGGCCCAGTACATATGTTAATGTGCAATATCTGTCCTGATTTAAAATTATAACTGAAGCATATTTTCACTCTCAGTACATTTATCTATCCAAGCATCCCCTTATTTATTCAACTTATGTGTAGTGTACAGCTTCCTGTGTGCTAGGCACTGAGAATACAGAGATGGGAATGACATAGTCCTTCCTCTTCTGGAGCTTACAGCATATGGGAGCAAGGACAAGTAAATAAATAATTGCAAAATACTGTGTGTTATGCCCCCCTACAAAGTTAAACACAGGCCACAGTGTGAGCAATGGCAAATTCTCTGAGGAATGAGGTGGAAATCAGGCACACTGTCAACAAAGAGGTGATTAGGTGATTCCTGTGGAGTAGTTTGGTGCCTGCTGGGTGCACAAATAAGGAGGGGCATTCCAGGAATAGGGAGATGCAGATCCAACAGCTCTCAAGTATGTTGGAAGACCATGGCCTGTCTTTGAAATGCCAAATTTTAGAGTCTTTTGGAGGTTGGAAATTCTGAAACCCTGCCTTGTTGGGCTGGGAGAATCTATGTTCTGCTGAGGCTCTTGTCTCTCTGTCTTCCAAGAATAACTATCCCTGTAGCTGCCTTCCTTATATTTTTGGCCTAACACCTATTGCCTGTTATCAACATCTGAGGCTTGATCTTCTCATTCAAGGTATGTTGGATACAAAAGGCAGGTAGTAATGAATGTGTCTCTGATGAGCTCCTGAACCATGTTCTCAGCAACAAATGGCTCACGGTAGACTTTTCTAGAACAATCTCCTTTTCTTTACTGTCAATATATGGTGGCTTGGGATGGACATCTCTTTTAAGAGCATCTATAGCATCTACTTATTGCCATATGAAGTTGTTAAGAATCAAAGGAATAACTGATATGTCTGAGAGTGGTAGTCACTCAGAAAATGTTTATACAATGAATGATAAAACCTTCCCAAATTCTATAAAACTGGTTCTGAGCTATATCATTTTTTTTCTGTGCCAGGTATTATCAGCATTCTCCAACTAATTTCAAGGAAACAATGGCGTGACAATAAATTAGTTAATTTTAACATTAGTCAGGCATAATTGGCTAATGTTAAATCTAGTAAATAATAGAGAGTGTTCATCAACTCAAGTTAAAGCTACCCTAATGATGCTAAATCAGTATTCACAATATTGCAATTTTGTTCTGCCACAGATTTTGTATAAGGCAAGCCCTTCTGATTACTATTTGATTTATTATGTAAAGTTTGGGCATTGCTATTGAGTATTCCAAAAGAAAAAAATATAAATTAGCATATTTTTGATTTTTAACTTTGAGTTTTAAGTTCCTAAGTCTAAATCAAGGTATTTTTCATCATGAGGGTAAGAAATAGGAGTCCAAAGCACAGTGATATAAAGACAGTGGTAATCTGGTAAACATTTATTGTTTCTTGATAACACTAATGTTGATTTTACCATCATGATATGAATAGTAAACTTAATGACTAGTGGAATAATCACATAATGAAAATAGTAAGTTGAAATTAAATAAATGCAGAATTGTAGGTAAAAATAAAAATTAAAAATATTTTCCAGATATTGGCTATTGGCTATTCATTTGCCCTGTTTATTGAATATAATTTTGTTCTTTGATACTTACAAATGTGGAGATAAAGCCTGTTGTTTGCAGAATGTTCCTTCACTTGCTAATACTCTACAACCTATTTGTTATTGTCATTCATACAATGTCCCTCCTTTTGAAACACACAGAAACTATATGTACACTCCCCCCACACTTAAGTCATTCACCTTTGCTGCTGAAATAAATGCAAATTTTCTAATTGTATTTGAATCTGCTCTCTTCTTGTTAATTTTCAAAATTCAACAATATCGTAATCCAGCCTGGATGCAAAACATCTATCTTAGCAATTAGATTTAGAGGTGGTCCAGCTATGAACTGCTAAAAAAGAGCAGCAAAGTTTCCCTTTGAAAAAAGGCATTTTACACACAAAAACTACTGCAGCAACATTACTTCCTAAGAAACACAGGCAGAATAGGACTGCATTCAATTTGCATGCAGGTGGTGAATCTCTGAAGCGGTATTAAGGGATGAACCAGGGTGGATTAATTTCCAGTCTTTGATATTCATTAACTCCAGCTTCAGAAAAAAACACAGGGAGATGACACAATTACCCTCAGAGCTTCACCCGTGAGCAGCAGCTTTACAATCTCAAGTTCATAATGCCATACTAATTGATCAAGAAGGGGCACATACCTTTCATAAGAGGTGGAAAAGTATATGGGCTTAACTACAGCAATGATACTATTTGACTTTGGAACAGTCAACCTCACTTTGGAAACACTTAGCAAAATAGTTATCATCATTTATTCTCTAAGCCACCTGTCAATAGCTAGCCCTCCATGGTTTTCAATAATTCTCCACCAAGCAAAATGTAATTTTGGCCAAAACGTAATAGTGGCCAAGGCGCAATGTCCACTTCATTTGAAGCAACTAGCATTTAGTCTCATCACTGTATTTCTCTTTATAGATCATGGAACCTTTCAAAGATATCCTTAGGGAACACTTCAGTAAAGAGGAAAGCTTTCTTATTAGGAGGAATAATAGAAGCCATCAAGCTGCCTCAAACCCCTTCTGGACCAAAGTGGCAAGAGGAAGAGATAGGGATGGAAGAGGAATGTGCCCACAGGATCTAAGAAGTAGCAATCATAGGCTTGATGTTTACTTACCTCTGGAGCTTCAAAGATTTCAGGGTCACCATGTAGGACTGGAGGAAAGATGGCTACCAAGTCTCCCTTTCGCACACAGTAGTCCCCGGTCTCTGAACTGAGAGTCAAATCCTCCTCAACAAAACGAATGGTGGTTGAATATGAGGACAGTCGTAAAGCTTCAAAAATGCTGCTTTCTGAAGGAAAAAAACAAACGATAGCTTATTAAGATAGGGCTGGTCCTGAAAACTGCTCTCAGTTTGCAATAAAACTCATTACTAATAGCCTTGATTGAAAAGGAAACTGTTTCTTCATCACATACATTGAGCACCAAGAGGGAGCCAAGGGTGGCTGTGCACAGGATGTGAGCAGGGGCGGTGGTCTGGCTCCAGCAAGGCTTGGGGGCATTTCACAGGTAGAAGGCAGCAGTGTTGTACCTGGGCAGAAAGTCATTAAGATTTTGTAGGAGAGGGTGATCTGCTAGAGAGGAATGTTGTGTTATGGGTATATATGCTTGAAATTAAAACCATATCCCAGTTAAAATACACAGCTGGTGAGTCATTCCACAAACCTTTAGAACTCTGATGCTTTAAAGCCAGACTTAGCCATTTAATAACCACTTAGGCAGTTAATAGTAAAGTAATTGTAGTAGTGCTTTCTGAGACAGCTTAACACTTAATTTCTTTTATGCTAGCTGTAAATAAAATGTGAGTCAACATTTGCTGGAAAATTTTCAAAAGGAAAATATTTTTAGAGGATTCAGAAGAAAACCACATTTTTCTCAGCATCCAGGGAAAATAACAGGCACCATCATATCCTGGAAGATTCCAGAAGCCTAATGTCCTTCCTTTCCCAGTGGCCTTCACCTTTTACTCCTAGCACGACAGATTTTATGGCTAATTTCCGGCAATTTATCCTGGCAGTTTGAGGAGGAATTCCTTTGGGAATAATATGCATAATTTGCATAAATCATTCTGATAGCATGCATATCAGCGTGTAGCTCCTGTCTAGGTCTGCATCTCTCCCTTCATAATCAAAACTGACTATGTTTCCACCAGCGTGAATGGGTCCTAGAATATAAAGCTTGATTCTCTCTAATCAGCAATATGAAAAAAAAGCCCCAAATGGAGTTTTCTCCCCCTTCACATGATAACAAATGGTCGTGTTTATGACTTGCAATTTAGAAATCACACAGACACACACACACAGAGCCCCGTTTCTCAGTGTTCAGCAAAGCTCTGAAACACAGAGTACCCAATTATTAGATTATTAAAGGCAGGCCCATCCGTGAGGGCTTGCATCAGCCAAAAATAAAAATAAATGTTATTTCAGTAAAATTTAAATCTATGCACAGCCTGCATAAGGCTATCAAGTAGCTTTGGGTGCTTTCTCCCAGGAGGTTTTTCCTTAAGCATGCATTTGTCTAAAGAAATGAGGCTGCGGTCAGCTTTGTGTGGCCAGTGTGGTGATTCAATGTGACGTACAGTGAGGCAGTGCATATTCTCTTGGACTGCCTTCGTTATTATAATCAGGCAGAGTCAAATCGGTTTGTTGGTGATGAGGCCAGAAAAGAACTTTGGTTTTGGAACATGGGCTCTACTGCAGATAGCCACGAGGCACCTGACACGATGGATTTCAGCTGGCAGAACACCAAGGACCAACATTTCTGTGGTGAAAAGCAAGGCTCGGCCTCCCATGTACTGCTGCCGGCTCTGTTGGAGCAACAATAGCACAGCATCCTTTTAGCTTGTGGTGTGAAATGGTAGCTGACATATGTAGCAATGCTATTCACTCAACAAGTCCAGTAGGGGTGTGGGAAGAAGAAACACAAAAGCAAAATAATTGTGGGATGGCTGCTGTGACAGGGCAGGCATATAACAGTCCGAATAACATGGTCAAATCTGATTGGCTGATGTGCTCTCGGGAAGCATGGCAGCTTGCGCCCACCACAGTATCACAAATGACAATTGGGCAAGCATATCTTATGTAGAAGTTAATCACAATAATGGAGCGCAAAGTGTGGCTTAGCGGTCAGATAGTAAGTGACAAATCTGTTTTACCTTCCAGTACCAGTTATGTGTGCGAGATGAGGTTGGCTCTCGCTCTGAGCCATCATGCCGATAATCAATAGACGACAAAAGTAATGAGTTGCGTTATTATCAACAATGGAGAGTAGAGCTTACGTGGCTCTGCAGAATAACATCCAGACACAAAAGCGAGCAGCTTTTCCACCAGCCCCAGTACGAATGCAGGCAGAGCTATACGTTGAGAAGAATGACAACTGCACAATAAAAAAATTGCAGCCTCTACTTGTAGTTGTCATAGTTGAGCAGACACCAGCCAGTGCCACTGACAGACCAGCTGGGCCCTGGGAGGACTTCCATGCTGCACCAGGAGGTACAGTAAATTATCCTGCACGGTAGAGCAACATCTGTTTCTGTGCTAGTGCCGAACAAACAAGGCAATTTAAAACATACCAAGGGATAACCAAGCAACAAATGAACATGACCCTCATTTTTTCCCCCTTCTCACACATGAGGTGCTAAACTTCTTTGTGCAAGCACTCCATGAAAGAGAAGCCAGGTTTTTATTTGATAAGGTGTTGTCAGAGAGATTTTACATGTTTCCAAAGTGGAAAGAAAAAGCTTATAGTATTGTTATTCTTAGAATCTTCCCCCTTCTATCTTAATTTCTTTTATACCAAAGCTAGCACTCAGTTCTCAATTCGCTCTAGAATTAAAAAAAAAAAAAAAAAACTTTCCATATACTTATAAATATTCAGTCTTTAAACCTAATTTGCTATACTTAGTTCACATGCCTTCAAGCATTTGTCTTCCAATTTCCACTGAATAAATGCGTACTAATGAGAACTAGAGCAAGCTGCTGAGGCAAAGCTGGGTGACTTGGGTCTGGCCTGCCACCAGCTTGTGATAGGCGGGCAAATTGAGTTAAAATGAAAAGTCTTGTCAGCTGAAATTCAACATGGTAGCCAAACAGCAAGCTGTCAATCATCCAGCCAAAACAGGGGACTGCAGGTAATAAAAGGTCATTGTGAGTCATTAATGCACTTGGCTTTCATATGGAAGTTAATTTTAATTAAAGATGATCTCTATCTGTAAATGTTTTATAAAACTTATTGTGTATAATGGATTGTTAATTTATACTAACATTTAGCAGGTAATAGGACTCTAATTATTAGAATGCATTGTCGAAAAATGACCATCAAGAATGCAAATATTTTGAGATAAAATTTACACCAGGCACTGCAAGCTGCCAACAACTGCAACTGTGATTAAGATAAGGCTGCCTGTGAGTTGTTAAGAACTGAGCTTTACTGACCAGTATATGCTAGGAAATTGGATTCCAAAATTCCCTCTATGATCTCACAATTCAGAGCATGCACTACATTCTTCACCTGGCTAGGGAAGACTTCTTTCTCTTTTCAGGATACAAAATTATTTTGATTAAGTATCCCTTCTAAGTGAAATGCCAGGGAATGTCTTGAGCTAAAATCTTTTACAACACAATTGTGAAGAAAAATAACAAATAAAAAATTATGGTTAAAAAAGGCATGCACATATTCTCTTTTGCTCTCAGTTCTCAATTCTGGCTGTAATAAAGGATGGATGATTCTCATTTGCAGATTTACAGCACTAAAGCAGCTTATGACAATCAATAATGCATGTTACAACACAAAAACAAATAAGCATATCTGGGTTTCTGCCTCACACTTAGGCCCTGTCTGTATATGTGGAATGAATGTACTGTGACATGGCCAGGCTGTTAATTTGGGTCATCTTAATGATTGGTGCAGGCTGGCATGCCATTTGATTAGCCATGGTGATCAGAGGATAGCAGCAATGGATAGAGTGAAATGAACAGCCAGAACCTGCTGCAGTCACTGGGGCTGAACACTGGGTGATCTTAAAGAGAAGGTGGTTATAAAAGGGGGAGAGGGGTTGGGTATGGAGGTGGTGGTGGTTATAAAAGGGGGAGAGGGGTTGGGTATGGAGGTGGTGTGCTCTGGAAGGTGTCATGGAATGGAGTGAAGCTCATGATGTGTGCATGTGTATGTGCATTTCTACATAAGTGTCTTCAAGGCAGTTGAGAAGGTAAATAAGAAATTGTGATAATCATATAATTTGAGGCAAAATAATTAATCTTTGGCTCAACAATTGTACATCTTAAGTAAAGTTAAAAATAAATCTGAATTGGTACAAATGCCTATCTTCACTCTGCATCTCAGACACAGTCTTTGGTTCACTGCTAAAATACAGACATGTAAATTCGGCGTTCATATATTCCATAAATGTTTGTTAAGGCCCTACTCTGCTTGGAGCACTGGGCCACTGCTGCTGGTGTGAAAAAGGAACACAGCACATGGACTTGGCCTTCATGGACAATGCAATCTAGGAAGTTCAAAGTTGGAAAATACATATAAACAGGAATGCTCCCAAGATCCTACTGAAGATATTGCACAGTTGCTTTTATTTATTTAATTGACAAATAAAAATTGGATATATTTATGGTGTACAACTTGTTGTTTGGAAATACGCACACATTCTGGAATGGTTAAGTCCAATAATTAACATATGCAATTACCTCACATACTGATCAGTTATTTGTGGTGAGAAAACTTAAAATCTACTCCTGTGGCAATTTGATACTACACATTTTCTAATTGGATAACTCCAATGATAGCATTCAGAAAGCCCATTTTAGTAGAAAGCCATTTTTCATACTGAGGTGAAATTTTCCTCCTTTTAATTTCCACCCTTTATAAAACACACAGGCCAAAAAAGTCTAATCATTCTTCCACATAACAACCCTTTCAAAGTATGTAAAGACAACTATCATGCCATTTTCTAATTGTGTATCAGAGATGATATGGTGTTTAGCCTTTGCCATGCTGGATGAATTCAATTAGTCAATGTGCCTCTTAAGACTTGGCACAACTAGGTGTGTACTATTTTAGTTGGAAAAGTACAGAATTATTAATTTATGTCCCTAGACACCATGCTTCTATTACTATTTCCTGGGAGCAGATGAGCAACAGATTTTTGAAATAATATCACTATTGTTTTAAATTTTCTGATATGCCAGAGATTATCAGCAACCCTGGATGGCCATTAGAATCACCTGGGATTGCTTAAAAAAATAAATGCCCCATTCCAGTCTAATGGAATCAGAACCACTGCATTAACTAAAACCTTTCAGTTAGAGGCTTTGAATCTTGGCTGCACATTAGAATCACCTAGGGAGCTTTTTTTAAAGCCATCAGTCTGCACCCCAGACCAATGCAATCAGAATCTCTAAGGGTGGGGCAAGGTATGCAAAGTGTTTAAAGCCTCCCAGGTGGTTCCAATGAGCAATCAAAGCTAAGAACCATTGCTTCAAACCCTTTTCTGCTGAGTCACATGTTTCTCATCCTATTCTTACAAAGTTGATATTTAGATCTAAATACAATAATTTGCATTTTAATTAAAGTTGCTTTTCAATCCTTTCAGATTCTGTTTCCAGCATTCCTTATATTATCTAACCACCTTAGCTTTGTGCTGAGTTGAAAATCCGATGAACATCGAAATCAGTATTTTTCACTTTTTAACTGCTGTTTCCTTATATTAGATATAAAATTTTCACTATTTACATCCCTGAGTTTCTGATGTACTTCTTTGTGGAAGATGCTTCACCCACTTCCTCCAGTTAGAAGTTCCTAAATAAAGTTATGTCTTCTGTAAATCCTCATTAGAAGAGAGGATGTTGCAAAACTTCACTACTGTCTGAATTATGTAATCTTTTAAGCTTTTGAATACACAATTATTTTATAATATTTGAACGAGCTTTTTCAAAATAACACCCATAATCTTTACAAACATATCACACTAACGTAAAACGTTCATAAGGGAAACTGTGTGGGGGATATATAGGAATGCTCTCTATTATCTTTGTAACTTTTCTATAAATCTAAAACTATTCTAAAATAAAAAGTTCATTTTTATTAAAAAAATACCCACAAGATTCTAATGTGAACCTCTAGTTCTATCCTTACCCTTAAACCCAACTGCATTTGAGAATCAGTAATATATATCTTATAAAAAATACTGGTCAAGGTCTCCAGTCCATTTCTAGAGCATTTTTGTCTGAGGCGACAGTCATTATGGGTAGGCATTAAAGTTAGATCTGGCATCAACTTCTGGTTCTGCCACTATCTAGCTGTATGACTTGCATTAGTTTAGCAACATTTCTGAACCTCATTATTCAATAATTGAATAAAAATAATACTTGACAAATAACCTAATATACATAAAACACTTAACACAGTGGCAGGCACATATTCAAATAATAATTATTAATATTATCATTCATAATATCTTATCCTGAAGCTAAAAATTCAGCCAACTGTATGATCCTCTGGCCCATGTTGCCTGATCTTGTCCACATGCACATCATGCCTGGCTTTGTAGAACTGAGATACAAAGAATTCCTCTCCGCTCTCAGCTGGGATAATGAAAAAAGATCTCAAGGGCTCTGGTATCAGACAGGCCTGAGGGGAAAAGCATGGGCGTGGTCAGAAAACCTGAGTTAAAGACCTGCCTTTCTTCTTAATCACCTCCATGATCTTAGACGGGGTATTTAGCACCCTGAGAATTTTCTCATCTGTGAAAGTGACAAAATAATAGCTGTCACTGTCCTCCAGAGTATCCTGGTGCTGATGACATGAAACAATGTCTATAAGATTGCTTTGAAATATTGAAATCGTTAATATATTTAACATGGATTGCATCTAATTATCATTATTATTTGTTATTAAAGGACCTTAATTTTTTCCTTTCTGTATTCTCCTCCCACACCAACTACTCACAATCGGCTTCAAAATCTTTCATCAAATTTCGATGTGGACTCACTGCAAGCTCATACTTCTAGAGTTATAATTTTTAATATTCTCTTTTTAAAAAAGTATTACAGATTTTGCCCAGTTCCAGTTTTAAGGCATCTCCCTTTACTTTAACATCCCTCACCTGGACCATGTTTGCAACTTTTCTCAATTTGAGGATACGTCACTCAACAACATTAGGTGTCTACAATTCACCTGAGCCATGTGGCAGTTCTGATTTACCTTGACTTTCCAGAGTATGTTTGCTCTTTTCACTGGTGAGTCATCGAAAGAGCGCTCCTGTGAGGTAAGGTAGACTTGAGCATGATGTTCATAAATAATTGCAAATGAAGAAAACAATATAAACTACATAGGGACATTGCAGAGGTTAAATGTCATTTTGGTGATAACAACAGATAACATTTATTGAGCCTATACCGTGTACCATTATACTAAGTTATTTATCCATTATTCAAATAAACCATTAAGAAGTGGTATTCATCAAGCTTATTTGCAATTGATCTATCAAAATTCCAATTTTGAGAGCTTTTACTGCTTGCATTATCTTTTTTTCTTATCTTTGTCTTTCTGAATTATCTTTTATACTTTTCTTTTTCCTATATCTAAACCCGCAGTTCTAAATCCTACCTCCACCCCAGATTTTTTTCTGAGATAACTGAAAAATTCTTACTTTTCTCTCAGAGTTTCTCAAACTTCCATTCTATCAGCAATTTTTTTCCTATTGAGATTTAAGCCCCAAGTAACAGTTACTGAAACCTTATATCTACTTATTTTAAATTTTCAGTTAAATGTAATTATAGAGATCTTAACTAATTATTAATAGATAAAATGTTTTACTGAGGTCATAAGCAGAATCTTAACAAGATACGTAAATATATAAAATATATAGTTGTGTTTTCTTTGCCTAAAATAAGAGTAGAATAGTTTTAAAGAGAGATTCTCAAAAGCATTGAAAAAAGGACAAATCTATCATAACCTCTTACAGCAGATGATTGCTTTAAATTACTTAAACAGACTTTGGCAGTCTAACGTTTCTTCTCACCCTGCTTTATAATCAAAGTGTGCTGACATGCAAAATTTCTGTAAAAAGAAGAACCTCTTTTCTCTTTACTGTAATAGTGCCCAAATCCTCCTTCCTGGTAAAAAGTACAGCAATCATTTTATCATTGTAATCTTTTTTCCTCTTATAATGATAAAAGTTTAAACTTTTTTTTAAGACATTGCATTTAAAATACATAGAACTCTTTCCTTAAGAAGACAAGAAGGATAAGCACATACACACATACCACGTGGCACATGGTAAATATTTAACTGTGTAAGTCTTGCCTTTGTACATATACTTCATGCTCTCTTGATATAGAGAAATACAACTGAGCTATGACTATGTGCAGAGGTTATTTGTTGTGTAACTAATTCACATATAAGTTTGCTCTGATCTGCATAAAACCTTCTATCTTTTGAAAGAAAAAAATACACACTATTTTCTAGATCACAAACAGCCCCATCATTTTAAATTCTCGTAATGAACAACACTGGCCTCTGCTGGTAACCAAGGTCGTGATGAACCATCCAGGCTGCTGAAGGTACTGCCTTTATCCAGGTGGATCTAAACTTGCTTGGGATTTTTATTGTTTTTATTCATTTGTCAATGATAGGAGACTTGTCAATTTATGAGGGATCCAACAGTGAAAATCTCTAGCTCTAGCTATGGGCTTAAATGGATTCAAATTATAGTTCTAGAATCTGCCATTTTTTCTGGTCTAATAAATTTAAATGTTTCTGCTTTAATACTGAAATTTAAAAATGATTTTTTAATAGCAAAAAGTTGAAAGTAAAAAGAGTGGATGAATTACAACTACATTTTTTAAGAGTAATAACTATACAGAATACAAACACATATTCCTTTTAGTGTATTTGCCTTACTTCCCAGTATGCGTCATCTTATTCATAAAATGCAATGGAAACTGCTTGAATGTATGGGAAATGCAACCTAGATCTTCATAGAAATTACAAATATGCCAGAAAATACTGTGTATCCAAGTGGAGCAACTACCCAAAATTTTACACAAATTTTCTGAATTTGTTCCCCAATAATTCTGCAAAGAAAAATAAAAGAATATTTGTATTTTAGTAATGTTGAGATTTTTTTAAAAGAAAATATAAAATTTATTTGATAACCTATGCTAAAGACACAAACTACAAACTTCCAAATTGACTGCTAGTATAAGGCATGCTTTCTGGCATTGTCTCAATGGGCCTTAGCCTGAGAAGTGAGAACAATCTCTAGAACACTTGGGGCATTTTCCTCAATGGCCACTGAGGGTGAACATTGACCAAACCTGGGAGGACTTTTGCTCCTGAAAGGTCCCATTAAAGAACCTGGAACATATTTAAAAGATAAAAAATTGAGACCAACATAGGCTAAAATGCTCGCCTACATTGTCAAAGGAATAAAGAAACAGAAATATGTGAACATTTGTTCCTGCGTTTGTCTAAAGAAACTTGGAATATTGTACCCTAAAGGATACCGCAGGATGAAATGTCAATACAGAGAGAATAGAGAATAACTCATTGGTATGGAATTTAACTTTGGCAGTAGAAGTTCAGTCAGGGAATGGTAGTGAACAGCCTTCTCAAAGTAGTAAAGGGGAACGAAATCTTTAATTTGCAGCGTGCTAATTAAACGAAATCTGCTGCGATTAAAAGCTCCAGTCATTGAGGTACAGACCTATGTAGAAATAGAAAAAAACCTTAGTCACTACCAACCTCAAACATACTTGAAATAGTGACCATGTATATCTCATGAGTCGGTGAGTATTTTATAAAATATCAATGTTTCACAGGAATAGTTTGTAGTTGTTGCTTTTCCTTTTCTTTTTCTCCCTTTCTCTCTTCCTTCCTTCCCTCTGTCCCTCCTCCGTTTCTTCTTTTCTATTTTTTCCCTCTTTTCCTTTTTTGTGGGTTTAAATCACGAACTTCCAATGGAAAACTGTTTTCTGTGTTTTTGAGAATCACACACTCCATAAAACGTCTAACCTGTGTTTGAAAATATAGACATCATTTTAGGGAAGAAATACAATTTGCACACAGGGTGCCTTTTTTGCAATACTTTCCTTTTCAATCCCTAAATACTTCTTGACAAGATGGTGCAGCAGTGTTGGAAAGCATTAGCACATCAACAGATGCTCAGAATCAAATGATTTAATAGGCATAAACTTTTTTTCAAATAATTGTAAAGCTTTGGTTTAGCCTTTTGCATACCTTGCACAGTTAATTACCTAGGCCTTAATGTTTACATGCAATGAGAGTATCTACGGCTATAAACTACATAATTTATAATTGATGTAAATGGGTGTTATTATGTCAATTAGGCAGCTGTGTCCTCTACCTCTTGGTAAACAGCTATGAGTGATAAACCGAGTTTGCAGAGAGGTACCTTCTTTTCTTCATAACAGATAAAAATAAATTACCTAGGCAGATTAGGCTGTCCAATTGTTCTCTGGTGAGGTGGATGGGAAATCCAGACCCTTTCTTTTGACCTGTTGACTGCAGCAAACGGTCAATTTCGTCACGCACTGCTGCCATAGCTTCTGGGTGCCGCAGAAGATAATACATTGCCCAGAACATAGTTGGAATAGTGTTTGCCACAGAGGCCCAGAGAAAGCCTAAATGATGTGCTGGGAGAAAATAAGTGAAAAGGAAGATTAATAGCGTTTATTACACTGATTAGATTTGCAGTGTGCTAATTAAAAGATGTTAGGACACAGACCCAGCCAAGGATCAGTGCATGCTAATGAGAACCAATAGGCTTCTGAAGTCTAATTTTCTGCTTAATGAGAATAGTTTAAAATGTAATGTGTATGGGGGGGGCGGTGTGGTGGGGGATGAGATAAGAGGAGTAAATGCAGCTTAGTTATACTCTTTCTCATTATCACCATTAAGTATCTTGTTTTACCACCTCAGCAAAAAAAAAAAAAATATCAATTATAGAGGGTTATATCAGAGTAAAACATTTTATCATTAGCCAATTAGAAAGAGCATAAAAAATTTTCAAGGTCGCCATTTTGTCTTTTTATTTCAGAGGTCTATTGTAAATGATTTTATTTTAGGCAAGTGCTCATTCAGAAGTTCTTACCTCCTATTTCAAGGTCCTCGTGCACATAATATTTCTCCAGGACATCTTGCCTGCTTTGAAAAACTTCTGACCATCCTTGCATCTTGGCTAACTTTTCTGATGAGAAGCATTTTATAATTTTCTCTCTAATAGACTTGACATTTCCTAGAAGCTCAATGGGTATGTTGGATACTAAATATGCAAACTTGTCATCAAATTTTAAAAAATCATCTCTTAGCTCACTAATAAATTTGTTGTTGTCACAAACAATAACTTTTCCATATATAGTTGTAAATGTGATCTCAAATATTATTGAGCTGCAGAATGGATACAGTTCTGCCGTGTCCCAACTTGTGGTTTTTAACAGCTGGGGTTCAAAAACTTGTTTTAGATTCTGCATCATGCTTTCCAAGAGTATGTCCAAAGATTTGCCTTGCAAAAATTGATAGCAGAGGTGAAGCTCATCATTCATGTCATGATTTTTTTGCAACTGACTGATGCTAAATGCTTTCTCTAATAATTTATTAGAAAATACTCGAAAGCTTAATTGTTTATGATTTTTTATCACTAGCTGGTACTGGAAGGGGTCCAGGATAAATGTTATGTACTTTCCTAGAAAAAAAAAAAGAGAGAGAAAATATGAGTTCGTTTGTTAATAAAACAGAAATAAACACCACAAATTAAAAAATATGTTAATCAAAATTAGAAAGACCCTAATAACTAAGGCAAAAAGTTTAATACAAATCCATTTCATTCGAAGGTACACTACATGTTTCCTTTGAAAGATGGTGGAAAACACTCTAGAAACGTGAAGTTAAATATCCTGAAGTTCTTACTAACCTTTGCAAAGATGGTTTACTCTTCCAATTTTTATTTTAACTAAAGTACCTGAACACTTTAAATATCCTTTAAATATTCTCATAATCCCCTGACTTAAATACTTCTCATATATTTCCCTCAATAAAGCAGAAAACAAATTGGCAACATGCCATTCCATTTCTGAGTATTTATACTTCATAAAGAGCTTTTTCATGCTTAGGTGTCATCTGAGTTTTGTTCAAATACAACAATTTTAACTCAAATAAATGACCATACTGTATGGAGCAGGTACTCACAAATAAATGTCTAATTCAACACTGGCAAAAATCCACTAATGCCAGCATTTTCACTTTTATGGATGTGGGAGATTTAATAACATGTTCAAGGTCACATATTGACTTGTGACTGACACAGGATTCCAAACTAGAACACATCCATTCATCCATTCCTTCAGGAAGTCATTCACCATTCACCACATTTATTAAGATCTGGAAACTTGGTTGGATCCCTTTCTTTTTGAGATACAATTATGTATAGAAATCATTGCATCCCTATGGATTGTGATACGGCAGGGGTGAAACACAGCATAAGGAAAGCAGAAAGTAGAGTCTGCTTCAGTCAGCCTGGAGTTATCACCAAGGTCTCTTTGAGGTGATGACATTTACCTTTTCAACATATCAGTGTTGCCCAAACTTATCAATTTAAAAACTTGGGATGCTTGCGAAAAATACAGATTCCTGCAAGATTTTGATTCAGAAGGCTTGGAGGGGGTCCTACCAGTGTCCTTTTCGATGAGGTCCTCAAGTGATTCTTATAAGGATGCACCTTGAAGGACACAGTCTACTATAGTCTGTCTCTCAAAATTGGCAGAGACCTTGGAGAATTGCTTGTTTACCATCTGCATTTATCAGTTGATAAAGCTGAAGAAAGTCAAGAGATGTTACGGGTCAAGATCATGCTGCCATTTTCAGTGGTAGACCCTTGATGAGAAGTTACTCACCATGCACTATTCTTTGTCTTCTCACTAGAGTGCTGTTTTAAGATTCCTTCTAATTAGAAATATTAAGCAGATAGTAATAAATAATGACATTTAATGTCTTTCCTGTACAGAACAGGCATAAACTTTAGATGATCCTAAAAACGTTAACATCTACTTATTTATTGTCTTCATGTCATTATTCCTGTTTGTGTCTGTGTGTCTGTGTGTGTGTGTGTTGCTCTGTTAGCGGAACAACTTCTCACTTGTTATTTATGGTAACTCAAACGGCATCATAGAAATTTAATTCAATTTGGTGCAAGATATTTCAAATAAAGTTTTGAAATAATTTTCAACCTCATCCTAGAAACAGATAAATATGTTTTTGTTTCACAATTTTGAAACACAAGTTTTTAATATACATGAATATACATGTGCTATGATTTATTTTCTAAAAATGACTCAGATGACTTAAATTTTATTCACTCATTTTCCCCTTGATTAATTCAATAATGTGAGTGGATCTAGGATGCCAGTAAAGCTAGAAGTGGCTATTCATTCTGGTCAGATCCCAAAGCTGTCTTCTACAAGGTAAACTAAATTTGTGTGTGTGTATGTGCTCTGGGGAGAGCAAAAAGGATTCAACCCAATTTAGGCATATTTTATGACACCTGCTTTACCATCACAGCTTAATTAAATAAAATTGCCAGCATCTGCCTGTCAAATAATTGAAAAAAATCAATTTTCTTATTTTGCAAAAGATATAATTTTAGGCAAAGTTGTGTATTTTCACAGGTGGTGATTCATACTTTTCTCCTTTCACTAAATAAAAGGATTTTGCTAAATATCTTTGGGGTTATTTTAAATTATTCCCTAATATTACCAGAGTGTATAAAAGATTCAGTTAGTAAAACACACAATATTTAGAGAATATTTTGAATTTTTTCCTACAATTTTCTATATTCATCTAAATCTAAATGGAAACAGAAAATATATTCAGACATGACAGCATGAGCTACCTGTTATTGGGCCTACTGAAGTAGAGGCTGTACACATGTTACAATTTTTGTTTTGTCTACAATCATTACAAATACACACATTCATTTTCTCTCTCTCTCTCTCTCTTTCTCTCTCTCTCTCTCCCTCTCTCCCTCTGTCTCTCTATTTCCTCCTCTCTCCTATCCCCATCCTCTTGGGAATAAGGGTATGGGAAAAAACAATGAGGTTAATTTCAAATAAAAGGAATAAAAGTTGAATGTGGACAAAATGGTTCAAGTTAGCAACCAATTACTAATAAATTGTTTTTAAAAATATAAGCAGTTGTTTGTATATCAGTTCTTTATAAAAATCAGTACTGTTAACTTCATTTGTTTGTAGATCTAATCTCACTCCTTTCAAGGCTCTTTTCAGTCTAGGATCTGTATTTTCTCTTTCTCATTCTTATTTCAGTGTCCTTCAATATCAAGGCATTGTGTTTTACCTACTATCTTTTTTATTGAGATGTGAATTGGTTCAGAAGAAGATGTTTTGATTTTCCGGATTTTACTTTTCATGTGGGTTTGGAAGTACTAATAACCCTGGAGATGTTAGCTGGCTTTCCAACTTTTAATCTTCAGTATAAACAATTTAAGCTAAGTTTTCCAAAATTAATATTAATTTAAACCATCTGTCCACCATCTGCTAATGTGAGATGCAAAACCAGAGTTTCTTTGTGATCTTTAATCAGACAGTTAGGAAAACTCATATACATTCATAAAATGAATTTAAATTTCTTAACAAAGGAAATCTTCTGAAAAGGTATTCTGAAGGCCGTGTATTCTTGCAGCAACATTAACTTTTGCTCCAGGGTGATTTTATGTAAATGAATGGCCAGTGTCAGCAGGCATGTTACCTAGTTTACAAAGATCACAAGGTAAAAACAATACCCTTTGCCATGTTTTCCAAAGAGAAGAGAATGCTGTCAGCAGTTGATATGAAATATTGATTTAAAGAATTTCAAAGTCTGCATTTGTCTAAAATATAAATGTCAAAGTGGGGCTGATATCTGCAAGAAAAATACAATATAAATCATTCTTAGATGCAGTAAATTTGAAGTCAGCTCCAAATTTTTGATATCTTCCTTGCCAATCATTTCATTCTCTTCCCTTTTTAGGAGCTAACTGGCCTTACAATATTAACTGTAGCATTCCTGTATAAGCTGCATAAGAGACTTTACCACCTCAGTAGCCTTTCCACTTCCGTTAAAATTAATTCTTTAGGAAGGTAAAGCTACATAATTCAAAGTATGTTGGTAAATGTATTTTAAAAATTCAGTCATTCACCCTAATGTCAAACAAAAAGTTTTGACATCTGGGTCATTATAAATTGAATTTTGGTGTTTTCATTTTATATATTTGGTGCTATACAAAGATATAGATATATATACATATATCCATGAGAATTGGCTGCTTGGCATAGAAATGTCCTGTAAAAAAAATATAACCAAGGCCAGAGGATCATTTGAGGCCAGGAGTTCAAGACCAACCTGGGCAACATAGGGAGACCCCACCTCTGCAAAAAACCTTAAAAAAAATTAGCCAGGTGTGGTGGCACACACCTGTGGTCCCAGCTACTCAGGAAGCCAAGGTGGGATGATCACTTGAACTCAGGAATTTAAGGTTGCAGTGAATTATGATTATGCTACTGCACTCCAGCCTGGGTGACAAAAGGAGAACCTATCTCTAAAAAAAGAAGAGACAAATTTGAATTTTAACAATTTTCATAATTAGAAGCTTTTCATCTCTGTGTTTAGGTTGTTTTACAATAGAAGTTTTTAATCTCAAGCTGAAAATATCGGTTGGAAGAGTGAAATATGAGTCAACTTTGTACTTTATGAGGATGGCCACATGTACATATCCCCCCGCTTATTAGGAAGATTTCACTAGCTGCTGACAATGATGTACAGTGGTGCTTTGCTGGGGTGACATCTAGGGAAAACGATTCCACTGCACCACCACACAAAACCAATTAGAGAACTATTTTCTGCGACAGGTCAAGAATTTACATGGTTTCTCATGAAAAGATGTACTTTTTAATTTCTTTATTAAGATGACATCCGTGTCCCTTGAGACTTTTGGGGATGACAATCATTTGCTCATCATGCAAGAACATATACTCAGTGAAATCACATTATGAGACAAGAGCGGAAGACTTTGTTCTTCATTTCACATTTTCTAAATGAGCTACTTTGCAAACTGATCACTAGAACCATATACATTAACAGGATTTCTTGACAGGAATTTATTCAAATTCTAGTAAGAAGCAAAAGGGAGGTATCGTGCACATTTAACTGGTTGTCTACTGTTGAGTTCAAACATAACCATGGTCAAATTATTCAGATGTTAGAAATTCAGCAAGCTTCTTGGTACCTAAGATTAAGAAATCAAGCATCAGCAGAAATTGGCTATTTTTTTGAAAAGTGAATAAAGTGATTCAAATCTGCCACAACTTTCTGCATAATCATCTTAGGTTATTTTTGTACATTGGTATTAAAAAAAGAAAAACTGAACATTTCAATCACTTGTTCTATCTATTCATTAGAAACACCAGTGTTAATTATTTAAAGTAAGAATGACTCTTTTTAAGTGAACAATATAGTTTTGGTACCATAAAGCCCAAGGCTCACTTAGAGGAGAAGCACCAGCTCAGGCTTTTATCTGTACAGTATTCCAGTGTTTCATCAGCTCTAAGAAATTAGGGGCTTCCCCATCCAATATTCGTTGAGAATCAGTTCTGAGCTCTAGACTAAATGTTGACAATAGAGAAGCTAACAGAATAATGAAGGGAGACAGATAAGTCAGTTGGTAATAACTTCACAATGTATTAAATGCTCCTACAGAAGTGATACTGGGAGTAACTCGACCCTGGAGAAGAGGCACCAAATATAGGAGGAGTCAGCAAAGGCTCTTGAGAGGAAGCAATGTGTGACTCTGGCCTCAAAAGTTGAGTCCATGTCAGTCAGGTAAACAATAACATTCTGGCAGAAAGAACAGCAAGATAAAGAAAACCCAGAGGCCCCACCAGGTATGGCGTGTGAGGAGGAAATTTCAAACAACATGGTGCATTCATGGTGTGTGAAGCACAAGGCGAGCAGCAGCAAGAGACTGAGCTGGAAAGGCTGGTGGAGACCTGATCTTGGGGAGCCTCATGAGGACTACTGTATATAATATAATTCCTCTAAGATGCATGATTTTTTTCCATTTCAATTTTTCTGAAATCAGAATGCATACAATTTTTTTTTTTTTTTTTTTTTAGATGGAGTCTCGTTCTGTCAACAGGCTGGAGTGCAGTGGTACGATCTCGGCTCACTGCAACCTCCGCCTCCCGGGTTCAAGCGATTCTCTGGCCTCAGCCTCCCAAGTAGCTGGGACTACAGGCACATGCCACCATGCCCAGCTAATTTTTGTATTTTTTTTTTTTTTAGTAGAGATGAGGTTTCACCATGCTGGCCAGGATGGTCTCGAATTCCTACCTCGTGATCCACCCGCCTCAGACTGGCCAGCTTCCAGGCAAAGGAGTAAGTTGTGATGAAACTGATACTGTCTGTCCATGGGAGAACTCAATCATGCTGATAATTTCCTCCAGTTGGATCATTTCTCCCAAATACTGCATTAAAATACATTATTTGAATAATAATGCATAAAATGCATTATTTGCATAATACTGCATAAAATGCATTATTTGCATAATACTGCATAAAATGCATTATTTGCATAATAAAGCATTGAAATTAAGTCACTGTAGTTTCCAAAGGTTGCCTCTGACCCTCAGCAAAGTAGTTACAGGCAGAAAAAAATTACTGGCTCTCTAAGAATAGAACATAAACTTCCAAGGCTGGTTGAAGGAAGATGTAAGGGTTGAGCTAAGAAAAAGGCATGCATGTAGATGATTTAGATAAAGAACTAGAAGGGGGAGTATAGAGAGTAAAGGAGTAGCAGAGTATTTCAGGAAGGAACAAGAGATCAGCATTGTCAAACCAGGTAGAGAGGTCTAGGTAGGTGGACCAGGGAATAACTTCAGCAAGGCTGAAGTCTGGTTATAGTTAGGAGGGCTCTGGGAGATATGCAACTAGAGATAGCAAATATATGCAACTCTCTTGAAAGAGCTGAATGCAAAAGAAAAGAAGAAAAGTGGAAAGTAACTAGAGGGGAACCTTAAGCATGGTTATAAGTGATGGTAAGAGCCCAAGAAAGAAAAAAATGAAGATGCATGTGTGAGAGGAATGAATCTAGATGTACCAGTCCAGAGGCGGCAAGAAGAAAGGGTCATGGGGACAGGGAGATGGAGTGTCTTGAACATTCTTTGAAATTGGAGAAAACATGGTAAATCATTGAGAAACGTAGGTACATTTGGTAGATACATGGGGATCTAAGGGAGATTATACTGGATCTTCAGTTACCTTGTGAAGGAAGGAGAGTGAACTGTGTTACCAGAGCCCCAGTGAGAGTGGGGAGTGAGACTCAGCCTCTTCTTTTCCTGCCACTGGCAACACTCAACAAGCAAAGGAGTGTGGGTAATCTAGTGTGTAGAGATCAGCTTACAGAGCACAGACAGGACATGCAAAAGCAAAGAGAGGGAATAGCTAGCCCAGGCCATAAACTGATGTTGAAGATTGTATACAAAGATAGCTATGATGTATTCCTTCCATCTCTCTACATGTGCCCCCATGCAATGTGACTCTGCTACTCCTTCCAGGAAGAGGTGGAGTCTCTTTCCCTGCCCTTGATTCTGGACTGCACTGTGACTTGGTCTAACTAATAGGATGTGGTGGAAGTAAGGTTTTGCAATATCTGAGCCTAGGCCTCAAGAGACCTTGAAGCTTTTTCTCTCACTCCCTTGAGACACTAACTGCCATGTAAGAAACTTTTCTTGAGGATGAAAGACCGTGTGGAAAGGCAGCCCACCCAGGTATGTGATGAGACCATCTCGGATCATCCAGTTCCCATCCAGAGTCCAGAAAAGCCACACAAGTGACTCAGGCCAGACCAGTTGTTATTTTAAACCATTAAACTTTTTGGGGATTTGTTACTCAGCAATCAATAGCTGATACAGCTACATAGTTTGGGTCTTAAAAAATGTTGTGAACTAGTAACAGTCTAGCTTCTCCTCCCAGTCCTAGAATGTTTGGGGTGTGTAGCAATTCTGCTGTTTTTTTCTTCATTTTTCTTGGTGTTTTGGTACTTTATTAAAGTCTGAAGTGCAATGAAAGTTTTAAAATGAAAAATACATTCTTGACCAGTGGTTGCTGGAGACTCAGAGGCAGGGGAAGAAGAATGAATAGGTGGAGCACAGGAAATTTTTAGAAGAGTACAGCTACTCCATATGATACTGTGATGGTGGATACATGTCATTATACATTTGTGAAAACCCAACGAACTACACAATACAAAGAGTACACTGTAATGTAAATCATGGATTTTTAATGATTGATCAATATTGGTTCATCAGTTGTAACAAATATACTACATAGATACAATCAGGGAAACTGTGATTGGGGGGAGGGGGTATATGGGAACTCTCTGAACTACTAAATTTTCTGTAAACCTAAAACTCCTCTACAAATAAAGAGCATTAATTTAAAAAATACATTCTAGCTTTTGTATAGTTATATATATATATTTTTTTTTCTACCATTCTTAAAACCAAACTAAACCAAACCAAAATGACAGGTGATGGCTGGAAAGAAGGGTTCCCTAAGTACCATGAAGAGAGTTCTATAATTTGATTTTTAATGTGAGGATCACTGAACTAAAAATAATAGTTTTCTTTCACATTAGCTCTACAAAATAAAATAAAAATATACAAATATTCTACATTTTGCCTAGAGAAAAACAGAAAGACATTAAAGAACAAGTGAAAAATGATGACATATATAAGGTATTAATAGAAGTGCTTCTTACCACCAAGAAGAACTGTGAAAGTGTCACCATGTTGCTTTTGAAGTGTTTTCATGAACCTTAAGGGGTCTTTTCGTAAGTTCAGGACCACTCCAAGATAAGGAAGCCAACCTTTTATCAATGGAGGCTCACCGGGTCTCCTACAAGGAAAAAAAAAAAGATAAAAGAACAAAAGAAAAATCAAATCATTCTTATTCGAATACAGGTGGTTTATTTACTGAATCTAGAAGGTGACTGCATGGATTGCACTGCTTCTTTCTATTCTCTTACTCAGTGATTCTTATATAATCATAGACATGAGTTTACTGAGCTTCTCCAGTATGTATGGATAAATGCATAACTTCTGGTGAGCAACTTTATTTCAACAGTTTTTGGGGATCAGGTGGTTTTTCGTTACATGGATAAGTTCTTTAGTTGTGATTTCTGAGATTTTGGTTTACCCATCACCCGAGCAATGTAACTGTACCCAATATGTAGTCTTTTATCCCTCATCCCATCCCACCCTTCCCCCTGGGTACCCCCACTGAGTCCCCAAAGTCCATTATATCATTCTTTTTTTTTTTTTTTTTTTTTTTTTTTTTTTTTTTTTTTTGAGACGGAGTCTCGCTCTGTCACCCAGGCTGGAGTGCACTGGTGCGATCTCGGCTCACTGCAAGCTGCGCCTCCCGGGTTCACGCCATTCTCCCGCCTCAGCCTCCCAAGTAGCTGGGACTACAGGCGCCTGCCACCACACCCGGCTAATTTTTTGTATTTTTAGTAGAGAGGGGGTTTCACCGTGTTAGCCAGGATGGCCTTGATCTCCTGACCTCTTGATCTGCCCAACTCGGCCTCCCGAAGTGCTGGCATTACAGGCGTGAGCCACCGCGCCCAGCCTATTATATCATTCGTACGCCTTTGCATCCTGGTGAGCAATTTTTTGAAGGAATTGTGTCTTGCAAGGCCTGGATGACTGCCTGATAGTTAAGTTACAATCTGTTTTATTTATTTCCTATTCTGTTTCCCGTCATCATAGGTAGGTACCTGTGACTAAGGAGATCTCCGGGAAACTAAATCAACTGTTTGATATAATTTACTCTATGAAATTGTTAGTTATAATATCGATAAAAAACAAATGATCAGCTGCCTGATTTTATTGGTCTTTCACAAGTCATGTTATAAATGCTGCTTGATCAGTTTCATCAATGAGACCTAAACTTAGTTTTGACTAATATTTATGTTATCTGCTATGTGCTTGGTGATGTGCAGTGGAACAGGCCAAATCTGAGTTCTAGTCAAACTGCTTGTCAGAAATCACCTAAACAATGTCAATTACTGATTATTTTGTTTTCTATACAGCACAGTGTTTTTATATGTGTAGACTCAGTCAAACTAACCCCACCTCATTTTAAATTCCAACTCATGTATAGGCATTTAGGTCTTTCCACAAATAAAGGCTATGAGGGTTTCTTTCTTTCTTTTTTTTTTAAATCTTAAAAAACCTTCGATTATATTCTTATATAATAAAGGTATAGAGGGATGATGCATTATGGGATTTGAAGTTTTTTAAGCCACTTAAGTCTACTTAACATAGTAAATGGAGATGTGTTCTTTAGGATATGCAAGTCATATTCAAGTATTTGTTGTGAAATTTTTCACTGAATTGATTTATCACCGAGTTTAGAACTAGATGGCACCTTGGAGACTTTCATGCAATTTCTCATTTTTATAGGTAAGAGTTCTCAAGGCCTAAGAGATCAACAAGTTTCCTTAAAGTCATGAAACTATGTAAGGACAAGCTGTGTACCAGGATGCAAGACTTGGAGTCCCACAGCTGCTCTCTGGCCCCTTTAGAAACATTAGTCAGTTAACCTGTGGACCTAGGGAAAAAAAACCACCAAAGCAGCTCACTGCCAGAGCTGACAGACATTGTGTGTGTGAACCTGAGGGCTCTTGCTGTGCCCTGGGTTTTAGAAGTTGGAAAGTTTAGCTGCCAGAGTAAAGCTCTTTGTTATCAGATGTCAATTAGACTGGAAATACATAATCAGAAGAGAAATAATAATCTTAAATTGAGAACTATAAAAATCTCCATATTATGTATTTGAGGTATTATTTTGATTTAGTCTTTCATAAAGTTTTTTATTCAAGCTACCAATGATTGAGACGATTTGTTAAATTTTACTAATAATTTGCATTTTTTAACATACAAAAAATCCTTTGGAATACTATCAGTTAAAAAACAAGTTTTTTCTTTGTTGATTTGTAATCTTAGCAAGATTATACTTCAAAATGTCTTCCTAGTTATTTATTTGGTGAACTCAATCTGATTTAAAGTAAAAAAGGTAAAAAGAAACAAAAACAGAAAACAAAGCCATTTTATCCTAGAAAGGATTAAAACAGATATTTAAAAGAACTCTGATTCTGAAAGCCCATCTGTGAAGACGACTTGTGCTACATGCAGTGCAACTCATTTTGATTAATCACAAGATATTACTAGCTCAGATTTAATCAAAGATCAAGATTATGATCATACCCAGCATGGACTTTTATGTAGCTAGATTAACCATATCAGAGGCTTTTATTTTCCCACAATCCAACATGGTAGAATTTCACTTTGAAAATAAAACTCAGATCTTTCAGGGGAAAGAATGTCAAAATAAATCCAAGTTATGATAGAAATAAAGGAAAGATTTTGCTTTCTCTTTTTAGAAGACAATTTATCTTAATGCTAATTTACAAAATGTATACTGTTGTTTAAATGCACATACTTAGAAATAGGAAAACAAGAAACACTGCATAGAGATGGGAATCTTACTCATTATACTTTCTCCCATTATTTTCTTGAATGCAGGCTTTAGCAATGGAGACTTGCTTTTATGAGAAATATAAGAAAACCAAAAAAACCATTAATACAGTTAATTCCATATCCAAAGATTGAACAAGAGGAGACCACGCATGTAACTGTAGAGTAGGATCCCCAAGTTACAAACTGCCACAGCTCACATGCTATCAATGACCCTTTCAAATTTGCAAGTGATCTAGTTCACCAAATTTCTTTTCAAAATATTAACTCTCTTCCTTGGTCTACTTATACTCTGTTTGGTTTAATGTTGCTTGAATGTTGCATTTTGACAAAGATTTAGAAAAGCTTTTTGTCATATTCTAATTTAAAGCAACTAATTTCATCCTCTATGCTCTGTTATTTGGTCAAAAGCTGTATTCTTCATGGGGTTTCCGCCAGGGGAAAGGATAGGGCTCAGAAATCCAGGGGATATTAACTTAACATTCAGAGTTAGGGAAGCACATTAGGAAGCTATTTTATTGTTACAAAGATGAGAGGGTCATCATTTCTTACAGCTGTGTTTATTTTGGCAGCAGTAAGCTTAAGACTATTAAACACCATGTCACAACTGTGCATATTTTCAGGAAAAAATATAGTGCTTGTTCAACTTATGACCCATTGAAGATAGATAACAGAAATCTGTCTTCATCAGTATATTTGTAAAAATTATTTAGGGAGGAAAGACATCACCATAATGATCGAGAAAGGCCTGATGACACACAGCACAGTGCAAATACTGCTATTTGTCTCTCTCATGCTCTGTGACTTTGAAAATGAAATACACACTGCCCATGGCTGAGTAGGGATATAGGATGCTTGTTGGGGTTGATCAAGTTTCAAAACTTAAATGAAATAGGTCCAAAAGCAATGATGGGGAGCTAACAAATACTATGTTCCCTACTCCCTCATAATCTCAAACAATATACATTTCCTCAAATCTTCTCATTACCGTTTAAAAAACTATAAGAACACATCTAAGACATCACACAAATTTGAGCTTATACAGGCTCTTGATAACTAAACCCAAGTTCTATGCAAGTACCATTGCATCAGTGCTTACAGTTTCTTTCATACAAGTTGTAGGGCACATCTTAAAGTGTGTGCAAAATGTCATCTACAGTCCAAAGTTATCTGGAAACAAATTTTGGAGACGGGGAGTGGTGGTTCATGCCTGTAATCCCAACACTTTGGGAGGCTGAGGGCAGGTCACTTGAGGCTAGGAGTTGGAGACCAGCCTGATCAACACAGTCAAAACCTTTCTCTACTAAAACTGCAAAAAATTTAGCTGGGCAGGGTAAAGCTTGCCTGTAATCCCAGCTACTCAAGAGGCTGAGGTACAAGAATCACTTAAACCCAGGAGGCAGAGGTTGCAGTGAGCCAAGATCGCACCACTGCATTCTAGTCTAGGCAACAGAGCAAGACTCTGTCTCAAATAAAATAAAATAAAATAAAATATAAAATAAAACAAAATGAAATAAATAAAATGAAATACTGGAGAAGAATCTAAATACATAAAATGGATGTAAAGTGTAAAGAGGTTTAAGACATTTCTCTTTAGTTAAGAAGAGGTACTCTGAAATTTAAAAGAGTAGACCAACACAGAATATTTAATTTCCCATAATATTTGAAGTTCATCTTCATGCTATACCTGTAGTTAAATAAACATGTTAAAAACTTGACTAGTGACCTATTGCACATTTTTTCCCCTCAACATTTAAAGCCCATCGCTGCCGGGCACAGTGGCTCACGCCTGTAATCCCAGCACTTTGGGAGGCTGAGGTGGGCGGATCATGACGTCAAGAGTTCGAGACCAGCCTGGCCAACATAGTGAAACCCCGTCTCAACTAAAAATACAAATAATTAGCCAGGCATGGTGGTGGGCACCTGTAATCCCAGCTACTCGGGAGGCTGAGGCAGGAGAATCGCTTGAACCTGTGAAGCAGAGGTTGCAGTGAGCTGAGACTGTGCCATTGCACTCCAGCTCGGGTGACAGTGTGAGAATCCATCTCAAAAAAAAAAAAAAAAAAAAAGTCCAGCGCTTCTTACAGCAATCTATACTTATCAGAGTAATTTCTTCTTTTCCACTTTTCCTGTAATCATTCTAGGCTAGGCGTTCAGGTTATTGCAATAACCTCCTAAGTAGGTGGTGAGCAACCTTTATACATGCACACTAACTAGAAAAAATAAAATTACGTATTTATTAAAAGTGCTTAAAGATGTAATATATTTGTATTAGGTGACCGAATATATGTAACAGTGCCTTAGTTTTATTTTTTTATTTTCCTGAATTAATGAAGATTTTCTTTTTGTGTATGTGGTTAAAATTTCAGAAACTACACAACTGATATACATTACAGTATCTGATGATAATTCTGAATGTTTGAACGACTTTTTTTTTTTGAGCAAGGCACTTTGGAAGCTGCTGTGTTTTACCGTTCTTTGACTTACTTTGGCAGCAACCTCAATGGAAAATGTAATTTGCTTCATAGTACCTCTTGGAACTGAATTCTTGAAACACTCTTTATCCCCGCACACTTCTTGGGCTCTGATGTTAGCACAAGGAAACTTAGAAATGTTCTAACAACTCTTGATAATCAAGAATTGCATGTTTGTCAGGATATCGGGAAGAGGAGTATCTCAATACAAGGCTGTGGATGGGAGATCCCAAAGGAGGAGGAGATGGAAGATGTGGCTGAGTCTAGGGAGACCAGAAGCCCCAGTGAGAGGCCTGGTGGGGACAAGGAAGCACAAGGCCACAATGTATTGCTCTGCCAGGAAATGAGGTGAGATTTACAACCAACTGGGCACATTTTAGCAATGAACGCAAAGGTGGAGGGCTATACCCAAAGATATCTGAGAAGGCACCCTGGGGAAGCCAAAGAGGACCAATAGGAACATTTGCACAACAGGACTCATCAGATCAACAGAAAGGAAGTGGGGGGAAAGAGTCTTACATTTTATTAAATAGTTTTACAAAAGAGACTAGGTTTTAAACTAGAAGTGGCCAGACTATTGTCACTGGAAGTCTTCAGTGTTTTCAGTCATCACCAGAAATCAGGGCTCAAGAGAAATTTGAGTTCAGATATGAAGAAATAAAGTTACATTTCTGTACATCTGACTCATGGGGAAATTTTAAATCTGGCCCACTATCTATGTAGATCCTCAGTGTCTTCACCTGTAAAGGAGAATGTTTATACTAACCTTGGTGGTTTATCATTCAGACTGAGATAAGAGTATTTGAAAGTAGCTGACATACACAGCAGGATTAGTTTTTCCTTGCTATTCATATTTTGCAAGCAATTGCATATCTGTGGTTTTGCTTACTCATTCTCTGCCTGAACTGTTTCTTTTGTCAACTCTCTCTGCTTATCTATACCTTTCAAGGAGTTGCCCAGGTCTGAAGGCCCTCTTCATCCTTCAACACATCAGTTAAGTAAAACTGCCAAATGCCCAGATAAACACGAACTCAGTAACTTCAGATGAGCAGGCAAAAATATGCTATGCAAAGAGCTTTCTCAGAAAATGAACTATCTTTGTTTAGAAGCAAAGTTTCATTGGATGTTTGATAATTTCGATGTGGTCCACTGGGCATGACCTGCTTTAAGAGATAATGAGATTGTTCTATAGAAGAAGTGAACAAGAATGTGGGGGTTGGGACGTTAAAGAGAAAGAGAAAGAAGAAAAGAAGTGGCAGGACAGAGGAATAGTGAGACTGCATCATGGTAAGCTGGGACTCTCTAAGGAGGACAGTGACCTGGGAAAAACTTCAGGCCCAGATAGTCTCATTGGTGAATTCCATCAAACATTAACATTAATCTCTTGTAGAAAATAGAAGCAGAGGGAGCATGTCCTAACTCATTCCATGAGGCCAGCATTACCCTAATTCCAAAACCAGACAAAGACATTATAAGCATTACAAGAAAGGAAAATTGCAGACCAATACCTCTTATAAACATAGATGCACAAATTCTCAATAAAATAATTATCAATTGAATCCAACAATGTATAATAATTATACACCATGAGCAAGTGGAATTTACGCCAGGTATGCAAGGCTGGTTCAACATTCAAAAATGAATTAATGTAATCCATTGCACCAACAGGCTAAAGAAAAAAAATCATCTGCTCATATCAATAAAGAAAAAAATGTTTGACAAAATCCAGTACCCCTTTATCTTATACTACCTACAAAAATAAACTCAAAATGGAAAAAAGACTTAAATGCAAGACCCAAAACTGTAAAACTCCTAGAAGAAAATATGAGGAAAGAGCTCCTTAATGTTGGTCTTGGTAATGATTTCATGGATATGACACCAAAAGCATGGGCAACAGAACCGAAAATAAACTGGCGAGACTAAATCAAATGGAAAAACTTCTGCATAGCAAAAGAAACAACTGACAGAGTCAAAAGAAAACCTACAGAATGGAAGAAAATATTTGTGAACCACATATTTGATAAAAGGTTAATGTTTTGAAAAATAAGGAACTCCTAAAACTCAACAGTAAAAATCCTAATAACCCAATTAAAAAATGGGCTAAGGACTTAAACAGATATTTCTCTAAAGAAGACATGTAAGTAGCCAACAGGTATTGAAAAAATGCCAATGTCACTAATGATCAGGGAAATGCAAATTAAATTCACAATGAGATAGCACCTCATACCTGTCAGGATGACTATTATCCAAAAAAACAAAGACAACAAGTGTTGCTAAGGATGTGGAGAAGTGAGAACCCTTGTACACTATTGGTGGGACTCCAAAATGGTGCAGCTGCTATGAAGAACAGTATGAAGCTTCTTCAAGAAATTAAAAATAGAATTACCATATGATCTAGTAATTATATAATCCACTTCTGGATATTTATCGAAAAGAATGAAATCAGGATCTGGAAGAAATATTAGCATTCTAGTGTTCTTGAAGGGCTATTCACAATAGCTAACATGTGGAACCAACCTAAATGTCCACTGACACATGAATGGATAAGGAAAATTTGGTATAAACATACAATGCAATACTATCCAGCCTTAAAAAAGGAAATTCTGCAATATGAAGCAACACAGATAAACGCGGAGGACATTATCCTAAATGAAATAAGCCAAGTACAGAAAACAAACACTACATGATTCCACTTATGTGAGATATCTACGATAGCCAATTTCATAAAACAAAGAGTGAAATTGTTGTTACTAGGGGCTGGGGAGAGGGAGGAAATGGGGAGTTTCTAATCAGCAGGTATAAAGTTTCAGTTAAGCAAGATGAATTAGCTCTAGAGAGCTGCTGCTGTACAACATTGTATGTATAGTCAACAGTAATGTACTGTACACCTCAAAATTTATTAAGAGTAGATCTCATGTTAAGTGTTCCTACCACAATAAAATAAACAAAAAATCTTAAGGGATCAACCAATGTAAAAAAAAATCCAGCACCCATTCATGATAAAACTCCTAGCACAATAGAAACAGAGGTGAACTTCCTCTACTTCATAAGTAACATCTACAAAAAAATCTACAGCTTACATCATACTTATTGGTGAGAAAGTAGGTGCTTTCCCATTAAGATCAGAAACAAGGCAATAATGTCCCTCTCATCACTGCTATCCAATATCATTCTGGAAGTCCTAGCTAATGCAGTAAGATAGAAAATGAAATTTAAAAATATACAAATGGAGAAGAAAGAAAGGAAGATGAAAAGAAAAGAACTGCCATCGACAGAAAGGAAGGGGGGCGGGGAGAGAGTCTTAAATTTTATTAAATAGTTTTACAAAAGGGACTAGGTTTTAAACCAGAAGTGACCAGACTATTGTCACTGGAAGTCTTCAGTGTTTTCAGTCATCACCAGAAATCAGGGCTCAAGAGAAATTTGAGTTCAGATATGAAGAAATAAATTTACATTTCTGCACATTTGACTCATGGGGAAATTTTAAATCCGGTACACTATCTATGTAGATCCTCAGTGTCTTCACCTGTAAAGGAGAATGTTGATACCAACCTTGGTGGTTTATCATTCAGACTGAGATAAGAGTATTTGAAAGTAGCTGATATACACAGCAGGATTAGTTTTTCCCTGCTATTCATATTTTGTAAGCAATTGCACATCTGTGGTTTTGCTTACTCATTCTTTGTCTACATAGAAAATCTCAAAGAATCAGTAACAACAAAATTTTAGACCTAATGAAGTACTACAGTAAAGTTGCAAGGTACAAGATTAATATACAAAAGTCAATTGCTTTGTTATATAACTGCAATGAACAATTGGTATTTGAAATTAGAAACACAATACTACTTACATTAATCAAAACAAAATATACAAAGTTAACTTAGTGAAAAAATTTATTCTTAGGTATAAATCCAACAAAATATGTATAAAATCTATATAAAGAAAACTATACAACTCTGATTAAAAATCAAAGAAGATCTGAAATAGAGAGATATTCTATGCACATGGATAGGAAGAGTCAATATTGTCAAGTCAGTTCTCAACTTGATTTACAGATTCAATGCAATCCCAATCAAAATTCTAGTAAGATGTTTTATGGATATCAACAAACTGATTCTGAAGTTTATATGGAAAGGCAAAAGACAATATTGAAGGAGAAGAACAAAGTGGAAAGACTTATACTACCTGATGTTAAGACTTAATATAAAACCATAAGAAACAAGAGAGTGTGGTATTGATGAAAGAATAGACAAACATATTAATGGAACAGAACAGAGAGCCTAGAAATTGACCCACACAAATATAGACAACTGATTTTTACAAAGTAGTTGCAAAATGCAAAGAGAAAAGTCTGGTATATGTTACTTTAAGATGTTAGTAGTCATTAATCTCAGGTGGTGAGATTACAAAGGTTTGATCTTTGATATCTTTTGATTTGCACATGACATAAACATACTGCTTTTGAAGAGTAGTTGTCATTTATTTTGTAGAATGGCCCTCCATTTGGGTTGGGTTGTCTGATATTTTTCATGGTTAGATTGAGGTATTAATAATAACATTTTGAGAAATAATTCTACAGAAGTGATATGTCCTTTTAGGTGCATATTTTTAAATAATAAAGAAATGCTATTTTGGGGCTGGGTGTGGTGGCTCACACCTGCAATCCCAGCACCTTGGGAAGGCAAGGTGGGCAGATCACCTGAGGTCAGGAATTCGAAGCCAGCCTGGCCAACATGGTGAAACCCCATTTCTATGAAAAATACATAAAAAAAAAAAATTCGCCGGGCATGGTGGCACACACCTGTATTCCCAGCTACTCAGGAGACTGAGGCAGGAGAATCGCTTGAACCTGGGAGATGGAGGTTCCAGTGAACCGAGATTGCGCCACTGCACTCCAGCCTGAGCAATGGAGCAAGACTCCATCTCAAAAAAGAAAAAAAAAAAAAAGAAAGAAATGCTATGTTGGTGTTAAAAGTGAAATCCATGTACAGAAGGCACTGCCTTCTAAAAAGTAGTTGATGACAAAAAGTACAGTCTACAAATGAATCAAAGGTTGATTTTTTTAAAAAAGCTCAACATTCCTAAGTCAATTAAGTGGAGAATCAGCCTGAAATTCACCATGAGGACAAGCAGAACCTACCTGAACTGTACTCCAAAAATGAAGAGTAGACACTGAGGTTTAGCTGCTCTAACTGTACAAAGTATGGACACACAGTGCAACCTAAGGATACCCCATTACTTTCACCAGTGTCCAGGTGACATGCAAATGAGGCAGGCAGAATCGGTTCCTTTGACAACCTCAGCAGGGAGAAAGGCTTTTCACAGTTGCAGTGCAGCTGTTGGACTTGACAACTGAAGGTCCTGATGGTCTCTTCAAGGTTCTACTCGAAGCAAGAAACATGTGACACACAGCACACAGTGTCTACTTCCTTGCCAAACTCAAGAGCATCTCACGGGTACAGTTAGGAATTAGGTCAATTTTCCCCTTGTTGAGTAAAGTTATCTGCTTAATATTTGTTTACTGCAAGAATCAGACTGATGTAATCTCTTCTCAGGATGAACATTAATCCAACTCTGTCTAGAAAAATTATGCAATTCATTACCCCAAGTAATCTCTATTGTCCCCTGTGCTTAACCTTCATTTTTTCCCCAGTCCTATAATCTTGCAAATCTACTGGTGGTATGTGATTGACATCTGGTGTTCACACACCCTCTGCTTCACAGCAAATAAATGAAAAATTCCTGTATAAAATGTCACTTCCAGGCTATCAATAATGCAGCTCTCTGTTCTTTGGTAACTTCTGCACCAGTCTAGAAAGGTCTGTTATCTTTAGTCTAGTGACCACTCTAGAACGGTCTGTAAGAATAAAGAAGCCTCTTACTCTGAAACGTTTTGACTCTATCAGGATAGCATTTGACTTAAAACTTGATTTAATTTTCCTGCAAAGATATTCACTGTTCAAGCACTTTTAATCAAAGCTTTACAAATAATGGCAATGTAAAAGCAAGTAATGCTGAATAGTCACATATTTCTCCATGGAATTTCTCAGGTGAATTCAGAGCAAAATCAACATGAATATGATGAAATGTATTTTCACCCTCCAGAGCATAACTCTTCAAGCCATATACCAGCTGAATCTTTAGCTGTCAGTTCATCTATGTAATTTTGTGATCCAAATAAAGCTTTGTCTGTAGAATGTGCCTTGTAAACTCGATTCTATTAGCAGAATTATATTAATACTAATGCCTTGATCAAGTGAGTGATTTGTAAGTGCTTCTTTGTATCTATGTAAGATTTCAACCAGAGAAGTCTAGAACTTTGTTGTTGTTGTTGTTTCTAATCTGGGAGGGGTGCTTAGGTTTGCACCATGGAAATAATGTCAAGGTAGAGTTTTAAAACTATCATTTAAAACTTAATTGAGTTTCGAGCAGGCCCCACAAACGATGAATGACCACACCACTCAAGTGCCTTTCTCTATTAACTTAACCCTGGATTAGCAGGGTTCTAGGGTTCTAACCCTCATCCTTTCTCATGTGCATGACTGCAATAGCCTCCTGGCTAATGTCACTACCCAGAACGAGGGTGCTGTAGTCTCACTGTGTGGCTCAGCTCCCAGGCTCTGCCAACTCCTACCTTGGTAACTTTGGTCCATTTAATTATATTTGCCTCCGGTTCCTCATTTGTAAAATGAATACCCTATGGTATTTTCCTTATGTGAGAATTTAATAAATTGATGAATATAAAAAACTGAACACAATGACTCACACAGTAAGCATCAAAAATGTTAGTTACTATTATTGTTATTATTTATTATATTATCTCTGTACCAATACCTGGGATCATCTAAAATACAAATCTAATCATGGCTCTCTCCTGACCCTTTTTTCCTGAACATTTTCAATAAAGTACTAATTTTAAAGATTTTTTCATTCACTTGACCACTTTCTTTATTTGCCTAATTTAGATTTTATTTTAGGGCTGCCATATATGATATGCTGGTCACAGATGAGGCACCAGAATAACCTGCCTGCTCTGAAAGAAACTCTAACATTCTAGGCTTTGTATTCTCTAAGCAAACAAACTCAGGGGAACAGAAGTGGCTCTGAAGTGCACTGGATCTTAGGAGAAAGCGAGTCAAAAATGTTTCAACGGCCTAGACAATCTGAAAGGGGGAAGTCGATTCATAACTGAAGTTATTTCAGCCCCTTAATTAAAATAGAAAACCATGCAACTAAATTTGTAATTTCTGAGATGATCAGTTGTTAATTTACTTTACAGATGGGATTTGATTGGACTCCATGGAAGAGATATCAATTCCATTAACTCATAATTTCTTTCATTTGATTTTGAAATGTTTAATAAAAAATTAGAACCCACAGTTTTGTGGAAACTAAATTATTACAGAGGACTAGCCCAGAAAGCCTTGGTAATGACAATATACAGATCAATGAGAATGATGTATAAATGCATAGTCAAGTTAACAAATGACGTTTTATCAACCCCTGTCAATGGAGAAACAAAGTTCCAAATTCTGCAGATCAACACCAAAATAATCAAGCACAGCTTATCACAATCACAGAAAAGACATTTCAAGGATACTCTAGTTTACTGAAGTGGGAAGATAATGAAAAGCCTGAGGCCCCATATGCTATACCTGCTTCATAATATGTTAACTCATGCCCATATTTTAATATTGGATAAACTATTAACATAGCAAAAACTAATAATATCTCTACACAGCACACGGTGCTGAGAAGGGCAGTGTTTTGGTGTTGTCATGAGCTACAGGGCTTTACAACTGGGAAAATAACATTCTTTTCCAAAGATCAGTTCCTGACTTTGGTGATTTTAAGTCACTGCATGAATAGTGTATGATTACTTCAGGAAATCCATCATCACCAGTATTAGAACATGGGACATAGAAGGCACAGCATCATATTTATATACAGAAATCATTATAGTTTGCAAATTGTCAAATTCTATTATAGATAACCTCTTACATATTTTAGACATCTTAATTCTTGCAGTGTCCTTTGCTTAGGCTACCCCATCTTGTCTGTACCCTCCCACATGTTTTGTGAAATAAACTTTCAATGTTTACACCATTTTCATTATTTAGATAGCGTTCAATTGCTTTGTTTTTGCACGTGCCTCATTTCTATGTACTCATCACTAATTCTTATCAATTTCCTTCAGTGCTCTCTAAATTCTCAATATGGTCAGACATATGGTCCTGTAATTTTCATATAGCTCCTCTCCTATTTTCCATCACTTTATCTTTTGCTCCACTTACTGACAGATTTTCCTGACTTTATCCCTTTCATAGATTATTTTATTTCTACTTTTAGATTTCTAATTTCCCAAAGTTCTCTTATACTCTCCGATTATACCTTATGAAAACTGCATGTCATTCTTGATTCATAAATGCAATTTCTACTCTTATTTTTCTAAGACTATTAAACATAGTTTCTTGGGATTTTTTTTTTCATGTTCCTTGAATTGTCTATTTTCTCCAAGTCTCTTTGTTTCAGTTTTTAAAGTTATGCTTTCTCTTTTTCATGATGGCGACTTTCCTCACTAGCTCCAGATCCTTAGCATCCATTCATATTTGCAATAAGGCTGTGTGTGTGTTTGCAGGGCTGGTGGACTTTCTTCCATGGTGGCTGGAAGGGAATCTTGTTTTGATGAGCTACCTCTCTTTTGTAGTTAAATGAATGAGATTTTGTTTATGTTAATTTTGCTTTGAGGACTTTGAAATAGAGCATGGTATACAAATATACAGTAGTATATTTCCTACAAAGAGTTAACATTAACCAATTTTGAATTTTTCTTTATAGTTTTTTGGAGACTGTTGCTGAAGTCATTTGGAGTAACATTTGTAGGTAGAATATTTTTGAGTTTATTTCCATTTGTGGAGATAAGAATAGACAGAAGATATCAGGCCAGGTTGGCATTAGAAGTCAGGAATGAAGGAAAGATGATGTCCTCTATAGTTATACAAGTTGTTAGTTACAATTCCAGGGTGGAGTAAGGGATTTTATTATTTCACTGTGTTGTTCCCAAAACTACTCCAACACTCGCGTAAGTGATACTAATTTGTTTCAGGGGCTGGGAGGATTAGGAATAACTGGCAGAGAGAACCTAGGGCAAAGAAATATGCTACTTTTGTGTATGTGTGTGTGTGTGTGTGCCTGTGTGTGTGCATGAACATGTATATGTATTTTAAATTGGGACCTAGAAAAAGTGATGCCAAGGTCAGTAACTCATTAATTCCTTCCACAAACCACCCTTTAGAAGGCAGATGTCTTAACTCACAGTAGAATAGGAAGCATTAAAAACAAGGGTTCTAGTGTCTCTCTCTCCTTCTGGTTCCTCAGATACTTCCTCTTCTCTCCTCAGAAATAGCTGGATTTTCACAGACTTTTATACATCTATAGAAGGTGTTTTTTTTCCTTCTCTATAAATAGGACACAAACTAAGAAAACAGAAGCTACTGTTAGATTTGTAAAAAAAAAAATTTACCATTTTGATAGCTTACAGATAAGTCCTCAAAATACTCTTAATTATTGTCAATGAACATTTAAAAATTATTCTGTTTCTTGTCCAACGTTAAAAATTCCACTCAGTTATTGCAACAGGATTTTACTTCAAAGCATTGGTATGAAAGAATTAAGTAGTGTATATATATTGAAATATATAGATGCTGATGGCAGGGAAAGTCCCCTAAAACTTAGGGGTGAACATATAGAGAAGCCTTATAACTATAGGGAGACAAACAATCTGATTTAAAAAATGGGCAAGAGGTTTGAATAAACATTTCACCAAAAAGATAGACATAGGCACATGAAAAGATGTTCAACATCACAAGTCTTTAGATATATGCAAATTATAAACTAAAATGAGATACTACTATACACCCACCACAGTGGCTAAAATAAAAAAAAGAATGACTATTATCAGGTGTTAGCAAGGATGAGGAGAAACTGGAACTCTCATACAGGGCTGGCGGGAATATAAAATAGTACAGTTACCTGGAAAAGAGTAGCAGTTTCTTATAATCTTTAACACACATAAAATATGTGACCTAACAATTCCACTTCTAATTATCTCTACCCAAGAGAAACAAAAACACATGTCCATACAAAGACTTATATGTGAATGTTCATAGGAGTATTAATCATAATAGTCAAAATTTAGAAATAATTCATATGTCTATTGATTAGTGAATGGGTAAACAAAATGTGGTGTATCTACACAATGGAATAATATTTAGTTTATAGAATAAAAGAAATGAACTGGAAAAGAAAAGAAATGGAATAAAAGAAAAAAGAACAAATCACTGATCCATGCAACAACATTGATTAAACCCCCAAAAGCATTATGCTAAGACAAAGAAACCAGACACCTGATTCCATTTATATGAAATTTTTTGAAAAGATAAAAATAGAGGCAAAAGGCAGATCAGCATTCCCTTGGGGTTGAGGGTAGGAGCAGGGATTAAATGGCAACAAGCTTAAGGAAATTTTGGGTGCTGATGGAAGTGTTCTAAACCGGATTGTGGTGATGGCTGCAAAACTATCAGTTAACTAAAATTTGCCTAATTGTACACTTAAAATGGATACATTTCATGGTATATAAATTATATCTCAACAAACCTCATGAAAAAATGAGACTAAGATTAATTTCATATTTCAGTTATCAGACAAGTTTCTGAATGAAATATATCACTGCAAATAGTATATTTAAATTTCTATCATTAGGTAAAGAAAGCAAGGGCCTATCTACAGAACTTAAATGTTAGGTTTAAGCTTAGATATTGTTGGCAATTTTTGTACCATATCTGTATATAAAGAAACATTTTTATCTTTGTATTTTCCAAGCCGAACTCTCTCCTTTAATGATTTTGCTGAACAATCCATATGACTTCTGCAAAATTCCATAAATAGAACAGGGTCCTGAAACTAAAAGAGATTTGGAAGATTCACCTAGCTCACTGTGTGCTTTACAAATAAGGAAACAGAATCAGAGATGTAAAATAACTTGCCCAAAGTCATACAGCATCAAATAAGCAAAAAATATCAGGGACCAGGTCTCCTAACTCACAATCCAATGATTGTGACACACACTACCCAAAGAAAATTAGGTAAATGTCATGGTTACGGGAATTCTGACTTTCTGAAATCAGGTTTTTCTCTTTTCTGATGTTTTGCACTTGTGATGAGCCCAGAGGTGATAATCCTATAAAGTAAATAAGCATAAGATGTTATCTCCCATAGGGCAACTTCTATTTGTGGCTAAATGAGCCAAGATGAAGAAACACTTCAAATAAAAGACTCAGCTGGAATAACATAGCAAAGAGGCTGCTTAGCTTGAAAGGGAGTTTGGCACTTAGCCATTGTGATTCATAAACTATAGTGCAATAAACTTGTACGAACAAAAATCTAATTTCCATATTCAACGCTGGTTACCTGAATGAGCCATATGAGAGCTAATTTTTGGAAACAACATTAATTCTCTGGAAACAAAATGAGCCACTTGATACCAGACAGAGTGTGGTAGCTAAAGGGTTTTCAAATCTTACATCCTATTCATACCTTTTCTCCACCTCCAGATTCCAAGGAATATCTCTAGAATTGACTTACATCAAATCCTAGTCCAGTTTAATGCCTGTTTTTCTTTTAAAAGAATCAGTCTGGTTGATAAAAGTAAAATACAAAAAGTAAGCCATCTAAAGCAAAAGAAAAGAAAGATGAGGACATGTGATTGAGTCTCAGAAGGTTTTAAAGTATTCAATATCACCAAGAAAGTTTCCTTATTTGTATCAAAGAGACAAGGGTACCAAAAGTTATTTGAGACTAGAACCAGCAATATTTACTTGAAAAGGTTCAGGAAAACTAATTCTTTCCAAAATCTCAATAAAGTCCTGAAAACAAGGAATATGATAACTTGATAGTTCTTAAAGGTAAATTTTTAAGGAAACATCTGATACACTGTGGTAGATTGTAGTGGTGTTCACAGTAGCCACTGTTTCTCCGGGTAAAAGCATTATTAATTGATGTCCCATGGGTACCAAGCTTAGTCACATGACTCTTTGGCTGATGAACTGTTAGGAGCAACATATGCCACTTCCCAACAGAAGCTGTATGAGCCATCACATGGTTCCACTATGTTCTCTTCCTACTGCCACAAGTAAAAAAAAACATCACACACAGAATATTCTCCTTAAATCTGGAAACTGGAAGGAAGACAATGGCTCATGGTAAACATATAGACTGAGCAAAATTTTCTTTGAGTTGTAGGCCACTGAGTTATTTGTTACTGCAGTGTAACCTAGCCAAAAATGACTCATAAGAGCTAAACAAAAAGCTCTTTGTTTCAGGTAATGAACTACATGGTTCTTTGCATACCTCACACTGATTGCAAAATATGTGTTAATATATGTACTCATTATCCTAGATCAATGTTTTGCCAATACTTTTGATCTAGCATGTACATTATGATGTAATACACATATGCATGTATAGATATATAAATATGTAGACATAACTAAAAGTCACAAAATGATACCTTACTATGTGTATTGTACTCTATTTCCTCTTCTATTTTAAATTTTTTTTTTTTTGGAACCCACTAAATTGATTCGAAGTCCTAGTAATGTGTCACAATCTATTGTCCCACTTTCTACCCAGGGTCCACCTCGTTGGACTATTCCCTAAGTGTGTCTTCCTGTTTTATTTTTTCTCCCAAATTTTAATGTAACAGCACTTGACCCCGAATTTACTGTAGGATCCCCAGGGAAGATTTTTAAAATTTTGCTCCCAAACCTTCACAGATGATGATTTATTTGGTATGGGCTGGAAACCATTATTTTAACATTTTAGGATTCGTCACAGGTTCCTCACTAGAGGAAGACAAGAGAACAAACCATTGTTGAACAATGTAATTAAGGTTTGGTGATGATGCATCTGCAATGAACTGTCCCTGTGTGAATCAACAGGATTTTAACCTTTTGTTGAATATCCAAATTATGGTCAGCTATAGAACATTTAAAAATTGTTGTAACATACTTCTTTTCAGGGCACAAATTTTGACCATTTATATATACAGAAGTAAAGCACCAGGTGGGAAAGGCAGTGAATGGGGTGCTTACAGGCTGATGACATTGTCCAACTCAACATCCATCTTGGGACAGTAGTGAGCCCTGGGGTGCTGTGTCCCAGAGCATATACATTTCATTATCAACACTCATATAAATCATTTGGACATATGTCTGTTTATGCTAATACACATACTTTGGTTCCTGAAAATCTGCCACCTTAATTTGGCCTCCCAGTCATAGAAGATCCTGCAACTGTCTCTCATATGGCCATACAGTTTTGTATTAGTCAGTGTTCTCCAGAATAAAAGAATCAATAGGATGTGTGTGTGTGTGTGTATATATATACACATATATATACATATATATACATATATACATATATATACATATATACATATATACATATATACACATATATACATATATATACATATATATATACACACACACACACACACACATATACAAGCATACCTTGAAGATACTGCAGGTTCAGTTCCAGACCACCATCATAATGTGAATGTTGCAATAAAGCAAATGTCGCAATAAAGTGAGTCGCATGAATTATTCGTTTTTTACAGTGCATATAAAATTTATGTTTACACTCTAGTCCATTAAGTGTGCAATAGCACTATGTATAAAAATGTACATATCTTAATTAAAAATACTTTATTGCTAAAGAATGCTAAGGATCATCTGTGCCTTTGGCAAGTCACAGTCTTTTTGCTAGAGGAGGGTCTTGCCTCGATGTTGATGACTGCTGACTGATTAGGGTGGTGATTACTGAAGGTTGGAGTGACTGGCAATTTCTTAAAATAAGACAACAATGAAGTTTGTCGCATCAATTGACTCTTCCTTTCATGAAAGATTTCTCTGTAGCATTTTGATGCTGTTTGATAGTATTTTACCCACAGTAAAACTTTTCAAAATTGGAGTCAATTCGCTCAAACCCTGTTGCTGCTTTATCAACTAATTATGAAATACCCTAAATCCTTTTTTGTAATTTCAACAATGTTCACAGCATCCTCATTAGGAGTAGATTCCATCCCAAGAAACCACTCTTTCTGTTTCTCCATAACAAGCAACTCCTACCTGTTTAAGTTTTATCATGAGATTGCAGCAATTAGGTCACATCTTCAGGCTCCACTTTTAATTCTAGTTCTCCTGCTATTTTCACCACATCTGCAGTTACTTTCTCCAAGGAAGTATTGAACCTCTCAAAGTCACCTATAAGAATGGCGGCCAGGCGCGGTGGCTCACGCCTGTAATCTCAGCACTTTGGGAGACTGAGGCAGGTGGATCACGAGGTCAGGAGTTCAAGACCAGCCTGACCAATATGGTGAAACCCCGTCTCTACTAAAAATACAAAAATTAGCCGGGTGTGGTGGTGCACACCTGTAGTCCCAGATACTCAGAGGCTGAGGCAGGAGAATCACTTGAACCCAGGAGGCTGAGGTTGAAGTGAGCTGAGAGTGCGCCACTGCACTCCAGCCTGGGCGACAGAGTGGGACTCCATCTCAAAAAAAAAAAAAAAAGAATGGCTATCAACTTTTTCAAAACTCCTGTTAATATTGGTATTTGACCTCTTCCTATGAATCACAAATGCTCTTAATGGCATCTAGAGTGGTGAATCATTTCCAGAAGGTTTCCAATTAACTTTTCCCAGCTCCATCGGAGGCATCACTATCTATGGCAGCCATATTCTTAGGAAATGTATTTCTTAAATAATAAGAATTTAAAGTCAAAATTACTCCTTCATCCATAGGCTGTAGAACAGACATTGTAGCCAATACAAAAACATTAATCTCCTTGTATGTCTCCATCAGAGCTCTTGGGTGACTAGGTGTGTTGTCAATAAGCAGTAATAGTTTGAAATAAATCTTTTTTCTCTGAGCAGTAGGTCTCAACAATGAACTTAAAATATTCAGTAACCTATGCTGTAGATGGCTGAAGTCTGGGCTACATCATTTCATTTATCGTGCACATGTAGAGTAGATTTCCACATTCTTTTATTATTATTATTATACTTTAAGTTTTAGGGTACATGTGCACAATGTGCAGGTTTGTTACATATGTATACATGTGCCATGCTGGTGTGCTGCACCCATTAACTCGTCATTTAGCATTAGGTATATCTCCTAATGCTATCCCTCCCCCCTCCCCCCATCCCACAACAGTCCCCAGAGTGTGATGTTATCCTTCCTGTGTCCATGTGTTCTCCTTGTTCAATTCCCACCTATGAGTGAGAACATGTGGTGTTTGGTTTTTTGTCCTTGCAATAGTTTACTGAGAATGATGATTTCCAATTTCATCCATGTCCCTACAAAGGACATGAACTCATCATTTTTTATGGCAGCATAGTATTCCATGGTGTATATGTGCCACATTTTCTTAATCCAGTCTATCATTGTTGGACATTTGGGTTGGTTCCAAGTCTTTGCTATTGTGAATAGTGCCACAATAAACATACATATGCATGTGTCTTTATAGCAGCATGATTTATAGTCCTTTGGGTATATACCCAGTAATGGGATGGCTGGGTCAAATGGTATTTCTAGTTCTAGATTCCTGAGGAATCACCACACTGACTTCCACAATGGTTGAACTAGTTTACAGTCCAACCAACAGTGTAAAAGTGTTCCTATTTCTCCACATCCTCTCCAGCACCTGTTGTTTCCTGACTTTTTAATGATTGCCATTCTAACTGGTGTGAGATGGTATCTCATTGTGGTTTTGATTTGCATTTCTCTGATGGCCAAGGAGAACTACAAACCAGTGCTCAAGGAAATAAAAGAGGATACAAACAAATGGAAGAACATTTCATGCTCGTGGGTAGGAAGAATCAATATCGTGAAAATGGCCATACTGCCCAAGGTAATTTATAGATTAAATGCCATCCCCATCAAGCTACCAATGACTTTCTTCACAGAATTGCAAAAAACTACTTTAAAGTTCATATGGAACCAAAAAAGAGCCCACATCGCCAAGCCAATCCTAAGCCAAAAGAACAAAGCTGGAGGCATCACACTACCTGACTTCAAACTATACTACAAGGCTACAGTAACCAAAACACCATGGTACTGGTACCAAAACAGAGATATAGATCAATGGAACAGAACAGAGCCCTCAGAAATAACGCTGCATATCTACAACTATCTGATCTTTGACAAACCTGAGGAAAAAAAAGCAATGGGGAAAGGATTCCCTATTTAATAAATGGTGGTGGGAAAACTGGCCAGCCATATGTAGAAAGCTGAAACTGGATCCCTTCCTTACACCTTATACAAAAATTAATTCAAGATGGATTAAAGACTTAAACGTTAGACCTAAAACCACAAAAACCCTAGAAGAAAACCTAGGCATTACCATTCAGGACATAGGCATGGGCAAGGACTTCATGTCTAAAACACCAAAAGCAATGGCAACAAAAGACAAAATTGACAAATGGGATCTAATTAAACTAAAGAGCTTCTGCACAGCAAAAGAAACTACCATCAGAGTGAACAGGCAACCCACAAAATGGGAGAAAATTTTCGCAACCTACTCATCTGACAAAGGGCTAATATCCAGAATCTACAATGAACTCAAACAAATTTACAAGAAAAAAACAAACAACCCCATCAAAAAGTGGGTGAAGGACATGAGCAGACACTTCTCAAAAGAAGACATTTATGCAGCCAAAAAACACCACATTCTTAAAGGCTGTAGGATTTCTAGATGGTAAATGAGCACTGGCTTCAACTTAAAGTCACCAGCTGCATTAGCCCCTAAGAAGAGAATCTGTCCTTTGAAGCTTTGAAGCCAGGCACTGACTTCTCTCTAGCTATGAAAGCCCTAGAGGGCATCTTCTTCCAATAGAGGGCTGTTTTGTGTACATGGAAATTCTGTTGTTTCATGTAGCCATCTTCATCAATGATCATAGTTAGATCTTCTGGATAACTTGCTGCAGCTTCTCAATCAGCTTTACCTTGTACTTCTATGTTATGGAGATGGTGTCTTTCCTTAAACCTCACGAACTGCCCTTGACTAGCTTAGGGAATATTGTGGCTGGTTTGATCTTTTATTCAGACGGCTAAAACTTTTTCTCTATCAGCAACAAGGGTGCTTCACTTTCTCACACGTGTGTTCACTGAAGTAACATTTGTAATTCCCTTCAAGAACTTTTATTTTGCATTCACATCTTGGCTAACTGGTGCAAGAGGCCTAGATTTCAGTCTGTCTTGGCTTTCAACATGCCTTCCTCACTAAGCTTAATCATTTCTCGCTTTTAATTTAAAGTGAGAGAAGTGTGAATCTTCCTTTCACTTGAACACTTAAAGGCCACTGTAGGGTTATTAATTGGCCTAACTTCAATGTTGTTGTGTCTCAGGGAATGGGGAGGCCTGAGGAGAGAGAAAAAGATGGGGGAATGGTTGGTCAGTGGAGCAGTCAGAATACATACAACATTTACCGATTAAGCTCACTATCTTATATGGGTGCAATTCTTGGAGCCCCACAACAATTACAACAGTAACATCAAAGATCACTGACCACAGATCACTGAAAAAGGTATAATAATAATGAAAAAGTTTGAAATATTGTGAGAATTATCAAAATGTGACACAAAGATATGAAGTGAGCACATGGTGTTGCAAAAAAAAATGGTGCTGATAGATTTGCTTAATTCAGGACTGCCACAAACCTTCAATGTATAAAAGATGCAATATTTGTGAAATGCAAAATATGTCTGTATATATTTATTTATTATGAGGAATTGCCTCACGTGGTTATGAAGGTTGGTAAGTCTCATGATCTGCTTTTGGCAAGCTGGAGACCCAGAAAACTAACAATATAATTCAGTCTGAGTCCAAAGGCCTGAGAACCAGGGGGAGCTGAGGCTGTAAATTCCAGTCCAGAAGCAGCAGAAGATGAAATGCAATGTCCCAGCTGAAACAGTGAGGCAGAGAAAAGAGGAAAATTCCTCCTCCCTCCACATTTTATTCTATTCAGGCCCTCAATGTACCGGATGATGCCCTCCCGCAGTGGGGAGGGCAGTCTACTCTACTGAGTCCACTGCTTCAAGTGCTAAGCTCATCCAGGAACACCCTTACAGACACACCCAGAAATAATATTTAATCTGGGTAGCCATGGCCCAGTCAAGTTGACACATAAAGCTAATCATCACAAGTTCCTTTTAGATGCCAATGATTTCAAAAGAAGGATGGCTACTCTTAGCTTTATGGCTACAATTAGCTGACAGATCCATTAATCAATGGATTAATCAATTCATTAATTCAAGCAATTACTCTATACTCAATTTGTGTCAAGCACTATAATAGGTGACAAGGGCACATGGAAGAATAAGAGGATCTTCCCTGAAAGAGCTCAATGTTGACAGAGGTGGGAAAAGGTATATATAAAAAGTTAGTGGTACACTGTGGTGACTGTAGTGATAGAGTTGATTATGAATTATGTGCTCTGCCTTGTAATTCACTTCTTATTTTGATCTTTTTTTCTAGGAATTATCTGTATTTCATTATTCCTTGTCATAATTCGCCATTGAATTTAACCCTAGTCCATGCATCTACCCCTTTTCCCTGTATATCTGGTCCTCATATACCCTTGCCAAAGGAATATGGTTGTTAAAGAGAAATACAACGCTATTTAATGATGGTACCTGTCCTGGCCACACATATTTGTGCTCGGATCCCCACATGAAAATGCAGTTTCCACAATGGTTCATTCACAGTCCTGTGGGATGTACTCACATCCTTTCTCAACACATGTCATTAACACATTCTTTAATTTCAGTGCTTGTTAAGTGATGTCTTGATGGCCCTTTGCTCACTGCTATCTCTGTATCTCAGTAAAGTAGAAACTTATAATAATTAATTCATTCTGTTTTGCTCTAGCCTCTGCTGATAACTGGCAACTTTGTAATAATTGTATTTCCTTGTGATGATAATATTCATATCACAGTGAGGTATGGTAAAGGCAAGAGGTGTAGAAGATGCTATACAACTTTTCTCATATTTAATTCCATAAAATGCATATTGTAATTTCTGCTGAATGGGATATGGAAGAGTCAGATAATTCTCCATAATCTAAAATCTACGGTCTAGAATCAATTGCCCACCATCCAAAGTGACCTGAGGTCTAAAAATAAAATATGAATGATACCTTGTCATAGCCTATAAGAATTAGCATCATCCTTACCCACATGCTCCAGAATCTGTGCATTTTTAAAAAATCATGGTAACAAATAATATTAAATTTATCATCTCAACCATTTTAAGTGTACAGTTTAGTAATGTTAAGTATATTCCCACTATTGTAAAACAGATCTCTAGAACGGTTTTCATCTTCCACCACCAAAACTCTATGCCCACTAAACCTTTTAATCGGTTCCCCTCCAGCTCTTTAAAACCACCTTCATGAATCAATAAATTAATCAATTCATCAATTCAAGCAATTACTCCTGAATTTCCTCCCCCAAGCCCTTGGCAACTACCTTTTTACCTTCTGTTTCTATCATACTGACTACTGTAGATACATCATATGTGTGAAATTATACAGTATTTGTCTTTTTGTAACTGGCTTATTTTTGTTAATATAAAATCCTCAAGTTTCATCTATGTTGTTACATATTGCGGAATTTTCTTCCGTTTTAAGGCTATATAACATTCTTTTGTATGTATGTACCATGTTTTCTTTATCCATTCATCTGCTGTTGGACATCTGGGTTACCTCCACCTCTTGGCTATTGTGAATAATGCTGCAGTGAACATTAGGTGGGCCTGTGTCTCTTCAAGATCCTGCTTTGAATTCCTTTGGATAGAGACACAGAAGTGGGATTGTTGAATCACATGGAAACACTATTTTTAATTTTTCAGCATCCTCCATACTGTTTTCTACCATGGTTGGACCATTTGGCATTCACACCAGTAATGTGCAAGGATTTCAATTTCTCCACATCATCACCAACACTAGTTATTTTCTGTTGTTTTGATAGTGACCATCCTGACAAGTGTGAGGCAATATCCATTTGTGGTTTTGATTTGCATTTACCTAATTACTAGTGGTGTTGAGCATCTTTCCATGTGTTTATTGGTCATTTGTATTTATTCTTTGGAGATATGTATATTCAAAGTTCTTTGATCATTTTTAATTGGGTTATTTATATATTGTTTTTGTTGAATTGTAGAAGCTTTTATATCCTAGATATTAACACATCATCAGACATATAATTTGCAATTATTTTCTCCCATTCTGTAGGTTGCTTTTTCACTGTTGATTGTTTCCTTTGATGTGAAAAAGTTTTTAAGTTTGATATAGTTGTCTGTTTTTTTATTTTGTTGCCTGTGCCTGTGCATATGTTTAAAATAAAACTGTCTTACAGTTTAATTTCAAAACAAACAATGGCATAAGTTTACAGAAGCTTCTCTCTAGTAATACTCCCAGAAAAATATATAAGTTGGTTGGTCTATATGGGTCAAGTTTATTTAGACTGTGTATCTGTTCCTAATAATAAAATGAATCAAATAATATACAGATTACTATGAACTGCCTTAATGTCCTAAAAAAAATTAGAAACAAAGTCATAGATCAGTCATATATAGAAATACTTAATTCTTGGCTGGGCGTGGTGGCTCATGTCTGTAATCCCAGCACTTTGGGAGGCTGAGGTGGGCGGATCACCTGAGGTCAGGAGTTCGAGACCAGCGTGGCCAAAATGATGAGACCCCGTCTCTACCAAAAATACAAAAATTAGCTGGGCATGGTGGCATGCACCTGTAGTCCCAGCTACTTAGGAGGCTGAGGCAGGAGAATCACTTGAACCCAGGAGGCAGAGGTTGCAGTGAGCCTAGATCGTGCTGTTGCACTCCATCCTGGGTGATAGAGCAAGACTCTGTCTCAAAAAAACAAAAAAAGAAATATTTAATTGTTTATGCCACAGGTAAAATCCTTTCTAATATAAGCCTGGCAAAGATTTTTAAAAGTTTAAATTGTAATAACCTTGACATTTATTTTTTTAACTTGGACCTCTAAGAAACTTACAATTTAATAACATAACCTAAGAGCAGCAGAAAATTTTCTAGGTTGGCCTTCACCTGTCCTTTCATCCCAGCAAATACACCTTCTTCTAGAGTATTCTGGGGCCTTCTCCATAGAATGCTGTGGGGTTGGGCTCAGACGAGGCAAATGACCTGTGAAACCTCTTACAGTTTTCATTGGGTGTATAAAATGTACTTGCAAGTGCTGACTTTCTAAATTAAAACAACCTATAAAAGTGTGTTTGAGGTGGGGGAAGACGGAGATGAGGAAGAAGGCTGAGACATCCACAGTGTATTCTGATCACATGAGCTTTGGAAAAATACTACTTGGAGAATGTTTTAGGGGTTGCTTAATGTTACCAAAACCACTTGGTTCTTCTGAGATGGTTTCTCTCTTCTCTGACAGAGCTGAGAAATGAGGCTCAGTCTTCTATTATGCAGGGTAGCCAGAATATTAAGAGACCCACTCCCAAGACTACACTGCAGAACTGCATGATACACAGGTCCATACTAGTCTGCAGCTCTTTCAATAAAACAAAATGGTGTGACTCAAAGATAATGTTGGAGAAGTGGATGAACATATTGAGCCTCTGTAATTTAAAATAAATTTTGCAAATGTTTCTCAGACAATGTTGGTGGTTAAGGACGTAGCGTCTGGAGCCAGATTATCTGAGTCTGACTCCTGGTTTCACCATCTACTCAATGTGTAATCTTGGAATAAGATCTTTTTCTGTATCTTGGCTCCTGCTATGAGCTGAATGTTTTTGTCCTCTCAAAATTCCTACATTGAAACTTAATCTCCAGTGTGATGGTATTTGGGGGTGAGGCCTTTGGAAGGTGATTAGGTCATGAAGGCAGAGCTCCCATGAATGGAATTATTGCTCTTATAAAAGAGACCTCAGAGGGCTCCCTTACCTCTTCTGCCATATGAGAAAACAGTGAGAAAGCACCATCTATGAACCAGGAAGCAGCCCTCACCAGACACCAAATCTGGTGCTGCCTTGATCTTGGACTTCCCAGCCTCCAGAACTAAGAGAAATAAATTTGTGGCTTATAAGTCACCCAGTCTATGGTATGCTGTTATAATAGCCTGAATGAACTAAGACAGCTCCCTTTTCTGCAAAGCAGAGATAATAATACTGTTTACGTTGCTGGGTGGTTGTGAGTATTCAGTAGTGTGTATAAAATCTTTAGAAACATTCAAGCTCATAACAAAGGGTCTATCAATGATAGCTATTGTTGTGAATCACATATAATTTTACCTGAAAATTAACAGGTGAACATTTTGAGATAAAGAAATCTAATGGCTTACAAACATTCTAAAATTATAAATACTCAAAATGCAAATCTAGGCCTCTTGACTCCTAGCCTATGATCTCTCCAAATTACCAATGATTCCAAACTTTCGTTATTCATAGACTACTAACAATTTTTTTTGCCATATCCACGATACACCTGGTTATAGTATTTTATTAGTCTCTTTTAAAAATTGGCTCATTCCTATTCAGAACCTGAACTCAACTTTGGACCAAATGGATCTAATAGACCTTTACAGAACGCTCCACCCAAAAAACAACAGAATATACATTCTTCTCATCACCACATGGCACACACTCTAAAATTGACCACATAATTGAACATAAAACAATCCTCACCAAATGTGAAAGAACTGAAATCATACCAAACACACCCTCAGACTACAGCACAATAAAAATAGAAGTCAAGACTAAGAACATTGCTCAAAATCTTGCAATTACATGGAAATTAAACAACATGTGGCCAGGCGCAGTGGCTCACGCCTGTAATTCCAGCACTTTGGGAGGCCGAGGCAGGCGGATCACGAGGTCAGGAGATAGAGACCATCCTGGCTAACATGGTGAAACCCCATCTCGATTAAAAATACAAAAAGTTAGCCGGGCGTGGTGGCAGGCGCCTGTAGTCCCAGCTACTTGGGAGGCTGAGGCAGGAGAATGGCGTGAACCCGGGAGGCAGAGCTTGCAGTGAACTGAGATCGTGCCACTGCACTCCAGCCTGGGCGACAGAGAGATACTCTGTCTCAAAAACAAAACAAACAAACAAAAACAAAAAACTAAAAAACAACAACATGCTCCCTTTTGGGTAAATAATTAAATCAAGTCAGACATAAAGAAGTTCTTTGAAACTAATGACAACAAAGATACAACATACCAAAATCTCTGGGACACAGCTAAGGTGGTGTTAAGAGAGAAATTCACAGCACTAAATATCCACATCCAAAAGTTACAAAGATCTCAAATCAGCAACCTAACATCACAACTGAAAGAATTAGGGAAGCAAGAGCAAATTAACCCCAAAGTTAGCAGAAGCCAAGAAATAACCAAAATCAGAGCTGAACTGAATAAAATTGAGACACGAAATACCATTCAAAAGATCAATGAATCCAGGAGTTGGTTTCTTGAAAAAATTAATAAGATAGATATACTGCTACCTAGACTAATAAAGAAGAAAAGACAGAAGATTCAAATAAAAACAATGAGAAATGATGAAGAGAATGTTACCACTGACCCCACAGAAATAAAAATAACCATCAGAAGCTATCAGGAACACCTCTAGGCACACAAACTAGAAAACCTAGATGAGATGGATAAATTCCTGGACACATACACCCTCTCAAGACTGAACCAGGAAGAAATTGATTCTTTTAACAGACCAATAATGAGCTCTGAAACTGAATCAGTAGTAAATAGCCTACCAACCAAAAAAAGCCCAGGACCTGATGGATTCACAGCCAAATTCTACCAGATGTACAAAGATGAGCTGGTACAATTCCTACTGAAACTATTTCAAAAATCGAGGAGAAGGGACTCCTCCCCGTCACATTCTGTGAGGCCAGCATCATAGTGATACCAAAACCTGGCAGAAGCACAACAAAAAGAGAAAACTTCAGGTCAATATCCTTGATGAACATCGATGCAAAAATCCTCAACAGAATACCTGCAAACCAAATCTAGCAGTACATCAAAAAGTTAATATACCATGACCAAGTGGTCTTCATCCCCAGGATGCAAGTTTGGTTCAACATAAGCAAATCAATAAATGTGATTTATCACATAAACAGAACTACAGACAAAAACCCCATGATTATCTGTAAAGCCTTTTGATAAAATTCAACACCCTTATATTAAAAGTAAACTAAATAAACTAAAACTCTAAATAAACTAAAAACTCAATAAATAGATATTGTAGAAACACAACTCAAAATAATAAGAGCCATCTATGACCAACCTACAGCCAACATCATACTGAATAGGCAAAAGCTGGAACCATTCCCCTTGAAAACCAGCACAAGACAAGGATGCCCTCTCTCACCACTCCTATTCAACATAGTATTGGAAGTCCTAGCCAGAGTAATCAGACAAGGAAAATAAATAAAGTGCATCCAAGTAGAAAGAGAAGAAGTCAAACTATCCCTGTTTGCAGACAACATGATTCTATATCTAGAAAACCTTATAGTCTCAGCCCAAAAGCTCCTTCAGTTGATAAACAACTTCAGCAAAGTTTCAGGATACAAAATTAGTGTACAAAAATCACTAGCATTCCTGTATACCAACAACAGCCAAGGTGAGAGCCAAATGAGGAAGACAATCCTATTCACAATTTCCACAAAAAGAATGCAATACCTAGGAATATAACTAACCAGGGAGGTGAAAGAGCTTTACAATGAGAATTACAAAACACTGCTCAAAGGAATCAGAGAAGCCACAAACAAATGGAAAAACATCCCATGCGCATGAATAGGAAGAATCAATTTTATTAAAATGACCATATCATCCAAAGCAATCTATAGATTCAATGTTATTCTTCTCAAACTACAAATGACATTCTTCACAGAACTAGAGAAAACTATTTTTAAATTCATATGGAACCAAAAAAGAGCCCAAATAGCCAAGGCAATCCTAGGCAAAAAGAGCAAACCTGGAGGCATCACATAACGCAACTTCAAACTATGCTACAGGGCTACAGTTACCAAAACAGTAAGGTACTGGTACAAAAAGAGGCACATAGACCAATGGGACAGAATAGAGAGTCTAGAAATAAGGCCGCACACCTAAAGTCATCTGATCTTTGACAAAGCTGACAAAAACAAGCAATGAGGAAAACATTCCCTCCTCAATAAATGGTGTTGAGGTAACTGGCTAGCCATATGCCCAAGATTGAAGCTGGACCCCTTTTTTACACCATATATAAAATCAACTCCAGACGGATTAAAAGCTTAAATGTAAAACCCAAAACTATAAAAGCCCTGGAAGACAACCTAGGCAATACCATCCTGGACATAGGAATGGGCAAATGTTTTATGACAAAGATACCAAAAGCAATCACAACAAAAGCAAAAATTGACAAACAGGATCTAAGTAAAACTTAAGAGCTTCTGCACCACAAAAGAAACTATCAACAGAGTAAACAGACAACCTACAGAATAGGAGAAAGTATTTGCAAACTACACCTCTGACAAAGGTCTAATATCCAGTATCTATAAGAAACAGACAAGCTTACAAAAGAAAAATAAATGACCCTATTAAAAAGTGGGCAAAGGGCATGAACAGACACTTTGCAAAAGAAGACATACATGTGGCCAACAAGCGTATGAAAAAAAGCTCAATATCACTGATCGTTAGAGAAATGAAAATCAAAACCGCAATGAGATACCATCTCACACCAGTCAGAATGGCTAATATTAAAAGGTCAAAAAATAAGAGATGCTGCTGAAGTTGTGGAGAAAAGGGAACCCTTACACTGTTGGTGGGAGTGTAAATTAGTTCAACCACTGTGGAAAGCAGTATGACAATTTCTCAAAGAGCTAAAAGCACAATTACCATTCAACCCCATTATTGTGTATATACCCAGAGGAATATAAACTATTTCTACCATAAAGACACATGCACACAGATGTTCATTGCAGCACTATTCACAATAGCAAAGACATGAAATCAACCTAAATGCTCACCAATGAAACAGATAAAAAAATGTGATACATATATACCATGGAATAGCATGCAACCATAAAAAAGAATGAAATCATGTCTTTTGCAGGGACATGGGTAGAGCTGGAGGCTATTACCCTTAGCAAACTAACGCTGGAACAGAAATCCAAATACTGCATATTTTCACTTATGAGTGGGAGCTAAAAGTGGGAGACCTCATGAACACAAAGAAGGGAACAACAGACACTGGGGTCTACTTGAGGGTGGAGGGTGGGAGGAGGGAGAGGAGCAGAAAAGGTAACTATTGGGTACTGGGCTCAATACCTGGGTGATGAAATAATCTGTACAAGAAGTCCCTGTTACATGAGTTTACCTATGTAACAAACCTTCACGTGTTTAGTTCCAAACAAAAAATAAAAGTTAAAAAAGACTCGTTTCTTTTAAATAAATAAATCACTACCCTAAATTAAAAACAAACAAACAAACAAAAAACAGAAAATAAAAACATTGCTACTGAGTTTTAGCTAGATATTCTAGCCTGCTGAAAGCTCCAAGCCCAAAGTCTGTTCTCTTGGCTAAAAAGAAAGATTAGTAAATGTCATGGGGGGTAGAGATGTGGTCTTTGACTTACTGAAGCTTTGAAGCAAACTGCAAGTGAGGTAACTTTCTCACAAGGTGATTCAACATTGCTACTACACCCTCAATCATCTCCTGACCACGAAAGCCCCACTGCCTTTTGGGAAAAGCTGTATATGCTGTGCTGCCTCCTGCAGAAAGCCCATGAAGAACAAGCATTGTGGCCGAGCTGCAGGGAAGGCCTAGCTGCCAAGACACCAGGGACATTTCTTATGCACCACCATATCCCAAAGTACTAGGTAGAAAGTATTGTTCTGAATGAGGTCACACAATCAAAGATAAAACCATTTTAAAAAACAATTCATTGAAGAAACCTGAAAAAGAAGCCCAATTGTGCAATCCTTTCAGTTGGTACAGTTTTCATTTCTGAATTCTATTTATTGATGTTAAGAAGTGTCCCTCCTTGATGCTGTCAGTTTTATAATAACGTGATGTTACACCTGCGATGTGATTGGGGAAATCAACAGATTTTAAGTCACCATAAACACATTACAATTTAATTTTAAAACTCTCAAAACTACAGACAAAACCCAAACAGTGATAACACAGACTGGTGGCCTAGGAAGCATCTCTGCCAGTCACACACTCCTGGGCCCAAGGAATGCTAAATTGCCTTAGTTTCTTTGTGCTCATTGCTAGCAAAAATTTTGATAACAAATGATTGGCTTTTATTAAAAAAAAAAGCAGTGTGAAAAACAAAAGCAAAGACAAAATAGTGTGAGATCCCTCAGATCAAGCTCCTCAGATCAAGCTTTAGTGACAGAAGGAAGCAGATAAAACAAGTATCTGAATAATTTATGGTTAAACATTCAGTGTATTGTTCCACGACCTCAGTAGCTTCACTATGTTCATTTGTGAGGCCTAGAACAGAAACTGTTTTTCTAGAAAGAGGGCTCTAGGTTTTAGTAATTTCTAGAATAAATGTTCTAGGCAATGAGGATCCATTTTTCCCTTGGGAAAAAAAAGCTTTAATATTGGAGTCTAAAAATAAAAAGCCAGAAGCCCTCTTCAACATCCCCAGGAGGTGTTCGGGCTTTCTCTTTGATGTTCTCCCGACATTCTTTCACATTTCTATTATATGTGGCATACAGGGTAAAAATTCCATGTAACATGGCAGACATTTGTATGAATCCATGACCTCCTGTTTAAAGAAACCATGTCTTTTTCATCCTTAAATGCCCAGCACTTGTCACATTGCCAAACAGGAGTAGGGTTAAAAAATGTATGTTAAAGGAAGAGATGGTTAAATAACTACACTATGTTTTAAAAATCCGTATTCACTGTAGAGACATTATAGAATGGAGATAAACAAAACATCACCTGTAATCCAATCGCCTCAAAATAAACATTAACATCCTAATGTACATCCTAAAGACTTTCCTACTAGTATATACAGGCAGTCCTTGCTTTGCACAGTAGTAGAGGATGACAAAAATAACAGTGTAAGCTGAAACTGCAAAGTGATCTGTCTTAGTCCATTCAGTCTGCTATAATGAAATACAAAAATGGTGATTTACAAACAACAGAAATTTACTTCTCATAGTTCTGGAGGCTGGGAAGTTCAAGATCAAGACACTGGCAGATCAAGGCATCGTGTAAGGGCCTACTTTCTGGTTCAAAAGTGGCTCCTTCTACCTGTATCCTCCCATGGCAGGAGAGATGACCAAGCTTCCTGGGGTCTCTTTTATGAGGACACTATTCCCATTCAAGAGAGCTCTGCCTTCATGACCTAGTCACCTCTCAAAGACCCCACCTCCTAACATCATTACCTTATAGATTCGAATTTCAAGATACGAATTTAGGGGGAACACAAACATTTGGACCATAGTATTATCTTAATAATCAATGAAGAATATTATAATTGTTCTGTGACCTCTAAAAGTTTTTTTCAAAGCATTGAAATCTCTGTTACTGTTGGCTATACTTATACAGGGAAATGAAAAAAATAGTAAAACTAATATTTATTCAGTACACTGTAATTTAAAACATTAGAAACACTGAGAAGTAAAGTTTTTTTAAATAAAAACTTATGAAGAGTACTTTGAACAGTGCTTGCCTCTTTTTCCTTGTCTTATAACTTATAAATTTCCTGGTCTTATAACTCTTATATGGAATGTGCATTTTTTTCCAGGCTTTAGTGACTCATCACACCCTTTTCTAAGTTTGGATCAGTTTCTAGCATTTTATCCTTTGCATTTTCAATGTGAAATATCTGAGAGTTCCTTTACTGTGAAGTTATTTTTTGTGGTCATGTTCCCTGGTAAGTCTTCATCTTTTTCATTACAACCACTTTCCTCATTTATGTTGTTAGGTTGTCCGCCTTCACTAAGCTCCTCTGGCTGCACATCCAGGATAGCAGCAGTGCCAACATTCCCAGGGTCAGTGGTCTCTTCTAGAATTCTATATAAAATTCACACCTGACTTCCAGCATTATCAGTTTTTGTTCCTTTGCTGTACTTTAATCTTTCTTCGTCAATTCCCTCTTTCAAGTACCTAATTTTACACACAGGTTTATCAGTAGGAGACAAGGAAGCAACACAACTGCACACCTGCATGAACAGAATCACACACATGTGCAGGAACTAATCTGAGAGACTTGAAAAGAAGTGATGTGATTGGTCATTGACCGTGATGTGCATCTGTTATTTACATAGTGATTTTGGGGCTGAAAAGCTAACAGCAAAATAGCTTTGTATCTGCAAACTATAGCAGCTAGTTTGCTTTTTATTTTTCACGGTAATATACTATAGTAACTGAAATTTGAACTGTGTTTTTGGGGAACTGGTATTTTACTAAACCACGGTAATGGAGAATTTGTGCATTTAAAAACCATGCAAAGTAATTGACTACAATAAAAACTATTTACTATATATATTCACATCTATGCATATAAGTGTTTTAATATTATGCTATTATATGTATCCTTCAATAATTTGCTTTTCTCATTGTACAAAATTTCATGACTGTCTTTGCATACCAGTAAATCTATACCTATAGCATCCTTTAAAATAGGCCGTGCAGTATTCCCCTGAATAAATATAAATAGAATTCTTGCAGTGATTTAAGTGATACAACATATACAATGCTCTTAGAATTGGGCCTGTCACATAGCAAGGACTAAATAAATGTTAATTAATATTATTTATGAGCATAATTTATCTGATTTCCTATTGATACATACTTAGATGGTTCCTAAGTTTTAGCACAACATTATAATAAGTTTCCTTGTACAAAGATCACTGTATACTTGTAATTTTTGATATAAAACATTAGCATAATCACGGTTATTCATACTCAAAGCAAAGTTCTTAGATCATAACTTCTGTTAAATAGGAGAATATAGGAGCTCCAGCCAGTCTGGGTTGGAAGGAAAGGTCTAAGAACAAACTCTGAGTTTCTGAGTTGAGGTACCTGTGGGCAAAACAGCCTGGTGGAGTTATCCAATAGGCAACAAAAAATACCCATCTTGAGTTTGTAAGAGATGTACAGGCTTGGTGGTTATCAGTGCAGAGGTGGGAATTAACATCTTTGAGTGTATGGGATATACCAAGGGAGAGTCAATGGGAAGAGACTAAAGTATAAAACCCTAGGCAAAGTCAATATTAAAAAATGATGAACACTGAAAACAATAACAATAAAGCAACTAATATTCATTGAGTACTTGTTTATGAGCCAGGTAGTCTGTCAAGCACTTAGCACACATTATTTCAATTAATCTCCAAATAACCGTCTTTATGAGGAAAGCACTATTACTGTTGCTTTGTTACAGATTAGAAAACTGAGGTTCACAAAAGTTAAATAACTTGCCCATGGCTACTTAACTAAAACATGGTGCAGGCAGGGTTTTCATATATACATTATGATTCCAGGATCCATAATCTTAGCCTTTTGTATTTGTTATCATTATTGTGTAACAAACTAGCCCTAAACCAATAGGCTTAAAACAATTCATTATCTCATGACGTCTGTGTGTCAGCATACCAGGCATGGCTTAGAGTGATTCTGTTTCAAGGTCTCACTGAATTGTATGAAATCAAGTATACACAATGAATGAAATTATACACAAGAGTTGGTTGAGGCTGCAGTCTCACTTGAAGGCTTGACAGAGCTGAGTTGTTGTAGGCCTTTGTTGCAGGTCTCAATCCTTTGAAACCAAATAGCCCTCTCCACAGAGTTGCCTCATGACACAAGAACTGGCTTCCTTCAAGTGAGTGATCCTACAGAGCAAGAGTGAGCAAGTGCCCAAGATGGAAGCCACAGTCTTTTCTGTAACCTAATATTGGAAGTAAATTCCCATTATTTCTGCTGTATCCTCTTCATTAGAAGCAAGCCAATAAGTCTAGCCCATACTCAAGGGGAGGGGAACATATGAGGCATGACTACCAGGATAGCCTCACCAGGAGACATTTGGGAGCACCTACCACTGCCCTCTGAGAGGCATCATAGTAGGCTAACCAGAAGGACTCAGGAATGAGGGAGTGGGTAATTGCACTTTAGTGAGCAATACTCTAGAATTTAGACTATCATTTTAGTTGTTGGTTCTGCTATGAGAAGAAAGGTTAACCTGGAAAGTATAGTAAGAAAAACTCACAAAACTAATCACTGAGGATTGAAAAAACTTTGAAATTTTCTGAAAATCGAAGAGAAGCTTAATGGAAGCCTGCAAATGTGAAAGAAGATGTATATAACTTGCAGCTCTTCAATTTAAAAGAGAGCAAATCATGGTGGCCTTAAACTGCAACATACAGGATTTTACAGAAGGATAAGGTTTTGATGGGAATTGCTAAGAAAAGAATAGGAGGTCACTGTAATTTGCACATATTCTCATGAGTCTGAGTAGTGTGGGGATGGCCTTTCTGAACTTGAGGGATTAGAACAAATGTCATAGGTTTCTTCGAGTTGAAAGTTCTAATAAAAATTAAACAGCACTTTATAAATGTTTGCAAGAAGACAGCCAAATCTTCCATATAAGGCCAACTCAGTCTTCCTGAAAGTTAGCTTCCGTCAGCTCAAGAACTTTGGTGCGATTTACTGTCATTTGTTTGCAAGTAAGCCAGTTTTTATTTTCCTCCTTTTTGTTGAGAATCAGAGATGATTTGAACTGTTTTTCTATCAGTGAAGCCATAGAAGTTTATCCTAGATATATCCAGATGGTTTTCATTGCTTAGGTTGATTTCTGTTAAACTGTTTAATAGTGTTAATAATCCTTTTAATATATTTAAATTTGTGTGGAAAGTAGAGGGGGACAGATCTGATACAGATTGGAAGTCACAGCTCCAGCAGGACTTCTGTTGATTTGTTAAAATCCAACTGTGGTCTCTAATACTTGTTCCAGTTTTGCTGAACCCACAGTCACCTCTTCCTTTAAGCTGTGGCTCTCAACTGCAATGGTTCATTTAATAAGGACATTCACGGAATGTGGACCTCACTGCTCTGGAAGTGTAGGTTTTAATATGAGATGTATGCTTTAGAAAAATAAATTTAACTATAGCATACTCAATAGAGGAAAAGGCAAACTGTGGAGGAAAAAATATTAACAAGATTGTCTTTCACATTCAATGAATTCCAGGCCTGTCAATTTTCATTCATAAATATCTAATATCTGTGCCCTCCAGCCCATCTCACAAGGCATGGCCCTAGCTTCCTCCTCTACTAGATCAACAAGGCCTCCTGGCTGGCTAGTCACTTTGCTTTCAACTTTACCCCTATAAAGATAATGAACCAACGTGAGAGGCCAGGAGTTTGAGAACAGCCTGGACAACATAGCAAGACCTCCATATCTACAAAAAAATTTAAAAATTGCTGGGTGCAGTGGTATGCACTTGTAGTCTCAGCTACCTGAGATGCAGAGAAGGGAGGATTACTTGAGCCTGGGAGGTCGAGGCTGCGGTGTGCTTTATCACACCACTGCACTCCAGCCTGGGTGACAGCAAGAGACCGCCTCTATAAAAAATGATAATGCATAAAAATAAGCGACATGATAATTAAGAAGTGTTGGTAGATTGCTTTTGGGTTAGGCACAGTGCTAAATGCTTTCCATGATCTAATTTACCCTTCACAATAGCATAAGGTAAGTTTTATTCCTGTCTCCATTTTAAATATGAGCAAATTAAAGCTCAGAGAGTTTAAGCAACTTGCCCAAATCATAGGCAAGTTCTATCCTTCCCATTCAACTAGAGTGTGAATGCAAACCATGTCATTTTGCTGATTAAAACCCCTATTGTCTTGTTGAAACAAACAAAATGAAGCAAAATTTCCTTAGCAAGGCATTTAAATAGTAATGATCACAGTGAAAAATTGAGTACTTTCTATGTGCTCAGAGTTTCAGCTATGTGGTTACAAGTCCTTACCACAACGCTACAAGATATATGTGCTTTTCACTATGGTAGACAAAAAAAAACTGGGGTCTCAGAGGAAATTTCCATAGTCAAAAAGTTATTATTAATTGGCAGAAATGGGATTCCAACCGAGTATGTTTGACCCCAGTCCTGCATTTTCCCTTAGGCTACTCTGCCTTTCCTATAGCCTGACCTCTGACAATCTATGTGAGTTCACATTCCCTCATTCCTTTTTCTCCCTTTGTTCTACTCCTATACTCAAGTAATTCTGGAACACAGGCCATTTCACAAAGATTCTCTTCCCTATACACCATATTTACCTTTATTTCTTGTTTACTTAGCAAGCTTCTACATATCATTTCAGGTTTAGTTCTAACAAGCCTTTTCTTATGAACCTTTGTTTGATCTTCCTCCCTCCATCCTCTCCTTGCTAGAAGATAACTGCTTTATTTTCAATGGTACTTTGTAAATAGTTGTGAGGAGATAGCCATCTGACTTAATTATGAATGTTTATTTATAATAGACAGTGAGGAATCATATATTGATTCATTTTGGTCAACTAATTATTCTGAATGCCTACTGATGTGTCTTAAATTTATCTCTGTTTTCCAAGCTCTTAGCACAGGGCTTGACACTTAAATGTTTTAAAAAATGGTTGTATGAATAAATGACTAAATAAATGGAGGCTTCACTCCGTAACATGAGGGGGCTGAATCAACAGCAGTCATTTCTGAATCAGATGACACAGCTCCTGAAATATGGTTTGCCATGATTCACTTTCCTTCTCCATTCATAGACAGGGCCTCCTTGATTTAACTATCATTTTCTAAAAGATGCATAAAATAGCTGTTAAACCCTTCTACCTCCTAAAAGTTGCAAATACAAGGAAACCTTTGCTAGGTCATTCCAACAGAGTGATACTTCAAATCCTGGGTTCTCTCTTTCTGTCTCACCTACCCTGTGTAATCTCGCATCCAAACTACAAATAATATGCAGGCATGTCTGACAGACAGGACAAGGAAAGAGGCAGAGATAGCTAGCTCTCTTCATTCTTTCTCTAAGGACCAAAAATTTCATTTCTGTCCACTCTCATCTGGCAACACCACGCGTCTCTCTTGCCTATTCCTTGCCACTCGGCCTTTTCCCCTAAGTTGCCCAGTGCTTCAGCTATGTGGTTACAAGTTGTTACCACAATGCTACAAGATATGTGTGCTTTTCACTGTGGTAGACGAAAAAAATGGAGTCTCAGAGGAAATTTCCTGCCTCTGCTCTCTCTGGTCACACACGCTCTGCCCCCTCCAGCAGGGTTGAAACTACAGATGCCAGCTGGGCAGGTTCAGGATCCATGCAGGCCAGGGAAGGAAAGCAGCTGCTGTTTCTCACTGCTGTCCCTCAGAGCACACCCACTGCCCATGCCTGAAGTCACCTGGGGGATGTAAGGGTGCATGGGTGTGCACACACACACACGTGTGTGCTGGGGGAGATGGAAGGCAGTATTTGAGATCAGACCTGTCTATTTGCAATTTGAATAATCCAGCCAACAGGAGCTCAGCATTTTTCAGGCCACACCATATATATTTACACACATACATATACACAAAACTACTGCTTCTGGCTCAATTTTAATAATAATAGCTATTATTTATAGAACTCATTTATGTCAGACATTGTGCTAAGTGCTTTGAAAGGATTATCTAATTTAATCTCTACAGCCACCCTCTGAAACAGATTTTTATCATTATCCTCTTTTACAGAGAGAGAGAGAGAAACCAAGACTTAGGAGAGGTAAGACACTTGTCTCTCATTACTCAGTAGGGAAGCTGGGATTTGAGTTCAGCCATTGCAGTGAAGCTGGGGTTCAGGTTCCCAGTCTGCAGGCTTGACGATCTCTAAAGTCATTGCCCTGGAACTGGGATTCTGTTAAGCAGATGTCCTTTCACCCAAGTCTCATGGACTTTCTCTTGATGAGTGCAAAGACCTAAGGAAAAGACCTGTGATGAGGACAGGGCCGTGAGCTGAGGCTTATTCTTTAATAAGAGTTATCTTTGTGGCACTTATCCTTTATCTATAAATTCTTGTCTATCCTAAGGGTACTGAAGCATGAGAAACATTGCGACAGAATATAGAGTTGAAATACTGACAGAACAATGGCATAATTAGTTTGTCCAAAAGAACCCAAGCCAACTACAATTTGGCTTGGTTATGCATGGAATTAGAATCTATCTCTGCCAGTCCCACTAGCATCATCATAAAAAAAAGCACTCAGACCATGGCTGGCCAGTGAATTGGACCTTGGCAACCTATACAATTATTTTCTATGTGTCATATGTGAAAACGATGCTAGTCCATTACTGTCAGTGGGATGCACATTAATATTTATTAATTAATTCCACAGACATTTATTGAGTCCCTACTGTGTTACAGGTACCAGGTCAGGTTCTGTATGCAGTACTCCAATTAAAAGTTATGATTTTTGCCCTCCCCTAGGAGTTCATTATCAAGAAGTACAGGGGTGGGAGGAGATAAAGTAAGATGATTAAAGTTGGGAGACCTAAGGCTATATGCAGTATAAAGCACTCTCTTGTTTTGGAGATTAGTGGTGATATTTTAATGAAGTAATTTGGAAAGGCTTCAAGGAGGAGGGGTCCTTTTATATGTAATAAAAGGGTAGGAACTTAAAAGGCAGAAATGCTGGAGGAGTGCATTCAAAGAAAGGAGAATGTCAACACTTAACGAGCTACATAAACTAGGCAAACTAAGTTTGGGCAAAGTGTTTTAACTTAGCCAAACTGCTTCACCTTTAGAGCAGCATTTTAAGTGTTTTTTTTTTTGGTGGTTTTTTTTTTTTTTTTTTTTTTTTTTTTTTTTTTGAGACGGAGTTTCACTCTTGTTGCCCAGGCTGGAGTGCAATGGCGCAATCTCAGCTCACCACAACCTCTGCCTCCCGGGTTCAAGAGATTCTCCCGCCTCAGCCTCTTGAGTAGCTGGGATTACAGGCATGTGCCACCATGCCTGGTTAATTTTGTATTTTTAGTAGAGACAGGGTTTCTCCATGTTGGTCCGGCTGGTCTCGAACTCCCGACTTCAGGTGATCCTCCTGCCTTGGCCTCCAAAAGTGTCAGGATTACAGGCGTGAGCCACCACGCCCTGCTTAAGTTTTAATAAGATCTCTTGGCAACTTTTTACGACTGGCAACTTAGGTCTCACAAACACAGAAAAGCTTGTCTTTAAGTATATTGTCTTTGAAAAGTTAATACACTCTCTAAATGCTCCATTTAAAATGATTTACTTTATAAATGCATGCACTGAGAGAAAAGATATTTGAATGATATACACCACAATGTTAAATTAACTGTGATTGTTTCTAAGTATTGGCACTATGGTTAATTTTCTTTTTCTTGTTTATGCTTTTCTGAGTTTTTCAAACCCCCAATAATAAAGATGTATCTCTTCTATAACCAATCAAAAGTACAAAAGTTACTCAAAATAACCCTTTAAATGTTATGTTTTAGAGACAGAGTCAGAGTCACTCAGCTCATGCATTTAACAAATAGTTAAGTCCTACTCACTGTCCTTGGCATTATGGATACAGAAGTGATTCAGACAAAATTTCCTTACAGAGGTTGCAGTCTACTGAGGAAAAATAAATGAAATAACAAAAAAATTTTAAAATATAGAATATTATATTTTAGGAATAAATAAGGTTATGTGAAAGAGAGTAATAAGAACAAACAAATTGGTAGGAGAGTTTAGAGAGAATTGCTCAGAGCAGTTGGCATTTGGGTTGGATCCTAAGGATGAGTAGGGGTCAGGCTAGGAAGAGTGTCCAGGTGGGGTGGACAAGTGTGTCTGACCCCTGGGGCAGAAAACAGCTTGCCACAGTGGGCAGGACAAATGACACTAACTTATAACTGATTTAATGAAGGTAAATGAGTAAAGTTTATCAGAGCACCACACTGAAGTGAAAAATAGTCTGGTATTCAATTATTTTGGATTTTTCCTCTTCAACAGTATTGTCACTGTTATTTAACATCATGATTATTTGGTTTGCTATAGTCGTTACCTTCCTTACCAAATTACATACAGCACCCAAACAACAAATGCTGCTGGCTATTTAAAAATAAAGTTGTGTTAAGGTAGTGTGATTATTTAACCTGAGAGTTTCATGTGAAAATGTACCTACCCTACAATGTTAATTTGTTCAATTTCTAATGTCTTTACAACTCTACAGGAAAGTGTTTTCTCTCAAATACCCTTACTGCCATACTTCTCACTCAAATAACCTTGGAAATATCAGGATATTATAGAAAGAAGCCAGGGCTTTCACATAATCAGGGGCTATTCACCAGAGTCATTTCTGGTTGATTTGGAAGACATTTTCCTTAATTAAACAGAACTATTTATTCTCAAAAAGAAAAAAGAACCCAATGGGGAAAATAGAAGGAGGAAAGAAACCCCACCCTGTCGAAATTATGTACTAAGTTGTACTTCTGGAATTATAGATTTGAAAGAAACAATCACAAAAGGGCTTTTGAAGTAAGTTTCCCCTAAGTAATTTGAAATTTGGCAGAATGACACATTCCCTCGGGGGGCTCATCCACCATATCAATCCCCGTGCAATAGAAATGCACCATTACTCGGAGCATGCTGGTGCAGAGGGCCAGGCCAGCACTGGAGATTAATTCTTTCCTATTCTGAAAAGAGCTAAAGAGGATCCTAACAAGCCACCAATTTCCTAATGCTCCCTGGAAACAAATGCTTTGGGACCTGGTGACAATAGTGACCTTTAAAAATCTTGGGTCCTTAAAACAGATAAGGAAGATAATAATAATAACTATTATTATCTGATCTTTTTATATTAAAGCATAATGTGATAATTTATTAGTCTGCTCACCAAATGACAAAAGATGAGACTCACCTCTAATTAGGTATCAGTTGGGTACCTTGCCATTATGGAATGAATTTAGGTCACTATGTTTTTTATCCACACTTGCAAAATATCTGTGATGGGAAAAACCATTGTCTTCCTTGAAGCAGGATGGGAAAGAAACAAAGGTCTAGTCTTCTTTTTTTCTTTTTACATTCTAAAGAAGTGTTTTATTTGGTTCTTCATTAGCAGCTATAAATTCTAGATATAGCATACACATAGTAGGCGTTCTTGAGTGTTTTTGCAAATTCACTTCATTTTATTAAACAGGAATGCAGTGGCTTCATCCTCTGTTGAAATAGTCCTATCAAATTCTCTGTACAACTCTGAACTTAAATGCTACAGACAACTGCTTAATCTTCCAAAGAATTCTTACAGCGTAGGAATAGTTTCAGAGGGTAATTCCTTTTCTTTTCTTTTTTCCAAGCAATACCAGCCTTCCTATCAACAGCAGTGTTTGAGATGTTTGGGGCTTTACCTTTGATGAATACATGACATGCCACGTTCTATGGGTCTACAGATTCATCACTCTCTAAATTTATAGGGATGTATGCAGTGTGATTTGATAAATTGTTTTGTTTTGCTTTTCATCACTCACACGCTATTGAAAGGACGCTCCCTGTATATCTTAGCGACCATCTATCAAAAATAAGCCTTGGGGAGAACAAATAAAATGCAGTAAAAACTTGTTGAACTGATAACTATATAATATGAATGTGTCATCTCTGAATATGAAGGACCACTATATGAGGCTCATATTTTATTTTTTTTTAGCAGGTTTACATATCTGTTTCCCAGTGGTTTAAACTGCATTTTTGGTTCAAATGTTTGCAAAGCTTCCCAACTGTCTTTGGGAAAAGAGTACTATAAATTAAAATGATTATTAATCTTACTAAATCTATTCCTTTTACTGGCATTTACTTAGGAGATACATGCCTCCTATAATGGATTGGTCTGGCAACTTACTTGACATAGTAGTACATGAAATAAGAATTTGAAGGAGCTTGATACTGTTTTGGTTTGTTTTTTTTTAAAAGGAAAAAAAATCTCTATTAAACTGAGAAGCATATTGACCAAAAAAAAAAAAAAAGGTTAAAAAGAGAACACTAAGACTTTATAAACTGCCAAACCTGTCAATTTAAATCAAGGGGAGAATGATAATGATTGCATTTATAAATTAAAATTATATTTCATCAGGAGAACTACAAGTTTCCTCTAATTACTAAAATGTTCTCTATCCAAGGCCAATATTAAGTATGAGTCTATGAAAATATGTTCGAATCCCATAACTGCTTTATAGGTTACAGGGTCTAAATTTCTTACCAGAGACAGACAGCATAACGGTAACTCTGCTAAACAGATATACTTAAAAATGGGTACCATTTTGTAGGTATTAGCTTATCTTCAACATGACAGATAATGAGAAACCTACTTTGCCAATATACAGTGAACAATGAACGATCAGAGAAAATAAGTTAAAAAAAATGAAGATATCAAATTTGCCCTTCTGACAGGAGACATCTGAAAGATTGATAATTCCAGGGCTGTTGATGGCATGGGGCAAATGGGAATTGTTATACACTATTAGCACTTTTCAGCTCTTAGGAAGAATTAAGTATATCGTACTGATACAAAATGATTTCTAAGTCATACTGTTGAGTGAAAAGGTACGTTACACATAACTCTATTCAATTTATGTAAATGCCTCCCCCTCCATGTATGTACAAAATAAATGCAAAAATGAAGATATAAAAGGTTTCATACCAAACTACCAATAGAGCTTGGGGCAGGGGCAGGGGCAGGAAAAAGGGTGCAAAATAAAAGGGCTTTTCACTTTTTACTCTTTATCAACTAAACTTTTTACAGCAAGAGACACCCTCATATTTCTTATATAATAATTATTTTAAAGAAAACATAGCTTTTAAAAAACTTGTTGGATGAATTACCTCATTCACAATTTTGCAGAGAATTCCAAAGCAGCAACAGACATCATTTCGTTTCAGTAAATTTATGGTTTGCAAACTGTAGGGGTTTCTTGAGTTCTCTCTAGGGAGGGAATGAAGGTTTTACATACATACACACACACACACACACACATACACACACCCCTCCCCAGCAACTCTGGAGGTTTCTTATGTAATCATTATTTTAAAGAAAACATAGCTTTGTAAAAACTTGTTGGATGAATTATCTCATTAACAATTTTGCATAGAATTCCAAAGGGAGAACAGGTATCATTTCATTCAATTGAATTTATGGTTTGCAAACTGTACTCTAAGCCTTACTCTAGACTCTGGCTTCCAGATTTGCCTTTTTGTTTCACAAGTTAGAATTAAATGTAAGATTGTGTGTAAGCAGTGTTTCAGGACTTAAAAATGCTTAAGGGCTATTCCAACTCCAATTTGTCCCTGCAAGGACACAATTGGCTTAATGCCACACCCTAGTGGCAGAACTCAGAGAACACTGTCTGTTGTCTGTGCCGTGCCCTGTTGCCCTGTACCACATGGCCTCTCTGTAACACTTGGGTTCCACCCATTTCATGTGCCTAGCCCTTACCTGAAAGTCAGATACAGCCAGCAGTAGAGCCAAAGCAAGGAGAACACCTCACTTTACACCAATGTTCCTATTCATTTCCTCTTACATGTTTACATGTATTTTTCAATACTATATAAAGGTAAAATTATGTAAAGTCTTCTAGCTTCTTTAAGAAGGATAATTTTTATAAAATTTTTATAATTTTTATAAGTACACAAAATGAAAAAAAGATAGGCTTCTGCCATTTTCCTGGAGATAAAAAGGATTGCCAAACTAATTAATAAAATGACATTTATTACAGTCAGTAAAATATAACACTGAGTACAAAATAGCTTAAATGAGTCACCTTCCCCACCCAATTAAGAGCTGACCCACAAGATCCAAGAGGACCATAACTCAAAGGAGGCAGGAGCGCCACTCATTCTGCAGGAACCAAACTGCAGCAGCACATTCTCCCAAGAAAACAGCTCATTGTCATTGTCACCTGCAGAGACAAACTGAACCAAAGACAGACAGTTACAGGCCCTGAGAGGGCAACGAGAAAGCCGCCCAACTGGGTTTTAGTTACTGTCACACAATGAAAAAGAGCAGTGAAATAGCAACCTGATGTAGATGCCTGACCCTCCTGTAGGTCTTTGCTCATCCCTTCCTTTCACAAGGCTCTTCCCTGCTCTGAATTCCTAGTCTTTTTTTTTTAAACCCTGGTGTTAGTATCACTTATTTTAGCTCTGAATGATACATTGGTCAGTGCTGTGGCTTAATTATTTCCTTGTAGATGATGTGTCTTCCCACCTGGGTCATAGACACAAGGAGAGCAGGATCATAGCTTGTAAGGTCTATGTAATAAGCGAAAAGGTAAGTTATTGAATAACAACTATATTCAATTTATGTAAATGCCTCCCCCCCATGTATATATAAAATAAGTGCAGAAATGAGGATATGAAAGTAGTAAGTTACAGAATAATAACTATATTCAATTTATGTAAATGCCTCCCCCTCCATGTATACACAAAATAAATGCAAAAGTGAGGATATGAAAGGTTTTATATCAAACTACCAATAGAGCTTGGGGCAGTGGTGGGGGCAGAAAAAAGGGTACAGGATAAAAGGGCTTTTCACTTGCTACTCTGCGTCAACTAAACTTTTTACATCAAGAGAAATCCTCATATTTCTCATGTAATCATTATTTTTAAAAAACCCAGCTTTTTAAAAACTTGTTGGATGAAGTACTTCATTCACAATTTTGCGTAGAACTCCAAGGCAATGGAATGATATAGCCAACATATAATCAGTTACTTTTAATTAAAGGAGACAGCCCTCAATAATAAGGGGTGGGCCTCATGTAATCAGTAGAAAGGCCTTAAAAGCAAAACCAAGTTTTTCCTGAGAAATAGAAAATCTGATTCGAGGCTACAGCATCAACCCTTGCCTGAGAGTGCCTAGCTGCCAGCCTGCCCTATGGATTTTGGACTTGACAGCTCCTGCAATCCCACAGGCCAACTGCTTAACATAAATTATATACATATACAATACAATAAATGTGTGTATGGATACATTCACACACATACACACACGTATATATCTCCTACTGGTTCTGTTTCTCCAGAAAACCCAGATGATAAAAGGGGTGGAAAAGATGCAAGGTTCTCCTATTTTGGAACTTACATTTTTCCAGGGGAAAACTAAAAATCACTTAAATAACATCACTAGTCAAAAGCAATATATGAGTGATAGGGCTATGTAGGAAATAAAACAAGATAAATATGATTGCACATGAGTGGTGAGCTACATTTAGATTGGGTGGTCAGGGAAGGTGTCTCTGAAGCCATGACATTTAAGCTGAAATAAGAGCTGACATTCTCATTACTTTTTTTGTTCCTTCCATAGATCTTGCATAAAGTAATTTACATAGTATGCACTCAATAAATTATTTTGAATAAATAATGAACAGATTAATGATATGATCTTGTAGAAGACTGGCCATTTTAATTTCAGGTAACTAAGAAACAAGCTGAGTTTAAGACCTTAATGAGCAGAAAGTGTTTCCTCTAAGCTGAAATTACACCAACCTGGAACTGGAGGCTCTTGTTTCTCACTTGATTAATGAATGGAGGTGACCGATTAAGGTGTTTAAGGTATGCAATTGCTTTTATCTGACTCATTTGAAAGCAATATAGACATGACACTGTTGGTAGACAAAGTCCAAAGCAGAACAAATATCCCTCTCTGACCCTATTATTCCCCTTCTTAATTCCCTCTCCTCCTTCAAAGCAAAAACACACCCTACTCTAAACCTACCAGACTTGATGTTTATTCATGAGAAACAAAAGATCCTATATTTCATCTTTCTTACCTATGATTCTTCCTATCTGATGTGTGTGTATTTTTATGAGGGGCAGAGGAAAAAATGTGGAGAAAAAGTTGGCATTCTTCTAAACCTGAACCTAAGAGATGCCCTTATCATCCAAGAGCTGTGACTCCTATCAGTAAGGGGAGATTTGGGCCAAGTAACCACTTCAGATGGTGTGGCAAGACACAGGCATGACTCCCAAGGAACGCTGACTTGCAATTTATGTTTCTTGGCCCAGATAAGCTGACTTCTGAGTGTGAATGTAATAAGTATGTTAATAGTTAAGACCAAATGTGGGTGAAAGGCAGGGCAATCATCAATGAGTGAGCCCCTTTGGTTTGTTCTTTTCCAGGATTTCTTGGATTGCAGGTTTTCAAGTGGTAAGAAAGAACTGATGTTTAATCCGGCTTAAAAATATTTACTCTGTGCAGTTGAGTTCTGTGCATGTCAAGTATGAATAGAGTAGTCATGTTCAAAGGCAAGGGAGAAAAAAAGCAAATGACATACACAGACATACACACACACCATAAAGGCACAAGCTACATACCTTGTCTCCCCCTTTGCTCTAGTCTTGTGGAGTTTCTCCATCTTTTGTGGGTGCTGGTACCCCAGAAAAATTTCATGGGGGATGTGTCCTGTTGTGATTTTCCCTCACCTTGTTTTGAGATAAATTGGCTTGGACAATCCTGTTCTGCATAATGTATACTCCGTTTTTTTCTAATCCTAAACCTTGATCAAATTCCCCTTGGCCTTCAGCTCTGTTCAGGAATTGGAATGCTTTTGCCATGTCCCTGTTTGAACTTGATTTCAGATGGCTTCCCATTGCCTCCAACCCTTTTTGGTTCCTTCCCCATTAACGACTTTCCACTGTGAACAAGATAATAGGTTTCAGCCTGTAGCTTATGCTCCCCTGCTCTGGACTTGGTCCTCCCTTCTTTTTGTGTGGCTGCTGCATTAACACTATAGCCATGTCCTGGGAGCAAATCTTAACAATACATGTTTGAATTTGTGTAATTCTTCCCATTGTAAGTTGGATGTGGGAGCCAAGGAGGAACACATAACTCAAACTAACCAGTATTTTGAACAGAATTATGACCTGCAGGTAATTCATGATTCTATTAATTGTTTGTTCTTTCCTGCTCTGAGTAAGATATTAGCCACCATTGAGTTCTTAACCATAATAAACGGGCAGACAAGGTGACAGTGGAAACAGGTCCTTGATTAAAAATCTATGCCCTGCAAACCTGCAAATTAGGTAATCAGAGTACATGGAATAGAGTTTCTCAGCAAATGTAACCATTGCCGCAGACCTTTCAGAAAATAAATAGCCACAGGTTTAAAGGATGAGAGATGAGTGATGACTGGAAAAGGAAAAAATATGCTTTAAAATGATTATATCTGATATCCACCTAAATCTTCAAAAACAGCATAAAATATCTGGTCTTGAAGGATGCCCAGCAGCTGGCTCATCTGCTTTTTTTCACCCCTTCCCTCCACTTGGCCCTCTGGAACTGAGCAAGGTTTTAGTACCTTGTTGACAGAGCCAAGAAGTGAATGATCGACACTAATGGGATTTTTAATCTTCAACCTAATTAACTTTGTTAAAATTAAGTCTTACTAGGAAGAATCGGCACAAAGAAATTAATTAAAGCAATGGAATTTTTGCTGGATTTAACAGCTGAGTACTGACTATATCTATAATGCACACAGAGACAGATACTTCCGATTCATTGCCATTATTCTTTTGTCGCTTTGGTGTTTCCATTTTTGAGAATGCCTATGTTCCCAAACCTGAGGGTGCACACCTTTGTCACTGGCACAGAGACCACACTTTACTGTAGAGGGGGATTTCCTTGTCTGTCAATGCCACCATACCCTTGACCTTGTTGGATGTGATTTGCCTTATGCCTAGCAAGTTACCTGGCTATGGCAAGTTTGATACATATTTGTTGAAAGAATAAATGCATGAATGAGTAAATAATGATAACTTTAAATACTTGATGGCAATAAGGGGTAGCATTGATGCTCCAGCTTATTTTTTTCACCTTGTGGTTATTACATGAAAAAAGGCAAAGACAAAAAGAATGGGATATTTTCTTTCTTGCAGAAACTAAGCAAGTTGATCTTTACAATACACCGTAGTGCACAGGAGAGTCTTTCAGGGGCACCTAGCTCTAAGCACATCTGCTACCAATGAAAATTCATGTATATACCTAAAGTGTTCTTAATAAAAAAATAAAACAATACCTTTGTTTTGGATCACAGAGAATGGAGCGTTTCAGATGACTCATCTTTGTTTAGTTGTAACTATCACAAAATATCCTGAATAGCAATATTTGTAAATTTTATCACAAATTTTCTTGACTCAAAGTTATTGCACAATGATCACAATTTAAAGATTTTTTTTATGACTGGGGCTTATCACCGTGAATAGCAATTATTAAATGATGTGCTGTAAAACAGTGATACTTTCAGTCCACTGAGTTTCATAGGGTGGTAAGTTAGAATATTTTTCTTACGTTTCTTTACATGAACATGGTGTTCTTCATGGAAGTTAAATTTGGAGAACCAGGTATACACTTGGCCCTCCTGATATACCTAGGCTCAGTTACCTACATTCATTTCAAGTACAAGTTCTTAACTGTGCAAAAGGTGTAAATTCACTTTGAATGTAATTCATTCCTCCTAACCTAGTCCTTCTACTAGGTCCTTCATTTCAACAGTAGATTCTAAATAAATATGCTAGCACAGTGATTGTAACAGTAAAGAAAACTTGTGTTATAATCCCCTCATTCTTTATAAGCCCCTGGAATTTTTATTTATATTTAAAATTTTTAAATAATAAAACAATGAAAACTGCAAGATGTGCTATTTTTGTTTGGTAAATACACATTTCAGTTCATGCATTATTTTATTATTTATTAATTTTATTTTTTATTATTTTATATTACTTATTAAGTATTTTGCTATTATTATTATTTTACTGATTTTGAGTAATGTCTATACATTGAAATTTCTTCTTTATTAATTTTAAAAACCAAAATATTAAGAAAATACATATTACTAATTATTACTTAACTATCACTAAATGATTCTGTCATATAGAAGAAGTATTAAAAATCCACTCTGGGGATCAAGTACATCAGGTACAACACTGAAACAAACGTGGTTGAAATGTGGAATTTGAGAGCAAGAACTGGGAGCGTGGTTGTTTCTTAGAGGATGCACTTGAAATACCCACAATAGCACATACCTAGGTCCTGACTAAGGGTTCATACATTTTTCCTGTGAGATTCACAAAAACCAACTTTTGTATATAGCTCCAAGGCCAGTCCTTAGAGGTCTATGATATTCTGCACTTTTCTACATCCTAGGACCATACACCCCCAGGGGGGTCTCTGAGGATCAAAATCACTCAGCACAAACTCAGAGCTCCTTGAAGGCAGGGCCTGTGTGTTTCCTTTCTTAACTCCCCAGTCCGGACAGAGTGCAAGGAACAGCAGAAGTGTTCTAAGCATCGACAGAATAAATAAACAAATGAATAGATTTCAAACAAAACAAAGGTCTTTTAGTATCCCAACCCATATCTTACTTAATATTTGTCCAATTAACCTATTGCTTGTCTTCAGTTTTATGTGAATTATTTTCTCAACCATTCATTCATATTTATGGGGTACCTACTCCAGAGTGGTGCTATTTTAGGCACTAAGAATATAATTATTGAATTGGACAAAGTGCTTTAGTCTCATGTGTAAAGTGCTTCCTGATGACTAGATAAAACAATGTACCATCTTACGCGTTAGCACACCCATGTGCACCTGCCTGTACTTGCTAAAACAACCTTGCCAACCATTTAGAATATATGGACTAAATGGAATTAACCTCTGAATCACATTGGATGACCTGGGTTTTATACACTGTGAGACCATCTAATGCAAAACCTCTGAAGAACCCCTTCGGATACTTAGGGTTGAAGTGAAATTTTGTCCTATTAATTATACAGGACAGTGACATTGGGTCTGGACTCACTTGTATACTCTAATTAAATTTACCACCTGGCACATAGTAGACCCTCAATAAATATTTATTAAATGAATTAATCATACAATACTCATAATGGCTCATTTGTGATATATTAATAATATATAAAATTCTCAGTAATATATTCTCTATTGCAACTTGATTTCTCTTACACTCTTAATTCAGTATTAAATGGTCATTTGCTCCCGTTTTCTTTGACTAGTTCACGGCATTAAAACACTGCTTTCTTCCCCCAAGCTTTCAATTTAAATATGCTAGCAGAAATTCCTATTAATTCCATTCCAAGTATTTGCACAAAACTGATCCACCATAGCCGTCTGCTAATGATGCATCTGTCATTTTATTGACACCCCTAAACAGCTTTATTCTCTTTTCTAATTAAGAGACAAAACTGGTATTGTCAGCTGATGAACCGACATTTGGGGGCTTTTGTTCTAATGTAAAAGGCAACACATTATGATGCTAAAACAAAAACTCAGGAATGTTAACAGAAAAGCCCACTAGACAAAATATATTTACACGAACAATTTGAATTAAGCTTGTTATAAGCCTAATAGTCATACAATATTTTGAGTTACAGGGAAAAAATATACACTGTGGCAAAATATATTCAAAACAAAAAGTGGCAGTTCCTACCCTAACTGGCCATTAAAATTCAGAACAAAGCATTCTCATGTGCTTACCAGACA